>NC_000023.11:99962542-100587542 GCF_000001405.40 Homo sapiens | reverse complement strand
AACCAACAATATTTGTTCATGGTAGAGAAACTTGCCCTAGGGGACACCTGTTGTCTTTATCTGGATTACTTCATAATAGCTTTGTTCATTTCTGAGAGTCCCTTTGCTGAAAATGACATCCCAAAATGGATTACTTCACAAGAGGTTTGATTTTTGATAAACTTTATTCAGCAGCATATCCCACCTCTTCTGTGCATGCACTGACCAAGTTTTATTTTGGTTTGAGGTATCATAGGATTGCTCCTTATAATCATTAAAAACAGAACTAGAATGAGATGTAAAGATGATATAATAGGGAAAGAGAGGAGACCATGAAGCTGCAAGTGAGTTTGACACTTTGCAATAAAAAGGCAAGGTCTCCACCTAGTCGTTTATAGCTGCGTTGAGGCAAATAGCACTGTAAATTTATAAAAACACATATACTCTTTTGGAATAGCATTTGCAGTACCAATGACAACAATAAAACAAGAAAGGCCATTTGGCCCCTTATTTAGGCAAGCATCTAAGGGTGGTCAAAAGGACTAGCTATCCACCATGCCCAGTTAAGTACATTATGGCTGTGGAGAACAAAGGATTTATGGCCCTTTAACTCATGGATAATTTTCAAGAGGATCCAAGGTTCAACTTGTGGGGTGACATATCACCTTGGGAATTAGCTAAGTGGTACCAGAATTGTATTGGAATGCATTTTGGCTCTCTTATTAATTTGCTGTTTCCTTCCTGATCTCGATTGCTTTACCCACCCTGCCAGCCTGAACACAGGTGGCTTCTCTAGAAGGACATTTGAACGGTAAGTAGTTCAGAAGCAAGGAGCAGTAAGGGGAGGAGGAGTAGGGGATAGGGCTAACTATAGGCATTGGGTGATGCCTGAAATCTTTTCTGGAACAAAGTATAAATAAAAAGGCAAACAAAGTAGGCTGGCTTGCTCTCCCTCCTACTTAAACCTGATAAGATATCCTTTGGGACTAAATGAAAGTGGGTATGACAGCAGAGGTGGAGAACCCAAGGGTGGTTATGCTTTATACCTCTGTTATCTTTCAGACACTTAGCCAGCTTATTTTCTGCTTTTCCTGCTCTGCCTCTCTCTCCCCACTGACCCATATTTTTTTCTCTCTGCTCCTATTGCTCCTTTGGCTCCTAACGGTCCATGCCAACCCATTTTCTTGTATCATCCTCCTTCCTGGATTTGTGCTTTTTTCTCCCTACATCTGTTACCAAATAGAAATGAGCATCTTATGACAACCAATTAACAACAGTAATAACAATAACTTCAGCAGCAATCCACACACCAACAGAAAAACATGGCAAAGCCAGAAAACTATCTTCACAACTTGTAGTTTGTATATTTGTTGATTATCTTTCAAATGGAAATTGTGAGCATGAAGGGACTATGGTTTTATTTGGGACTATGGTTTTATTTATTTATTTTATATCTAAACTTGCCCATTGCCTATGAGCCCAGGAATAACAATAACACTAAGGTACAGAAATATAAACTACAGTGGCTAGCCAAGCTTCACCAAATGACCCCAGTATCAGAAGCTTTCTGAGTTATCTGTGATTAATGACTTGGTGTCGCATGCTTCTACCTTGTGGCATTGCTATCTCAGTGGGACAGTGATGATTGCAGCTGGCAAGGAGCTGAAAAGCTCTAGTTTCTTTTTAAAGTCATAAATAAATGTGAAGTCAGGTATGAGAATTGCTCCTCCTGAAAAGCAGCTTGCTGCCTGTTCTCACTGCAGATGCATTAAGTCAGAAACATAATCCCTGAAAATCCTTTGCTGCCACTTTGGGTGGTTTCTCCTTATGTGGTGGTCTAATTACTTTTCCATCAGTTTCTGCCCAGATAATTGAAAGAAAGATTAAAAGTATTTTTTCTTAAGGTAAAAACTTTGCTCCTAGGAGGAGTCTTAACTCCTTAAATATAAGCATTATAGAAGAATGGGTAATTCTACACCCTATCATTACTAACCAAAATATAGAAGATAAATTTTTTTCCCTTACCAAAATAATTAGGCAAATGAAGGAGAGAAAAATCTTGATTCAGTTTTTCATACCACCAGAAAATAAACACAAAAGAGACTTAATGATTTTCATTTTCAGAATAATTTATATGCCTACTAATTAAATTCAATCAAACTCAGAACAGAAGCATCAGATTATGATGTGTATTTACTTACTTTTTTGGGTACCTCCGGCCAGAAGTGCTTGCTCCCCCAAAACAGGACAATTAGAGTTAGGGCCAGGATACCAAACACCAGTCCACAAATCTTAAGTGATTTACATATTTTCTTGGATTTAAAAGCTTCTGCCTAACCAAAGAACAGAGAGAATAAAACAATACACAATAAATCTCAATAAGCAAGCCATAATTCAAAGTCACCTTTGATTCCACTTTCTAATGTTCACTTTGCAATATGATAAATCTGTGAAACCATGCTTCTGCTCAAAAGGGAAAAAATATGAATCAACTTACATTTAGAATGTGACAGTCTTCACAATTCTCTGGAGGATTCTTTGCCATGGTCTCTCAGCACACAGTACTCTTTCCTTGCTTTGAGAGGACTGAGAGACCACTGCTGAGGTGGAGTTGCAAGTGAGTCGGCTAACAGATGCCAGAGGAGAAGCTGAATTTATATGGCTCAAATATGTCATACCAGAGCCTGAGGGAGCCCAGGGGACTCCTGTGCTGCGATTTGTTACATAGATATACCCATATATGTATATAACTTCTGTGCACAGAATTCCATCCAGAATGGCAAAGACAGAAGGTTATAATGAAAACTATTGTCCTGGGGGTTGGGTTGGAAGGGGACCAAGCCTAGAACACATTGAAATGATTTTTCACTATGAACTTAAAATATCAGTGGCAATACATGCTGCACACTCCAGAAATAAGCAAACAAAACAAAGAAGGGAATGAAGTCCTAATTTCGATTCCATTTGGTTCAACAAATATTTATTGCAGGGATATTAAATGTCAGGCACTGTGCTTGGTGTTTGAGATTCAGAAATGAATAAGATATTGCCTCCTTCACTAAGTTAAAGCTCTTTAAATGGTGCTATCAATATGTACTTAACTAATTATAATGAAAACAGGATAAAATAAAGACTAATTCTAAGCTCTCTCTCTTCATCTTCTGTCTCTGATTTTTCTCCTTTCTTGGGTCCTCTTCCTCAGTCTGCTTTTTAATGTTCACATGCCTTATGGTTCTCTTCTTGATGATCATTCTCACTTTACACAGACTTCGTAGATGATATCATTCATTCCTACAGTTGAAAATATCACCTACATATCAGTGATTTCCACATCTGTACCTGTAACCCAGTTATATCTTTTAATTTCAAGGCCATTTGAACATCTCCACCTGGATATACCTCAGGAATCTCAAACTCAACATGTTCTATATCAAAGTCTTCTTTCAACACCTTCTCCTAACCTACTTTTTCCCCTCATATTCCCAACCTTAGTTGGTGGCTATATTAGTTTGCTAGGGCTGCCATAACAAAATACCACAGACTGAGTAGCTTAAATGGCAGAAATTTATATTCTTACTGCTCTGGAGGCTAGAAGTCCAAGATCAAGGTGTTATCAGGGTTGGCTTCTTCTGAGTCCTCTCTCCTTGGCTTGTAGATGACCATCTCCATATTCACATGACATTCTCCCTCTATGTATGCCTGTATCCTAATCTCCTTTCATTATAAGAACATCAGTTATATTGGATAAGGTCCCATTCATATGACTTCACTTAACCTTAATTACCTCTTTAAAAACCCTATCACCAAATACAGTCAAATATAGAAATACTGGGGGCTAGGGCATCAACATATGAATTTTGAGGGAACATAACTTAGCTTATAATAGTGGAATTGTCACGCACCCAGTCTTTCAAACCAAAATCTGAGGTTTGTCTTTCAAACCAAAAATGTGAGGTTTGTCTTTCAAACCAAAAATCTGAGGTTTTGTCTCTTTTTCACATTCCCTTTATCCAATCAATCACTAGATCCTATCTATTCCAATCAATCACTAGATCCTATCTATTCTAAATTTTTATATCTTTGAAAGCTGTTCTTTCCTATTGTGCTCACTGCTAACACCCCAGTTTAGTTTGTCATCCTTTTTGAGAACTTTCACATCCATATATTTTACCCAGGCTGTTCTCTTGGAGCTCCACATCCATATGTCCATCTAACCTGCTAGACATCTACAATACCCAACAGACACCTCAAATTCCATATATCCCGAACTGAATTAGTTATCTCTCCTTTCAAACATGCACTTTTTTTTTGGTATTACCTCTCTCACTAAATGACACAATAATCAGTCTCTAGAATAGAAACTTCCAGATGATCCTTGATTTCTTCCTGTCTTGTTCATCCCCATGGCTAATCAATTATTAAGTCCAGTTAATTCTGCCTCTGAATTAGCTCTGCAATCCTATTCTCTCCATTGTCAATCACCACTGTTTAAGTTGAGGTTCTCAGTCACTTTTACTATTGCAATAGAATTCTGTTTTCCTTGTCTCTCATACATTGTCTTCAAGGTGATCTTTCTAAGACTCAAATTTGAGGATAATCTCTCCCTTGCTTAAAATCCTTTAGTATCTATTCATTGTCTATAAAATCCAAGCCACTTATTGTGACATAGTAGGCATTTAATGATCTCGACTTTGTCCAACTCTCTAGTCTTGATTTTGGACAATTTTTTTCTACAGCGATGGAGCCAACTGGGAGGTCGCAGCTGGGCAGGAAAATGGGGCATGTACATATGACTACCTCCACATCCTAATGTCTCAAGGAAAATAATTTTCTAATTGTTGGATACATGATTGTGCATTAAACTGATTACATAAATTATGAAATATGTCACGATTCTATATGTTCTACAATTCTTTGGTCAAGCTTAAAGAGAGAAAAAAGAAAAGCCACAAGAGCAGTCTCATGGAGAAACTTATGTTTATTGGGTCAGATGGTTCCCCTCAGTGATGTTATTCACACTATGCCTCTGATGCCTGCCTCACACTGTACACCCTATTAATGAACATGCCCTACTTCTTCACACTGTAGGACATTTGCCCATGCTATATTCATTGCCTGGAGTTTTCTGCCTTCCCTTGTTTACCTGGAAAATTCCCATTTGGCTTTCAAAATGCTGCCTAGATGTTATCACCCCCTGAAAGCCTTTCCTGGTCTCATCTCTTCCACTTCGTTAAGTTAATTACCCTTTCCCTTGCTCTACTTTTGTATCTTGCTCATACTTCAACCGTTATACTTTGTATGCTGTATTATAATTCTTTTTTATGTGTTCCTCTCCTGAATAGACTTTGAGATCTTTTAAAACATGCCTTTCTTGTTAAAAGGATTGAATTAAACCAAGAGTCAAAGCAATATTCCATGGAAACATAGAGGGAAGAGTGATTAATTCTGATTCAGAAAAGCAGGAAAAATGGCACAAAGGACATGGCATTTCAATAGACTGTTCATTGATTAGCATGTATTTATTCAGTGTCCCCTATGTGGCAGGCATTGTTATAGGAGCTAGATATATATTCAGTAGTAGACAAGCAAACACAGTTCCTCCTTTATAGAGCTCAGAGTCTTGTTGGGTAGACAGACATTAAACTAAAAGGAAAAAAATCCTGTAAATAAAAGTACATAAATGATGATATATGCTAAGAAGGAAAAGTGCAGGTGCTTTAAAGCACCTAATTTGGATTGGGTGGGATGGGTGAGGGAAATCCATGCTGAGGAGTTGTCACTTAAGCTAAGACCTGAATAATGAGTAGAAGTTAGCTGGTAATGAGTGGGGAAAAGATTATTCCAGGCCAAAGGAACAGCACATGGAAATATCCTGAAGCAAAAAAGGGGTTGAATTATTTAGAGAATAAAAGGAAAGTCAGTGTAGCTGTGATGTAGTGAATGAGGAGGAGAGTTACTTGAGATAAGGCTGAAGAGGTAGGCAGGAGACATATTCAGAGTTGCATCTGCTAGGACTGTTTTTTGCTGTATGTAATAGAAACCAAGTTATGGCAGTTTAACCAAATGAAGGGTTTATTTTTCTCACATAATGGGAGTCACAAAGTCAGCAGTCCAGGGCTAGTTCAAGTACAAGGACCCAAGCTTCCATCTTTCTGTTCTGTGATCTTTTGAGCATGGCCTCCATCATCATGCTTCCAAGATGGCTGCTCCACCTCTAGGCAGGATAAAGGGGGGATAGCAAAGGGCAAAAGAACATGTGGCAGCTAAATTTGTCCCTTTCCATTAAGAAAGTAATAGTGTTCCTGGAAGCCCTGTCCTGTAGATTTTTGCTTATCTTATTGGCCAGAACTGGGTTGGATGACCACTCCTACTTATAGTGGGGTCTGGGGAGGTTTTATTTTCAACTGAGCCTGTTACCACTCTTAATAATATCTTTTTATGTATATATAGAAGGGGGAAACATATTGAGTAGGCAACTTATAATTTCTGCCACAAAGGTCATGGTAAATGTTTGAAGTTTATTTATTTAAAATTAGAAATAGGGTCTTGCTATTTTGCCCAGGCTGGACTTGGCCCAGACTCAAGTGATCCTCCTACTTCAGCCTATCAAGTTGCTGGCATTACAGGCATGTGCCCGTGTACTCAACTGAAGTTATTCTACAAACAATGGGAATTAATTGAAAAGTTCTAAGTAGAATTCCTTTTATGTTTATTAAAATCTCTCTGGCTGCTGTGAGAAGAATGAATTGTAAGGGGGCAAGAGTTTTAAAAGGTTGACCAGTTAGGAGGTAACTGAAAGAGATTATAGTGGCTTGGACTAGGAAGTGGTAGCAGAGATGGAAATAAGTAAACAGATCTGGGACATATTTTAGGTAAAGCATATACTTGGTGATAGATTGAATATATAGAGAATGAGAGAAAGGGAAGAACAAAAAATAACATAGATTCTGGTTTGTGCCTTTGGGTGGACAGTGGCACCATTCACTGGGATTAGGAAGCACTGAGGAGGACCAGTCTGGGGTAAGTGATGAGCATAGTTTTGGACATGTTAAACTTGAACAGTCTATGAAGTATCCAACAGGAGTTGTCTAGTTGGCAGCTGGGCAAATGTGTCTGGAGCTTGGAAAACAGGTGCTTGAATGGAAATATAGATATGGGGGCCATTTGCCTTTGGATGGCATTCAAACCTATGGGAGTCTATGATATGGTCTAGGAAGAGAGTTCAGGACAAAAGGAGAAAAGAGCTCAAGACTGAGCCCCAGGGAATCTTCACAGTTATTTATTTTGAGACATGCTTTCACAATGGCTTTCATTTTATAAAAAAGATACACACTCATTATAAAAATAATGGAGAAATATAAAAATACAAAAAAGAGAAAAAATCCCTTCAAATCTGCACCAACCAAGAATAGCCATTATTGTGCCTCAATTTTCTTATCTGAAAAACAGGAGGATACAAACAGTACCTATAGGTTGTTGTGATAACTTAATGAGGTAATCCATTTAAAGTGCTTATTTTGCCTGGCATGGAGTCTTATGCCCGTAATCCCAACACTTTGGAAGGCTGAGGTGGGAGGATTGCTCGAACCTAGGAGTTCGAGACCAGCCCGCGTAACACAGGGGGACCTCTGTCTCTACAAACTTTTAAAATTAGCCAGGCATGGTGGCATGTGCCTGTGGTTCCAGCTGCTTGGGAGGCTGAGTTGGGAGAATCACTTGAGCCCAGGAGGTTGAAGCTTCAGTGGGCCGTGATCACGCCAGTGGACTCCAACCTGGGTGACAAAGTGAGACTCTGTCTCAAAATAAAAAATAAATACATAAATAAATAAAATAAAAATAAATAAATAAATAAAGTGCTTACTTTGATAGTGAACACCTAATAACCAGTAGCTGTTTTAAGATTAATGAGCATTATTCTGGAAATCACTTTTATTATATAGGATTAACAAATGGATAGGCAAATTTTAACACATTATTTATGTTTTAAGAATCACTGAATTGAACAAAGAAAATTAAATCAAAGTGTGAGTCAAGGAATTGGTAAACTTCTTCCCCCTCAAGGAATAGTAGTTTCTGAAAGACTATTTTAAAGTTAAGATCAAAGATTTAAAAAATATAAAGAGGCTGAAGTCTTCATATTTTTATCTCCGGGTCTCAATTTTTGATAGTGTTGACTGATTTCTATGTTTATGGACATGTGCTCTGGAGATAGCCTGCCTGAGTTCAAGTCAGTTCTGCCACTTACTAGCTATGTGAAGGTGGGGAAATTATTTAATCTCTACGTGCCTCAATTTGCTCTCTGGAAAGGAATTAAAATGTACCTACTTAAGAAAAAAAGTACCTACTGCATGGATTGTTGTGAGGAACGAATGAGTTAACACTTGTAAAATACTTGGCACAGTGCGTGGCACATAGTAAACTGTCATAATAAATATGAGGAAATGTAACCCCTGCACTTCCCCTCTCATCTCCTGATTTCTGTTAGCTATATTATTATTTGTGCCTTCTCACAGTTTATAACACTTACATTCTGTTCTCCACTTGAAATTCTCTAAGTTGTTTGCTCTTGTGTCCAACTTAATTCAATACTTACCACTAGTCCTTCTCTCAAAGCTTCTTTATTCCTGAGTTCTTTTTTTGGTACATATTTTGATTGTCTAGATTTTATCATCTGCTAGTATTTTTAAAAAGAAGCACTCACATGTGTTGTATTTCTTGACCTTTTGCATGCTTGAAGATATCTGTCTGTTGAAGGGCAAAATGACAGGATATAAAATTGTTGGGTCACACTTTTGTTCCCTCAGGACTTGGTTGATATTGCTTCACTGTCTTTTGGCATCATGGGCTACACTGGTCCTTTAACCATGCCTTTCCCATTCATCCTTTGGTTGGCTGTATTGTATTGCAGAAATTCTAGCATTAGAAGTCAGGTGACAGAAAAAGAGGAGCTGGCCAGCTGGCCAGGGAAATGGAGTTCGTTTGACAAAGAAGGCAGTGGTGAACTGTTGTCAAAAGCTTCTGCATGGTCAAAATCCTGTGAAAAGTAGGAGTTGGGTGGAGGAAAACGTGAAAGAGCATTCTAGGCTGCAAGAATAACATGAGCAAAGTCATACAGGTGTATAAGTATGTATTTGGGGTAGCAGAGTGAGTAGTCTAGTATGAGTGGAATATTGATCGCATGAGATAGATGAAGATATGACAGACTGTGTTACTCAGATTACTTTCTTCTTCTCCAGGTTGCCTTGTTTCTTCCTTCTGCCTCTCCATCTAGCTTTTCATTTGGGCCTAATAAAATCTCTGAATTATCTTTCTTTTCTCCCTTCTTTACTGTCTTCCATATTTCTCCATTTTTTCCCCTTTGGAATAAAAGGAATAGGATTTTCAGTAATGTTGTGTCTATAAATCAATTAATAAATTCAATACATATTGAATACTGACTGGGAATACTGCAGTGCATAAGACAGTGTAGGGGGGAAGACATGTGAACCAACAATCACAACCTAGTGTGAGGTAAGTGTTATCTTAGGGCAATACAGAGTGCTAGGGGACACAGAGGAGGGCACCTAACTCAGTTGCAAGGTTATAGGGAGAAGAAGGGTACTCAGGGAAGGCTTCTGAAAGAAAGTAATAAAGAAACCAAGACTTACAAGATGAGTAGCCAGGTGAAGGTGTCAGAGAGACAGTGTTCCAGTTTTGAGAAAATCATGAACAAAACCTTGAAATGTGAAGGAGAATGAAATGTTTGAGCAACTGGAAGGATTTTAGTTTGGTAGGATTATTTAAATTTTTTCCATTACTAAAGAAGTATACCTTCACTGGTAAATAATCTGTCAAAAGTAGGAAGTAAAAAAAATCAGCATTGTTCCCCACCCCTCCAAGTTTCCAATATAAACCACTATTAACAGTTTAATGAGTTTTATTTCATATCCTTTACTATTCTTATGAAAATACACACACGTGTGTGTGTATGTGTGTGTGTGTAGTTTTCTTTAGTAACTGGTTTTTATAAATATATTATTTTACAAAAACATTCTACTATGGTCTGAATGTTTATTTCCTCCCCAAATTTACACTCCCAAAGTGATGGCATTAGGAGGTGGCACCTTGGGAGGTGATTTGGTCATAAGTGTGGTGCCCTTATGAATAGGATCAGTACCCTTATTAAAAAAAAAAAAAGATCCTAGAGAGACCCCGTGACTCCCTTCCACCATGTAGGGACACAATGAGAAGGCACCGTCTATAAATCAGGAATTGAGTCCTTACCAGAAACCGAATCTGCCAGTTTCTTGCTCTAGGTCCCAGCCTCCAATAGGGTGATGTGAGAAAACATTTTAAATGGTCAATTTTCAAGGCACAATAAATGTAAGTACTGACAGCCAGCCTGTGAATGTGACAAACTGTATGGCTCATGCACCTAGAAGGTCATGATAAGTGAACAGAATGTAGAGGAGGGGTCAGCCCATAAAAGGGAAGAAAGTTTTGTTATTGGGAAATTGAAACTTAAGCAGGGAAGGGGACCGGGGTATAATGTTGTAAGGGGGATAATGAAACTTGGACAATATCCAGGAAGATTGTAACCCCATAGTACTCGACCAATGAGGAACTGGGGGAAGGACTTGCATGCTAGGAGATGAATTACCTGCTGTAACTGCCCTGGGTGTGCCTGCCTACCAGACACCTGATCTTGCAAGACTGCCATTAAAAGTCTCACTTCCACTGTTCTTCATATCTCTGAGTCCATTCTTTGGGCTTGGATGGGTGAATGTGTGTTTCTCACAAACATGGGGGCCCGTCTGGGATCTCTGTGCCTGTGTGGAGTGGGACCCCAGCCAATAGGGGAGACACGTCCCACCTGATTTAGGTGGCCTGCTCTGTCCAGGCATCCTGGCTCCCCACAGAGGCCAGAGACAAACCTAAGACTGTTATTCAGGAGGCAGCGTAGGCGACACAGGGAATAAAGCAGGCACTGTGGCAACCAGGCAACCTCATGCACAAGTCAAGGTAGGAAAATTGGACTATAAGTACCGCCTTGGTGGTTGGGCATTTTCGGAGGTTGAGTGTGTGTGACTGAGACGTATCCTGGATACAAAGCGAGTGTGGAGTCCCAATCCGTGGTTCTGTTCTCCTGTGAGGGAGATGGTTGGAGATGGACAAAGCGATTCTCTGGGTGTGCAAGAAACCTCCAGTGTGGGGGCCGAGTACACAGAGAAAAGCTCAGATACAGAGACTGACCAAAAATGGGAAACAGAAATTCTAGGCCTAGGGGACAAAGAAAAGAGGGAGCCAAAGAGATTCCCTCTGACATTTCCCCGGATAGTCCTTTGGGAGAATGCTGCAGATTTGGAGGGATGACCCTCAAACTGGGGACAAGGAAAAGCAAAAGATAATAATATATTGCTGTTTTATCTGGCCCAAAGACCCCATTCATAAGCCTTCCGTCTTTTGGCCTAAGTTTGGCTCAGATGATGACTGAGTGTGCCAAGCTTTAATTCTCTATGTAAATGATAAAACCCCATAATCACAAGAAAAGATAGGTTACACTCTGCTGGATCAAGGAATTAGCCCCCATGTTTCCCCTCAAAGAAGAAAAAGAGCCTAGTGAAAAGCCCTTGCCCTGCCGTCTCCACTAAAAATACAAAAAATTAGCCGGGTGTGGCAGCGGGTGCCTCTAGTCCCAGCTACTTGGGAGGCTGAGGCAGGAGAATGGCGTGAACCTGGGAGGCGGAGCTTGCAGTGAGCCGAGATTGTGCCCCTGCACTCCAGCCTGGGAGACAGTGCGAGACTCCGTCTCAAAAAAAAAAGTCTTTGCCCAGTGAAAAGCCCTGGGACCCCCTATTATGCTTGCCCCCTCCACGTGTCTCACAAAATAAGGGACAGAAAGATCAATGGGCAGCAGGAGGGTTAAAGGAAGAAAAACCTGCAGACCAAGGAGGAGCTGAACCAACTGCTCCTTTAAATCCTTATCCAAATGAAAAAAAAAAAAAAAGAAAAGAAAAAAGAATTAGAACAGTGTAAGAGGGATACTGAGAACTTCCCTATCCCTTCCACATAGTGGGCATCTAGCATGTTCCTTCTTAGGGAAGTTCCCATGGGACAGGGACCAGCTGGACCAATTCCTAGGTTCTTTCTTCCCTTTTTTTTTGAGACTGAGTCTTGATCCATCGCCCAGGCTAGAGGGCAGTGGTGTAATCTCAGCTCACTGCAACCTTCGCCTCCTGGGTTCAAGCGATTCTACTACCTCAGCCTCCTGAGTAGCTGGGACTACAGGTGCCTGCTACCATGCCTGGCTAATATTTTTGTTTTGTATTTTTAGTAAGGGTGGGGTTTCACCATGTTGGCCAGGCTGGTCTTGAACTCCTGACCTCAAGTGATCCACTCACCTTGGCCTCCCAAAGTGCTGGGATTATAGGTGTGAAACACTGTGCCTGGCCTGGGACCCAGCTTTTATACCTGGGCTGAATTGATGTCTATCATAAATATCCTGTCCACAGGAGAAGAAAGGGGAATGATTAGGAGAGTGGCCATGACCATCTGGGAGAGGCAACACCCTCCCGGGCAAGAAGTCTTGCCAGCCAAACAAACATTTCCGAATGTTGATCCCAAATGGGATAATAATGTCCCAGGGACCAGGCCCAAATGCAAGACTTCAAGGAACTAATAATTAAAGGAATCAAGGAGTCCACTTCTAAGATACAAACTGTCTCAAAGGCACTCAAGATTCAACAAGAAAAAGAGGAAACTCCCTCTGCATTCCTGCAGAGGCTCAGAGATCAGATGAACAAATACTCCAGATTAGATTCAGAGGACCCAGTAGGGCAAGGCCTTTTGAAAGTTAACTTTGTAAGAAGAGCTGGCCTAACATTACCAAAAAAAACTACAAAAGATTAAAGGATGGAATAAGAAATGATTGAAGAATTACTGAGGGAAGCTCAGAAGGTCTTTGTAAGGAGAGAGGAAGAGAAACAGAAACAAAAAACGAAAATCATGGTTTCCACTGTGGAAGATGTAGTCAAAAAAAGGTTAGATCAAAATCCTCCTCAAAGGAGACAAGAGAGTGACAAATTTCGACACGGAGAAAGAAGAGAAATGCAGGGAAAAACTCCTAAGGCTATGAGTGGATGTTACAAGTGTGAAAAGCTAGGCATTTTAAGAGAAAATGTCCTGAATGGAAAAAAGCAGAAAAGGTGATCCCCCTCATGACTGTTGATCTTGAAGTTGGGACCCAAAGGAGAAGCAGCAACATTTTTGGTTGATACTGGGGTGGCTCGCTCCTGCCTAATTCACCAAACAAGGGGTACAGAACTCTCTACAGAAAAATCAACAGCATTAGGGGTAAAAGCGGAGGGATTTCAGGTTCCAATATTCAAGAAAATGTTAATTAGATTAGGACCAGAAGAAATTGAGGGGTCACTCTTATATCTTCCTGAAGCAGGAACTAACTCCCTGGGTCAAGACCTGATTGTGAGATTGGGCTTAGGATTAGAAATAAAGGAAGGAAAAATAAAAGTAATAATGGGCCTCCTAACAGAGGAGGAGGAGAGAAAAATTAATCCTCTTTTGTGGGTTAGGGAAGGCACAGGGGAGGACTAAAAATCACACCCTTAGAGATTGAACTAAAACAACCAGGGGAAGTAGTTTGCAGAAAACAATATCCCATTTCTATTAAAGGGAGAAAAGGTCTCCAACCGGTAATAGAGGGATTAATTAAAGATGAACTATTAAAACCCTGCATGTCACCATACAATACTCCAATTCTCCCAGTCAAAAAGCCTGATGGATCATATAAATTGGTGCAAGATCTAAGAGCTATAAATCAGATTGTCCAGACTTGCCACCCTGTAGTGCCTAACCCCTACACCCTCCTTAGAAAGATACTCTATGAACATAAGTGATTCAGTGTGGTGGATCTAAAAGATGCATTCTGGGTGTGTCCCCTAGACTTTATGAGTAGGGACCTCTTTGCCTTTAAATGGGAAAATCCTATAACTGGGAGAAACAACAGTACCGCTGGACTGTGCTGCCACAAGGTTTCATGGAAGCCCCAAACTTATTTGGTCAAATCTTAGAAAAAGTCATGGAGGAATTCCAACCTTCCAGGGGAAACTAGTTGTTGTAATATGTAGATGATCTTTTAATTTCTGGGGTGATATCAGAAACCACCATAAGCTTGCTTTAATTTTCTAGGAGAAAAGGGATTGTGAGTCTCTAAGAACAAATTGAAGTTTCTAGGAAAAGGAGTTAAATATTTAGGACACCTGATTAGTGAAGGGAAGCAAAGAATAAAGCCAGAGAAAATATCAGGAATAGTGGGTCTACCTTTGCCTAAAACAAAGAGAGAACTCCAAAAATGTTTAGGTTTAACTGGCTACTGTAGGTTAGGTTATGGATTAACTCATATGCTCAAAAGACAAAGATTCTGTATCTCAAGTTATTAGAAGAACCCAATCCTTTGCAATTGTCCCCAAAGGAAATTCAGGCAGTGAAAGAGCTAAAGCAGGCCTTCATTACAGTCCCCATCCTGGCCCTCTCATCTTTAGAGAAACCATTCCATCTGTTTGTAACAGTAGACCAGGGCATGGCCCTTGGGGTGCTCACTCAAACCTGGGGAGGGAAGAGGCAACCTGTTGCTTTTTTCTCCAAGCTTCTCAATCCTGTCTCTTGGGGTGGCCAGAATGTGTGCAAGCAGTAGCTGCCACAGCCCTGCTGGTAGAAGAGAGCCAAGCACCACATGTTCTCACTCATAAGTGGGAGTTGAACAATGAGAATACATGGACACAGGGAGGGTAACATCACACACTGGGGCCTGTTTGGGGGTGGGGGGCTAGGGGAGGGATAACATTAGGAGAAATACCTAATGTAGGTGACTGGTTGATGGGTGCAGCAAACCACCATGGTACGTGTATACCTACGTAACAAAACTGCATATTCTGCACATGTAACCCAGAACTTAAAGTATAATAAAAAAAAAAAGAGAAGAGAGTTGAAAGCTAACCTTTGGTGGGGCCCTAATAGTAAGCACTCCACACCAGGTCAGGAATATATTAAATCAAAAAGCCAGTAAATGGTTAACAGATTCTCAAATTCTAAAATATGAAGCCATATTACTAGAAAAAAATAATTTGGTCATAACAATAAATACTTGCCTGAATCCACCCAATTTCCTATGGAAAAAAGAGGAGAAAAAAGAAACATCAGATCATAACTGCTTAAATATCATAAAATACCAAACCAAAGTTAAATCGGTCCTTAGGGAAGCTCCACTACATGATGGGATAAGGCTATTTGTAAAGGGGTCATCCCGAGTGATAAATGGCAAAAGACATAATTGTTATGCTGTCATTAATGGAAATAAACACTCCTTATGTAAGAAAAGTAGACTACCTAATGGCTGGTTGGCCCAAACCTGTAAATTATATGCTCTTAACCAGGCCCTAAAGCTCCTAAAGGCCAAGAAGGCACTATATCTATACTAATTCTAAATATGCCTATGGAGTGGTACGTACTTTTAGAAAAATCTGGACAGAGTGGGGCCTAATAAATAGCAGGGGAAAATAATTGGTACATGGGGAACTGGTCAAACAGGTTTTAGAAAGCCTCCTCCTTCCAGCAGAGCTAGCCATAGTTCATGTAAATGGTCATCAGAAGGGGAGCACTATAGAAGCTGTAGGAAACAGGCTTGCAGATAAAGCTGCTAAGCAAGCCTCCCTAGAGAAAGAAATTAAACGATTTAGCCTGATCCCAGACATCCCTAAGGTAGTATTAAGGCCCCAGTTTACCAGAGAAGAGAAGGAAGAATTAGACAAGATAAAGGTCACTCAAACTAAAGATGGGAAATAGGTGCTTCTTGATGGAAGAGAAATAATAAGTAAACTCTTGATGAGATAACTAATGTCTATATTACACAAAGGGAGTCATTGGGGGCCCCAGGCTCTGTGTAATGCAATACTTAGGAATTATGGGTGTATAAAGATTTATACCCTCACTAAACAAGTATGTGGAAGTTATGTAACTTGTCAAAGAATAATCAAAAAGGTGATTAGAAAACAGGCCATGGAAGGAAGACCTCCTGGACTAAGACCATTTCAAAGCATTCAAGTAGATTTCACAGAAATGCCCAAAGTAAAAAGACTGAAATATTTATTGGTGATCATAGATCACCTTTCCGGCTGGGTGAAGGCCTTTCCCTTCCAACAGTCACCCCTGGGAATGTAGTCAAAATAATATTAAAACAGATTGTAGCTAGATTTAACCTGGTAAAAAATATTAATTTAAATAATGGGAGCCACTTTACCTCAAGGGTGTTAAGGGGAATTACGGAAGGTTTACAAATTAAATGGAATTATCATACCCCTTGGCATCCCCCTTCTTCTGGAAAGGTAGAAAGAATAAATCAAACTCTCAAAAAGCATATCACCAAATTAATCTTAGAAACTAAAATGCCTTGGACCAAATGTCTCCCAGTAGCATTCCTTAGGATTAGGACAGCCCCAAGAAAAGACTTGGGATTGTCCCCCTACGAGTTATTATATGGGCTCCCATATTTGGGCAGAGCTACAGATCTCCCTACTATGGAAATCAAGGATTATTATTATTTTTTATTTTTATTTTTTATTATTATTATTTTTTGAGACAGAGTCTCACTCTGTCACCCAGGCTGGAGTGCAGTGGTGTGATCTTGGCTCACTGCAAGCTCCACCTCCTGGGTTCACACCATTCTCCTGCCTCAGCCTCCCGAGTAGTTGGAACTACAGGCATCTGCCACCACATCTGGCTAATTTTGTTTTTGTATTTTTAGTAGAGACGGGGTTTTACCATGTTAGCCAGGATGGTCTCAATCTCCTGACCTCGTGATCCGCCCGCCTCGGCCTCCCAAAGTGCTGGGATTGCAGGCGTGAGCCACCGCACCCCGCCAAACCAAGGATTATTTCTTAAGAAATTATATACTGGCCATATCCTCCACCCTGTCACCCCTTAGGTTAAAAGAACTCCTGACTCAAACTCTGCCTGTTGAGTTCACAGTTCACCACTTCTGGCCTGGTGACTTGGTGCAAATTAAAACTTGAAAAGAAGGCAAGCTCCACCCAAGCCGGGAAGGTCCCTATCAAGTGCTTCTGATCACTAAGACAGCCGTGTGAACAGCAGAATGGGGGTGGACTCACTATATTCCAGTCAAGGGACTAGTAAAAGAGACCCCAGAAGGGAAGAAAAAAGACCAGTGGAAAGTGCACGGGTCACCTGAGAAACCCTTAAAGTTAACTCTGAGAAAAATCTAAAAAAACAAAAAAACAAAAAAAACATGGGCTGGCCTCATTTTTGGAAGTTAATATGGTTAGGATGGGCTACTATACAAAGAGCAGAAGGTCAAAATGGAAACTGGCAGGGTACTCCTCCCTACCCATCAGGTAGTAATTAATGTAACCGAGATGGTAGCATCCCAAACCATAAAATTTAATGCCTGCCAGGTCTTACCTTGTGGAAATTTGGAAAATCAAAGACAGCTCTCACAGGTGGATAAATATCTTTGCCCTAAACCAGATACAGGTTACAGTAGGGCATTACTCTGCCCCAACTGGGATGATGTATGGTGGACTACCCAATTTCAGGGTTGGACAGTAAACAGGGGGTGGGTAACTCCAAGCTGAAGACCCTTAAAGAATAAACTACATCTGTCCAAGGGCTCCCCGCCAAATAACTGCCAGAATTTAAAATGCAATCCTGTACTCATCACCATTAACAAATCCAGCTGTTCTAAATCAAAAACCAAAAGTAGCATCTTGGGTATATGTGTTAGGGGCAAACATCACAGAGAAGGACCCCCTTGGGTGATTTGTTCTCAAACTAACCAAGAACCCAACCTGCCATTTGCCTAGGACTACTCCAACCCCAAACCCTAATAAAAACTTTAGTCCACCAAATAATAACCCTAAAAGAGTAAAAATAATTGAGGTAAAGCATTTAAGGCAAACCTTAGAAATTGAGACAGGGTACAAGAATGTAAATGCCTGGGTCAAATGGGTCAAATTTTCAGTACAAGCCCTCAACAAGTGTAACTGCTACACATGTGCTGTGGGATGACCTCAGGCACAGGTGGTTCTTTTTCCCCTAGGATAGGATACCAAACCTGCAGGAATGCATTGCATGTTGGCTCTATACCAAGACAAAAATACATGGGGAAATGAGACTTGTAAGAGTCTGTCATTGCTCTTTCCCGCAAGCAATCCCCTCGTTCTCTATAGGGAATATGAACCACTCCTCTTGCCTCTCTAGGCAGGGGGCAGAGTTCAATAAGCCCGTAAGAGTACTCTCGACTTGTACCCACATCCTAAATGTCACTGGTGAGTCAGGCAGTGGCAATTACTCAGCTCTCCATATACTCCGGGCTAATGTCTGGTAGTATTGTGGGAAAAGGAACCGCCATAACTTGTTACCATCCAATTGGACCGGGACTTGTGCTTTAGTCCAATTGGCCATTCCCTTCATCCTGGCATTCCATAAGACACTCGAAAATACATATGGCCACCAAAATTGGAGGGATTTGACAAATTCTTTTAATCCCAATATATATGTTAACTCAATAGGAGTCCCTGTTGGGGGGGGGGGGGTGCCTAATGAATTTAAGGCCTGAAACCAAATAGCTGCTGGGTTTGAGTCAGCACTCTTCTGGTGGTCAGCTATTAATAAAAACGTGAATTAGATTAACTGCATCTATTATAATCAACAGAGATTCATCAGTTATACTTGGGATGCCCTCAAAGGGGTGGCTAAACAGTTAAATGCCACCAGCCAAATGGCCTGGGAAAACAGACTTGCGCTGAACATAATACTAGCAGAAAAAGGCAGCGTATGTGTTATGCTAGGTGGGAAATGTTGCACTTTCCCAAAAATACTGCCCCAAAAGCTTTACATGGGCTGACAACTCTAGCCAACGAACTGACAGAAAATGCTGGAATTAATGACTCATTTATGGGTTGGCTAGAAGGTTGGTTTAAAAAATTAAAAGGCATGGTAGCCTCAATCCTTGCATCTCTCATAATTGTGGCAGGAGTCTTAACAGCAGTGGGATGTTATATTACCCCTCGTATGAGGGGACTAGCACAGAAATTAATTAAAACAGCTATTAATAAACAAATGCCCGTAACTTACCAGCAAAATAACCTGCTACTATTAGAAACCAAATTAAACTCACTTTCCTATGACGAAGAAAGTAAACAACTTCTAAAGTGATTCAAAAACAAAAAGGGTTTAGATGAAAATGAGACCAAACGAAGTAAATAGAAAAGAGGAGGGAATTTTAAATGGTCCATTTTCAAGGCATAATAAATCTAAGTACTGGCAGTCAGCCTGTGAATGTAACAAACTGTACGGCTCATGCACCTAGAAGGTCACGATAAGTGAACAGAATGTAGAAGAGGGGTCAGCCCATAAAAGGGAAGAAATTTTCGTTATTGGGAAATTGAAACTAAAGTGGGGAAGGGGATGGAGTATAACCTTATAAGGGGGTAATGAAACTTAGGGGATGTCAGGGAAGATTGTAACCCCATAGTACTTGACCAATGAGGATCTGGGGGAGGGGCTTGCATGCTAGGAGATAAATTACCTGCTGTAACTGCCCCCAGTGTGCCTGCCTACCAGATATCCGATCTTGCAAGACCACCATTAAAAGTCTCACTTCCACTGTTCTACATGTCTCTGAGTCCATTTTTTGGGTTTGGACAGGTGAATGTGTGTTTCTCATAGGTGAGAAACAAATTTCTGTTTTTTATAAGCCACTCAGTCTATGGCATTTTGTTATAGCAACCAGAATGGACTAAGACACATTCATGTGTTTGTCTGCTACTTGCTCTTTTCATTTAGAAATATATCACAGATGTCCTTCCTTGTTAGTATGAGAACTCATTTTTAGTAGCTGAATAAAGGTCCATATACAATAGAATGTACTATAACTTATTTGGCCAGTTACCTATTGATGAACATTTAGGTTATATCTAGTTTTTTGAAATTATAAATTATAAAGGTTGCTGCAATGAGCCCACTAGTACATTGTAAATATCTTTGTCCACTTCCACAAGCATTTCTGCAAGATAGATTCTTAGTAGGATGTTTTAATCCTACTAAGAATCTATCTTAAATTACCAAAACTTGATGACTTAAGACAACAGAAATTTATTATCTCCCAGTTCCTGAGGCTAGAAGTCCTAAATCAAGATGTTGACAAGGCTGTGCCCCTTTTGAAGGCTCTAGAAAAGAATCTTTCCTTGCCTTTTCCTAGCTCTTGTGGCTCCTAGCAATCCTTGCATTTATGGTGTGTAGCTGCATCACTCCAATCTTTGCCTCCATCTTCATATGGCCTTCTTTGTGTGTAAATCTGTGTATATCCAAATCTTCCTCTACTTATAAGGACAGCAGTCATTGGATTTAGGATTCACCCTAATCCAGCATGACCTCATCTAAACTTGATAACATATGCAAAGACACTGTTTCCAGGTAAGGTCCCATTCACAGGTCCTGGTGGGAGGATAGGACTTCCACATATATTTTTGAACACATTTCAAATCTTCACATAAGGAAATTTTAAGCTATTAAGTGTGCATATTTGAAACATTAATAAATATCATTATATTGCCCTCCAAGAGGTTATACCAATGCACGCCTATTTCAGCAGTGTATGACAGCACCTATATTGCTCTATTTCTTTCGGTTGGGTTAACAATCTTTATTATCTATTTTTAACACTTTTGATAATCTGAGAGGCTGAAAAAAATTACATCTCATTGAAATTGCAAACCTGTTCATATTTCTTCTGTGAATTTCCTGTTGATATCATTTGCCCAATTCTATTATTCTTTTTTTTTTTCACACAGAGTCTTACTCTGTCACCCAGGCTGGAGTGTGCAGTGGCACAATCTTGGCTCACTGCAACCTCTGCCTCCCTGGTTCAAGTGATTCTTGTGCCTCAGCCTCCTGAGCCCAAGTAGCTGGGACTACAGATGCATGCTGCCACGCCCAGCTAATTTTTGTATTTTTTGTAGAGATGGTGTTTCACCACGTTGGCCAGGCTGGTCTTGAACTCCTGACCTCAGGTGATCCGCCCACCTCAGCCTCTCAATAGGCTGGGATTACAGGTGTGAGCCACCATGCCCAGCCCAATTCTGTTGTTTTTTTAATTTACTTTTTATTGCTATATAGTTCACATACCATTAAATTCACCATTTAAACATGTATGATTCAGTTTTCCATTTTCCCAGTCCCTGACAACCACCAATCTACTTTTTGTCTTTATGAATTCGCCTATTCTGGACATTTCATAGAAATGGGATCATATGGTATGTGACCTTTTGTGTTTGGCTTCTTTCACTTAGCATAATGTTTCCAAAGTTCATCCATATTGTATCATGTATAAGCATTTCATTCTTCTTTATTGCCAAACAATATCCCCTTGTATGGATATACATACTATATTTTGTTTAATCATTCATTAGTAGCTAGACATTGGCTTGCTTCCACTTTTTGCTTATTAAGACTAATACTGCTATGAACATTTGAGTGTTATGAACATTTGAGTGCAAGTTTTTGTGTGAACATATGTTTTTAAATTCTCTTTGGTATATCCCTAGGCATGGAATTGCTGGGACATATGATAACTCTATGTTTAACTTTTAGAAGAACCACCAAACTGTTTTTTACAGTGGCTGCACCATTTTACATTTCCACTGGCAATGTACAAGCATTCCAATTTCTCCACATTCTTTCCAACACTTGTATTATTACTATTATTTTTTTTGAGACAGAGTCTCACTCTGTCCACTAGGCGGGAGTATAGTGGCACGATCTCAGCTCACTGCAACCTCCACTTCCTGGGTTCAAGCGATTCTCGTGCCTCAGCCTCCTGAGTAGCTGGGACTGCAGGCGCACACCACCATGCCAAGCTAATTTTTTTTTGTATTTTTAGTAGAGATGGGGTTTCACCATGTTGGCCAGGCTTGTCATGAACTCCTTGACCTCAGGTGATCCGCCTGCCTCGGGCTCCCAAAGTGCTGGAATTACAGATGTGAGCCACTGTGCCCAGCCTTTTTCTCTTTTTAAGGAGAAAAAGAAAAGCTAAATGTATACATATACATATACATATACATATACATATACATATACATATACATATATATAATAGCCATACTAGTGGGTGTGAAGTAGTATTTCATTGTGGTTTTTATTTTTGTTTCCCTAATCACTAATTATGTTGAGCATTTTTCATGTGCTTATTAGCCATTTGTATATCTTCTTAATGTCTATTCAAATCTCTTGAGTTTTTAAATTGGGTTATTTGTATTTTTATTATTGAGTTGTAAGAGGTTTTCTTATGTGTTCTGGATAAAGTCCCTTGTCATGCATTTAATTTGTAAATATTTTCTTCCATTTTATAGGTGACCTTTTCACTTTTTTGATAATGTTTTTTGATCTGTAAAAGTTTGGATTTTCATGAATTCCACATTACATATTTTTTTTTCTTTTGTTGCTTGTACTTTTGGTGTCATATCTAAGACTTCATTGCCAAATCCAAGGTCATGAATGATTACCTCCGTGTTTTCTTCTAAGAGTTTTATGGTTTGGATTTTACATTTAGATCTTTAATCCATTTCGAGTTAGTTTTTATATATGGTGTGTGAGGTAGGGATACAAATTCATTCATCTAGTTTTCACAGCACCATTTCTTGAAAAGACTGTCCTTTTTCCATTGAATGATCTTGGTACCCTTCTCAAAAATTATTGGACCATATACACGAAGGTTTGTTTCTGGGCTTTCTATTCTATTCAATTGGTCTATATGCCTGTATTATTCCATTGCAACACTGTCTTGATTACTGTACCGTTTTGAAATCAGAAAGAATGAGTCATCCAACTTGGTTTTTCTTTTTCAAGATTGTTTTACCTATTATAGGTTTCTTGCCTTTTCATCTTAATTTTAAGATCAGCCTGTCAATTTCTGCAAATGAGTCAGTTAGAATTTTGATATGATAGCTCTGAATTTGTAGATCAATTTTGCTAATGTTGCCTTATTAACAAATTAAGTCTCCCAATCTATGAACCCAGGATGTCTTTCCATTTATTTAGGTCTGATTCATTCATTGATAGTATATAGAAATATGAGTGGGTTTCGTAAATTGATTTTGTATCCTGAAACTTTACTAAACTTGTTTATTGGCTTCACTATTTTTTTCTATTTTTTAGTGGACTTTTAAGGATTTTTCACTATAGGATAATGTCGTTTGCAAATAAATATATTTTAAATTCTTCCTTTCCAACCTGGTGCCTTTTGTTATTTCTCCTCCTACTCTTCCTCTTCTCTTCCTCTTCATTCTCTTCCCATTCCCCTTGTTCTTCCCCTTCCCCCTTCCCCTCCCCTTCTGCCTTTCCTTCTCTTTCTCCTTATTTTCTCCCTCTTCCCTCTTCCTCCACTGTCCCCCTCCCCCATCCACCTCCCCTTCTCTCCTCCCCCTCCCTCCCCCACTCCTCCTCCTCCTTCTTCTTCTTCCTTCCATAGTTGTGCTGGATAGATCCTGTGGTAGATCTCCTGGGTTTTGCAAATTCAGTTTGAACCATCTTGATTTAGAGGTGCTTGGGCATCATTCAAGTGGGAAATCAAGTAGATGGTTGACTAGGTCAGAAGAACAATCTGGGATGGAGATTCAGATTTAGTGGATGTTAACATAGAGATGGTAATTTAAAAACCTTGAAATAATGACTTTGCCCCAAAAAGGTGTTTAGAATAAGAAGAGGACCTAGAACAGAGTTCTGGAAATCAATATCCAATAAGGAATGGGGATAGAAAGAAAAGTTCACAAGGGAAACTGATATGTCACTGCCAGAATAGTAGACATTAAATATTGGGAGCGTGGTGTCATGGAAGCCAGGGGAAGAAAGGGTTTCAAGAAAGTGGAAATATTCAGTAATCTGAGGGCTGTGAAATGCTATAAATGCAGCCAGGCGTGGTGGCTCATGCCTGTAATCCTAGCACTTTGGGAGGCCAAGGCGGGCGGGTCACCTGCAGTCAGGAGTTTGAGACCAGACTCACCAACATGGTGAAACCCTGTCTCTACTAAAAATACAAAAATTAGCTGGGCGTGGTGGCGGATGCCTGTAATCCCAGCTACTGGGGAGACTGAGGCAGGAGAATCGTTTGAACGTGGGAGGTGGAGGTTGCAGTGAGCTGAGATTGTGCCATTGCACTCCAGCCTGGGTGACAGGGTGAGACTCCATCTCAAAAAAAAAAAAAAAGAAAAAGAAAAAGCAACACTATAATTGCTTCTGAGAATTTTATTAAAATAATGTCTGAGGTAGATTACTGTGCTAAAACACTCATGGGACAAAACCAATAAAGGTGATGGTAAGATGTTAGAGGCAGAGGAGATAATCAGTAGCCTATATATTTTTTTCAGTGACCAAATACATAATAGCTTTAGATTTGGATTATATCTGAATTTTCTATGTACTGCTTATGCCTTTTGATGTGGTGAAAAATTCACTCTAGGGAACTCTTTTGCTTGAAAGAAGTTCTTCTAATGGGCCATATATGAGCAGGTTCCAGGTAGAAGAGGCCTGATCTATTCTCTCTACCTCAGTGTTTTTACAATGAATGCTTTGACTTGGATTAGAATGCACCAGAGGTACTTTTAAAGATACAGATTGGTGGTCATAATTACAGACCTACTGAATTATAATCCTAGGAATGGTACCCTGGAATCTGTATTTTAACAACTTCCCACAGATAATTCTTATGCATACCTAATTTGAGAAACATGGTTCTGGAAGAATTATCATCTAACAGTTATTTAAGCTCATTCATTTACCCTAATGTAATAGAGAACAGACCTACCTAAAAGAAACACTGAGCATGAGTTTATTTGGCTACATTTCCGTACCTGGGTGCACAGCCACATAAAATGTTTGCCAAATTTCCCTTATGTTACCAATGATGTCTCCTGTGTCTGGCTGAAACAATGGTGTTCATTCTCTATAGGTTACTGAATGGTGCTAATGCCTTTCATTGGTCAGATTCCATCCTTCCATACAATCTCATCTTTCAAGGTCAAGACTCCTTACTTTCAGCCTGTCTGCTATAGACTGAATATTCATGTCTTCCCAAAATTCATATGTTGGAATTCTAATTCCCAATGTGATGGTGTTTGGAGGTGGGGCCTATGAGAGGTGATTAGGTCATGAGGGCAGAGTCCTCATAAATGTGATGAAAGCTCTTATAAAAGAAACCCCAGAGAGCTCCCTCACCCCTTCTGCCATCAGAAGACAGCTGTCTATAAATGCCAAAGTGGGCCCTCACCAGACACCATATCTGCCAGCACTTTGATCTAAGACTTCCTGGCCTCCAGAACTGTGAGAAATAAATGTTTGTTGTTTAATCCACCCCGTCTATGGTATTCTGCTATAGCAATCCAAACTAAGACACCATCCTATATCCCTTTGGATTAACAACTGCATCAACCTATAAAAGAAAGGACAGCTTAGAGGTGGAAAATGACCATCTAACCCAAGGCTTCAAGTTCTCTGTAAAATGGATGATAGCAAACAGTAGCTAAATCCTTTCTTAAATTGCTAACACCATCTCATACTTTTCAGCTTCATGCATCTTTGGATTTGTGTGTGTGTGTGTGTACATGTGCATTGCCTTTTGCCCGGACCAATTAGTCTCTTCTTACTTCACTCTTTACTTCATGTGTATATTCACAGTGTGTATTTTCTTTTATTGACCACACCATCAAGGAAAGTTGGGACTAAAACGACCTTAGAAACTTTCTCCTCCAACCCTCTTATTTTTACAGATAGAAAAACTGAAGGTCAGAGTCATGAAACAACTTGCCCAAAGTAACACAGCTAATTAGTGGCTCAGCTAGGACAAGTGCCTGGGTCTCACGATTCCTTTTCCAGGGCTCTTCCCACTTATGGTAGGGATAGTTATTCCCAGAGAAGATGAACTCATAATTTTTTATACATTCTTGAAGTGGGACCAAGTCTGGGGTGCAAAAGGAAGGAATTGGAGGAAAACAGTGAGTTTTTTTTTAAAAAAGCTTAGTCTGTTAAAGAGATTTAGCTTTCAACCACTATATTACTTTTCATTTTTTCCTCCCTTCTCTGCCAGAAACAATAAAATGACCACTGTGGCACTGAGACCAAGGCAAGGTATTATACTTAAATCTGAGTTTAAATGATTTACAATTGAGTGGGAAGATTGTCCGGTGTACTGAGTTTACCAGGCTATTTCTTAATGTCACAGACCAGCCATGTGACCCTCATCAAATCATGGAGAGGCTTTTTCCCTCAGTTTTTCATTTTACGGGGATGACTCCACTCAGAGTGCTTAAGCAGAGACCAATGAGAAAGCAGTGGATTAAAAAAAAAAAAAGAAGTTACTTATTCAAAAGGTATAAGCTCTGGGCAATTTAGTGACTGCCTTTTATAAAAGATAAGATTGAGTCAGATAGGTGAATGGATTCCTTCAATGCCTCACATTGTGACTTGATTAATATTCACTTCTGAAAACTTAAAAAATTCTACAAGATGAATAGAATGTCGTATTTTAAAATGGGAAAAAATCTGGAGTAAGAGAAGATGTTTTTCTTCCTGCTGATCTTCTTTCTTTCTAAATAAGCGCCTTGGATATTATCAAAAGAGTCATTAGAATGTGAGTGTGAAAGACAGAGAGAGACAAGAAAAGAAATATATCATTCAAAGAGAATTTGACATAAGAGCAGTAACTGTGGGGAGAAAAAAAAACTTCAGTGAGACGTGGTAAAGTCAAGCAATTTGGGTGAAAAGAACATGTGGCGCTGTGCAGTAGTAGGTGCCAAGGAGGATAGGTGGAAAATAGCATGTGCCTGGCCAAAGAACTTTTCAATTTTTTTAAAAACTGAGAACAGGAGGAGATAAACGGACAGTCTCCAAGGTGTTCTGGAAAATCAATCACAAACATCATCTAGAAGCAGCTGACTTAATTCATTCTATTCCTATTACAATAAATCTGACTGGCATATAAAATTTGCTTGCCTGGAAATATTGGCCTGAAAAATTACTTTTGGGCTTTTGCTTGAATTTTTATGTGAATAAAGATGACTAGGAAACCACCAAAAACACAGAAAACCCAATCATTTCCTTTTCCAGAGAATGTTTCAAAACCTAAATCCAGCCTAGGGTGTGGGTAGTAACCCACTATATAAAATAATTTATGCACATTTTGGTTATCTAAAATGAGGAGGCTGCTTTGTATATATGAAGATACAGAACTTCCCGCTAGGCCAGGTACTTGGAATGTTTTTTCTTATACTGGGGATGGTTTTGTGTTAACCCATCTGTACTTTCTCATTCAGCCTCTTTCATGTTCAATGCTAAGAGGCTAGCCAAGAAACAGAATAAATCGAATGGCCTCAGCCAAGTAATTCTAATGAAAACTCCACTGAAGTGACTTTGATGTATTCCTAAGCCTTAAATTAGAGCTACTGAAAAAGAACAACATATTTCATAACATAATCTTGCTGCAGATCAGCTCCCATTGACAATACTCAAATCACTTCAGAACGGTCAGTCTTTTATTGTGTGCATTTTGCTGAGCACAAGGTAGGCCCGTTAAATCTGTGGACTTGCATCCTTTGGTTCTGGGAAATTTTCTTACATTGTTTATCTGATAATTTCATCCCGTACATTTTTTTCTTTTTCTAAACTAGGTGGATATTATACCCCTGGATTGATCCTCAAATTTTATTATCTTTTTTCTTCCATTTTCCATATCTTTATCTTTTTGCTTTTGCTATCTTATTAAGATAGATTTTATTTTTTACAGAAGTTTTACATTCACGGCAAAACTGAGTGGGACGTAAAGGGATTACCCATATGCCCCCTGCCTCTATGTACACATAGCCTTCCCCACTGTCAAAATCCCACACCACAATGGCACATTTATTACAACTGAAGAACCTCTATTGACACATCATTATCACCCAAAGTCCATAGTTTATATTAGGGTTCATTCTTGGTGTGATACATTCTGTGGGTTTTAACAAATGCCTAATGACACATATCCACCATAATAGTACCAAACATAGTATTTTCACTGCCCTAAAAATCTTCTGTGCTCCACTTATTCATCCTTCCCTCCTCCCTAACCCCTGGCTACCACTGATCCTTTTACCATATTCATAGTTTTGCTTTATCTAGAATTACATATAGTTGGAATCATACAGTATGTATCCCTTTCAGAGTGACTTCTTTCACTTAGCAATATGCATTTAAGATTCTTTTATGTCCTCTTGTGGCTTGATAGCTCATTTATTTCCTGCTGAATAATATTCCATTGTTTGAATGTATCACAATTTATTTGTCCATTTATCCATTTATCTACTGAAAGACATCTTGACTGCTTCTAATTTCTGGCAATTATGAATAAAGAGTCTACAACTATCTGGGTGCAGAGTTTGCGTGTCCATAAGTTTTCAACTCATTTGGGTATATACCAAGGACCATAATTGCTGGATCTCATAGTAAGAGTATGTTTAGTTTTGTAAGAAATTGCCAAACTGTCTTCCAAAGTGACTCTACAATTTTTTATTCCCACCAACAATGAATGAGAGTTTCTGCTGTTCCACATCCTCATCCACACTTGGTTTTGTTAGTGCTTTGGATCTGGGCTTTTCTAACAGATGTAGTACAGTGGTTTCTCATTGTTATTTTTTTAAAAAAGTTACTTCTTTTTCTTTTCTTTTTAAAAAATATTTAATATTTGTGGGTACACAGTAGGTATATATATTTATGGTTTACATGAAATGTTTTGATACAGGCATGCAATGTGTGAAAATCACATCATGTAAAATGGGGTATCCATCCCCTCAAGCATTTATACTTTGTGTTAAAAACAATCAAATTATACTCTTCTAGTTATTTTGAAATGTACAATTAAATTATTATTGACTATAGTCACCATGTGCTATCAAATTCTAGGTCTTATTCATTCTTTCTATTTTTTGTGTACCCATTATCCATCCCCATCTCCTACCCACCTCCTACTACCCTTCCCAGCCTCTGGTAACTATCCTTCTACTCTCTATCTCCATGAGTTGAATAGTTTTGATTTTTAGATTCCATAAATAAGTGAGAACATTTGATGTTTGTCTTTCTGTGCCTGGTTTATTTCATTTAGCATAATGATTCCCAGTTCCATCAATGTTGTTGCAAATCTTTGGATATTACTGTTTTTTAAGGCTGAATAGTACTCCATTGTGTATATGTGCCACATTTTGTTTATCTTTTCATCTGTTAATGGAACTTAGGTTGTTTCCAAATTCTGGCTATTGTCAACAGTACTGCAACAAACATAAGACCGCAGATGTCCCTTCTACATACTGATTTCCTTTCTTTTGAGTATATACCCAGCAGTGGGATTGCTGGAATATATGGTGGCTCAATTTTTAGTTTTTTGAGGAACTTCCAAACTGTTCCCCATAGTGGTTGTTCTAATGTACATTCCCGCCAACAGTGTGTGAGGGTTCCCTTTTCTCCACATCATCACCAACATTTGTTATTATTTGTCTTTCGGATATAAGCCATTTTAACTGGGGTGGGATGATATCTCATTGTAGTTTTGATTTACATTTCTCTGATGATCAGTGATATTGAGCACCTTTTCATATGCCTGTTTGCCATTTGTATGTCTTTTTGAGAAATGTCTATCTAAATCTTTTGCCCATTTAAAAACCTGAATATTAGATATTTTCCTATAGAGTTGTTTGAGCTCCTTATACATTCTGATTATTAATCTCTTGTCAGATGGGTAGCTTGAAAATATTTTCTCTCATTCTGTGGGTTGTCCCTTCACTTTGTTGATTGTTTCCTTTGCTGTGCAGAGGCTTTTTAAATTGATCTGATCACATTTGCTCATTTATGCTTAGGTTGCCTGTGTTTGTGGGGTATTAATCAAGAAATCGTCACTCAGACCAATGTCCTAGAGATTTCTCTGATGTTTTCTTTTTTTTTTTTTTTTTATTATACTTTAAGTTTTAGGGTACATGTGCACATTGGGCAGGTTAGTTACATATGTATACATGTGCCATGCTGGTGCGCTGCACCCACTAACTCGTCATCTAGCATTAGGTATATCTCCCAATGCTATCCCTCCCCCGTTCCCCCACCCCACCACAGTCCCCAGAGTGTGATATTCCCCTTCCTGTGTCCATGTGATCTCATTGTTCAATTCCCACCTATGAGTGAGAATATGCGGTGTTTGGTTTTTTGTTCTTGCGATAGTTTACTGAGAATGATGATTTCCAATTTCATCCATGTCCCTACAAAGGACATAAACTCATCATTTTTTATGGCTGCATAGTATTCCATGGTGTATATGTGCCACATTTTCTTAATCCAGTCTATCATCGTTGGACATTTGGGTTGGTTCCAAGTCTTTGCTATTGTGAATAATGCCGCAATAAACATACGTGTGCATGTGTCTTTATAGCAGCATGATTTATAGTCCTTTGGGTATATACCCAGTAATGGGATGGCTGGGTCAAATGGTATTTCTAGTTCTAGATCCCTGAGGAATCGCCACACTGACTTCCACAATGGTTGAACTAGTTTCCAGTCCCACCAACAGTGTAAAAGTGTTCCTATTTCTCCACATCCTCTCCAGCACCTGTTGTTTCCTGACTTTTTAATGATTGCCATTCTAACTGGTGTGAGATGGTATCTCATTGTGGTTTTGATTTGCATTTCTCTGATGGCCAGTGATGGTGAGCATTTTTTCATGTGTTTTTTGGCTGCATAAATGTCTTCTTTTGAGAAGTGTCTGTTCATGTCCTTTGCCCACTTTTTGATGGGGTTGTTTTTATTATTATTATTATTATTATTATTATTTTTATTGATCATTCTTGGGTGTTTCTCGCAGAGGGGGATTTGGCAGGGTCACAGGACAATAGTGGAGGGAAGGTCAGCAGATAAACAAGTGAACAAAGGTCTCTGGTTTTCCTAGGCAGAGGACCCCACGGCCTTCCGCAGTGTTTGTGTCCCTGGGTACTTGAGATTAGGGAGTGATGATGACTCTTAACGAGCATGCTGCCTTCAAGCGTCTGTTTAACAAAGCACATCTTGCACCGCCCTTAATCCATTTAACCCTGAGTGGACACAGCACATGTTTCAGAGAGCACAGGGTTGGGGGCAAGGTCACAGATCAACAGGATCCCAAGGCAGAAGAATTTTTCTTAGTACAGAACAAAATGAAAAGTCTCCCACGTCTACCTCCCTCTACACAGACATGGCAACCATCCGATTTCTCAATCTTTTCCCCACCTTTCCCGCCTTTCCATTCCACAAAACCGCCATTGTCATCATGGCCCGCTCTCAATGAGCTGCTGGGTACACCTCCCAGATGGGGTGGTGGCCGGGCAGAGGGGCTCCTCACTTCCCAGTAGGGGCGGCCGGGCAGAGGCGCCCCTCACCTCCCGGACGGGGCGGCTGGCCGGGCGGGGCGCTGACCCCCCCACCTCCCTCCCGGACGGGGCGGCTGGCCGGGCAGAGGGGCTCCTCACTTCCCAGTAGGGGCAGCCGGGCAGAGGCGCCCCTCACCTCCCGGATGGGGCGGCTGGCCGGGCGGGGGGCTGACCTCCCCACCTCCCTCCCGGATGGGGCGGCTGGCCGGGCGGGGGGCTGACCCCCCCACCTCCCTCCCGGACGGGGTGGCTGGCCGGGCAGAGGGGCTCCTCACTTCCCAGTAGGGGCGGCCGGGCAGAGGCGCCCCTCACCTCCCAGATGGGGTGGCTGGCCAGGCGGGGGGCTGACCCCCCCCACCTCCCTCCCGGACGGGGCGGCTGGCCGGGCAGAGGGGCTCCTCACTTCCCAGTAGGGGCGGCCGGGCAGAGGCGCCCCTCACCTCCCAGATGGGGTGGCTGGCCAGGCGGGGGGCTGACCCCCCCCACCTCCCTCCCGGACGGGGCGGCTGGCCGGGCAGAGGGGCTCCTCACTTCCCAGTAGGGGCGGCCGGGCAGAGGCGCCCCTCACCTCCCGGATGGGGCGGCTGGCCAGGCGGGGGGCTGACCCCCCCCACCTCCCTCCCGGATGGGGCGGCTGGCCGTTTGTTTTTTTTCTTGTAAATTTGTTTGAGTTCATTGTAGATTCTGGATATTAGCCCTTTGTCAGATGAGTAGGTTGCGAAAATTTTCTCCCATTTTGTAGGTTGCCTGTTCACTCTGATGGTAGTTTCTTTTGCTGTGCAGAAGCTCTTTAGTTTAATTAGATCCCATTTGTCAATTTTGTCTTTTGTTGCCATTGCTTTTGGTGTTTTGGACATGAAGTCCTTGCCCATGCCTATGTCCTGAATGGTAATGCCTAGGTTTTCTTCTAGGGTTTTTATGGTTTTAGGTCTAACGTTTAAGTCTTTAATCCATCTTGAATTGATTTTTGTATAAGGTGTAAGGAAGGGATCCAGTTTCAGCTTTCTACATATGGCTAGCCAGTTTTCCCAGCACCATTTATTAAATAGGGAATCCTTTCCCCATTGCTTGTTTTTCTCAGGTTTGTCAAAGATCAGATAGTTGTAGATATGCGGCGTTATTTCTGAGGGCTCTGTTCTGTTCCATTGATCTATATCTCTGTTTTGGTACCAGTACCATGCTGTTTTGTTTACTGTAGCCTTGTAGTATAGTTTGAAGTCAGGTAGTGTGATGCCTCCTGCTTTGCTCTTTTGGCTTAGGATTGCCTTGGTGATGCGGGCTCTTTTTTGGTTCCATATGAACTTTAAAGTAGTTTTTTCCAATTCTGTGAAGAAAGTCATTGGTAGCTTGATGGGGATGGCATTGAATCTGTAAATTACCTTGGGCAGTATGGCCATTTTCACAATATTGATTCTTCCTACCCATGAGCATGGAATGTTCTTCCATTTGTTTGTATCCTCTTTTATTTCCTTGAGCAGTGGTTTGTAGTTCTCCTTGAAGAGGTCCTTCACATCCCTTGTAAGTTGGATTCCTAGGTATTTTATTCTCTTTGAAGCAATTGTGAATGGGAGTTCACTCATGATTTGGCTCTCTGTTTGTCTGTTGTTGGTGTATAAAAATGCTTGTGACTTTTGTACATTGATTTTGTATCCTGAGACTTTGCTGAAGTTGCTTATCAGCTTAAGGAGATTTTGGGCTGAGACAATGGGGTTTTCCAGATAAACAATCATGTCGTCTGCAAACAGGGACAATTTGACTTCCTCTTTTCCTAATTGAATACCCTTTATTTCCTTTTCCTGCCTAATTGCCCTGGCCAGAACTTCCAACACTATGTTGAATAGGAGTGGTGAGAGAGGGCATCCCTGTCTTGTGCCAGTTTTCAAAGGGAATGCTTCCAGTTTTTGCCCATTCAGTATGATATTGGCTGTGGGTTTGTCATAGATAGCTCTTATTATTTTGAGATACGTCCCATCAATACCTAATTTCTTGAGAGTTTTTAGCATGAAGGGTTGTTGAATTTTGTCAAAGGCTTTTTCTGCATCTATTGAGATACTCATGTGGTTTTTGTCTTTGGCTCTGTTTATATGCTGGATTACATTTATTGATTTGCATATATTGAACCAGCCTTGCATCCCAGGGATGAAGCCCACTTGATCATGGTGGATAAGCTTTTTGATGTGCTGCTGGATTCGTTTTGCCAGAATTTTATTGAGGATTTTTGCATCAATGTTCATCAAGGATATTGGTCTAAAATTCTCTTTTTTGGTTGTGTCTCTGCCAGGCTTTGGTATCAGAATGATGCTGGCCTCATAAAATGAGTTAGGGAGGATTCCTTCTTTTTCTATTGATTGGAATAGTTTCAGAAGGAATGGTACCAGTTCCTCCTTGTACCTGTGGTAGAATTCGGCTGTGAATCCATCTGGTCCTGGACTCTTTTTGGTTGGTAAACTATTGATTATTGCCACAATTTCAGCTCCTGTTATTGGTCTATTCAGAGATTCAACTTCTTCCTGGTTTAGTCTTGGGAGAGTGTATGTGTCGAGGAATTTATCCATTTCTTCTAGATTTTCTAGTTTATTTGCATAGAGGTGTTTGTAGTATTCTCTGATGGTAGTTTGTATTTCTGTGGGATCAGTGGGAATATCCCCTTTATCATTTTTTTATTGTGTCTATTTGATTCTTCTCTCTTTTTTTCTTTATTAGTCTTGCTAGCGTTCTATCAATTTTGTTGATCCTTTCAAAAAACCAGCTCCTGGATTCATTAATTTTTTGAAGGATTTTTTGTGTCTCTATTTCCTTCAGTTCTGCTCTGATTTTAGTTATTTCTTGCCTTCTGCTAGCTTTTGAATGTGTTTGCTCTTGCTTTTCTAGTTCTTTTAATTGTGATGTTAGGGTGTCAATTTTGGATCTTTCCTGCTTTCTCTTGTGGGCATTTAGTGCTATAAATTTCCCTCTACACACTGCTTTGAATGCATCCCAGAGATTCTGGTATGTTGTGTCTTTGTTCTCGTTGGTTTCAAAGAACATCTTTATTTCTGCCTTCATTTCGTTATGTATCCAGTAGTCAATCAGGAGCAGGTTGTTCAGTTTCCATGTAGTTGAGCGGTTTTGAGTGAGATTCTTAATCCTGAGTTCTAGTTTGATTGCACTGTGGTCTGAGAGATAGTTTGTTATAATCTCTGTTCTTTTACATTTGCTGAGGAGAGCTTTACTTCCAAGTATGTGGTCAATTTTGGAATAGGTATGGTGTGGTGCTGAAAAAAATGTATATTGTGTTGATTTAGGGTGGAGAGTTCTGTAGATGTCTATTAGGTCCACTTGGTGCAGAGCTGAGTTCAATTCCTGGGTATCCTTGTTGACTTTCTGTCTCGTTGATCTGTCTAATGTTGACAGTGGGGTGTTAAAGTCTCCCATTATTATTGTGTGGGAGTCTAAGTCTCTCTGTAGGTCACTCAGGACTTGCTTTATGAATCTGGGTGCTCCTGTATTGGATGCATATATATTTAGGATAGTTAGCTCTTCTTGTTGAATTGATCCCTTTACCATTATGTAATGGCCTTCTTTGTCTCTTTTGATCTTTGTTGGTTTAAAGTCTGTTTTATCAGAGACTAGGATTGCAACCCCTGCCTTTTTTTGTTTTCCATTTGCTTGGTAGATCTTCCTCCATCCCTTTATTTTGAGCCTATGTGTGTCTCTGCATGTGAGATGGGTTTCCTGAATACAGCACACTGATGGGTCTTGACTCTTTATCCAATTTGCCAGTCTGTGTCTTTTAATTGGAGCATTTAGTCCATTTACATTTAAAGTTAATATTGTTATGTGTGAATTTGATCCTGTCATTATCATGTTAGCTGGTGATTTTGCTCGTTAGTTGATGCAGTTTCTTCCTAGTCTCGATGGTCTTTACATTTTGGCATGATTTCGCAGCGGCTGGTACCGGTTGTTCCTTTCCATGTTTAGCACTTCCTTCGGGAGCTCTTTTAGGGCAGGCCTGGTGGTGACAAAATCTCTCAGCATTTGCTTGTCTGCAAAGTATTTTATTTCTCCTTCACTTATGAAGCTTAGTTTGGCTGGATATGAAATTCTGGGTTGAAAATTCTTTTCTTTAAGAATGTTGAATATTGGCCCCCACTCTCTTCTGGCTTGTAGGGTTTCTGCTGAGAGATCCGCTGTTAGTCTGATGGGCTTCCCTTTGAGGGTAACCCGACCTTTCTCTCTGGCTGCCCTTAACATTTTTTCCTTCATTTCAACTTTGGTGAATCTGACAATTATGTGTCTTGGAGTTGCTCTTCTCAAGGAGTGTCTCTGTGGCGTTCTCTGTATTTCCTGAATCTGAACGTTGGCCTGCCTTGCTAGATTGGGGAAGTTCTCCTGGATAATATCCTGCAGAGTGTTTTCCAACTTGGTTCCATTCTCCCCATCACTTTCAGGTACACCAATCAGACGTAGATTTGGTCTTTTCACATAGTCCCATATTTCTTGGAGGCTTTGCTCATTTCTTTTTATTCTTTTTTCTCTAAACTTCCCTTCTCGCTTCATTTCATTTATTTCATCTTCCATTGCTGATACCCTTTCTTCCAGTTGATCGCATCGGCTCCTGAGGCTTCTGCATTCTTCACGTAGTTCTCGAGCCTTGGTTTTCAGCTCCATCAGCTCCTTTAAGCACTTCTCTGTATTGGTTATTCTAGTTATACATTCTTCTAAATTTTTTTCAAAGTTTTCAACTTCTTTGCCTTTGGTTTGAATGTCCTCCCGTAGCTCAGAGTAATTTGATCGTCTGAAGCCTTCTTCTCTCAGCTCGTCCAAGTCATTCTCCATCCAGCTTTGTTCCGTTGCTGGTGAGGAACTGCGTTCCTTTGGAGGAGGAGAGGCGCTCTGCTTTTTAGAGTTTCCAGTTTTTCTGTTCTGTTTTTTCCCCATCTTTGTGGTTTTATCTACTTTTGGTCTTTGATGATGGTGATGTACAGATGGGTTTTTGGTGTGGATGTCCTTTCTGTTTGTTAGTTTTCCTTCTAACAGACAGGACCCTCAGCTGCAGGTCTGTTGGAATACCCTGCCGTGTGAGGTGTCAGTGTGCCCCTGCTGGGGGGTGCCTCCCAGTTAGGCTGCTCGGGGGTCAGGGGTCAGGGACCCACTTGAGGAGGCAGTCTGCCCGTTCTCAGATCTCCAGCTGCGTGCTGGGAGAACCACTGCTCTCTTCAAAGCTGTCAGACAGGGACATTTAAGTCTGCAGAGGTTACTGCTGTCTTTTTGTTTGTCTGTGCCCTGCCCCCAGAGGTGGAGCCTACAGAGGCAGGCAGGCCTCCTTGAGCTGTGGTGGGCTCCACCCAGTTCGAGCTTCCCGGCTGCTTTGTTTACCTAAGCGAGCCTGGGCAATCGCGGGCGCCCCTCCCCGAGCCTCGCTGCCACCTTGCAGTTTGATCTCAGACTGCTGTGCTAGCAATCAGCGAGACTCCGTGGGCATAGGACCCTCCGAGCCAGGTGCGGGATATAATCTCGTGGTGCGCAGTTTTTTACGCCGGTCTGAAAAGCACAATATTCGGGTGGGAGTGACCCGATTTTCCAGGTGCGTCCGTCACCCCTTTCTTTGACTTGGAAAGGGAACTCCCTGACCCCTTGCGCTTCCCAAGTGAGGCAATGCCTCGCCCTGCTTTGGCTTGCGCACGGTGCGCGCACCCACTGACCCGTGCCCACTGGCTGGCACTCCCTAGTGAGATGAACCCGGTACCTCAGATGGAAATGCAGAAATCACCCATCTTCTGTGTCGCTCACGCTGGGAGCTGTAGACCGGAGCTGTTCCTGTTCGGCCATCTTGGCTCCTCCCTCTCCACATTACATTTCTTAAAGTCTCTGATGTTTTCTTATAATAGTTTCATAGTTTGAGGTCTCAGATTTAAGTCTTTGGTCCATTTTGATTTGATTTTTGTGTATGGTGAGAGAGAGAGAGGTCTAATTTCATTCTTCTGCATATGAATATCTAGTTTTCCCAGTATCGTTTACTGAAGATACTTTCTTTTCCTCAGTGTATGTCTTGGCATCTTTGTTGAAAATGAGTTTACTGTAGGTGTGTGGATTTGTTTCTGGGTTCTCTATTCTGTTCCACTGGTCTATGCATCTGTTTTTATGGCAGTACCATGCTGTTTGGGTTACTATAGCTCTGTAGTATAATTTGAAGTCAGGTAATGTGATTCCTCTAGTTTTATCCCTTTTGCTTAGGATAGCTTTGGCTATTCTGGATTTTTTGTAGTTCCATATAAATTGTAGGATTATGTTTTCTATTTCTGTGAAGAACATCCTTGGTATTTTGATAGGGATTGCATTGAATATGTAGATTGCTTTGGGTAATATGGACATTTTAACAATGTTGATTCTTCCAATTAATAAACATGGAATATAGCTTTCCATTTTTGGTGTCCTCTTCAATTTCTTTCTTCAGCATTTTATAGTTTTCATTATAAAGATCTTTCACTTATTTGGTTTAGTTAATTCCTAGGTATTTAATTTTATTTGTGGTGGTTGTAAATGGGATTACTTTTTTATTTCTTTTTCAGATTGTTTACTGTTGCCATGTAGAAATGCTACTGATTTTTGTATGTCAATTTTGTATCCTGCATCTTTACTGAATTTATCAGCTGTGATTGATTTTGTGAAGTCTTTAGATTTTTCAAAGTATAAGATCTTATCATCTGCAAACAAGATAATTTTACTCCATCCTTTCCAATTTGGATGTCCCTTATTTATTTCTCTTGCCTGATTGCTCTAGCTAGGACTTCCAGTACTGTGTTGAATAACAGCGGTGAAAGGGGACATCCTTTTTATGTTCCAGATCTTAGAGGAAAGGCTTTCAGTGTTTCCTCATTCAGTATGATACTCACTGTTGGTCTGTCATATATGGCTTTTATTATGTTGAGGTATGTTTCCTCTGTACCCAGCTTTTTGAGGGTTTTTTTTTTTTTGATGGAGTCTCACACTGTCGCCAGCCTGGAGTGCAGTGACACCATCTCGGCTCACTGCAACCTCTGTCTCCTGGGTTCAAGTGATTCTCCTGTCTCAGCCTTCCAAGTAGCTGGGACCACAGGTGCATACCACCACGCCCAGCTAATTTTTGTGTTTTTAGTAGAGGCAGGGTTTCACCATGTTGGCCAGGATGGTCTTGATCTCCTGACCTCATGATCTGCCCACCTCAGCCTTCCAAAATGCTGGGATTACAGGCGTGAACCACCATGCCCAGCCAAGTTTTTTTTTTTTTTTTAAATCATGAGAGGATGTTAAATTTTATCAAATGCTTTTTCAGCATCAATTAAAATCATCATATGTTTTTTTCCTTCATTCTGTTAATATGATGTATCACATTAGTTGATTTGCTCATGCCAAACCATCCTTGCATCCCTGGGATAAATCCCACTTGGTCATGATGAAGGATCTTTTTAATGTATTGTTGAATTCTGTTTGCTGCTATTTTGTTGAGGATTTCTGCACCCATATTCATCAGAGATATTGGCCTGTAGTTTTCTTTTTTTGAAGTGTCTTTTTTTTTTTTTTTTTGAGACAGAGTTTTACTCTTGTTGCCCAGGCTGGAGTGCAATGGCATGATCTCAGCTCACCACAACCTCTGCCTCTTGGGTTCAAGCGATTCTCCTACCTCAGCCTCCCTAGTAGCTGGGATTACAGGCATGTGCCACCACACCCAGCTAATTTTGTATTTTTTTTTTTAGTAGAGATGGGGTTTCACCATGTTGGCCAGGCTGGTCTTGAACTCCCGACCTGAGGTGATCTGCCCAACTTGGCCTCCCAAAGTGCTGGGATTACAGGTGTGAGCCACTGCACCCGGCCTTTGAATTGTCTTTGCATGGTTTTGGTATCAGGGTAATATTGGCCTTGTAGAATGCGTTTGTAAATATTCCTTCTTCCTTTTTTTTCAGAATAGCATTCACTCTTCTTTAAATGTTTGGTAGAATTCAGCAATGAAGCCATCAGGTCCCAGGCTTTTCTTTACTGGCAGACTTTTTATTACAACTTGGATATTGTTACTCATTATTGGTATGTTAAGGTTTTGGATTTATTCATGGTTTAATTTTGGTGTGTTACATGTGTCTAGGAATTTGTCCACTTCTATATTTTGCAGTTTATTGGCATATAGTTGCTCATAGTAGCCGCTAATAATGCTTTGAATTTCTGTGGTATCAGCTGTAATGTCTTCTTTTTTGCCTTGATTTTATTTATTTAGATATTCTTTTTTTTCTGTCTAGCTAAAGGTTTGTCAATTTTATTTAACTTTTCAAAAAATCAGCTTTTTGTTTTGCTGATCTTTTGTATTGTTTTCTTCATGGGAATTTCATTTATTTCTGCTCTGATCCTTATGATTTCTTTTCTTCTACTAATTTTGGTTTTGGTTTGCTCTTGGTTTTCCAGTTCTTTAAGAGCCATCGTTAGGTTGTTTATTTGAAATTTTCTTTTTTTCTGATATAGGCACTTGTTATAATCTTCCCTCTTAGTACTGCTTTTGGGTACTTTGGGTACTGTATCCCATAAGTTATGGTATATTGTGTTTCCATAATCATTTGTTTCAAGACATTTTTCAATGTCCTTAATTTCTTCATTGACCCACTGGTCATTCAGGAGCATATTGTTTAATTTCCATGTATTTGGATGGTTTCCAAAATTCCTCTTGTTATTGATTTCTGGTTTTATTCCACTGTGGTCAGAGAAGATGCTTGATATTATTTCAAATTGTTTGAATGTTTTAAGACTTGTTTTCTGAGCTAACATATGTCTATCCTTGAGAATGATCCACATGCTGAGGAAAAGAATATGTATTCTGCAGCTGTTGGATGAATTGTTCTGCAATTATCTATTAGAACCATTTGGTCTATAGTGCATGTTAAGTCCAATGTTTCTCTGCTGATTTTCTGTCTGAAAGATCTGCCCAATGTGGAAAATGGTGTGTTGAAGTTTCCAGCTATTATTGTATTGGGGTCTATCTCTCTCTTTAGCTCTAATAATATTTTCTTTATGTATCCAGGTGTTCCAGTGTTGGGATCATATATATTTAAAATTGCTATATCCTCTTGCTGAATTTACTTCTTCATCATTATATAGTGACCGTCTTTGTCACTTTCTGTAGTTTTTCTCTTGAAATGGAATTTGTCTGATATAAGTATTGCTACTCCTGCTCTTTTTTGGTTTCCATTGGCATGGAATATCTTCTTTCATCCCTTTGTTTTCAGTCTGTGTATTTTTATAGGTGAAGTGTGCTTCTTATAGGCAACAGATCATTGGGTCTTGTTTTTTCATCCATTCAGCCATTCGATGTCTTTTGATTGAAGAATTTAGTCTATTTACATTTTATGTTATCATTGATAAGTAATGACTTACTCCTGCCATTTTGTTATTTGTTTTCTGGTTGTTCCGTGGTCTTCTCTTCCTCATTTCTATTCTTTCTAGCTTCCTTTTAGTGAAGGTGATTTTCTCTGGTATAATTTCTTGCTTTTTTATTTTTTATTTATGTATGTTTTGGTTTGAGGTTACCACATGTTTGTATGTTTTGTATGTTTTGGTTTGAGATTACCACATGGCTTGCAAGCACTATCTTATCGCCAAGTATTTTAAGCTGATAACAACTTAACACTGTTTGCAGAAACAAACAAAAAGAAAACCAATAAAGATTCTAGGTCTTGTCCCTCTGTTTTTAAACCTTTTGTTGTTTCTATTTATATCTTATTGTACTATGTATATCTTGAAAATTTGCTGTAGTTATTATTTGGATTGGTTCATTGTTTAGTCTCTACTTAAGAGTAGTTCACACATCACTGTTATAGTGTTATAATATTCTGTGTTTTTCTGTGTACCTACTATTCCCAGTGAGTTTTGTACCTCACATGATATCTTATTGCTCATTAACATTTTTTCTTTTTGATTTAAGTACTCCCTTTAGCATTTCTTTTAGGATGAGTTTGGTGTTGATGAAATCCCTCAGCTTTTGTTTTTCTGGGAAAATCTTTATTTATCTTCATATTTGAAGGATATTTTTGCCAGATATACTATTCTGGGGTAAACGCTTTTTTTTCCTTCAACACCTTAAATATGTCATGCAACTCTCTTTTGGCCTGTGAGGTTTCCACTAAAAAGTCTGTGGCCAGACGTATTGGAGCTCCATTGTATGGTTCTTTTTTTTTTTTTCCTGCTTTTTGGATCTCTTCTTTATCCTTGACCTTTAGGAGTTTGCTTATTGAATGCCTTGAGGTAGTCATCTTTGTGTTAAATCTGCTTGGTGTTCTATAACCTTCTTGCACTTGAATATTGATATCTTTCTCTAGGGTTGGGAAGTTCTCTGTTATTATCCCTTTGAATAAGCTTTCTATGCCTATCGTTTTCTCTACCTCCTCTTTAAGGCCAATAACTCTTAGATTTGCCCTTTTGAGGCTATTTTCTAGATCCTGTAGATGTGCTTCTTTGTTTTTTTATTCTTTTCTCTTTTTTCCCTTCTGACTGTATTTGCAAATAGCCTGTCTTCAAGCTTACTAATTCATTCTTCTGCTTGATCCATTCTGGTATTAAAAGACTCTGATGAATTCTTCAGTATGCCAATTGCATCTTTTGGTTGTAGAATTTCTGCTTGATTCTTTTAAAATTATTTCAGTCACTTTGTTAAACATATATGATAGAATTTGGAATTCTTTCTTTGTGTTATCTTAAATTTCTTTGAATTTCCTCAACACAGCTATTTCGAGTTCTCTGTCTGAAAGGACACATACCTCTTTTTCTCCAGGATTGGTCTCTGGTGCCTTATTTATTTCATTTGGTGAGGTCATGTTTTCCTGAATTATCTTGTTACTTGTAGATGTTAGTCTGTGTCTGGGCATTGAAAAGTTAGGCATTTATTTTACTCTTCTCAATCTGGGCTGGTTTATGTCTGCCCCTCTTGGGAAGGTTTTTAAGATATTTGAAAGGACTTGGCCAGGCATGGTGGCTCACACTTGAAATCCCAGCACTTTGGGAGGCTGAGGTGGGAGGATCACCTGAGGTTAGGAGTTTGAGACCAGCCCGACCAACATGGAAAACCCCGTCTCTACTAAAAATACAAAAATTAGCCTGGTGTGGTGGCACGTGCCTGTAATCCTGGCTACTTGGGAGGCTGAGGCAGGAGAATTGCCTGAACCCAGAAGGCAGAGGTTGCGGTGAGCCAAGACCATGCCATTGCACTCCAGCCTGGGCAACAAGAGCAAAACTCCATCTCAAAAAAAAAAAAAAAAAAAAAAAAAAGAAAAAGAAAGAAAGAAAGAAAGAAAGGACTTGGTTGCTGTGATCTAAGCTGTATCTGCTTTAGAAGACACCCCAAGCCCAGTAACACTGTACTTCTTGCAGACTTGTAGAGGTACTGCCTTGATGGTCTTGGACAAAATTCAGGAAAATTCTCTGGATTAACAGGCAGAAACTCTTGTTCTCTTCCATTACATTCACCCAAACGAACTGAGTCTCTCTCTGTTCTGATTCCTCTGGAGCTAAGGGTGGTGTGACACAAGCACCCCTGTGGCCACCACCACTATGATTATGCTGGGTCAGACCTAAAGCCAGCACAGCACTGGGTCTCATTCAAGGCCTGCTGTAACCACTCCCTGGCTACCACCTATGTTCATTCATTGCCATGGTTCTCTACAATAAACTTGTGGCAAAGCCAGCCAAGCATGTGGCCTTCCCTTCAGGGTGGTGAGTTCCCCCAGGCCCCAGGCAGGTCAAGAGTTCCCATTTGAGAGCCAGGGACAAGAGTGAAAAACCTTAGAAGTGTACCTCGTGATCTATTGTACTGAGAGTGAGCTGGCACTCAAACCACAAGATGCAGTTCTTCCCACTCTTCTCTCTCCTTTCCAAAGGCAGATGAATCTCAATTTTTGGCCACCACCACCACAAGCCCACAGGGAGTACTGCCAGACTACCGCCATGTTACCTTAAGGCCCACAGGGCTTTTCAATCTGCTTGTGAATGCTGCCTGGCCTAGGACTCACCCTTCAGGGCACAGCATTCCCTTCTGGCCTAGGGCAGGTCCAAAATTGCTATCCAAAAGCCAAGACCTGGAATCTAGGATTCCAAGAGTCCACTTGGTGCTCTACCTCCCTGTAGCCAAGCTGATGTCTAAGGTACAAGAGAAAGTCCCCTTTACTTTTTCTTCTTTTCTTTTTTATTTTCTTCTTTTTTTTGAGACAGAGTCTCGCTCCGTCACCCAGGCTGGAGTTCAGTGGCACGATCGCGGCTCACTGCAAGCTCCTCCTCCTGGGTTCACGCCATTCTCCTGCCTCAGCCTCCCAAGTAGCTGGGACTACAGGCACCCGCCACCACGCCTGGCTAATTTTTTTGTATTTTTAGTAGAGACGGGGTTTCACCATGTTAGCCAGGATAGTCTCAATCTGCTGACCTTGTGATCTGCCCGCCTTGGCTTCCCAAAGTGCTGGGATTACAGGCATAAGCCACCGCACCCGGCCTACTTTTCCCTCTTTTCTTAAGCAGAAGTCTTGACCCATACCACCACAGTTGTGAATGTCCTGAGTCTTACCTGAAGCCAGCAAGTCTCAGAGTCTCACCCAAGGCCTTAAACATGGTACCTGGGGATTGCTGCTGGTTATTCAGGGCCCAAGGGCTCTTCAGTTAGCAAGTGATAAATCTAGACAGGCCTGGGTACTTCCCTTCAAAGCTGCAGGTTCCCTTCTAGTCCAGGGTGTATCTAGAAATGCAGTCTAGGAGCTAGGGCCTGGAAAGGGGACCTTATGACTCTGACCAGTACCCTATCTTGCTGTGGCTGAGTTGGTATCAAAGATGCAAGACAAAGTCCTTCCCACTCTTCCCTCTCCTCTCCTCAGGTGGAGGGAAGGGGTCTCTTTTGGAGCAATGAACTGTGCAGCCTGGGAATGGGGAGGGGTGATGCTAGCACGCCTTTAGCCACCCCAGCTGGTGTCTCAGTAGGTCCCATGCTGCCCAGTTCACTGGCTCTGGACCAGTTCAACACTGAGACTCACCTAAGAGTTGCAGTCCTTGTGGCCTAGACTCCCTTTGAAGTTTATTTAGAGCCCCAGAGTACTTTAGCCTGCAGTGGTGGTGGGGCTTGAGCAAACTCAAGTTTAGACCACTGGAATTGGCAATTTCCCTCTGGCTAGGGCTGGTTTAAATCTTCCCTCTGTGGGCAGGTTTCAGCTAATATTGGTCCAGTTTTGTTTTCTGCTATAACAGGGCAGCACTGAGTTCAATGTAGCACAATTGCTGTGCTCTCCCTCCCACAGTGGCGAGAAATGCTCTCTGCACCACACAGCTGCTGCCTGGCTGGGAGGTCAGTGAGGGGTGGCATCAGCAATTCAAGACTGTTTTTCCCACCTCTTCAGTGTCAATTTCAGCAATTTGAAGTTAAAGGCAGGTACTGTGAATGCTCGCCTGAATTTCAGTTCTTATGAAGGTGCTTTTTTGGTGTAGATAGTTATTAAATTGATGTCCTTTCGGGTGGGGTGATGGTGGACAATCAGTGGAGGCTTCTATCCCACCATATTCTTTAATGTGCAATTACCTAATGACATATGATGTTGAGCATCTTTTCATTTGTTTATTTTCTGTCTGCATGTATTCGTTGATGAGATGTCTGAGTCTTTTGCTCATTTTAAAATCAGGGTTTTTTTGTTATTGTTGAGGTTAAGTGTTCTTTGTATATTTTGGATAATAATCCTTTATCAGATATGTCTTTTACAAATATTTTCTCCCAGTTTTTGGCTTGTTTTTCATTCTCTCAACAGTGTCTGAAGCAGAGCAGAAGTTTTAAATTTCAATGGGTTTCAGCTTATCAATTTTTTTTTCATGGATTATGCTTTTGGTGCTAAATCAAAAATGTCATTGCCATATCCAGGGTCATTTAGGTTCTCTCCTATGTTATAATCCAGAGTTGTGTAGTTTATATTTTACATTTAACTCTATAATCCATTTTAAGTTAATTTTTATGAGAGGTATAAAGTCTTTGTCTAGATTTTTCCTTTTGCATGTGGATGTCTAGTTGTTCCAGCATCATTTGTTGAGAAGACTATCGTTGCTCCATTGTATTGCCTATGCTCCCTTGTCAAGCATCAGCTGACTATTTTTTTGTGGTCTATTTGCTGGGCTTTGTATTTTGCCCACTTGATCTATTTTTCTATTCTTTTTTTTTTTTTTTGAGACGGAGTCACTTTGTCGCCCAGGCTGGAGTGCAGTGGTGCAATCTCGGCTCACTGCAACCTCCACCTCCCGGGTTCAAGCAATTCTCTGCCTCAGCCTCCTGAGTAGCTGGGATGGGATTACAGGCGCCCGCCACCACGCCAGGCTAATTTTTTGTATTTTTAGTAGAGACGGGGTTTCACCATGTTGGCCAGGCTGATCTTGAACTCCTGACCTCGTGATTCACCCGCCTCGGCCTTCCAAAGTGCTGGGATTACAAGTGTGAGCCACTGTGCCTGGCTTATTTATCTATTCTTTCACCAGTACCACACTTACTGCATTATTGTAGCTTTATAGCAAGCAAGAATTCAGGTAGTGTCAGTCTTCTGACTTTATTCTTCTTCAATATTGTGTTGGAGAATAAAGAACACAGAAATAACACCACACACCTACAACTATCTGATCTTCAATAAATCTAACAAAAACAAGCAATGGTGAAAAGGAATCCCTATTCAATAAATGGTGCTGGGAGAACTGACTAGCCAAATGCAGAAGATTGAAACTGGAGCCCTTCCTTAAACCATATACAAAAATTCATTCAAGATCATTTGAAGAATTAAATGTAAAATCCAAAACTATAAAAATCCTAGAAGACAACCTGAGCAATGCCATTCAGGTCATAGGCATGGGCAAAGATTTCATGATGAGGATGCCAAAAGCAATTGCAACAAAAACAAAAATCAACAAATGAGATCTAATTAAACTAAAGATCTCTGAACAGCAAAAGAAACTGTCAACAGAGTAAACAGACAATGTACAGAATGGGAGAAAATTTTTGCAAACTATGTATCTGACAAAGGTGTAATATCCAGCCTCTATAAGAATCTTAAAAAAAATTTACAAGAAAAAAAACCCATTAAAAAGTGGGTAAAGGACACGAACAGAAACTTTTCTAAAGAAGATATACATGTGGCCAAAAATCATATGAAAAAAGCTCAACATCACTAATTATTAGAGAAATGCAAATAAAAACTACAACGAGGTACCATCTCACACCAGTGGGAATTACTATTTTTAAAAAGTCATAAAATAGCAGATGCTGGCAGGTTGTGGAGACAAGGGAACACCTATGCACTGTTGGTAAGTGTATAAATTAGTTCAACCATTGTGGTAAGCAGTTTGGTGATTTCTGAAAGAGTTAAAAGCCAGATCTACCATTTGACTCAGCAATCCCATTACTAGGCATATGTCCAGAGGAATATAAATAATTGTATTATAAAGACACATGCATGCTTTGTTCATTGCAGCACTATTCACAATAGCAAAGGTATGGAATCAACCTAAATGCCCATCAATGACAGACTGGATAAAGGAAATGGGGTACACATGCACCATGGAATACTATGGAACCATAAAACAGAATAAAATCATGTTCTTAGGCAACCTACAGAATGGGAGAAAATTTTTGCAATCTATCCATCGGATAAAGGTCTAATATCCAGAATCTCCAAGGAACTTATACAAATTTACAAAAAGAAAAAAAAAATCACAAAGTGGGCGAAGGATATGAACAAACACTTCTCAAAAGAAGATATTTACGAGGCCAACAAACATATGGAAGAAAGCTCATCATCACTGGTCATTAGAGAAATGCAAATCAAAACCACAATGAGATACCATCTCACTCCAGTTAGAATGGTGATCATTAAAAAGTCAGGAAACAACAGATGCTGGCGAGGCTGTGGAGAAATAGGAATGCTTTTACACTGTTAATGGGAGTGGAAATTAGTTCGACCACTGTGGAAGACAGTGTGGTGATTCCTCAAGGATCTAGAACCAGAAATACCATTTGACCCAGTAATCCCATTACTGGGTATGTACCCAAAGGATTAGAAATGATTCTACTATAAAGACACATGCACATGTATGTTTATTGCAGCACTATTTACAATAGCAAAGACTTGGAACCAACCCAAATGCCCATCAATGATAGGCTGCATAAAGAAAATGTGGCACATATACACCATGGAATACTATGCAGCCATAAAAAAGGATGAGTGCATGTCCTTTGCAGGGACATGGATGAAGCTGGAAACCATCATCCTCAACAAACTAACACAGGAACAGAAAACCAAACACGGCATGTTCTCACTCATAAGTGGGAGTTGAACAATGAGAACACAAGGACACAGGGAGGGGAACATCACACACCGGGGCCTGTTGGAGGTTGGGGGACAAGGGGAGGGAGAGCATTAAGACAAATATCTAACGCATGTGGGGTAAAACCTAGATGATGGGTTGGTAGGTGCAACAAACCACCATGGCACGTGTATACCCATGTAACAAACCTGCACATTCTGCACATGTATCCCAGAACTTAAAGTAAAATTTAAAAAATAATAATAAATAAATAAATTTAAATTAAAAAAAATCATGTTCTTTGCAGGAACATTGATGGAGCTGGTGGCCATTATCCTTAGCAAACTAATGCGGGAACAGAGAACCAAATACTGCATGTTCTCACTCATAAGTGGGAGCTGAACAATGAGAACACGTGGGCACATGGGAAGAAACAACACACACTGGGGCCTATTGTAGGTTGGACGGTGGGAGAAGGAGTGAGAGGATCAAGAAAAATGACCAATGAATACCCTCTTAATAGCTGGGTGATGAAATAACCTGTACAACAAACCCTCATAAGTTTACCTATGTAACAAACCTGCACATGTACCTCTGAACTTAAAATAAAGGTTAAAAAAAAGTGTTGGCTATTCTGGGTCTTTTGCTTCTCCATATAAACTGTAAAATCAGTTTGTCAATATGTATAAAATAAGTTGCAAGGATTTTGTTTGCGATTGCATTAAATCTATAGAAGAGATTAGGAAGAAGTGACATCTTGACAATATCAAGCCTTCCTGTTCATGCACATTGTATTAGTCTGTTCTTGAATTGCTTTAAGGAAATACCTAAGATTGGCTAATTTATAAAGAAAAGAGGTTTAATTTAGCTCACATTTCTGCAAGCTTTACAGGAAGCATGGTGCTGTCATCTGCTTTAGGTGAGGACCTCAGAAATCTTTTGATCATTGCCAAAGGCAAAGGGGCGCCATCATGTCACATGACAGGAGGTTTTTTGCCCTTCTTTTAATTTTTTACACAGGCAGCCATGTTACCTGTTATCATTACTGGTCATTAGAGAAATGCAAATCAAAACCACAAAGAGATACCATCTCACTCCAGTTAGAATGGTGATCATTAAAAAGTCAGGAAACAACAGATGCTGGCGAGGATGTAGAGAAATGGGAACGCTTTTACACTGTTGGTGGGAGTGTAAATTAGTTCAACCATTGTGGAAGACAGTGTGGTGATTCCTCAAGGATCTAGAAACAGAAATACCATTTGACCCAGCAATTTCATTATTGGGTATATACCCAAAGGATTAGGAATCATTCTACTATAAAGACTCATGAACATGTATGTTTATTGCAGCACTATACACAGTAGCAAATACTTGGTACCAACCCAAATGCCCATCAATGACAGACTGCATAAAGAAAATGTGGCACATATACACCATGGAATACTATGCAGCTATAAAAAAGGATGAGTGCATGTCCTTTGCAGGGACATGGATGAAGCTGGAAACCATCATTCTCAGCAAACTAACACAGGAACAGAAAACCAAACACGGCATGTTCTCACTCATAAGTGGGAGTTGAACAATGAGAACACATAGACACGGAGTGGGGGGACCATCACACACCAGGGCCTGTTGAGGGGTGGGGCGCTAGGGGAGGGATAGCATTAGGAGAAATACCTAATGTAGATGACAGGTTGATAGGTGCAGCAAACCACCATGACACATGTATACCTATGTAACAAAGCTGCACGTTCTGCACATGGTATTCCAGAACTTAAAGTATAAAAAAAGATACTAAAAATGAATGTTATTTATCACTATTAAAAAAATTTTCAAAAGTGTACTCTTTAGTGACATCAGCAAGATGGCATAATAGGAAGCCTTGGACCTTTCTTCTCTTCACATACACTGTAGTTCATGGGAAACTTACCTTTGTGAGAAATGCAGAAACAGTTGAGAAGCTCCTGGACCCCAGGTGAGCACAAAACTACCTATATCAAAGCCAGTAAGAAGATTTAAAACACGCTCTTTCCCACTTTTACACTGTTGGTGGAAGTGTAAATTAGTTCAACCTTTGTGGAAGACAGTCTGGTGATTCCTCAAGGATCTAGAACCAGAATTGCCATTTGACCCAGCAATCCCCTTACTGGGTATATACCCAAAGGATTATAAATCTTGCTACTATAAAGTCACATGCACATGTATGTTTATTGTGGCACTATTCACAATAGCAAAGACTTGGTTCCAACCCAAATGCCCATCAATGATAGACTGGATAAAGAAAATGTGGCACATATACACCATGGAATACTATGCAGCCATAAAAAAGGATGAGTGCATGTCTTTGCAGGGACATGGATGAAGCTGGAAACCATCATTCTCAGCAAACTAACACAGGAACAGAAAACCAAACACCGCATGTTCTCACTCTTAGGTGGGAATTGAACAATGAGATCACCTGGACACAGGGTGGGGAACATCACACACTGGGGCCTGTTGGGGGGTGGGGGGCTGGGCATTAGGAGAAATACCTATTGTAAATCATGAGTTGATGGGTGCAGCAAACCAACATGGCACATTATACCTATGTATCAAACCTGCACGTTGTGCACACGTACCCTAGAACTTACAGTATAATAATAATAATAATAAAACCCTGTTTCCATAATACCTACCTCTGTCATAGTGCTATATGATTAAGAAAAAACCTCCAGCGCTCAGCTTCTCTATGGGAAGGGAAAGAGATGCACTACACATCTAATACCCCAAATTCTCCATGTCCTACTCAGAGGACTGGCTTCTGTTTTTCTCATCTTGGAGCACTGACAGGACCTGGCATGACCTAGCTATCTGGGGCTAATGAGAACAGAGATGGCAGTTTGGGATGGTAGTCACCATCGACCCACAGTCCTTCCCCCCAGCTCAGCACAGAGCAAGCAGACGATCAAAACCCCCAGCTTTCAGCTTCTCCCTGGTGAGGGAAAGAGGTGGGCCACATGTCACATGCCTAAACTTTTCTGGAGGCTACCCAGAGGACTGCCTTCTGTCTAGCATATCTCAGAGCTCTGATGGGACCTGGCATAATCTAGATGCCTGGGGGCTGGTGAAAACAAGGATGGTGATTTGATCTAGCACACTACTAGTTGCCACATCCACCCCCACACCCCTGACTCAGTACAGAAAAAATAGGTGAAAACCCCCAGATCCCATCTTCTCTCTGAGGAGGAAAAAAGTTGAAGAGAACATTTGGTGATCCAAGTTTTGGGGAGGCTGCCTGAGAAACTGCCTTTTGACCAATTTGTCTTGACATGCTAATGAGAATTAGCATACTCTAGCTAGATGCCTGGTGGCTGTTAAGAACAAAGAACATAGATTGGATAGTATGAAGGTTGAAAAGGGCCCTCAAATCTCTGACTGGGCTTATCATTGAGGTTCTTCTCCTGCATAAGGCCAATCTGTGAAGACTGAAAGAGGTGGATATTTTGTATAATGCATAGACACCAAGGCATAGATTCAAGGAAAATGAAGAAACAGAGAAATATGTTTTAAACAAAGGAACAGGTAAATATTCAGAAAATAACTCTAATAAATTTGAGTTATAGAATTTACCTCATGGAAAATTCTTTATTCTTCATGGATAACATGATAAAGATGCTCACCAAGATCAGGAGAAAAAATGCATGAACAAAGTGAGAATTTCAAAAATATTCTCAACATATTCAACCATGAAATAGAAAATGTATATTTAAAAAGTACCAAACAAAAACCATGGAATTGAACAATGCAATATCCGAACTGAAGAACTTACTAGAGGGTTCAACAACAGACTAGATCAAATAGAAGAAAGGATTAGTGAACTCAGGGACAGCTCACTGGAAACTACTGAGTCAGAGGAGCAAAAAGAAAAAAGAATGAAAAAGAATGAAGAAAGCTTAATGGACTTGTGGGACACCATTAAGCCAACCAAAATAGGAGTCTTGGAAGGAGAAGAGAGAGCAAAACCCCCAAACAATCATGAAAAAGCACACTCAAGGAAATAGTGGACGAACACTTCCCAAATCTGGGGAAGGAAATAGACATCCGGATGCAGAAAGCCCAAAAGATTTCAGGTAAAATAAACTCAAAGATGCCCACACTAAAATACATTATAATCATCAAAGTAAAAGACAACGAGAATATTGGAAGCAACAAGAGAAAAGCCACTTGTCTTATATAACGGATTTCCCCATATCAGTGGATTTTTCAACAGAAACCTTTCTGGCCAGAAGGGGACGAAATTACATATTCAAAATGCCAAAAGAAATAACTGTCAACCGAGAATACTATACCTGGCAAAATATTCTTCAAAAATGAAGGGGAGGTAAAGAATTTCCCTGAGAAAAAAAAGCTGAAGGAGTTCAATAGTAGTCTTGCCTTACAAGAAATGAGAAAGGGAGTTCTTTCAGTTGAAATGAAAGGACACTAAAAAGTAACACGACAACTTAAGAAAGTATAAAACTCATTAGTATAGGTAAATATATAGACAGCTATAGAACAACTTACTGTTTTAATGGTGATGGGCAAAGTTACTTTTAATGGTAGTACAAAAATATAAAAGTATTAAAAGTAACTATAACTAAACATATGTTAGGATACAAAATATAAATGAATGTACATTGTGACAGTAATAACAAAGTGTGTGTGTCTCTGTGTGTGTGTGTGTGTGTGTGTGTGTAGAAAGAGTAAAAATGCAGAGTTTTGGTATGTGATTGAAATTAAGTTGTTATCAGCTTAAAATAGACTGTTATGAAATACTTTATGTAAGTCCCATGGTAACCACACAAAAAATATCTATGGGAATTATACAAAGAAGAGAAGGGAATCTAAGCATATCAGTAACAACAATGCAAGTCAATGAAACATAAAAGAAGACAGCAAGAGGCAAAAATGGGAAGAAAAGAGCTACCAAACAGGTAACAATTAACAAAATGGCAATGGTAAATCCTTTCCCATCAATTATTACTTTAAATGTAACTGAATTAAATCCCCCAATCAAAATATATAGAGTGGCTAAATGGATAAAAATCAAAAATTCAACCATATGCTGTCTCCAACAAACTCACTTTTAATTTTTTTTATTTATTCTACTTTAAGTTCTAGGGTACATGTGCACAATGTGCAGGATTTTCACATAGGTATACATGTGCCATGTTGGTTTGCTGCACCCATCAACTTGTCATTTACAATAGGTATTTCTCCTAATGCTATCCCTCCCCCAGCCCCCCACCCCCCAACAGGCCCCAGTGTGTGATGTTCCCTGCCCTTTGTCCAAGTGTTCTCATTGTTCAATTCCCACCTATGAGTAAGAATATGTGGTGTTTGGTTTTCTGCCCTTGTGATAGTTTGCTGAGAATGATGGTTTCCAGCTTCATCCATGTCCCTGCAAAGGACATGCACTCATCCTTTTTTATGACTGCATAGTATTCCATGGTGTATATGTGCCACATTTTCTTTATGCAGTCTATCATTGATGGGCAGTTGGGTTGGTTCCAAGTCTTTGCTATTGTGAATAGTGCCGCAATAAACATACGTGTGCATGTGTCTTTATAGTAGCATGATTTATAATCCTTTGGGTATATACCCAGTAATGGGATTGCTGGGTCAAATGGTATTTCTAGTTCCAGATCCTTGAGGAATCACCAGACTGTCTTCCACAATGGTTGAACTAATTTACACTCCCATTAACAGTGTAAAAGCATTCCTATTTCTCCACATCCTCTCCAGCATCTGTTTCCTGACTTTTTAGTGATCGCCATTCCAACTGGCATGAGATGGTATCTTATTGGAAACTCACTTTTAATTTAAGGATACACATAAGCTGAGAGTGAAGGAATTAAAAAAAAGATAATCTATGTCAATGACAACCGAAAGAAAGCAGAGGTTTGCTATATTTACATGAGACGAAATAGAGTTAAAGTCAAAAACAGTCACAAGAAACAAAGAAGGACATTACGTAATGTTAAAAGGGTCAATTCTCCAGGAAGTTATGAAAATTACATAACAATTATACATATATATGCACCCAGTATCAGAGCACCTAAATATATAAGGCAAACATTGGCAGAACTGAAGGGAGAAATAGACAGCAATACAATAATAATAAGAGACTTCAATACCCCACTTTCAATAATGGATAGAACATTCAGACAGAAAATCAATAAGGAAACAGCAGACTTGAACAACACTGTAGGTGAAACAAACCTAACAAACATATGCAGAACATTTCACCCAACATCAGGAGAAGATACATTCTTCTCAAGCACACATGGAACATTCTTTAGGATGGATCACATGATAGATCACAAAACAGGACCCAATAAACTTAAGATTGAAACCATACCAAATATTTTTTCTGACCAAAACACAATGAAACTAGAAATTAATAACAAAAGGAAAACTAAAATTCACAAGTATGTGGAAATTAAACAACACACCTTTGAACACCAACGAGTCAAGGAAGAATTCAATAAGGAAATTAGGGAGTAAGACAAATAAATGTGAAAATGCAACATTCCAAAACCATGTGATGCAGGAAAAGCAGTCCTAAGAGGGAAGTTTGTAGTGACAAATGCCTGTTTTTAACATTTTTTTAAACAGGGTCTCACTCTGTCACTCTGCATGTTGGAATGGAGTGGTGTGATTGTAGCTCACTGCAGCCTTTAACTACTGTGTTCAAGCAATCCTCCTGCCTCAGCCTTCCAAGTAGCTGGAACTACAGGTGCTTAACACTCATTTTTAAAAACAAGGAAGATCTCAAATGAATAATCGAACTATACACCTTAAGAAATAGAAAAAGATGAACAACTAAGCCCAAAGTTGGCAGAAAGAAGAAAATGAAGAAAATGATAATCATTTGAGAAGAAAAAAATAGAACATATAAAAACTAGAAAAAAATAAAACTAAGAATTGGTTTTTTGAAACAATAAAATTTGATAAACATTTAGCTAGACTAAGTAAGGAGCACACTAAGTTCTCAAGCACACATGGAACATTCTCTAGGATGGATCACATGATAGGTCACTAAACACGACTTAATAAACTTAAGATTGAAATTATACCAAATTTTTTTTGGTATGGAGGTAAGGAAAAAAGAGAAAATACTCAAACCAATAGATTCATAAATGAAAGAGGAGATATTGTAACTAATGCTACAGAAATAAAAAGGATCATGGGATGCTACTATGGACAATTATATGTCAACAAACTAGGGGAAATGGATAACCTAGAAGAAATGGATAATTTCCTAAAAACATACAATTTATCAAGATTGAATCCTGAAGAAATAGAACGTCTGAACAGACCTATAACTAGTAAGGAGATTGAATCAGTAATAAAAAACCTCTCAACAAAGAAAAGCCCAGAACCAGGTGGCTTCACTGATAAATTCTGCCAAACATTTAAGGAAGAATTAATGCCAATTCTTCTCAAACTCTTCAAAAAATTAAAGAGAGAACACTTCCAAACTCATTTTATGAGGCCAACATTACCCTAATACCAAAGTCAGACAAAGACACCATAAGAAAAGAAAACTACTAGCAAATATTACTGAAGAGTGTAGACCCAAAAATCGTTGACAACATACTAGCAAGCTGAATTCAACAGCATATTAAAAGAATCATACACCATTACCTAATGGGATTTATCACTGGGATGCAGGGATGGTTCAACATACACAAACCAATGACTGTAATACACTACATTAACATAATGAATATAATCACATGGTTATCTCAATAGATGCAGAAAAAGTATTTGACAAAATTTAACACCTTTTTATGATAAAAACTCTTAACAAACTATGAATAGAAAGAAGTTACCTGAACATAATAGAGGCCATATACGAAAATCTACAACTAATAACAAATTCAACAGTGAAAAACTGAAAGCTTTTCTTCTAAGATCAGGAACATGTCAAGTGGATGAATACTCTTGCCAGTTTTATTTAACATAGTACTGGAAGTCGTAGCCAGTGCAATTGGGCAAGAAAAAGAAATAAAATACATCTAAATCAGAAAGTAAGAAGTAAAACTGTCCCTGTTTGCAGATTACAGGTTATTACATGTAGAAAACCCTACACATTCCACACTCCAGAATACTGTTATAACTAATAAACTAATTCAGCAAAGTTACAGGTTACAAAATTAACATAAAAAACACAGTTGAATTTGCATGCACTAACAATGAACTATCTAAAAAGATACACCATGGAATACTATGCACCCATAAAAAGGAACAAGATTAGGTCCTTTGCAGGGACATGGATGGAGCTGGAAGCCATTATCCTCAGCAAACTACACAGGAACAGAAAACCAAATACTGCGTGTTCTCACTTATAAGTGGGAGCTGAACAGTAAGAACACTTGGACAGATGGAGGGGAACAAAATACACTGGGGCCTGTTGGAGGGGTAGCGGGAGGGAGAGCATCAAGAATAGCTAATGGATACTGGGCTTAATACCTAGGTGATAAGTTGATCTGTGAAGCAATCCACCATGGCACACCTTTACTTATGTAACAAACCTGCACATCCTGCACATGTACCCTGGAACTTAAAATAAAAGTTGAAGAAAAAAACACACAAGGAACTATCTAAAAAGGAAGTTAGGAAAACAATCTTATTAAAATTTAATACTGTTAAAATGTCATACTACCCAAGCTGATCCACAGATTCAATATAATTCCTATCAGAATTCTCATGGCAGTCTTTTTATAGAAACAGAAAAAATAATATTAAAATTCATATGGAGCCATAAAAGATCCAAATAACCAAAATAATCTTCAAAAAGGAGAACAAAGTTGCAGCCATCACATTTTCTGATTTCAAAATATGTTACAAAGCTTCAGTAAATGAAATAATTTGATACTGGCATAAAGACAGACATACAGATTAACGGGACAGGAAAGAGAGCCAAGAAATAAATCTACCTGTATAAAGTCAACAGATCTTCAACAAGCATTCCAGGAATGCACAATGGGAAAAAGATTCAACAAATGGTGCTGGGAAGAGTGGATATGCACATAAAAAAGAATGAAATTGGACCCTTGTTTTACACCATACACAAAAATCAACTCAAAATGGATTGAAGACTTAAACATAATACCAGAAACTGTAAAACTCCTAGAAGAAAACATAGGGAAAAGACTTCTTGATACTGGTCTTGGCAATGATTTCATGGGTACTACACCAAAAACATATGCAACAAAAGCAAAAATAGACAAGTGAGCCCAGGTCAAAGTAAAAAGCTTCTGCACGGCAGAGGAAAAAAACTTGATAGAGTGAAAAAGGAAAACTAGAAATGGGAGAAATAATTTGCAAACCACATATTTGATAAGGGATTAATTTCCAAAATATATAAGGAACTTCTATAACGCAATAACAAAAAACACACCCCAAAACTAATAAGCCAAGATGTAGAATCTACCTAAGTGACTATCGATGAATTTATGGATAAAGAAAATGTGGTACATATGCACAATGGAATATTATTAAGCAAAAAAGAATGAAATCTTGTCATTTGCAACAGCATGGTTGGAACTGGAGGACCTTATGTTACGTGAAATAAACCAGGCACAGAAAGATAATTATTATATGTTCTCATTCATATGTGGGAGATAAAAAAATGAACTCATGGAGATAGAGAATATATTGATGGTTATCAGAGGCTGAAAAGAATAGTGGGGGTGGCGTAGGGGTATGGGGGAAAGAGGAGATGGTGGATGGGTACAAAAATACAGTTAGAAGGAATAAGACCTAGTGTTTGGTAGCACAATAGGGTGACAAGGTTAAAAATAATTTATTGTAGATTTCAAAATAATCAAAGGAGTGGAATTGGCAGGTTCCTAACACAAATAAATGATAAATGCTTGGGGTGTGATGGATATCCCAGTTACCCTGGTTTGATCATCACACATTATATGCTTGTATCAAAATAACACATGAACCCTAAATATGTACAAGTATTATGTATCCATAATAATTTAAAAAGCTTTTAATGGGCTAAATACTTGAATATAAATTTCCCCAAAGAAGACAAACAAATGGTCAACAGGTATATGAAAATGTGCTCAATGCCACTAATCATCAGGGAAATGCAACTAAAAATCACAATGAACTATCACCTCACATCTGTTAGGATGGCTATTATAAAAACAGAAAAACTGAAACAAACAAACAAACAAAAAAAACAAAAAGAAAAGTGTTGGCAAAGATCGAGAAATTGGAAGCTTTGTGCAGTATGGAGGTGCCTAAAAAAAATTGTACTGTATAATCTAGCAATCCTACCTCTGGGTATTTTTCCAGAAGAATTGAAATTAGGATCTTGAAGAGATATTAGCACTTCAATGTTTACTGCAGCATTACTCACAATGTCCAAGATGTGGAAACAATCTTATGTCCATTGACATGAATGGATAAAGAAAATGTGCTATATACATACAATAGAATATTATTCAGCCTTATAAAAAGAAGAAAATTCTGCCTTATGTGACAAAATGGAGAAAGCTTTGAAAACATGCCAAGTGAAATAAGCCAGTTACAGGAGGAAAAAACTGCATAATTCCACTTATATGATGTATCAAAAATAGTCAAATGGACATAAAGTTTCAATTATGCAAGATGAGTAAGTTCTAGAGATCTGTACAACATTGTCCCCATAGTTAACAAACTGTATTGTACAACTAAAACTTGTTAAGAGGGTAGATCTCTTGGCAAGTACTCTTACCACAATACATTAAAATTTTTAAAAAAGAAAAAAAATTAGAGAAGTGTAGGTCCATGAGTTCTTATCCACAATTCCAAAATATATAGAGCTCTATAAAGGAAAACTCCTTTATAACTAATTTTATTGTAAATCCTGACCTGAACCAACACAATGCTATTTAGAGTCTTTGTTTATGCCACTTAATGTGAATATTCACAATTTATGCTGATGAAACATTATGGTGCTATATAGTAAATATTATGCATACTTTATTATGTTTCTGAAATTAAAACGAATCCAAATTCTAACCCATTTGCCACAAGAATTTCACTCAATTCTGGATAACATTATTGTAGTTCAAGTTTCATGCCTTATGTTAAGAAAAATATCCCATTACCTTTTTGTTCCCAACATCACACTTTTTATTGTCTGTAACGGGTCATGATTGTGAATCTGGACATTATGAAATGACTTAAAAGTTGAGGAAGTCTGATTCATCAGGCTGTACCGCTTAAGGTACATTTTTTTTCATTTCCTTTTTTCTTTTAAAGGAAATTAAACGTAGTGGTTCAGAGCATGGGCTTTAGAGACAGACTGACAAGTTTATATGCCTATATTTTACTAGCTGTATGACTTTGAGCAAATCACTTTAGCTTTCTAAATCTCTGCTATCGTTTCTGTGAAATAGAGATTAAAGAAAAATTTTGTGCTTTGTAGGGTTGATATAAAAGCAAAAAAATATTGCATGGAGATTACTTAGACTAGTGCCTGGTACATATACACATTTAATAAATATTAGTTGTCATCATGATAAGTAAGTCTGATTTAGAATCAAAATGGGGAAGGAGGACTAAGAAAAAGATTATTTTAATGCATCTTGGATAAATAAAATCATAATGTTGTATAACTGCTAAAACTATTTTCTAAAATAAATATTTCTGATTGCATTCCAAAACAAAAATCTGACCTCTCTTCCACGTTTTAACCTGTGGTAATCATGCTTAAGGTATAATTATGTCTTAAATTATCTCATTTTAGGAAGCTGTATGAGGCTGTTCTTGCATTGCTAGAAAGAAATACTGGAGACTGGGTAATGCATAAAGAAAAGACACTTTATTGGCTCATGGTTCTGCAGACTGTACAGGAAGCACGGTGAGGCATCTGCTCAGCTTCTGGGGATGCCTGAGGGAGCTTTTACTCATGGCAGAATCCGAAGGGGGAAAAATAAGGTCACTTGGTGAAAGCAGGAGTAAGAGAGAGAGAGGGTTGGGGGTGGTGTCACATTTTACGACAACCAGATCTTGTAAGAATTCACTGACTATTGTGAGAACAACGGCAGACCATGAGGAAGGGATCAGCCTCCATGACCCAAATACCTCCTACCAGACCCCACCTCCAACATTGGGGATTACATTTCAACATGAGATTTGGGCAGAGACAAATATCCAAAGTATATTAGAAGCGTAAAGAGATGATACTGTGTGAGAAGATATCCCATTGTGGTTTTGATTTACATTTCCCTGATGATTAGTGATGTTGAACATTTTTCAAAAATACCTATTGTCTTTTTTGGAGAAATGTCTATTCTGGTCCTTTGCCCATCTTTTAATAAGTTATGATTTTTTCCTATTATGTGAGTTTCTTGGTTAATTTTGGAAATTAACTCCCTATCAGATATATGATTTGCAAGTATTTTCTCCCAATCCATAGGCTTTTTATTGCTTGCTTCCTTTGCAGAAGCTTTTTAGTTTGATGTAGTCCCATTTGTTTGTTTTTGCTTTAGTTGTTGAGCTTTTGGTGTCATAAAAAAAAAACTTTGCTAAGGCCAATGTCAAAGAGCTTGTTCTTATGTTTTATTTTATAAGTTTTATGGTTTCAAGTCTTACGCTTAGGTCTTTAGTGTGGTTTGCTGTGGTGGATAGTGCAGCGATGAACATGTGAGTACATGTGCTTTTTTGAATTGATTCCATTTTGCATTGATTTTTGTGTATGACATAAGATAGGGTCCAGTTTCATTCTTTTATGTGGATACCCAGTTTTCTTAACACCTTTATTGAAGAGACTGTCCTTTCCCCATTGTGTAGTCTTGGTACCCTTGTGGAAGATCCCTTGACTATATATGTGTGTGGATTGATTTCTGGGCTTTCTTTTCTATTATGTCGGTCTACATGTCTGTCTTTATGCCAGTACCATACTGTCTTGTTTAGGTTGACTGTTATCCAAAAGACAAGACATAATGAGTGTTGGCAAGGGTGTGGAAAAAGGGAACCCTCGCACACTGTTGGTAGGAGGGTAAATTGGTACAGCCATTATAAAAAACAGTATGGAAGTTCTCAAAAAGATTAAAAATGGAACTATTATGTGACCCAGCAATTCCTTTGCTAGGTATATACTAAAGAAAATGAAATCAGCACCTTGTAGAGATATCTGCACTCTCATGCCTATTGTAGCATTATTCACAATAACTAAGATACGGAAACAACCTAAGTTTCCATCAGTGGATGAATGGAAAAGGAAGGAGATACTGTCACCCTACATGACTTCAAACTATAGTAAGGCCACAGTAACCAAAATAGCATGGTACTGGTATAAAAACAGACACATAGACCAATGGAACAGAATAGAAAACTCAGAAATAAAGCCGCACACCTGCAATCATTGGATCTTTGATAAGGCCAACAAAACAAGCGATAGAGGATGGACTCCCTATTCAATAAATGGTGTCGAGATAACTGGCTACCCATTCATTCATGCGGAAGAATGAAACTGGACCCTTAACTTTCACCTTATACAAAAAGTGACTCAAGATGAATTAAATATTTAAATATGAGACCTCAAACTATAGAAATCCTAAAAGAAAACCTAGAAAATACCCATCTTAATATCAGTTTTGGCGAAGAATTTTTGGCTAGGTCCCCAAAAGCAATTGTAACAGAAACATAAGTTAACAAGTGGGATCTAATTAAACTAAAGAGCTTCTGTGCGGCAAAAGAAACCATCAACAGAGTAAATAGACGACTTACAGAATGGGAGAAGATATTCACAAACTATGCATCTGACAAAGGTCTGATATACAGAATCTATAAGGACTTAAATAAATCAACAAGCAAAAAACAAACAACCCCATTAAAAATGGACAAAGGATATGAAGAGACATTTTTCAAAAGAAGACATACAAGTGGCCAAGAAATGTGAGAACATTTTTATGATCATTAATCATCAGAGAAATGCAAATCAAAACTACAATGAGATACCATATTACACCAGTCAGAATGGCTATTACTAAAACGTCAAAAACAACAGATGCTGGCAAGACAGTGGAGAAAAGGGAATGCTTATACACTGTTGGAGGGAATGTAAATTAGTTCAGCCACTGAGGTAATCAGTTTAGAGATTTCTTAAAGGATTGAAAACAGAACTATCATTTGATGCGGCAATCCCATTTCTAGGTATATACCCAAAGGAAAGTACACTGTTCTAGCAAAAAGACACATGCACTTATATGTTAGTTGCTGCACTATTCAAAATAACAAAGACATGGAATCAGCCTAGATGCTTATCAATGGTGGACTGGATAAAGAGAATGTGGTACATATTCACTATGGAATAATATGCAGCCATAAAAAGAATGAAATCATGTTCTTTGTAGCAACATAGGTGGAGCTGGAGGCCATAATCCTAAGTGAATTAAGGCAGGAACAGAAAACCAAATACCACATGTTCTTACCTGTAAGTGGGAGCTAAACATTGAGCTCACATGGACATAAACATGGGAACAACAGACACTTCAGACTACTACAGGGGGCAGGGAGGGAAGGGAGAATGGGTTGAAAAATTAGCTATTGGGTACTACGCTCACTACCTGGGTCTGATATACCCATGTAACAATCCTACACATGTACGCACTTGTATCTAAAATAAAAGCTGAAATTAAAAAAAAAAAACAAAAGGAAGGAGAGGCTATCATTTGCAACAATATGGATGAAACTGAAAGACATTAAACTAAGTAAAATAAGCCAGACACACAAATAAAAATACTACATGATCTCACTTGTATGTAAAATATTTTTAAAAAGTCAAATACATTGAAACAGAGACTAGGACTGTGGTTACCAGGGGCTGGAAGGGTGAGGAAATGGGAAGATGTAGTTCAAAGGGTACAAACTTGAAGTTATGTAGGATATATAAATCTAGAGATCTAATGTACAGCCGGAGGACTATAGTTAATAATATTGTATTATTTATTAAAAATTTGCTAAGAGAGTAGATTTTAGGTGCTCTTACCACAAACACAAAAAAAGAGGTAACTAAGGAAGGTGATGGATATGTTAACTCAATTACTTGTAGTAATCATTTCATTACGTGTATGTATATATCAAAACATCATGTTGTACACCTTAAATGTATACAATAAAAATAAATTTTAAAAAGAAGTGAAACTATAAGTGGCCTATACTGTTGAGTAGGATTGCAGGTTGTAGAGAATTCAAAACACTCTGTAACGGTTTCCAGTTCACAAACTTCAAAGGCCAAAAACATCCTCAAACCTCTGGCTGTGTTTAAATTATAGTGAAAGTAGCAGGTTATTGTCACAAACTTGTTACAACTCTCAGTGAGAAAAATCATATGAAAATTAAAAGAAACAAATCATTTACTGATTAATTTATTCATAGATTTATTGACCTTAGAAAGACCATATAGAATTAGATAATTGAGTACAACTTTACAGTTGGGGGAACAAGATCCAAAGGTGATAATTCATTTGCCTAATATGACAAAGGTAATAAATAACAGAAGCAGGCCTAGAATTAGTTTTCTAAGCTAGTTTTCTACCTCTTCTATAGCGAAACTCAACATGTATTATTTCACAAAAATATATAATATATAGATTTGCACACATGAGCAGATAGATGATGTGGCATTACAAAAAGAAAACGTGTTTTTATCTGAAAAAAAGTGTGTTCTTGTTCTTTGTCCCTTTTCCATAAACTCTTGCTCTTGTTTTATGGATTCAATAATTTCTTAACTCTCGGAAGATATTAATTATAGCTTTTAAAAAGACTCTTTTTGAAAAATTATCTTTCTTTCTCTCTCTGCCCCCACCAATATACACACACATTTGTATATTGAGAGAGAGTGAGAGATAATTCAGTAGGATGGTAGAATATAAAGTTAATGTACAAGAATCAATATTTTTTACCACGTATAAACAATCTATTAGATGGTACAATGAAAGAGAAGACCTTATTTGCAATAGCCACAAAAAAAAGATAAAACATTTAGGAAGAAATGTGCAAAAAATCTGAGGAAAACACTACTGAAAGACAAAAGTATACTTGAACAGATGGAAAGATGTACTCTATTCTTGAGTAGGGAAGACTCACGTTATAAAGATGTTAGTTTTCTCTAAATTAATTTATAAATTTAATGCACTTCCAATAAACTACCATCTTTTCTTTTCTGAAAGGAAATTCTAAAGCTCATATGGAAAATAAGCAAGCAAAAATAGCCAGGAATCTTTGCAATTGAAAAATCATATATTAAAAATGAAAAATAATATATTAAAATGTAAAGCCTCAAAAGTTAAGAGTATGGTACTGGTGAATGAAGAGACGGGGGAACAGGACAGAAAGTCCTGAAATAGACGTAAATAGATATGGGAATTTAGTATAGGGCATTTCAAATCAATGTGGTAAAAAGGAATTTTTGATAAATGATACTGGAGGCGGGGCACGGTGGCTCACGCCTGTAATCCCAGCACTTTGGTAGGCCAAGGCGGGTGGATCACCTGAGGTCAGGAGATAGAGACCAGCCTGACCAATATGGAGAAACTCCGTCTCTACTAAAAATTCCAAAATTAGCCGGGCGTGGTCGCGTGCACCTGTAGTCCCAGCTACTCAGGAGGCTAAGGCAGGAGAATCGCTTGAACCCAGGAGGCGGAGGTTGTAGTGAGCCAAGATCGTGCCATTGCACTCCAGCCTGGGCAACAAGAGTGAAACTCCGTCTCAAAAAAAAAAAAAATTGGTACTGGAAAAAGATAAAGTTGGATCCACATCTCATGCCATATACCAGGCTAAACTCTAAGTAGATTGATGTTGTAAATTTAAAGAGAAATTAAGCCACAAAAGAACTGGAAGAAAACATAGGTCAATTCCTCTACAGTCTTAGAGTGGGAGAAGGCCTTTTTAACTATGATTCAAAATCCAGAAGCCATTAAGGAAAAAGATTAGGGCATTTGACTACATTTTAAAAAAGTCTTTGTGACAAAAAGCAACATAAGCAATGCAAAAAAAGAAAGACAAACTGATAAAATATTTGCAATTTGTGTCACAAAGAGCTGCTCTCTCATAGAAAATGTCAAGAAAAAGGCCAACAACCCAATAGAAAAATCGACATGGGACATTAACAATTTAAAGAAAGGGAAAGATCTCTTAAAAATATGAAAAGATGCCCAACCTCATTCACAATAAGAAACACTCAAATTAAAACTTCTGTGAAATACCAATTCTTATGTACCACCTTGGAAAAAATCCAAAATTTATACTCTACTTATAAGGCCTTGGGGAAAAAGTGTACAACTACTATGAAGTGGAATCTGGGAATATATACCATAATTACAGATCTATTTTCCCTTTGACGTAACAGTTCAATTTTGAGGAATCTATCCAGAGATATCCTATGGATAGATATGTACAAAATTACATATGTACCATGACATGCATACATAGTGTGCCCTGTCAGGCAAAAAACAAACAAAAATCAAACAAAAACCTAAAAGCAAAAAAGCCAAAATTAAAACAACAACAAAAATGAAGACTATTACGTACGATATGGAGACATCACCAGGATAGCTTTTTAGTGAAAAAAATTTTTAAGATGAAAACCAATATATAGTATACTATCTTTTGTAATATAAAGGAAAATAAATATATATTCATATTTTCCTGTATTTACATAAATAAATATTAAAATGGCAAAAATAAACTCATAAAATGATTACCTGTAGGGGAGTGGGGGGTGGAAAGAAGGTGGATGAGGAAGAAGGGATAGGAATGAGACCAATCTTGTGTCCCTATTTATATTTATTTGACCTTGAACCATATAAATATATTATTGATTGAAAAAATAATGATAAAGATAAAAAGTCTTTTACTTGCATTATCTCTATTTCTCCCTGTTTCCTTTTATTGTTTCCTTCTTTAATCTTTTGGTATGCTGATGTTATTATTGAGTGATTCCGAAATGCCAAAATCTGAAGGCTGTATTCTATAGGCCATTCCATTTCTCAAGAGGAAAATTAATCTTCTTGGGAGCAGATGTTTGGTGTCTTGCATTCTGGGAGCAGGGGAGAGGGGACAGGAGTTGAGGGGTTCCACATTTAGTGTGTAGACTTTCACTTTATCCACCTGTTTCCAACTCCACATCTATTCCTGCCTTACCCTAGGTCTGTTTTGGTTCAGTTTCTCCACAGAGTAAACCTTTGTTTGTGGGTGAATTGCCTGGAATCTCTGGTGGTCATTCAACCACTTTATATATGGACTTTCAACAACTTATCACCCTATATTAGCCCCATGTCTCACCCTAGTTTTCTGAGGACTCTGGTATCTGTATGTCCTGGTCCTGTGAGTTCTCCAGTGTAAATCAACTTTCTTCTTTTTTTCTCCTTCTTCTCCTCCTCTCCCTCCCTCACTCTCCCTCTTCTTCTCTTTCTCCTTCTTATTTATTCATCACTGTGGCAAAATATATGTAACATAACAATTTTAACCATTTTAGGTGTATAGTTCAGAATCATTTTATACACTCACTCTGTTGTGCGATCATCACCGCAATCCATCTCCAGAAATTGTTCATCTTCACAAGATAAAACTGTACCCATTAAACAGTAACTCCCCATTCTCGCCTTCCCTCAGTCCCTGACAACTGCATTTCATTTAGCATAATGTCTTCAAGGTTCATTCATGTTGTAGCATGTGTCAGACTTTCTGTCTTTTTAAAGGCTGAATACCATTTCCCTGTATGTGTACAGCACATTTTTTAGTCCATTCATTTATCAGTGAACATTTGGATTGTTTCCGCTTTTTGAGTATTGTGAATAATACTGCCATGAACATGAACATGAACATGGGTGTACGAATATCTGTTTGAGATGCTGCTTCCCTTTCTTCCATCAATTAAAATAAAAACTATTTACTAAAAAAGATATTTGAATTGAGACAACAAATAGAAGGCCATTACTATGATTACCTCCATAATACCCTCCACAACACACACACACAAACGCACACACAAATGTGTGTGCACACACATATGCTTTCACTGAAAGGGAAATGGATTATGCTTCCCTGGTGTTGGAGGTGGTCAATGTTGAGGCTTTTGAAGTACTCTGGCCTCCAGCCTGGATTACTATAGAAAGTGGGATAGGGCCAAGCCTTCAGGTAACAATTGGTAAAAATAGGCCGGGCGCGGTGGCTCACGCCTGTAATCCCAGCACTCTGAGAGGCTGAAGTGGGCAGATCACCTGAGGTCAAGAGTTCGAGACCAGCCTGATCAACATGGAGAAACCCCGTGTCTACTAAAAATACAAAATTATCCGGGTGTGGTGGCGCATGCCTATAATCCCAGCTACTCGGGAAGGCTGAGGCAGGAGAATTGCTTGAACCTGGGAGGCAGAGGTTGCAGTGAGCCAAGATCGCGCCATTGCACTCCAGCCTGGGCAACAAGAGCGAAACTCCGTCTCAAAAAAAAAAAAAATTGGTAAAAATGGATGACAGGTAGGGTGTTCAGAAAGTAGAGGAAGATGCAGTGACACATAGAGGGAGGAGATGGGGGATGACAAAACTTGTCCCTAATTATTTTAAACTAATTGTTCCTGGAGAATTTTAAGTGTATCTGAATAGTAGGGACTTGTTCCACAATTATGATGTGAAGGGGCCTGTCCTATCACTAATGTGAGGCTTTGTTGTCCTGCTGAACACATTCTTGGCCACCAAATGTCATCTTTTGAAAGTGCTTGAGATTTGTGCCTGGTACCTTTATGCTAGTGCAGTGCTTCCTAAACTGGAGTCATTTATGAGTTATAACTTTTGCCACATATGCCTACCATTTGCATAAAAAAGATAATTAACATTTTATTTTTTATTTTAAATCTATTAGCCTTTTAAAATTTAACTTTGTCTTAAGCCATAATAGTTTGTGAGAAGTTGGGTTAATTAATACATTATATTTTTGGTAATACATATTAAAATAAATGCATAAGTATTAAAATAAAAAAGACTATCTGCAAATTACTTAAAATCATTTAGTGTACTATCAGTGGTATGAATACCACCCTTAGGAATTACTGTGCTAGTGGAATATATACTCCAGGATTAAAGGAAGCCTGATATAGCAAAGTAATCACAGGGAGTCCTCATTATGCAGGACAAACTAGTACTGAAAAAAGACACTTAAAGAGAATGTATGTGAAACAGGGAGTGTTTCATAATAAACAGTGAAAAAATAAAAGATTTGGTTGAGATTTTAGTTCAAAAGTGAAACAATTATGAAAAGAGATTTTATCTTACATTTGATATAGGTTCTAATTCAGCTATTTTCTAATTCTTAAAACGAAGAATGAATTGTTGTTTTTAAGGGTATAATTCTCTGGCAAACTTATGTGATAGCATGGTAACAATATCCTTCACTTCACTTTTGACTTTTATTAGAGGGTCATTTTTACAAAAATGTTTGAGAGCTGCATCATTTTTTCCAAGGACCTTTCTTAAGCTTTTATTATTCAAATAGTCCTCTTTTGAAATGTCAGTGCTGTCATCATCCTTGTTCATTTTCTCTTCTTCAATTGTTAACTTATCTAACTTTGCCGAGGGATCATTTGTCATTGACTTTGTAAGTTATTTGAGCAGTTCTCCAACATCTTTTATCTTCTTTATACTTCTGCATCTTTTACAAAATTTTCAGTTTCACTTTGCAAATTTTCACTGCACGATGTTGGATATTTACAGGAAGAAAAGATCATTGCTGCAATGGCAAGGGATAGACACTAGTGTTAGTCAAAGAGGAATGTTTAAATGGGCTGTAATTTTACTATGGCTAGTTCATTAATAAACACTTTATATGTCATGGAAACTTTTGCTCTCTGCAGGAACATACTGTGTAGACTTTGATAATGAACATTTGAATAATAAGAACTCCTGTGTACATTCCCCAAAATTCCATCTTTATTTAATTAAGACTCTTTTACTACAGGAAACAGTCAACGATTCAATGATTTCAGTGACTTGTTCATTCATTCATCCATTCGTTCATTCATTGGTGTCCCAGTGGTAGCAATGATATTTTTAAACGAGTGGATGTCAATATTGTGGGTCTTAATAATCCATAAGAAAGAACACTTGTAATATCAGTGAACCAGATTGACCAAAGGCTTTAACTTAAACTGAAACAGACCAAACACCACTCAGAATCACTGCAAAATGCACTTACACATTGGTTGATTAATAAAGAAGAGACACTCAAGAAAATTGCAAGGTAATTTTATCAGGCTGTACAATTTGTCAAGAACTATGAAGGGTCTGAGATTTTACTCTACTTGCATGCCAGTTTTATGGATGCTCGGAGAAAATATGAAACTTCTGGGTCAGAGGCAAAGGATTTCATTACTCATTGCACAGCAAACAGCAGGAGCTTTGTGTTCATGTCAGCACCCCTTGCCCTTCCCCTCTAACTCCCACAGGGTGATGCAGAGGGGGCTAGATAGAGGCTGTGAACACAGTGGCATCACAGCCCAGGGATCCTGAACGTAGGGAACCAAATCTTTTAAAACTGGCTGCATATAAATATGCTCAACATTTACTCTAAAAGGAAACATTATCTTTATTATTCTGGATGTCTTGACCACCTCCTGTTTAACCCATTGATAAAGGCGGATTCCTGCTCCAGGGTTACGAAGATGACCAAACACTTAACACTCAACACTGGACAGGTAAGGTCCACCACAGTTCGTTAGTCATATATACTCACAGCCTAGTGGAGAAGGACACCACATGACATGCAGGGCCACATGGGATGACATGTGGGAATAGAGTTAACAGCCAGAGGCTTTAGAAGGTAAGCTTTGTAGTATCAAGAGGATAAGGTGCCCCCCAGTTCTCGTGGGGGATGTGATTGACTTGTTTCAATAATTCTGAAAGATAGCAGGAAACTGAAACCAATCACTCAGGGATAAGCAAAAACTGTGTGTCTTATCCCCTCAATACGGAAGATTGTTTGGCTAGGGGACCTTATCTACAGGAGCAGAGTGGGAGGGAAACTTATATTTTACTGAACAATAAGCAAATTTGCCCTTTGTCCTAGAGAGAGACACTATCTCATCTTTCATGGCTCTTTGCTATACAAAAATCTTTGAAAATAATCATTGTCTCTGCTTGCAAGCGATACAGAAATGTGTGAGACCCATAGATAATTATTTCCCAAGACAATGTCAATATTATTGAAGAACAGATATATTTTGATTATGACAGTAATAAGACTAGGGTCACAACAAATGAAAACATATCTGATCAGTCTGAGCCAATAATTTCGACAGTTCCTTATATGGTGGATGAGATCAAACTATAAAAATGGGCCTTTTCAATTGCATAAAAACCTAGGGTCCACTTGCTGGGGAAGGCACAACGAAGTCTCTGTATTCTGAGTATTTGATCATCAGGAGGTATCTTTAACCACTCCAGGTATGGCATGATAATCCTAACTTTATAGTTAGGTAAATAAAATCTTAACCTTGGGAAAAGATAAGAATAAGAAAAACCAATCAGAAATGGAATAAAAAATAGAATAAACATAAGAATTAGCTCTTTACAGAAATGTTCTTCTTAATGAAACGTGACAACCCAACATGACAACCTCCATCAAATTTCCACTCCTACCCTAAATACTACCTCTTTTGGGAAGTCTTTCTCATTTCCCTGGCTGAAATTAATCTCCTCATCTTCTGTGAATCCAAATGATTGTGTTTGTAACATCTGTTGTAACAGCTATCATATTCTTTTGTACTATAATGCTTTTCTTATATCCTCTATGAGATATGGTTTCTGTCTCCAAGTAGCTTACCATCTTGTCAATGAATTAATTTTTAATTAATTTTTGCTTTATTTTTGTGCCACTCATAGTTCTCTGCAGGAAGTAGATGCTCACTAAATGCATATTGATCATAATTGGACAAAATAAATGGAAATAACAATACCCTATATGTCTACAGAACTTTAAAAACTTGTTATAGCTCCACTGTAACAAGGATTTTATTTGATGCTTCTAACATTCTTGTAAACAAATTTTCACTGGATAGATGAAAAATCTGAGACACAGAGAATATGGGTGACTTTCTCTAAGTAATACATCTTGTTGGGGGTGTAAACTGGTACAGATTATATGTAAATTAATTTTGACATGTATGTATACATACAAACACACACGTTTCTTTCCTTCTTTCCTCTTGTTCTTTCTCTCATTTTCTCTCTCTCATCTATATATCTAAAGAATCTTAAAAACACTCTTACTCTTGACTGAATGGGTGCATTGATTGGAATCTATCTTAAGAAAGTAACTTGAAATACAGCAGGTTTGTGGAAGGATGCTCATCACAGTGTTACTTACCAGAGTGAAAGTCTGTAAGTAGCTTAAAATGCCCCCGAAGAGGAAAGTAGTTAAATACATATGGTACGTACATGCAATAAAATATTTTATTTTTGATGATTTAATCCATTTATTTTCAGTCTTTTTCTCTTCATTAATATAGCTTAAAGATAACAAGATGTGATGCTGGCATAGTATAGAGATATAGATCAATGAAATAAAATTGAAAGTGCTGAAATATGCTTTAATATTTATGATCAATTGATTTTTTACAAAGGGACCATGACAATTCACTGAACACAGAATAGCATTTTCAACAGATAGTGCTGAGACAATGGATACCCATATACAAAAGAGTAAATTTGAAACCCCATAGTACACCATACACAAAAATTAACTCAAAAGGGATCATAGACCTACATGTAAGATGTAAAAGTATAGAACTCTTACAAGGAGACATAGGAGTAAATTTTTTGTGACCTTGGGTTAAGCAGCATTTTCTTAGATATGATACGAATAACAGCAGCCATTAAAAAAAAAAAGATAACTGAATTTCATTAAAGTTACAATTTTTGTCTTTTAAATGATATTGAAAAGGTGAAAAGATAGCTCCCAGACTGGGAGAAAATATTTGTAAAGTCATATATAAGACTTGGAACTGGTATCCAGAACATGTAAAGAACTCAGTAATAAAAAGACAACTCAATTTTTAAAAACAAAAACAGGCAAAGGTTTGAATAGACGTTTTTCTCCAAAGAAGATATACAAATGGCCAATAGCATGTGAAAAGATGCTCAATATCATTAGTCATTAAGAAAATGAAAATCAAAATCATAAAGTGATACCACTTCATACATACTAGAATGGCAATAATAAATGATAGATAACAACAAGTGCTGGTGAGAATGTGGAGAAATTGTGACCCTCATACATTGCTGGTATGTATGTAAAATGGTGCAGTCTCTGTGGAAAACAGTTTGACAGTTTCTCCAAAAGTTAAACCTAGTATAAACATATGACCTAGCAATTCCACTCCTAGTTATCAAAAAAGTAAAACATGTTCACACAAAAACTCGCAGCATTATCCATAATGGCTGATAAATGAAAAGAAGCCAAAATGTCCATCAACTGATGAATGGGTAAATAAAATGTGTTATATCCACACAATGGAATATCATTCATTCATAAAAAATTAAATTACGGATACATACTACATGGATGAAACTTGAAAATACTGTTAAATGAAAGAAATCACAAGACTGCATATGGTATGATCTCATGTATATGAAATTTCTACAATGGCAAATCCATACAGATGAAAAGTAGTCTAGTGGTAGTCTAGGGCTGAAGATGGGGATGGGAGGATGGGAGAGGACTTTCTTTGCGATGATGAAAATGTTTTAAAATTAGATCATGGTGATGGTTGCACAGCTCCGTAAATATACTAATAACCATGGAATTGTTCACTTTAAATGGATGAACTTTATGGTGTGTAAATTATATTATTAAAGCCATTAAAATAGCATCATACAATGCATGTTTTCTATAAATGGTTTTATTCAATCATCAATTTATTGTTAATATATTTCATGCTAATAAATATTTCTACAATATTTAAAAATCTTTGTTTTCTACTCATTACAGAAGCAATGCATGTTTATTGGAAAAACCTCAAGGAATATAGAAATATGTAACAGAAAAATCATAGTTTTCTTTCTTTTTTTTTTTTTTTTTTTGAGACAGAGTCTTGTTCTGTCGCCTAGGCTGGAGTGCAGTGTCACGATCTTGGCTCACTGCAAGCTCTGCCTCCCGGGTTCACGCCATTCTCCTGCCTCAGCCTCCCGAGTAGCTGGGACTACAGGAGCCCACCACCACGCCTGGCTAATTTTTTGTATTTTTTAGTAGAGACGGGGTTTCACCGTGTTAGCCAGGATGGTCTCGATCTCCTGACCTCGTGATCTGCCCACCTTGGCCTGTCAAAGTGCTGGGATTACAGGCGTGAGCCACCCATCCGAGCCCATAGTTTTCTTGTAATTTTATTATTCAACAATATGCTTAGTGGCTGCTTAGTATTATGTTGTATGGTTGTGCGATAATCTACTTAGTTAATTTCATATTATTTTTATTTAGCAATAGATTGGAAACAATCTGTAATAAATCACAGTTATGAACATCTTTGTGCATGTATTGTGGTGCAATGGCCCAATTATATTGTTAGAATGAATTCCTACAAACATATTTGCTAAAGTGTATGTATATTTTTAAGGTTTTCAAAATTATGCACTGCAAATTTTATCCAAAAAAAAATACTAATTTGTATTCTAATCAGTAGTATTTGTCTGTTTCCTCTCATTTTTTCCAACCATGGTTATTATTTCTTTTTTAAAAACATTTTTTGTCAGTTTGATAGATAAAAATGGTGTCATTTTAGCTTGAAATTATCTTTTATTACTAGTTAAATACTTTTTTCATAAACTTTTGGCCATTTGTATTCATTTATGAATTGCTCTTTAAGCCTTTTGCTCATTTTTAAAATGGAAGTTTCATCTTTTCTTCAAGATTACATTGAACAAAATAATAGAATAATATTCAGCCAATAAAAATGTTTTATGGAAAGTTTTTAATGCTTATTTTCAATGTTAAGTGAAAAAACAGGATAGAAAATTGTATTTATCATACCAGCTCAACTGTATAAAATAGATTATGCTTTGGGAAAGACTAAAAAAATGTTTTTCGAGTAATCATCTTTAGATAGTAGGTTTAGATGGTTTTTATGTTCTTTAAACTTTGTATTTCCCCTGTTTTCTACAACGGACATGTGTTATTTTTATAATTAAGCAAATTTTTTTTTCTTTCAAATCACAGAGTTGATTTTTGGCTAAACCAGGGCCAGACTCATTGCCCTGCTCCACCCTCTCTACCTTAGGCCTCTAGAAAAGTGTTGTCAGAGGTAGAAGAAGAATCAATGGTAGGAAAGGAAAGTAAAGAATTTCAAGAAGGAGGTGTCGTAGGAGGATGTACTTATTCCCGAGATGCATGTTGAGGAACTTAAGGTTCAAGTATAATAATATCTGCAACTTAGGAAACGTATGCTGAAGTATCTAGAGTGCCATGATATCTGGAAAGAGAGAGGGGAAGTTGGAAAGGGAGGGAGAGGGAGCAAGGGAGAATGAAAGAAGGATGGAGGAAGTATGGTAACAGGTTAAATAGTCAATCTAAGTGAAAGTATGTGGCTGCTCTTTGTGGTATTCTTTCAATTTTTTGTAGGTTTGAAACATTTCAAAATAAAGAAGTTGGGAAAATTGCGAGGAAAAAAAGGAGAAAGTTAATTACCTCGCAAATGTTTCAGAGAAATGAATTAGGATGAGCCCTAAGAAGAGGCAGTTGGGTTTAGCTAGTAGGAAATCACTGGGGAGGTTAATGAAATAATAATTTTAGAAGGGTTGGGTAGGGAAGATGGCAAAGGGTTGGAAAGTGAGTGCGATATGAGATAGTGGAGTCAGTCAATGGTGTCAACCAAGAATTTGAGCAATAGGGAAAAGGGAGTCAGGAAATTGGCCTAAGAGGCAACAAAATGTTGGAAAAGTTTTTAATATTGTTATTAATTTTCAACTAATTATAGATTCATATTAATATTAAATTAATATTTGACCTTTCTCCCCCTCCACACATGTCTTTCCTGATATATAAAATGATGAATTAGAAAAATCAATGAAAAGAATAGGAGAATAAAATGCACAATGCTACCATCTAGAGTATTCACTGAGAATTACACCCAGTGTTTGACAATGCAGGTGACTTGCTTTGGGCCTCTGAGTTTGTGTGTGTTCGTGTGTTTGTTTCTTTGTGTAAGCCATGTAGGGGAGTGAGAAATATTTTGGGAGAAGCCCAGTGTTTGGGGACCAATATTTTGATCCCTGAATAAAACATTTCAAATTTTGATGAAGTCCTAAAATTTGATTTTAAGCTAGGTGAGACATTTTAACAATCTTTAACCTCAACAGTGCTTTGGCAATGAACTGAAACATTTTGGAAGAAGAGACAGTTCTAGGATCACCCTAAGTACAAGCATTAAGAGGGTTATTATGTTTAGCTGGGAGAATGGGAAATTCCACCTGAAGTTTCTTTTTAGCTTCAAAAAACGTCAATCTTTTCAGCTAGCTTGAAGCCAAGTGTTAACCGGATAATGGTGAAGGTGCATATAGAAATGCACTCTGGGGGGATGGTAGGCAGAGTAATTTAGGGTAGGCAGGAGCTGGATTTTGAGGTGTATGTAGTTGAAGATGGGGTGGACAGGAAAAGTTGCAGGTGGACAGAATATTGAGTACGAAGGCAGAAAAGCACAGGGCACGTTTGGAGAACAGGGATCAGTTCTGTTGTGGCTAGAATAGGAGAAAGAAAGGGAGAGAAGGTGAGGAAGTGGATTGGCATATGGATATGCCTCTCTTCTCTTCCCCCAGCAAGAAGATTCAGTTCTTGAAAATAGGGGGCTTCATCTTTTGTCTCTCTAAGGGCCTAACCCTTGGCTGGGTACACAGTAGAAGTTTAATAAATGTTGGTTGATCAGACCATCAGCTAATACCATTGTGCACTTCTATCTCCTAAGAGTTTGGCTGTCAGACTAGGAATAGGGGTAGATGCTGGGATTTAGCTACTGGAGACATGGCTCTGGTGCTTGAAATCAGGCAAGTGCAACTCCCAGCTAACATCCAGAGCAGCACATCTCAGATCACCTGGGCACCTTGTTAACACGCAGATTCTGATTTATGTCTGGAATGGGGGCTGTGATTCTGCATTTCTAATGACCTCCCAGGTGATGCTTATATTACTAGTCTGGGGATCACACATTAGCAAGAATTTAAAGGGCCTCCAACCCCTACTCCTTGAGCTTTGAAGACTCCAGACTCCTAAATGATTGGGCACAAGTAATGATTCTTCACTTAGTACAGCTGATGAAAAAGCTCAAATCAAATATATTACCTTGTGAAGATTTCCTGCCTCCAGAATTGTTGAGATACACTACGCTGTTGGCATCCTATTTGTGCCAACTTTTTATTACCTTTCCCAGGTAAGTACGGGTCTATCATACCTACACAGTGTAATCTAGTATTTTGTTTTTATTCTCCAAATATGGACTTATCTGGACATTCCTTCTGTCTAAATTCCATGCCCATTTTCCCTTAAATAATTACAAGGCTGTGTTTTTCAGGCCAATAGCTCACACAAGGGGTTGTCAAACTGTAGTCTCTGCTATTCTGAAAATGATTCTTGTTATATAAAGAAATATGGCTGTAACAACATAAGTTGTGCTTTTTGGTGTTTGTTAACTTTTATTTATTTCATTATTTTTCTCATCCTTTGTTCAGGCTAAGCCGTGTAATTTTAATATTGATTATTGCCGTTGTGAGGGTCAGAATTGGTAGGAATGGTCTTCATTATGAAAATGAAAGTGATGGTAAAGAGTTGCATAAATTAATTGGTTTCTGGTTAATTATACAACTACACATTTCAGCTAGGTGAAGGCAAGAAAGGTCAGGGTGCTGACTGAATACACTATTATAGTCTTACCAAGAAGGATACTCGTCTTTAAGATGAGATTAGACTTTTTTCCCTCAAGACATATTATGAGAAACATAGGTCTAACAATGAGATGGTCACATAGTCTGGAGTTGGAGGCAAAAAGAGGCTGCCTCTTCAACCCTCCACCAGAACCCTGGCCTTTTCTCTTCTTTCAGTGTTTGGATCATTCATCTGTTCAGATTCTCAGTATAACTTTGCACGGCCCCTTATCTGCCTAACTTTAGACACTGGGAATAGCAAGGATCTGGCCAGCAACCTCTGACAACTGGGGATACATTCTCATGTGTGGCTGAGGGAAGATAGTTCCTGCTGATACATACATACATGTATATGTACATGTATATGTATATATTCAAATAATTAACATAAGAAAAAATGAGAAAATTTTCCTTTTGCATTTAAATCCATTTTTCTTTCAAGGGCTAAAGCAATTGTCACACTTTCTTCTCTCCCCAAGGGGTGTGGGATGCCCTAATCACTAGCATGACAACATAAAACCACACGAGTTTTCTGTTAGGAGGGATTGAGCTCTTTACAAGAACCTTTGTGCTCAATGGCCTAGAGAGCTTTCCCTATAAGCTCAAGTCTAGAAGACATCAAATAAAACAAAGGCCTTATGATTCCTGGCTATTTTTCAAATGTAGTTCTTTTTGATCTTAGTGAGGATTCTAAGCAAATGTTAGTCCTCCTTCCTTCCTTTTTTCTTTCTTTGCTTCCAGATATACATGTTTAAAAATTACAAAAGAGCTATTACGTTGTGAAGAAATTTCAGTGTTACAGAAGTGAGGATCCACCATGCCATTAATCTTACTCCCCAGAGGTAACTATTATTGATAGATTGGAATAACTTCAGAATTTTCATATGCATATCAAAAATGTATATATTCAGACATATATAAATTAGTTTTGGCTTATAAACATTGAATAATATTTTATAGGCTCTTCTGTACTTTTCATTGGTCAATATCATGGATGCTTTTCCATGTAAATACATATAGGTTTCTCTCATTCTATGACCCCATAGTATTCCATTGTCTTAATCTATGTAACCATTCTCTCATTAACAGAAATTTCACTTATTCCAGTTTTTATACACATTATGCTACAACAGATATGTTTGTACAACAGAAGCTTTTGTGTAGCATAAATTTTCTAGAAATGAAAATCTTGAGTCAACATGTCTGCACATTTCAATGTTAGAATTTATCAAATTTTCTTTTAAAAAGGCTGTACCAACTTAAACTCCAAAGAACAAATCAATGTATAAGAAAGTCTGTTTCCTAGAACCCTTACCTATACTGGGTATTTCAGTGCTTTAATTTTTGCCAGTTTGAATAATGGTATTTTGGCATTCTTTTAATATATATTTCATTCATAATTGTTGAGTCTGAGCATCTTTGCTGTATGTTTGATGGCCATTTACATTCTTTCTTTTGAAGAATCTACTTCCATGAGGAATCAAAGTGAGCAAACAAGCCAGCTTTTGAGATAGAGCTCTGGTAATGAGAATTTGTCACCTCTGTTGCCTCAGAAAAATCAAAAGGCAAGTGTTTCTATTTATTAGAAATGCAAATGTGTTTCTTTAAATGGTAAAAACTAAAAGTAGAATGCACTATGCAGATACATAGACTGGCCTCATAGTATATTTTTGAGATACTAAGGCAATCAAACAGAGGAAAACATGAGGAATAAGATTGCTGGTGAAGCTAGTAGTGTATTTTTTCTTTTTTTTTGAGATGGAGTCTTGCTCTGTTGCCAGGCTGGAGTGCAGTGGCATGATCTTGGCTCACTGCAACCTCCGCCTCCTGGGTTCAAGTGATTCTCCTGCCTCAGCCTTCAGAGTAGCTGGGACTAGAGGTGCATGCCACCACGCTCAGCTAATTTTTTGTATTTTTAGTAAAGACGGGGTTTCACCATGTTGGCCAGGATGGTCTCTATATGTTGACTTAGTGATCCACCCACCTCAGCCTCCCAAAGTGCTGAGATTACAGGCGTGAGCCACCGTGCCCGGTCTGATAGTGTAATTTTTTTACCATCCATCCATTCGTTCATTATTGGACAAATATTCAACAAATCTTTTTGAGTACTCACAATCTGCTAATCACTGGGTATCTGATGATGAACAAAGATCGTGTTCTCTAAATTAAGACTGAATGGGTTTAAATTTTATTTCCATCTCTTACAGCTGTGTGATCTCGTGCATGTTGCTTAACGTTTTTGTGCTGCAGTTTCCTCATATGTACATGGTATAACAATAGCATGTACTTCATAGAGTTGTTGAAAGGATCAAATGACATAAGGCAAGTAAAGTTCTGTGCACAGAGTAAGCATCATCTAATAAGAGTGATATTTACAATTCCTGATAAAGGAGTTGCTGTTTCCCTCCCCAAAATGAACTCTGAAGAAACTGTAGAAGCTGGAGAGAAACATAGATTCTAGAAACAGCAGTATCAGCAGCAAAAGCAATAGCACTGTGAGAAACCTCTGGGGATACTTCATGCTGCCTTGACCTGGTGTGTGTAGAAAGTTGGGTGACTGTCGCTTGGTGCAGAGGATCCAGAGGCAGCAGTGATAAGATAGGACAGAGGAAAACTTTCTGAACTCTATTCCTGCTTCTCCTCATTCCTGCCTCTCATTCCTGTGTGGCCTTGAAATGATTACTGCTTGCTTCAATCACTGCAATAATCAATTGCAGTAGTCCAGAATGCCTGTGTAGGTGGGCCACCCCAAAGTCCTGCTGGGGTAAGGAGTTGATGAGCATGGGGATAGATAACCAACTACTCTGGCGTTGATTCCTTCACCCCACCCGTACTCCTAGGTCTGATGAATTGCTTGACCAGAGGAGTGACTGACCAGAGGAATTGCTTCATAAGGTGCCAGGAAATAGGACTAACAGTGGTTCTGTGATGTCTGGAACTCTTTATTAGGACTAGACTAGGGCATGGCCATTAGTCCTTTTACAATATACGTTATTAGGCCGGGCGCGTTGGCTCACGCCTGTAATCCCAGCACTTCGGGAGGCCGAGGTGGGCGGATCACGAGGTCAGGAGATCAAGACCATCCTGGCTAACACAGTGAAACACCGTCTCTACTAAAAATACAAAAAAAATTAGCCGGGCATGGTGGTGGGCACCCGTAGTCCCAGCTACTCCGGAAGCTGAGGCAGGAGAATGGCGTAAACCCGGGAGGCGGAGCTTGCAGTGAGCCGAGATCGCGCCACTGCACTCCAGCCTGGGCGACAGAGCGAGACTCTGTCTCAAAAAAAAAAAAAAAAAAATATATATATACACACACACACACACACACACACACACACACACACACACACAAAATTAGATACAGTAGCTTATACCCTGCATCCTGTTTCCCATATTGTCAATATCTTACATTAGTATGGTACATTTGTTACAAATGTGAAAGGAAAATACAAACTTGGGACCCCAATTCACTAAGCCAAAAGAAAAGGAAATAAGCTGAAGGCTGAGTCATGCAAGAAGCTGCTTTTCCGTTTATTCCTATACAGATAGGTACAGATAAAAAGTTAAATATCTCCATAGGTAGCTACTCCATGTTCACCTTATCTTATAGTGAGCGTGAGATGAATACATAATTTACTATTCCCCTACCTGCTCCCTTTTTGTAACATATGGATTCAGTAATGTAACCACACCCTCCCTCTTTCTCCTCCAAGCTGCTTTCTACCTTTAAATATTGAAGCCCTCAAAATCATCTTTGGAGAATGGCACAGACCTGTATCCCAGGCACGTGACCTTAACCTTGGCTAAATAAACTTCTAAATTAATTGAGACCTGTCTCAGATACCTTTTCGTTTATACAACTAAGTAATCAATATTGCTACGTTCGTTTTTTAATTTTTTTTTTTTTTTTTTTGAGACAGAGTCTGGCTCTGTCGCCCAGGCTGGAGTACAGTGGCGCGATCTCGGCTCACTGCAAGCTCCGCCTCCCGGGTCCGCGCCATTCTCCTGCCTCAGCCTCCCGAGTAGCTGGGACTACAGGTGCCCGCCACCATGCCCGGCTAACATTTTGTATTTTTTAGTAGAGACGGGGTTTCACCGTGTTAACCAGGATGGTCTTGATTTCCTGACCTCGTGATCTGCCCGCCTCGGCCTCCCAAAGTGCTGGCATTACAGGCGTGAGCCACTGTGCCCGGCCACAATATTGCTACATTCTTATTAACTAAAGTCCATACTGTATTTTTGTTTGCTTTTTTCTTTGTCCCAGAGTCATATCTAAGATACCACATTACATTTAGTTGTCATGTCTTCTTAGGCGCCTCTTGACTGTGGCAGTTTCTCAGACTTTCTTTGTTTTTAGTGACGTCGACAGCTTTGAGGATTACTGGTTAGGTATTTTGTAAAACGTCCTCTATTTGGGTTTGTGTGATGTTTTCCTCAGGATTAGACTGGGGTTGTATGTTCTTGGAAAAAAGACCACAGAGGTAAAGTGCCATTCTCATCATATTATATCAGTGGCACATGATATCAGCATGACTGCTTATTAGTGATGTCAACCTTGATCCCTTGGCTGAGGTAGTAGTTTTCAAGTTTTTCCACCATAAAGTTGCTCTTTTCCTCTCTTTTTCATACTGTACTCTTTGGAAGGAAGTCATTATGTACAGACCACATTTCAGGAGTGGGGAGTTATGCTCTACCTCCTTGAGAGGGAAGTATCCACATAAATTATTTATAATTCTTTTGTATGGGAGGTTTCTCTATTCTCCCTCATTTATTTGTTTACTAAATTATTTGTTTACATCAGTAAGGACTCATGAATATTTATTTTATATTTTTAGTTATAATCCCACACAGTTTTATTTATTTTCTTATTCAAATTGTTCCAATTTTGGTCTTTGGGACCTCTTTCAGTTGATTGCTGTGTCCCTTTGGCATACCCCTATCATTTTTATTTTTTAGCATTTTCTTACTTTCTGGTACTATGCAATGCTCCAGGCTCATCTTGTATATTCATAGCCCCAGTCCTAGAGTCAGCCATTTCTCCGAGGAGCCCTGGTCCCTTGTGTTGCAGAATGAAATTAGAAACCAATATCTGGGCATTGGGTATAACATTTCTTTTTGTGCAGGTTTGCTGGCAAAAAATTCTCTCAGGTTTGGTTTGGTTTGACTGACAAGGTATGTAATTAGCTTTTATTTTGGAAGGTTTTTTCCTCCTTTGATATAGCATTCTAGGTTAACAGTTTTTTTTTTTTTTCCTTTCACTACTTGTATTAGTCAGGGTTCTCTAGAGGGACAGAACTAATAGGACATATATATATGTGTGTGTGTGTGTGTGTGTGTGTGTGTATGTGTGTGTATATAAAGGGGAGTTTATTAAGTATTAACTCACATGATCAGAAGGTCCCACAATAGGCCGTCTGCAAGCTGAGGAGCAAGGAGAACCAGTCAGAGTCCCAAAACTGAGGAACTTGGAGTCCAATGTTCAAGGGCAGGAAGCATCCATCACAGGAGAAAGATGTAGGCTGGGAGGCTAGGCCAGTATAATCTTTTCACATTTTTCTGCCTGGTTTATATTCTAGCCATGCTGGCAGCTGATTAGATGGTGCCTACCCAGATTAAGGGTGGGTCTGCCTTTCTCAGCCCACTGACTCAAATGTCAATCTTCTTTGGCAACACCCTCACAGACACACCCAGGATCAATACTTTGCATCCTTCAATCCAAGCAAGTTGACACTCAGTATTAACCATCACACTACTTTGATGTCTCTCCATTGCTTTCCAGTTTACATTGTTTCTGATAAGTCAGGGTTAATCCTTGTCTTTGTTCCCTTATACCTAAACTGTTCTTTGTTTTCCTTTGGCTGCATTTAAGACTTTTTATTTTGAGACAGAGTTTCGCTCTTGTTGCCCAGGCTGGAGTGCAATGGCGTGAAATCGGATCACCGCAACTTCTGCCTCCCGGGTTCAAGCGATTCTCCTGACTCAGCCTCCCGAGTAGCTGGGATTACAGGCATGCACCACCACGCCCAGCTAATATTGTATTTTTGGTAGAGATGGGGTTTCTGCATGTTGGTCAGGCTGGTCTCCAACTCCCGACCTTAGGTGATCCGCCCGCCTCAGCCTCCCAAAGTGCTGGGATTACAGGCATGAGCCACCACGCCCAGCCAAGATTCTTTCTTTGTCATTAGTTTTTAGCAGCTTGATTATGATGTGCCTTGGTGTGGTTCTCTTTGTGTTTATACTGCTTGGAGTTGGTTGAACTTTTTGAATCTGTGGATTTATAGTTATCATCAAATTTTGAAAATTTTAGTCATTATTTCTTCAAATGTTTTCTCTAAATCCCCATTCTGGGCCTTCAATTATATATGAGTGAGACCACTTGATATTGTCCCACATATCACTGAGGCTCTAGTTCTCATTTTTTCATACTTTTTTTCTTTTTGTGTTTCAATTTGGATACTTTCTATTGCTATGTCTTCAAGTTTACTCATTTTCTGCAGTGTCTAATCTGTTGTTAATCCTAATCAGTAAAGTTTCTATTTCAAATATATTTTTAGCTCTAGTAGTTTTATTTGGTTCTTTTAAAATTATTTCCATTTCTTTCCTCATTATGTTTATGTTTTATTTTGAACCCTTGAACATATTTTAATAGCTTTTCTAAATTTTTGTCTGTTAATTCTACACTTTCTGTTTTTTTCTGTCATCTAATTTTTTTTTCTGTTTATAGGTCATATTTTCCTGTTTCTTTGCTTGTCTAGTAGTTTTAATTAGATGCTGGATATTGTGAATGTTTTGTTGTTGAGTGCCTGAATTTTGTTGTCTTACTTTAAAGAATGTTGAGTTTTGTTTAGCAGGCATTTAAGTCATTTTCATGTCAGGTTCAAACTTTTAAGGCTTGTTTATAAGCTTTGTTACAGTAGGTCTAGGGTAGCTTTCACTCTAGTCTAGGACTAGGATAGCCCTACTACGAATGCGTGATCATTTTGGGGTCTCAACTCAAATTCCTGGGTACTCAACATTTCTTCACTCTGGCTGATTGGAAATCAAACATTTCCCTGTCCTGGTTGAGCTCTGGGAATTGTTCAGCTTACAGCTCTTCAGCAGTTGTTCTTTGCCTATCCTCATGGGAGTTTCACTCTATGTATGCACAGCTCAGTATTCAGCAAAGACTCAAGGGAGCCCCATGCCAAATTTTGGAATTCTTTCTTTGCATAACTCCCTCCTCTCTTATACCCTGCCCCGCAAATTATAGCTGTCTTGGCCTACCTGGACTCAGATCTCTGTCTCCTAAATCAGCAAGATCACTGTGCTCTGCTTGGGTTTTCCATCCTTATGCTGTGGTCCAGAAATTGCCTCCAAGCAGCAAGCTAGGCAATAACAGAGATTACATAATTTATTTCCTTTATCTCGAAGATCATAGTTCTGCACTCCCTTTTGTCTACTGTCTGAAAGCAATTGTTTCCTATATTTTGTCCAGTTTTCTAGTTACTTATGGTAGGAGGGCAGGTCCAGTGCTAGTTTTTCAGTCATGCGTAGAAGTGGAAATTCTAGTCTTAAAAAATATAATAATTGAAATAAAAAATACAATTGGGGTCCAGGCACAGTGGCTCATGCCTGCAATCCCAGCACTTTGAGAGGCCAAGGCAGGAGGATTTCTTGAGGCCAGGAGTTTGAGACCAGCCTGAGCAACATAGGGAGACCCCATCTCTACAAAAAAATGAGAAGTTTTTTTTTTTTTTTTCATCAAGTGTGGTGTTGTGCGCCTATAATCCCAGCTACTCTGGAGGCTTAGGTGGGAGAATAACTTGAGCTTGGGAGGTTGGGGCTGCAGCGAGCCATAATCATGCCACTGCATTCCAGCCTGGGTGACAGAGCAAGACCCTGTCTCTAAAAAAATATAATTGGTAGAATCAATAGTTGGATAAATGTAGCTAAAAAACAAGTTAGTGAGTTCAAGATAAAATTGAGGAACTTTTTTAGAAGGTAGCAGGGAAGAATAAGGAAATAGAAAAAATACATAAAAAAGCTAAAGGATATGGAAGTTGGAACTAAAAGTGACAATATTAAATAAAAGGAGTCGTCTCAAGATACAAAATCAATGTACAAAAATCACAAGCATTATTATACACCAACAACAGACAAACAGAGAGCCAAATCATGAGTGAACTCCCATTCACAATTGCTTCAAAGAGAATAAAATACCTAGGAATCCAACTTACAAGGGATGTGAAGGACCTCTTCAAGGAGAACTACAAACCACTGCTCAAGGAAATAAAAGAGGATACAAACAAATGGAAGAACATTTCATGCTCATGGGTAGGAAGAATCAATATCGTGAAAATGGCCATACTGCCCAAGGTAATTTACAGATTCAATGCCGTCCCCATCAAGCTACCAATGACTTTCTTCACAGAATTGGAAAAAACTACTTTAAAGTTCATATGGAACCAAAAAAGAGCCCGCATCACCAAGGCAATCCTGAGCCAAAAGAACAAAGCTGGAGGCATCACACTACCTGACTTCAAACTATACTACAAGGCTACAGTAACCAAAACAGCATGGTACTGGTACCAAAACAGAGATATAGATCAATGGAACAGAACAGAGCCCTCAGAAATAACGCTGCATGTCTACAACTATCTGATCTTTGACAAACCTGAGAAAAACAAGAAATGGGGAAAGGATTCCCTATTTAATAAATGGTGCTGGGAAAACTGGCTAGCATATGTAGAAAGCTGAAACTGGATCCCTTCCTTACACCTTATACAAAAATCAATTCAAGATGGATCAAAGACTTAAACGTTAGACCTAAAACCATAAAAACCCTAGAAGAAAACCTAGGCATTACCATTCAGGACATAGGCATGGGCAAGGACGTCATGTCTAAAACACCAAAAGCAATGGCAACAAAAGCCAAAATTGACAAATGGGATCTAATTAAACTAAAGAGCTTCTGCACAGCAAAAGAAACTACCATCAGAGTGAACAGGCAACCTACAAAATGGGAGAAAATTTTCGCAACCTACTCATCTGACAAAGGGCTAATATCCAGAATCTACAATGAACTCAAACAAATTTACAAGAAAAAAACAAACAACCCCATCAAAAAGTGGGCAAAGGACATGAACAGACACTTCTCAAAAGAAGACATTTATGCAGCCAAAAAACACATGAAAAAATGCTCACCATCACTGGCCATCAGAGAAATGCAAATCAAAACCACAATGAGATACCATCTCACACCAGTTAGAATGGCAATCATTAAAAAGTCAGGAAACAACAGGTGCTGGAGAGGATGTGGAGAAATAGGAACACTTTTACACTGTTGGTGGGACTGTAAACTAGTTCAACCATTGTGGAAGTCAGTGTGGCGATTCCTCAGGGATCTAGAACTAGAAATACCATTTGACCCAGCCATCCCATTACTGGGTATATACCCAAAGGACTATAAATCATGCTGCTATAAAGACACATGCACACGTATGTTTATTGCGGCATTATTCACAATAGCAAAGACTTGGAACCAACCCAAATGTCCAACAATGATAGACTGGATTAAGAAAATGTGGCACATATACACCATGGAATACTATGCAGCCATAAAAAATGATGAGTTCATGTCCTTTGTAGGGACATGGATGAAATTGGAAATCACCATTCTCAGTAAACTATCGCAAGAACAAAAAACCAAACACCGCATATTCTCACTCATAGGTGGGAATTGAGCTATGAGAATACATGGACACAGGAAGGGGATCATCACACTCTGGGGACTGTTGTGGGGTGGGGGGAGGGGGGGAGGGATAGCATTGGGAGATATACCTAATGCTAGATGACGAGTTGGTGGGTGCAGTGCACCAGCATGGCACATGTATACATATGTAACTAACCTGCACATTGTGCACATGTACCCTAAAACTTAAAGTATAATAATAATAAATAAATAAATAAATAAAATAAAAGGAGTCTAAGAAATAGGGAAAATAAAAATGGAGAGAATTAATTGTTTTAAAAAATAATGGAGATGAATTTTCTGGAATTGAAAAATAATAAAAAACTTCATTTTGAAAAGAGTCATAGAGTGCTAAATAGGAGCAAAAAGGAAAACCTATATTGGATACTTTATAGTGAACATTAAGAGAATGAAAGAGAAAATTCTAAAAGCATCCTGAAAGAACAAATAGTATATGTATAAAGAGATAAGAATCAGTTTGATCTCAGACTTCTCAATAGCAACATTAGATATATGAAAAAAATAGAGTATCCTTGGGGAGATGTATATAGGAGACCTTTACAGAGAAAAAGCCTGGAACAGAGTGGGAACTAGAGGTAGAACTGAACTGATAATTGATCGAAAGCCCAACAGTCATAGTTTAATAGTAGAAAAGGTCTTGTGAATATTTTCCAGAGCAGAAATTTAGGCATTATTTTGTCCCAGTGGAACCTCATTCTCCTCTGGAGTGGAAAGAATAATTCAATTTTCATTCATATTGGATTTTATACCTTCAAATTGCTTTAATATTCATTGCTACATTTGAACTTACGTGGAACAGGAAGCTCAAGTGTTATTGTGTTCAAGTGGCATTTCTTCCACTGTATAGATAGGAAATCTGAGACCCACTAAGGTCATGACACTGATCAGTGACAGAGCCAGACCTGGTTCCCTAATTTACTAACTCCCACGTTTGTTTTCAAATTTTTTCTTTGATTTTTATTTGACACATAATAATTGTACATATTTATGGGATACATAGTGATATTTTGATACATGTATTATAATGTATAATGATTAAATCAGGGTTATTAGCATATGTATCACCTGAAACATTGATCATTTCTTTGTGTTGGGAACATTCACAATCCTGTCTTCTAGCTATTTGAAAACATACAATAAATTATTGCTAACTATTGTCAGTCTACAGTGCTATAGAACACTAGAACTTATTCCTCCTATCTAGCTGTAATTTTTTATCCATTAACCAACTCCTCCCTCCTCTCCCCACTTCCACTCTTTCCATCTTCTAGTGACCACAATTCTGCTGTCTACTTCTATGAGCTCAACTTTTTAAATGCCCATATATGTGTGAGAACATGCAGTATTTATCTTTCTGTGCCTAACTTACTTCACTTAATATAATGTCTTCCAGGCTCATCCATGTTGCCATGAATAACATGGTTTCATTTTTTATGGCTGAATAGTATTCCATTATGTATATACACCATATTGTCTTTATCCATTCATCCCTTGATGGACACTTAGTTTGATTCTGTATCTTAGCTATTGTGAATAGTGTTACAATAAACGTGGGGATGCAGATAGCTTTTCAATATACTCATGTGCTTTCCTTTGGATAAATACAGAGTAGTGGGATTGCTGGATCATACGGTGGTTCTATCTTTGGTTTTTAGTTTGTTGCAGAATCTCCACACTGTTTTCTATAATGGCTGTACTAATTTACATTCCCACCAACAGTGTATAAGAGTTCCCTTTTCTCCACATCCTTGCCAGCATGTTATTTTTTGTCTTTTTAGTAATAGCCATTCTAACTGGGATGAGATGATATATCATTGTGATTTTAATTTGCAATTCCCATTTAATTAGTGATGTGTAACATTTTGTCATATACCTGTTGATCATTTATATGTCTTCTTTTGAGAAAGAGCTAATCAGATCCTTTGTCCACTTTTGGGACTATTTGTTTTTCTACTGTTGAGTTGTTTGAGTTCCCTGTATATTCTGGATATTAGCTCATTGTCAACTGAAGTTTGCAAATATTTTCTCCCATTTAATGGGTTGTCTCTTCACTTTGCCGATTGTTTGCTATGCAGAAGCTTTTTAGTTTAATACATTCCTATTTGTGTATATTTGCTTTTGTTGCCTGTGATTTTGAAGTCTTAGCTATACAATCTTTGCCAAGATCAATGTTATAAATCATTTCCCCTGTATTTTCTTCTAGTAGTTTTATAGTTTTGAACTTTACATTTAAGTGTTTGTTCCATTTTTGGGTTGATTTATATATATATTATGGGAGATAGAGATCTAGTGTAATTCTTCTGCATACTGTGCATATCCATTTTTTCCAGAAGAATTTATTGAAGAGACTATTCTTTCCCCAATGTATGCTGAAAATAAGTTGGTTGTAAATATGTGGATTTATTTCTGAGTTCTCTATTCTATTTCGTTGATCTATGTGTCTGTTTTTATACCAATACCATGCTGTTTGGGTTACTATAGCTTTGTAGTATATTATGAAGTCAGGTAGTGTGATTCCCCCCAGCTTTGTTCTTTTTGCTCAGGATTGTTTTAGCTATTTGGGGTCTTTTGTGGTTACATATGAATTTTAGGATTGTTTTTTCTATGTCTGTGAAGAATGTTATCAATATTTTGATAGAGATTGCATTGAATTTGTAGATTGCTTTGGGTAGTATGTTTTTTGTTTTGTTTTGTTTTTTGAGACAGGATCTTGCTCTGTCACCCAGGCTGGAGTGCAGTGGCATGATCACAGCTCACTGCAGCCTTGACCTCCCAGGCTCAAATGATCCTCCCCACTGAGCCTCCTGAGTAGCTAGGATCACAGGTGTGCCCCACCACCACTGCTGACTAATTTTTAAAGCTTTTGTAGAGATGAGGTCTCCCTATGTTGCCCAGACTGGATTGGAATTCCTGAGCTCAAGTTATCTTCCCACCTGCGCCTCCCAAAGTGCTGGGACTACAGGCATTAGCCACGTGATCAACTGGTAGTGTGGTCATTTTAACAACATTAATTCTCCTAGCTAAAAAACATGGATGTTTTTCCAGTTTTTTGTGTTATTTTCAATTTCTTTCATCAGCGTTTCATAGCTTTCATTGTAAAGATCTTTTAATGACGTTAAGATCTCCTTGGTTAAATTATTTCTAGGTATTGCACTTTTTTGGTAGCTATTATAAATGGGACTGCTTTCTTGATTTCTTTTTCAGCTAGTTCATTGTTAGTGTATATAAATGCTACTGGTTTTGTATGTTCATTTTGTATCCTGCCACTTTCCTGAATTTGTTTATTAGTCTTAAGGGTTTTTTAGTGGAGTCTTTAGGTTTTTCTACGTATAAAATATGTCAACTTCAAAGAGGGACAATTTGACTTCCTCTTTTCCAGTTTGGATGTCTTTTATTTCTTTCTCTTGCCTAATTTCTCTGGCTAGAACTTCCAGTACTATATTGAATCACAGTGGTGAAATGGGCATCCTTGTCTTGTTCCAGTACTTAGAGGAAAAGCTTTCAGCTTTTCCCTGTTCAGTATGATGTTAGCTGTGGTTTTGCCACATATGGCCTTTACTGTATTTAGGTATGCTCCTTCTATACCTAATTTTTTGTGTCTAACACACACATTTCTGCTATTTCTTCAGCATATTGAAGCAGCACGAAAGCTGAGTGAGTTGGGTGGATTGTGAACTGATTTGTCAAGTGAATCTTGCTTTGTAAGGCCTTTTGGCTAGGGGTGGGCATTCTCAAATGAAAAGGTAACTGTGCCACCCCTGAAAAGGCTGTGTTCTGCTCTACTTGGCTTATGCATTGTGATTGTCCTCAGCTCTGAGATATGATCCAATAATGAAAAAAAGTCTCTTTTCCATCTTGGTGTTCTTGTTAGTACTTTATGTGGATAAGGTTTTTTAGAATAGTTATTTTAAATGTAGCACACATGAAGGGTGGCTCCAATTGCATTTTTAGAGAATAAATGTATGATAATGAATTTCATGACAACTTACACAAACCTCCTTGCCCTGAAAGCTACCAGCAGAAGAGACATTACTGTCTGTCACAGAAATGAGAAATAGAAAGAAACCCCTTCTTTAAATTGTCCTTCTCTATATATGAAGTGTCTCTTTCCCATATAGCCCATAAAGATCATTCCTGTTGTCAGCTGTACATAAGCATAAGCATTCTTTTCATCAACTATCCTAAGGTTCTAAAAGACCCCATTGAAAAAAAAAAACACCAAAAAGAGCATGCTAATTTCAAGAAACTGGCTGAATGTGACAGTCCCAGCACCTCCTACTCAGAGGAATGACATCATGATAGCAGCAATGTCAGCTCCATCGCTAGTCTCCTCTTTGGCAGGGTGAGGAGCCTGTTTTTTGTATGGTTTTCGTATGTTCATTTTGTATCCTGCAACTTTCCTGAATTTGTTTATTAGTTTTAAGGGTTTTTTAGTGGAGTCTTTAGGTTTTTCTATTTATAAAATCATGTCAACTGCAAAGAGGAGCAATTTGACTTCCTCTTTTCCAGATTGGATGTCCTTTATTTCTTTCTCTTTCCTAATTTCTCTGGGTAGAACTTCCAGAACTATATTGAATCAGAGTGGTGAAAGTGGGCATCCTTGACTTGTGACTATGCTTTCATTTATGTCTCCATTTGAAAGATGCACTCTGTGAGATTACGGATAACCCTGTCCTCTACACACACACACACACAGAGCAGAACCTACTTGATATGCAAACATTAACTCTTTCTTGCATAGCCCACTGAAAATTAAGATAGAAATAAGGATGATTGAGGCTTGAACTATACGTTAAGAAATTTCAGAGCTCCATGCATCAAATTGTAAATAAAAGTAATTTGAAACCTGGCCTTATAGTGGAGTCTAAAATAGAGCTTCAAATGTAAAACATAGTTGAAATGGGACAGAGAAAATGATCCACCTGTACCAGTGAGTTTGAAATGCTTTTAGGAATAATAATTTATATGTTAATACACTTTGCAATTTTAAGATTAGTAATTCTGCTTTACACTTGAAGCAATGTTTTTTTTTATTTCAATCAGAACCCTTTGGGGATGTATTTTATTACCAGATTCAAAAGAAAATGTAAAACTCTTGCAGAGCCTGGCTGGCACCAGCTGCATTTGACCTCTTCCTCTTTAGACCCCATAGATGCTTACTCAAGTTTCATGCTGAATTGCCCTTTGGTAAGATAGTGGAGTTGGCAATGTTGGTCTCTGTAACCCTCAGCCTCCTTGCTTTGCCCTCTTTTTTCTTTGTACTATCTCCCCTCCTCTACACTCCCTCTTCCTTCAGGCTTCCAGCACTACCTACTCTCTTCCTTCTCTTTCTTCCTTCCTATTACAATCCAGTCTGGGGAGTGGCCCTAATATTAGTCATTTACAACTCTGTGAATTTAAATAAACTTTTTCTCTCTCACAGGAATGGAAATTAAAGACTTGGTCCCTTATTAAAGGGATTTCAGGCATTAGTGAGCTCGAGGGAGAGGTAGATTTTTGGCCAAGTGGACGTTAATGGCATCTCAGAAATTGATGATTGTACCACCCACAACACTTAGCACAGTGGCTAGCACACCTAGTGGCAGTTTAATGAGGATTTGCTAATTGGATAAGTGGTTTTCTACTCCTCCTACCAACAAGGCTTTGGCTGTTAGACTTTTGGCTTTTCAATGTCCCCCAGGTGGATATTGTAGTACTTGGGCACATTGTGGACCCTGATATTACACTGGAGTTTGATAACAAAAAGGTTGCAATATTTGAGAAGATTGAATCTTGAAGGATAATTCAATGAGCAGTCGAAGGATAGAATCAGAAAGTTAAACAGACGTATATGAATCTTCCAGAATTGAAAACTGTCGAAATTGCTGGAAGATTAGATCATATTAGTCATTTGCTGTAAACCTGTTCTGGCTGTACCTTGAAAGAAGGGTTTATTTCCTGACTGTCAGTCAACTGTGGCCTGATTAGAGGGAGCAGGATCTGAGGAGGTCAGAGTCTGGCTGTGGAGTCATTTCTGATGAGTTTTTCTTTTACCTATAATACAGCAGGAAAAGCGAGTGCAAGGTGGAGAAGAGATTTACATTTTTTTCCCTTATTGCTCAGATGAAGCTTATATTTCCATTAAAAATCTTTTCATGGAAAGCTCTTGGAAAAATTGACCCCTGAAGCAAGCATTATTTGGAGAGCTTGGGACGTGGCTTTCTGGCAAGGTGTTGGTTTGAATGTGATTAGCAGACAAACCCTGTATTGGGCCTCTTGGCTTCTGCTAGCTAGCATTCATCTGCATAGCACCCCGCCTTCCCTGTTTCTGCTGCTGCTAGAAATATCCCAGCTACTGTTTGAACATTCTCCATTACATTCTCAAAACTTCCTTACTGTCATCAGGGAGTGGCCTGCCCTTTGTGCACAGAAATCAATAATTGTCATTTTCTCCAAGAAATCCTGGGAGAAAGGAGTGGTGATTGAACTCAGATGGGGACACTTCTGCCCTAATCTCCAAGCCTAGCTTAACTAATATAAGAACAATTTCTACTGGCTTTAGGGGAAGAAATGGGAAGCAAAATAGGGGTGCTGTGCTCTCTCCTTAACAAAGATATTCGCCTTAATTGCTAGGTAACTTTTCATTCCCTAACTCTCACACCCTGTTCCTAAGAAACCCCACCAGCTGCTCCCTTTTTTGGTCTAATGTTGTTTTACAATAGGTTAAGGCTCTAACCGTTCATAAGAAAGGGCTTTTGCTCAAGGGCTGTCAAACTAGCCCTTTTCAAGTTTGCAAAATTTGTTTAGCAATTAAAATAAAAGAGATATGGGATCTCACATATACATGTAAGTGACTCTTCCTTTCATGTTTTTGCCTGGCTGCGACTTGAGATGCTTTTTAACCACAAGCTTTTCATTAAGTAGAAAATGTAATTATTCTTTTAGAAAGGAAGGGCAAAACATTCCCAGTGACCTAAGGAATCCCTTTAACTAATGGCAGCTTCTCTCAAATTAGAGCAATAATTGTACTGAATTTGAACAATATGGGGGCAAGACAATAAAATCAGGAAAATTTTAGGAATAATAATACTGCCCTAATAAGTAGTTTTCAGCTATGAAAAGCTTGTAAGCACTTTATTAAGGGTATATTTGGAAAGACAAAAAACTACTGCATTCTAGGCTCAATAAAGGAAAATGATAATGCTGAATACTTTTAAAGATCTTTCAGTAAGGAGTTGTACTGGAATGTCTAAGAAGTTTGCAGCATTATTTGAAATAAAATTTTATATAATGAAGTTCAAAATCTTATTACAGTGAGCTTCAAACAAGTATCTGAGTGATTAATATAACTTTCTTTAATGAGGATTCTTAATTAATAAAACTTTTTACTTAATTGTATTTTTGCAGAAAGAGGGGTAGGAAAAGATAACTATCTTCTAGGGCTTTTAAAATAACATTTCTAGTGTATTTTGGGTTCGCTATGGGTTAAACACAATCTCTTAAGCCTTTTACGACTAGTCTGGACTGCTGCCGTTGATGGTTGGAAAGATGACTCCAAGACCTGGCAATATCTTTAATCTTCAAATATTGAATTTTGTTCACTAATGCAACTTACTATATTGTACACACTAAGGCAGGAAATTTGACTCATAGGATTTTCGGTCATAAATTTTGAAAAATAATAAAATTTTCAAGTTAACCCCCAGTTACCCAGACAAAAATGATCAGGCACAATACTCTAGTCTCAGATGCAGAAAGAAAAGATTGGCTGCATTGGTGTGTTGTTGTATTGAATGTAGCCAAAAAGGATTGACCACTGTTTAAAAAGCTTTTTAACAGTAAATTTGTGATACTAGAAATAGACTGAGGCATTTTTATTCTTCACTATGTATAGCTACCCCGAATAGTGCCTGGTGCATGACAGGTGCTTTAAAAGTACTTTTGGCCTAAATTGAAGAATGAAAGTGTGTCTTACATATTTTTGAAATAATAAACCAATTTTTGTTGTCATTTGCTCCTGATAATCTATTTCCTTGTTGTCTTGCATGCACTCTTCCTACTCATTGAATCAAATATTGCTTCGGGGGAAGACAGAAATGACCTAGAACAACTATATCGTTGCCTAGCTCTGAATTTCAAATGGTAATTTTGAGTGTATAGTGAGGTAATAGTTTCAAAAACCAGGCTTTGATGAGGGTAAACAGTCCCTTTACAGACCAAGAACAAAATGTGGTGGTTTGAAAATAATTTACTATTGTAAATTATTGTATAAGCTATTGTATAGTGAGGATGAGGAATATTAACATAAGGGATGTTTCTGCCACTCGGGAACCTGAAAGCTGTTTTGATGTCAGAGGAGCTTGGCAATATTTGGGAAGGAATGTGCTTAGGCTTGAGATGTTGACCTCACACTCTGGATTATGAAAGGGGATGATACTGCCCTTCCTATCTATAACTCATGGAGGGGCTCACCTCACATGATACCCCATATCAACACAGAGTAGCCACAGTTGAGTATCGAGGTGGCATGATAAAACAAAGAGAGGGTTGGGGACCACGTAGTTGATCCTGAAGGGCTATGAAAGAGATCTTAATTTCCCACATTCCCTGGTGGGGGATGCAAGAGTGAAGAAAGGGCAGGTGCATACGAAGAGGACTGGGGTCAGGAAGAGGAGAGAGCTGAGTGTAGAAACCTTACCTTAAGAGTAATGGCAAGTTTCAAGGTCATTGGCAGTGTTCCTGGCATGATTCCCCAAGGGACAGGTGGACTTGAAACATGATGCAGGATTCATGATGACCAGCCATAGTTAGGGACATTTCAGTAGAGGTCAGAGAGGAACCAGAGACCAACATGCAGCACAAAGTCCCCTTCTCTGGCTGCATTGAGGCTATACAAACTTCTCTCTGCACCCTGATGCCATCTTGAGGAAGGAGAAGAGAAGACATTTTGAGAAGATTGAGGGAGGCCTAATAGGAAGTTTGAACTTTGAATTGACTAAAAATTAGCCTAAAAGATACTGGGGGAATTGGGGCTCCAGAACAAGATGAAGTCAGATGTAGAAAATCAAGTTGCTTTTTCTCCATAATTGAGTCAGAGTGTGTAACTGTGTACTTCCTCCAATAGATGCATCTTCTAATGCCTTATAGGCTAAGATAAGGCTCACCAGCCTTTCCAACTTAGCACAAAGTCTTCTCATATACTTACTCTAGGAAAGGTATGAAGGGAAGTGAGACAACAAGGGAGAAGTTCTCTATTAAAATGCATACTCCCCTGGAAATAGTTACACCTTCAAATGGTAACAATTAATGCTAAATTACTAGTTAACAAATTAGTTGTCCATTAAAACTCCAGTATGGGTTTATAGGAAAGAGGGTAAAGACTAAGCACTTTGGAGAAGGTGGCTAAGGAGTAATTAAAAAGTGAGTGCACCTTTTTTTACATATCTGGAACTACTTGGACAGTATTTATCCCATGATTCTTTGCTTTTTCTTAACCTGCCGGGACACAGGAGAGAACACTTCTACATTTATTACTGTTAATCAAGGCAGTCCTGGGCTCAAATATCAATTCTGACATCTGGGTTTAAATACTAGCTGTGTGACCTTGAACAAGTGATCTAACTCATTTTAGCTTCAATTTTCTCTTCTGTAAAATGGAAGAAATAATATATTCACTTTACCTTATCAAACTGTGTTGGGTGTCTTATCTTTGTCTTTCCACACCCATTCCCCACCCTTTTCTACACTACTGTGTGTTCTGGAAGACAGACTTGTGTACATTTCTGCACTGTGCTTACTTGTCCTCTGGCTTTCCTGTGAATTTGACCAATGGGAAGTACTAGTGGGAGATCCGAAGGAAGAGAGTGAAATGTGGATATTTATTCCTGCAGCTTCCCCCTGCAGGATGCATGGGCTGATTGTGTCCTTCAGTGAAAGGTCAGAGCCCTCTCCATGAAACTCTCTCTCCTTTTAGGAGCAGCTCTCTCCTGTCACCCTTTCAGGCCTGAGGTGATAACACTTCTCCTACCTCTCCCAGGAGTCCATAATCTCTTTTTTAGTTTACCAACCTTTGTAAATCATCCCTTTATTAAACTCTCTTCAAATTATTTAATTTGAGTATACTTGCCTGTTTTCTGCTGGGATCCTGATTGGTACATTCTCTTACCATTTCTAAGTATCTATGAGAAATCAATGGAAGCCACATGCATGCTTTACTTGACTCAATCTCTCTGTAAAGGTCTGAGTTAGCTGTTCCAATCTTTGCTTTGGGATTCTGAGTTCCGGTGAGGGAACGGTTTGGTCTAGTATTAATAAAAAGGACACTCTGTAATCCCAGCGCTTTGGAAGGCCGAGGAGGGCGGATCACAAGGTCAGGAGATCGAGACCATCCTGGCTAACACGGTGAAACCCCGTCTCTACTAAAAAAAAAATACAAAAAATTAGCCGGGCATGGTGGCGGGCGCCTGTAGTCCCAGCTACTCCGGAGGCTGAGGCAGGAGAATGGCGTGAACCCGGGAGGCAGAGCTTGCAGTGAGCCGAGATGCGCCACTGCACTCCAGCCTGGGCAACAGAGCGAGACTCCGTCTCAAAATAAATAAATAAATAACAAATAACAAATAATAAAATAAAATAAAATAAAAAGGACACTAAGCTGATTAGAAGACTTGGGGCTTTGCTCTATTTCTGCCATTAACTCTGTGAGCTTGAGCAAGTGACACACCTCCTCTGTGGGTCTCAGTTCTTCTTCTGTAAGATGAAGAGATTGAATTAGATGACTTCCACGGTACCTTTTAGTGCTTACTCCGTAGTGACTAGAGTTTTCCCTAGTAGAGTTGTAGCAGACATTTCTTTGATGATGTAAAAGGAAAATATCTTGGGTCCCCAAAATCACTAAGCTGAAGGGAAAATTCAAGGTGGGAACTGCTCAGGGCAAATCTGCCTCCCATTCTATTCAAAGTCATCCCTCTGCTCACTGAGATAGATGCATATTCTGATTGCCTCCTTTGGAAAGGCTTATCAGAAACTCAAAAGAATGCAACCATTTGTCTCTCACCTACCTGTGACCTGGAACCCCTCCTCCCTCCAAGTTGTCCCTGCCTTTCTGGATGGAATCATTGTACTTCTTACATATGTTGATTGATGTCTCATGTCTCCCTAAAATGCATAAAATCAAGCTGTGCCCCGACCACCTTGAGCGCATGTCATCAGGACTTCCAGAGGCTGTGTCACAGGTGTGCGTTCTCAACCTTGGCGAAATAAACTTTCTAAATTAATTGACATCTGTCTCAAATTTGGGGGGTTAACAATGGTAATTCACCTAGCTTTCCACATAGGAAAGGAGATTGATGTACCTCCCAACCTTTCTTAAGAAAGAAAGTAAGCAAGAAGAAGAAGAAAGAGAAAGAAAGATCAACCCCTTAAAAATGATATGTGAAGCTTTTAGAACCTTCCAATCAATCCATTCAATCTCTTTGCCCTTAGATTGGCAGATTAAGGCTCTTGACATCTGAATGATTTATTATGACTTAAAGTCCATACTTACAGTACTTCAGCTTGATTTCTTCACAACAACAGAAGGTAATGGAAGAAGACAGATGATAGGCAGAAAGCAACAGGCCAATCACTGAAGAAATGGGAGCTTAAATGATGATTCTGTCATATGGCCTTGCCAGGCATCAGATTTTTTTGTTGCTGTTGCCGTAGTTGTTTGGTTTGAATAGCTTGTGAAAGTGGGGAGAGTAGAGAGGAAAGAAAATATTTAGACACACCTGGACAAAAAGAAGAACCATCAAGGAGAATGGAGAGAAATATAATAGCAAGAAGGTGGTTTGGGAGGAGGGAGTGAGTCTGTGATTTGAGGTCTACCTTTTTCTAGTTCATTGTGTTGTGGACTTTGCATACATAGAGATTATGACAATTATACAGAAGATAAAATTGGTTCAAAGAGACTGGGAAACTTGCCCAAGGTTACCCAGTTTTATTAGGTGAAAAACCAGGATTTGAACCTAAGTTTAGCTGGTTTCAAAGTTCATGCTTTCCCGAGACTGCTAAAGAGTGATGCCATGAATTGCATCTGGAAACTTTAGGCCACATAAATAGTTTAAAACCATTCATGTAGTTATTCAATAAATTTGTTGTGTATCTTCTGTGTGCCAAGCAATGTTCTATATACCGGGGTACAGTGGCAAACAAGTTAGATGAAATCCCTGCTCTTATTGTGCTTACCTCCTAGTGGGAAAAACAGATAATCAATGAGTACGCAAGTAATGCAATGTAACTTTCTGATAATCGTAAGTGTTTGAAGAAGACAAAATAAGGAGAAATTGATTGAGGGGTGATCTAAGGTGGCTTCTCTGAGGAAGTGACATCTAAGTTGCATCTAGAATGACTCAGGAGCTAGTCTGCAAAGATTAGAAAGAAAGAGCAAGGAAAAGGAAGGAAGCAAGTGTAACTGGGGAGAAAGGGTCAGTGGGGGAGAGGGTGGTTCTGAGGGAGGGATAGGGATGGAGAGAGAGAAAGAAAGACTGAGAAAGAGAGAGAGAGAAACTTCAGAGTGCTAGACAGCTTGTGAGCGGATCACATAGATGCTTACAGGTCATAATGAAATGAAGGGTTTCGGTTTTATTATAAGGATGATGGTGAACCATTAGTGCCCTTAACTGCCTTCTCCACCCTTGTCTTAATGGAAAGATTTTGTGAGAATGAACTTGGTGACTTAGGATCCTATTTAGAAATCTTAACTAACTCTGAGTTGGATGGCGTTTAAGTAATTAATATTCTTCATGACAAAAGCCCAAATTAAATGTCCGTTTGTGCATGACACAAGTTCCAGTTCAAGCAATTACCACCCAATCTGAGGCGTGTGTGTGTGTGTGGGGGGGGGGTGGTTAGGGATGATATGCATGACTGCAAGATCTGGAAGGTCAAGGAGGTGGGTAGGACTACCCACAAACCTCAGTAGTCTTCCACGTCATCACCTTCACTGTTTAAGGAGACTTAGCTGCTTTTCCTTGATGCTTGAGGCTATTTCCTAGTCTATCTACTGGTGTCACTCCTGAATGAACTGCAACTTCCAATGAAAATGAAGGGAAGATGTTTGCATGGCTTTGAATCTTGCATAGGCAATTCCAGTGAATGCACAGGATATATTTACATGATGCTGGAAGCATTTACATGATGCTCGAATTGCACAGCTTGTGGAGAGGAGATTGTTTATTTAAATGAAGACTGAGAGGGCTGATTTGATTTCCTTATTCAACCGAAGACTTTGTGATGGTAGAAGATGTAAATAGCTTGTTCACTGATGAAAGGTTTTATGTTTTTATTAAAAATAGAAGGAAATAAGGGGAGCAGTGTCTGGAAGAGGGCACAAGGGGGCTTCTGGTATTCTGGTTATTGATGTGGGTGCAGGTTATACAGGTTTATTCAGTTTGTGAAGATTCACTGATCTGTACTTACAATTTGTGCACTCTTCTATATATATCTCAATAAAAGTCTACAAAAAATGAAGTAAATGAAATGCAGCCCTGAAGGCTTTTTCCATATGATAATGCCAGGATAGTTAATGAGCATTGGAGTGGGAGTTTGGAGACTTAGGTTCAGAAAAAGCTCTCCCACTAACTCAGATGAATGAGCAATAATAATGCAGAGGTTTCAGGTGGCCCAATAAATAACACCCTTTCTTTTCTTTCTCCAGGTCTGAACTGACCAAGACAAACAGAAGTAAAGGAGATAGAGATAAAGAGAGCCTCATTTCTGATAAAAGTGCTAGGGAAAGTGGGTTAAATGTGTTTGACAAATGAGCTTCTTACTTCTTAACCCAGAATTAGGCAGAGATACTCATCCAGACACAGAAAATGTAAGGAAAGTGTAGGCCTAGCCTGCAAGGGGGATTTTATAGCACGGAGTAGACCAGAGCTCATTCCCTCTAAAAGCAGATAGATCCCTATTGGCTGCACATAGCCTGTTCCTGTTCCCAGATCTACCAGTCAGAATACCCTTCTTCCTGAGGAAGGGAAAATGTGAGGGTGAAGAGAGATCAACAGTGTTACACTAATTGATATTTCTCCGCTTAGGAACATGAAGCCAAGAGAAAGGGTGTCCCCCAGCCTTCCTCAACTAACAACAAAAACAACTTTTGCTGTGATGATGATAGCAACTGTCATTTACTGAGCACTTACTATAAAGAGGCACAAGGCTAAGTGTTCACCCATATGTGTTATCACATATATAATTGTATTCTCACAATAACCCCAGGAAATAGGTACAATTATTACCTTCATTTTATAGATGGAGTAACCTATTAAAGGTGACATAGCTAGGAGATGGTGGAGCTGGGACTCAAACATAGAACATAAAATCCATACTTTTAGAGGTTGCTGTAATATAACAAAGGGTAGAGATGGGATTGAGATGCCTGGGTTTAAAAGTCAGTACCACTTACTAGTTGTGTAGCCTTGAGAAAGTTACTAATCTGCTTATTAGTTCCCAAAATCAGCAAGATGGACATGTTATTTCTCTTTACTGGGACTCAATTTCCTTATCTGTGTAATGTGTAGAATAGATTAGAGCAGCAGTTCTCAAAGTGTGTTCCCTGAACCAGAAGCATCAGCATTACCTGAGAACTTGTTAGAAAGAATCCTACTGAATCAGAAACTATGGCAGGGCCCAGCAATTTGTGTTTTAATGAGTCCTCCAGGGGTGTCTGGTACATGCTGAAGTTTAAAATCCACTGTTCTGGATGATCTCAACATTTTCTTTTAGTTCTGCCATTCTGATATCTAATCTTAATGTTTACAGTTGCCCTTTCTTCTCAGCAGGTGTTAGCCTACTAGAGGAGATACTGCCTCACCCTCAGGAAGCTCCACTGTCAGACAAGTGGTGGTGTTATTGGGGGCCACAAAGCGGCCTTGAGGAATAGCCTTTTTGATGGGAAAACCACAACATTTTAGGCTCTTGGTGAAGTCCAGAAGTGAGGCTTTAGTTAAGTCTGCTTCCTTACCCCAGATTGTGCTAGTGACAGGGGAGAAAACAGAGATGAAAGCAGAACTCCTCAGTCTGGAGTGGGAGTTGGTATTGGGCTGCAGCAGCTGCCAGGAGTGGTTGGGCTACTGGTTTGGTCTGAGGTTCAGACCCCTATAGGATTAGGCTGTGGGACAGTTAGGAGACTGCTTTTTCGGCATTTCTCCCAACTTCCCTGGCCTTCCTGTTACTGCTTTTTTCTCTATCCCCGTCCCCTAGATTGCCTGGATATTCTGACTTTCTATGTCAGCCAGCAAAATTTGTCAAAGCATGGCCAGGATCTGAGAAGAAACTGTGGGTTAGTGATGCTAAGGGCACCTTAAAACATGGCTTTATATTATATGGTAGCAGATGAAGTCCTCATTAACACTTCAGCTCAGCTAAGGGATAATATTCAGTAATTATGTGAAAGGGATTTTACAAGTTGTAGAAATAGAGGGTATTATTATGAAGAGTATTGAATTAGACACTTGGGCAAACCATAGGTTTCCAATAGGCCAATGTATGGGTTTACAGATGTCTACATAGGTGTGATTTGAGGGCTGTCATTTGACATCTTAGCGCAGATTAATTTGTCAGATAACTAGCTGTTACTTTGGCAACTCAAACAGGGCTCTGACAGCATGGGACATGGGATAGGAAAGTTTTTCCTGGATGCTAAGGGTGAGAGCAGGAGGCTTAGAGGGAACTTATGGGATTAAGCGATATGCCATGTGTAAAGTACCTAGCACAGTACCTGGCAAGGAAAAAGTGCTTAATAAAAAAACAAATTAAGGTAAGAGTGTCTGGACAAATGGGGATCCACTGGGTACTGCTTAGGGGGAACAGTTTGGAGGAAAGCCAAGGCACCGAGTGGCAGCTAGGGACATGTTGCAAAGGGGAGAGAAAGAGAAGGGTGTGCAAGGAGTTGGGGAAGCAAGTGATTTTGGCTGACCTGTTGAGGAATGTGAGGGCCATTTGAAGGCTTTTGGCATGCTGATGCTGAAAGGCTTAGGAAGGCAATGAATAAAGGACTTATTTGTTTTATAGTTAAGGAGGCTGTTTTAAATCTTTTGAATTTCACTCTAAGCTATGTTGGAAATTTCTATGGCACACAAATCATGCAGGTTAGTAACCTGTTGGCATGGGAAATCACATTGTTTTCTCTGGACCCTCCTGACAGAGTCATAATACATTGCAGCAAAACCAAGAGAATTAACGTGACTCATGTAGCTTTCTTTTTTCAAAAAAACCATCGTGCTTAGCTATATTAAAGAAACAAAATTCAGGCCAATGTTTCCCTTGAGCTGAACAAAACACTGATTGAAACCAGATCAGGGCGCTGTCACTAACTGTGTGACTTTGGGAACTCACATGCCCATTCCAGGTAGACCTTTCTTCCCCAGAGAGTAGATGGTTTCTAATATCCTACTTTGGACTTCCAAGTCTTTGGTACAAAGTAAGCTTGTGTGCTTCTTCTTTCCTCCCCACCATAGCCCTCAGCTCCACTGACTGCTTTCAGAAGGTGAAGAACTGCTACAAAGTTTGCATGCAGACTGTAATCATGAATGCATAAAAAGCAAGGCAGGCCCCAAACACCAGTTAATATCATCATCAAGCCCTGCCACACCCCAGAGAAATAGAACAAGAACTCCAGGAAGAAATTATGTCCTGATTCTAGATATCAAAATGTCACATTGCATTGGCCAATTCCTGCAGATTTTGTCAAGCAAGAGGCATCATGAGACATTAAAAATTCTCTTTGTGAGTGTAGAACGTCAAACATCAGGCTTGCCTCTCTCCAGAGTTACAAACTGGGATGCAGGCTGGCCTCTTCTTTTTCCTTTGCAACTCTCTGATGTGGGCCAAAGCCAAGGGCAGGATTTCTTGGCCCACCGGCAGTCTTTCATCTGGCCCATTTACTGGGCTCCTCAAGAAATGTCTCTACAAAAGTTATAACCACAACAGAGTGACTTGTTCTTTTCCGTGGGCTGCCTGCATGGCAAACATGATTTAAAGAAATTCTTTAGATGATTGCTAGGACTTTGGGAAACTGCATAAAGCTGATGTGACTGGGAGTGAGTACTTTGTGGAGTTTTAAATTTGCTTTATATATTTGTCCTGCTTCCAGCTGTCTTCATCTTTTCTTCACCAGCCCCTAACTGTTTAACTTAGCAGTAGTTCCTCTCTCTTGGGACCCTGGTTTCCTCTATGGCTCTCTCGCTGTCCTCTCCAGCCACTAGGCATTGGACAGAGACCAGGGCATATGGGATACCTTTCATCATGTCCTGCTTTTTCTCCATGGCCACAAGCCTATCCAGAGTTCCCGCCACTTCTGTCTCTCTCTTCAGCCTCATTGTATATGTCTTTGAAATTCTGGGAGCATCACTGTAATCACATGATATACGTGAAATCCATTTTAGCCTAAAGAAAGAACAATGTTCAGTGTCAGGTTTCTGAATAAATTGTGATAGGGCTGATGAGCCTGAAACAGGCTGGCAGGAAAATTACCTTTGTATGTGCTTTCCTGTTACCTGGCAAGCTGTTCCTAGTCTTCTACCTTCTAAACCTGGCTGATCACTATATCTACTATTTCTGGAAAGCTCAGCTCAGACATCTTCACCACCTCTGGAAGCTTTTAATAAACTCTGCTTTGCTGGCCTTGTTCTCCCTCCTATGCACCACTAAAAACAAGTAACATTTATTGAATACTTCTTATGTGCCAGGCACTTTACATGTATTAATTCATTTAATCCTCACAATCATTCTGTAAGATAGACACTCAATTATAATTCCCATTGTATAGATAAGGAAACTGAGATACCAATAGGTTAAGCAATTTGCCCAAAGATATACAGTTAAGAGGTGGTAAGGTTGGTGTTCAAACCTAAGCATTCGGACTCTAAAGCCTACACGTGACTGCCTCTCTCTTCCCTAGCATAGCTAATGTAGCACTTATTGTCACTTGTGTAATTACTCGGTTACTTGTCTACTTGTCTGTGTTGACAACTAGATTGAAGATTCTGTGCAGGGCAGGAGTGGTGTCTTATTCATTTTTTTATCCCTAGGATGTGGCACTGTGTTTGGTGCAAAATAGATGCTTAATACATGTTGAATAAATGAATGAATGAATAAATAAATAATTTTGCTAAAGTAGAAAGTACAAGGCTTTTGGAATCAGAAAATCTGGATTTGGATCCTGGTACTGCCTGTGTGATCCTGGCAAAGTTATACAATTTTTTGAGCTTTGGTTTCTTCTTTTGTGAAATGGGAATAAAGGATATTGCAAAGCCATATCCTAAGGATTAAAGAAGGTCATGTTTTTAAAGCACCTAGCACAGTAAGGGTGCTTAGTGGTTTCATTCATTCATTCAACAACTATTAATAATTATTGAGCACCTGATATGTGCTAGGTACTATACTATTTGTCAGGTAAACACTGAACAAAACAGAGTTCCTACCTCGTGGAGTTACATTCCAATGAGAGAAGGGAAACCAAATAAATGAGTAAACAAGTGAAAAAACACATAACATTTTTAGAGTAAATACAGAGTAACTGGAGGACTACTTTATTTAGATAGGATGGTCAAAAGAGGTCTCTGAGGAGCAATGCTGACATTGAGGCTTAAGGGATGAAGAGGAGCTAGCCACATGAAAAGCCAGGAGATGATCATTCCAGGAAGAGGGAATAGTCAATATAAGGGCCTTGAGTTTAGAAAGAGATCAAAATGTTCAAAGAAGAGGAAGGAGATCGGGATGGCTGGCACCTAATGAGTGAGGTGGAGAGGGGTAGGAAATGAAGTTGGAGAGGCAGGTAGCTGCCAGATGCCAGAACAAGGGTGTTCCAGTTCCTGCTAAAGATTTTGTATTACTCTAAATGCAATAGGAAGGTATAGACAGGTTTTCAGTGAAGGGATGGCATAGTGTGATTTATATTTTTAAAAGCCCACTTTGTTGCATAGTGTGTAGATTTTAAGGGACAAGAATAGAAGAAGGGAAGCCAGTTAAAAGCTTATTGAAGTAGTCCAGGTGAGAAATTACAATAGCTGGGGCTAGGGTGGTAGCAGTGGAGATGGAGAGAAATAGCTATATTTGAGATATATTTTAGAAGTAGAAGTGTTATAACTAGCTAATGAATTGGATACTGGGGATGGTGAAAATGGAGGAATCAAGGATGATTTCTAGCTTTCGATTCGAACAACCGGGTGGATGATGGTATATTTATTGAAATAGGAGTAGCTGAGAAAGGAGCAGACTTGAGAGAAAAACAAGAGTTAAATATAAGACATGTTAAGTTTGAAATGCCTACTCTGTCTCAGAGGAGAGGTCAAATAGGCTGTTAGATATATGACTTTGGAGGCTGTGATGGTTAATTCTATGTGTCAACTTGACTATGTTAAGGGATGTCCAAATAACTGGTAAAACATTATTTCTGAATGTCTCTGTGAGGGTGTTTCTGGAAGAGATTAACATTTAAATCAGTATATTGAGTAAAGAAGATCCCCACTCACCCAATATGAATGGGCATTATTCAACCCATGGAGGACCCGGATAGAACAAAAAATGGAGAAAGTGAGAATCTGCTCTCTTTTCAGGAGCTGGGATATCCACCTCCTCCTGCCCTTGGACATCAGAGCTCCTGGTTCTTGGGCCTTTGGACTTTGGGTTATATCAGTGGCCCTTCAATTCTTGGGTCATTAACCTTAGAGCTGGGGTTACACCATTGGCTCCCTTGGTTCTCAGGCCTTCAGACTCAGACTGCATTACACAACCAGCCTTCTTAGTTCTCCACCTTGCAGAAGGCATATGGTGGGACTTCTTGCCCTCCATAATCACATGAGTCAATTCCCATAAGAAATCTCTTGTTATCTGTTTATCTATCCATCCATCCTATTGGTTTTCTTTTGTTAGAGAACTGTGACTAATACAGAAGTCAAGGGAGAGGTCAGAGTTGGGGGATATCATTTTATGTTATTTGCCTATGAATGGTATTTAAGATTATGGGAATAAATTGTATTACCTAAGCAACAGTGTGGACAGAAAAGAGAATAACAGCAATAACAATAATGATGATAGTAATGACGATGATTATAATGATAATAATACTGAACATGTATGTAGTGCTTATATGCTAGGTACTGTTCTAAGTTATATATATATATAAAACAGTTATATATATATGACTTAGATATATATAAACATATATAACTTATATACATAATTTATATATAAAACATATGTGCATATATATATAACTTAGAACAGCACCTAGCATATAATATGAATGAATATATATATATATATATATTCATTTAATTTTTTTTTTGAGATGGAGTTTCACTCTGTCACCTAGGCTGGAGTGCAGTGGCACGATCTCGGCTCACTGCAACCTCCACCCTCCGGGTTCAAACAATTCTCTTTCCTTAGCCTCCTGAGTAGCTGGGACTACAGGCGCCTGCCACTGCGCCCAGCTAATTCTTTTTTTTTTTTTTTTGAGACAGAGTCTCGCTGCTTCGCCCAGGCCGGACTGCAGTGGCGCTATCTCGGCCCACTGCAAGCTCTGCCTCCCGGGTTCACGCCATTCTCCTGCCTCAGCCTCCCAAGTAGCTGGGACTACGGGCGCCCACCACCACGCCCAGCTAATTTTTTTGTATTTTTAGTAGAGATGGGGTTTCACCGTGTTAGCCGGGATGGTCTCGATCTCCTGACCTCGTGATCAGCCTGCCTCAGCCCCCCAAAGTGCTGGGATTACAGGCATGAGCCACCGCGCCCGGTTGGGTTCATTTAATCTTAACAACAACCCTATGAGGTAGGTGCTATTACTCTCCTTACTTTACAAAAGAGGAATTTGAGGCACTGATAGACTTAGGCAAATTTTCCAATTTCACACTAAGTAAGTAGCAGATAGGATTCAAAACCAGGCAGTTTGGCTTGAGTTCATTCTCTTAACGGCTATACTATTATTGCCTCTCAAGAGAAGAAGGCCTAGAATCAAACTCTGGCACTCTATCACATTTAGAGGACAAAAAGAGAAGAACTCAGCAAAGGAGACTGGTAAGGAGTAACAAGCAGAGTGTGGTGTCATGCAAGCCAAGTAAGTAAAGGATATCAATAAAGAGAAAGTGTTTAAGCATGTTGAATATTTTTGAGCCATTATGTAAGAGGGCAGAGAGGTTTCTACTGGATTTGTCAATATGGGGGTTGCCTGTGTCCTGACAAGAGCAGTTCCTTCCTTACTAGTATTTACCATTTTCCAAAAGACTCCCCTCTTCAGTCACTACCTTCCTTTGTCAATTTTGATGACTCCCTTTAGTACTGTAATTGGCCTCTTTGGCCATGAATTTCATATGCTAGTAGGTATGTGCAATCAGAACACTTCAATTTCCAACGGGATGTATTCTGAGTGCCATTTTATATTTAACCTTTTATCTCACTGTCTTATTTTGGGATGTCACAGTCTAGTTTTCTTAAATTTTAAAATTTCTTCTGGAGATATTTTCCTGTGTCATCAAAGGAGTTACATAAGAGGCTCTCTCCTTTGTTCCACTACTCCCACTTCCTCGGGTGGGTGATTCAGAGTGGGAAAGAGGACAAGATTTCTGGCTGTTTCTGAATGGCAAACTCAAGCACTGTGTCACTAGATGATTATGATGTACAGCACTTCCTCCCTAGTGTTCTTATGCTTGAGTAATCCAGAGACAGTTTCTGAAGACTAAATCTCCCTCCAGCAAGGATAATTATTCCTACTAGGCAGTTTAGAGTAAGGGCAGGTCATGTGACTAGTGTCTCTAATTTGCCCCTCAGCAAGCTCTAGTCTAGATTTCTTATTTAGGGCACAGTGGTAGTTAGAAAGGGTGTGATTCATTTCTACCAGTGTGTCTGGACACATCTGAATACATAAAAAAGAAACTCATTTCCAGATGGAGTTCTCTCAACAGAGCTGCCTGGGGAGGGTGAACAATGGTACACCTCAGTCTCAATAGGACAAGGCACTTGGAGAGGGAGTTTCCCCTTGCTTTCTGATGAGCAGTGCCCTGGACCAGATGTCATAAGCCTATGGATTCTCTCTCAAACTCAAGATAGCAGATGACACAAGCACAGTAGGGGATTGACAAATACTTATCACTACTTCTCACTAACTTTCTTAAAACATGTCAACATTGGCCTTCCCTGGAGATCTTAGTCAAGGCATTGTGTTAAAAGAGAACATTCACAGATCTGAGTTCATAGAGGATTCAGAGTTTAATGGAACTTAGTGAGCTGAATTCCTCAGTGAGCTGAGTTCCTGACTTCTTTTTGTCACTCCATGTGGGATTTGGAGCTCTTAGGGGTCAAGATGTCAAGGCCCTTGGCCTCTCCTCATAAAAATGTCTTCTTGTAGAAATGGTTCAGGCTAAATAACTATCGTAAAGCACTGACTAATTTTCTTTGCATTTTTTTTGTGATCCTGCAGAATCATGGAAATCCCTGAGCATAGGTAGAGGAACAGTTATTATTGGTATTGAAGACACCAGTGAAAAGGAATGAGTTAGAGAAGTGTCTGTGATCTTGGAATAGTAGAATTGACCAGCAGACTGATGGAAGGATAAAGAGGCTGGGGAGGGAGAGATGTTAAAGGCACTCAGAGAAAGGGAAAGTGAAATGGCGAGAAGAGTCTTGGGGCCAAATTACCTTCTAGGAACAGAGATGAGGCAGAGGGAAATAGCCTGTAAGATGTTGAAGGCTCATATGAGTGAGAACAAGCAAAGCACCTACTCTTTGCCGCTATTGCTCCTATGGATCTAGAGGTGGGCAAGAAGAGATCCTCCAGACTTTTATTCCACCCAGAACTAAAAGCAAAGAGGTGCATGAAGGGGACAGAAAGGAAGGAAGGGGGGCCTTGCCATTAGATCAGAAATAGAAACATCTGAAACTTTCCACTGGAAAACTTGGCAGGATTAGACCCTCGTGGGACTTTAAAGGAATCTCAATTTAACTGGCCTGTGTAGTGCAAGGGTGTGGTGTGCTTGGAAGAGCTTGCAGTCTCGGGAGAGAAACGTGACCATGAAAAGTGTCTTTCCTATGTGAGAGCTGAGGATGGAATATTCCTTTTTTTTTTTTTCCTTGTAAACTACTTTGGACTTGCTGGAAACTTATGAGCACAGTGAAACCTGTCTCGAGGTCTGCTCTTCACCTTGACCAAGTCCCACCCTGTCAATGATGACTTTACCTTGTTTTGAGTTTCCAGGGAGAATATATTTTCAATGCCAAGCAATCAATTTTTATGAGTCGCTGCCTGGAATATAAGTTTAGAGTTAGATTCTTTACACTAAGGGGAGTTTATTAGCCAAAGTTAGACCCAAGTCATAACCAATGGATTAATCAATGCAACAGTTCCAAACTGATGAACACAAGGGGCAATTGACCAGGATTTTCCAGAACTCCGTTAGAGCCTGAGGCTCACCCAAAAGGAAGTGGATGATGAAATACTGCTGGACCAATTTGTCTGGGGCCCCTGGGGTTTTGTGTTTGAAGGATTAGCTCCAGCCTCAAAATCTGCTCTAGCCAGAAATGTTGAGGCCCAAGGGGGAGGATTTTGGGGGTCACATTCCTAAAAATATATTACTTCTCCCACATTTTGGCAGATGACTAAAATTATTTTAGAAGGAGACAGAGCCTTTCATTCCACAATACTTCTTTGAGTCTCCCAACCTTCCTAACAGAGGCCATAGTCGCAGTTTTACAGAAGTGTTAGATCCTTTTTGAGAGCAGTTTTTCTCTCAAAGATATGGCACAAGAGAATTGCCTGCTTGAAGTGGGAGTGGTAAGTACTGGGAAGGTAAAAAAGGAGAAACTGGAAATCTGAAAGCCAAATGACTGACTTTACAGTTTTGCTAAGGATGACTAGCCCTATTCAAATGGGAATTTTAGGAAAATTTACCCCAAGGCAATGGTAAGATTCTTCTTCAAGCAGCTAGTACTCTCAGCTATCTGACATGTCAGCACTATGCATATGGGAAGTACTCGAAGGGCTGCAGATATATTGCAGGCAAGTTGTAGTATTTCTGACTTAGCAGTTCTTTTGACCTTCCCTGAAAGCTTGATGACCCATAGTATATTTTTTTTCTTTCAAAAATGCCAATTTCTGATCAGCCTGGTGTGATCAGGGTTCCTCTTTCCAAACGATCCATATTCAAAACCACAATCTATTTTGGTAAGTTCTCTTGTGCATAGTGGAGACATTGCTAGGGTTGTACACAAAAACAATTGCCAATTAAAGAGACATGTTAGCATTGCCTTTGAGAGGGAAAAGGATGACAACAAAGAAAAACTGATCTCCAGCATCAGGGGCTAGCACATGCTGAATCTCTTGGGGTGTCATTTATCTGCACTCCTCTTCAGCCTTGGCAGGGAAGATTTGCTGCTGCAGCTGGCAGTGGCCTTGCTCTGTAGCAGAACAGCAGTCACACAATCAAGATGCAAGCTTGAAAGAGGTCTGGAGTTTCTTCTTCTTCTTGAAGTAGATACCACAGCCACCTTCATTATTATCTTTCTAGCTTGTTTGATCAAAAAAGGTTTGGTTGATTTTCATTTCAGCAGAGCTGGGTTGGACCAACAACTGGAGGCAGAGGAGTAGCAGATGGCCAGTCACAGAGTTCAGATGGGTGCAGGGGAAATCTGAGTGTGTTTGCAGCATTTTTACACTGTGTGGAGGAACATATGCTAAAGGCAGTGAGACTTATGTACTCCTTTCCAAGTAACACACTCAGTCTATGTGGCACCCCACTAATAGGCTTTAAGCGGCCAGCATTGCAGGAGGATGTGCCATTGCCAAAAGCCCATCACCAGCTCCAGGAGAATACTTGGCACTCCTGCATCATCTCTTTTGTTAACTTGTAAACAGCCCTGAGCTGTTAACTAAACTAAACTGTAGTAGCAACATGAAAAGGAGATGGAGGTAAATAGCCAGGAGGATATTAGGTTAAATACATACCTCATCACCAGCAATGCTTCTTCCTGTCTTTTGAGCAACATTGCCTTTAATCTGGTGGAATGATTGGTTCAAGGATAAACTGATTTGAGGAATAAATTCAAGATGAAACATTCTAGATTGTAGTCCTTGAGGTAGCTGATCCCAAAAAATCTCACACGCAGCTGAAGCTCAAATTTCAGTGATTAGTTTAATAAACATTGGGAAGTGTAAACATTTGGGAATAAAGAACTAGGCTAAAAAGTGTGTGTCATATTTTTATTGGAATAAAACAACATTATGATTGCACTGAAGGAAAACTTTTCAAACAAAGGAACAAAAAATCATCCACAAGCTCTCTAACACAGGAGCTATTTTCACTTTTAGATTTCCTTTTCTAGTCTGCATGCAAATACATACACTTTTTTTTACATAGTTGCAACTGAAATAAACATAGACTTTACAGTTGGGCTTTTTTCTTATAGCATCATATCATAAACACTGTCAATGTCTCCACATAATCTTAATAGTCTTTTTCAAGGTTTCATTTGATGTTTTGTAATTATAAAATCAATATTATTATAATTTTTTTTTTTTGAAACTGAGTCTCGCTCTGTCGCCCAGGCTGGAGTGCAGTGACGCGATCTCAGCTCACTGCAAGCTCTGCCTCCCGGGTTCATGCCATTCTCCTGCCTCTGCCTCCCAAGTAGCTGGGACTACAGGCGCCTGCCACCACGCCTGGCTAATTTTTTGTGTTTTCAGTAGAGACAGGGTTTCACCGTGTTAGCCAGGATGGTCTTGATCTCCTGACCTCGTGATCCCCCCGCCTCGGCCTCCCAAAGTGCTGGGATTACAGGCGTGAGCCACCGCGCCCGGCCGATTATGATTATTATAAGTTTATGATTATTGTAGAAAATTAGGAAAATACAGAAAATAATAAATCAAGTAATAAATCATGAAAAGAGACCTATAGTTTCACTATCAAAAGGCAGCTATTAAAAGGATATTGGTCTATTTCCTTCTAGTCTTTTTACAATTAATGTATTTTTCTTTACATAGTTGACCTTATGCTGTATATATATGTATGCAGCTTTGATTTATTAACATTGTGTAGCAAGCATTTCCCAATGCCCTTATGAATTATTATAAACATACTTTAGGAAGACTGCATCATTTTCTATTTTTTGGACGTTCCATTATGTTAGATTGTTTCGATATTTCCCTATTATCAATGATGTTGAACTGCTGTAACAAATAGACTGCCTAAAATGTAAGGGCTAACATCAGAGAGCAATTTGTTTCTCTCTCAAGTAATGGCATAAATTCCGAGTCAGGTCGTGATTCTTCCTAACACATTCACTAAAAAATGCAGATTTATTTTTGTCTTCTTTTTTAAAAAATTAACTTTTATTTTAAGTTCAGGGATACACGTGCAGGTTTGTTACGTAGGTAAAGTTGTGTCCTGGGGATTTGTTGTACAGATTATTTCACCACCCAGGTATTAAGCCCTAGTACTCAATAGTTATTTTTTCTGAACCTCTCCTTTCTCCCACCTTCCACCCTGAGGTAGACCCCAGTGTGTTCTAAACACTTAGCTCCAACTTATAAGTGAGAACATGTGATATTTGGTTTTCTGTTCCTGCATCAGTTTGCTAAGAATAATGGCCTCCAGCTCCATCCATGTTCCTGCAAAGGGCATGATCTCATTCTTTTTTATGGCTGCATAGTATTCCACGGTGTATTTGTGCCACATTTTCTTTACCCAGTCTATCATTGATGGGCATTTAGGTTGGTTCCACATCTTTGCTATTGTGAATAGTGCTACAGTGTACATACACATGCATGTGTCTTTATAAGAGAGAGATTTATAGTTCTCTGGGTATATACCCAGGAATGGGATTGCTGGGTCGAATGGTATTTCTACCTTTAGGTCTTTGAGGAATTGCCACACTGTCTTCCACAATGGTTGAACTAATTTACACTCCCACCAACAGTGTATAAGCATTCCTTTTTCTCTGCAACCTCATCAGCATCTGTAATTTTTTTAACTTTTTAATAATAGCCATTCTGACTGGTGTGAGATGGATCTCAATGTTTTTGATTTACATTTCTCTAATGATCAGTGATGTTGAGCTTTTCTTCATATGATTGTTGGCCATATAAATGTCTTCTTTTGAAAGTGTATGTTTGTGTTCTTTGCCCATTTTTTAGTGGGGTTGTTTGGTTTTTTTCTTGTAAATTTGTTTAAGTAACTTACAGATGCTGGATATTAGTCCTTTTCAGAGGCACACTTTGCAAACATTTTCTCCCATTCTGTAGTTTGTCTGTTTACTTGGTTGATGGTTTCTTTGCTGTGCAGAAGTTCTTTGGTTTAATTAGATTCATTTGTTAATTTTTGCTTTTGCTGCAATTGCTTTCGGCATCTTCCTCATGAAATCTATGCCAGTTCCTGTTCCTATGTCCAGAATGGCATTGTCTAGGTTGTCTTCCAGGGTTTTCATAGTTTGGAGTTTTACATTTAAGTCCTTAATCCATATTGAGTTGATTTTTGTATATGGTGTAAGGAACGGGTCCAGTTTCAATCTTCTGCACGTGACTAGCCAGTTATACCAGCTCCATTTATTGAACAGGGAATTATTTTCCCATTGCTTGTTTTTTTTATTATTATTATACTTTAAGTTTTAGGGTACATGTGCACAACGTGCAGGTTAGTTACATATGTATACATGTGCCATGTTGGTGTGCTGCACCCAGTAACTCGTCATTTAACATTAGGTATATCTCCAAATGCTATCCCTCCCCCCTCCCCCCACCCCTCATCCATTGCTTGTTTTTCTCAGGTTTGTCAAAGATCAGATGGTTGTAGGTGTGTAGTCTTATTTCTGAGTTCTCTATTCTGTTCCATTTGTCTATGTGTTTTTTTTTTTCCAGAACCATGATGTTTTGGTTACTATAGCCCTGTACTATAGTTTGAAGTCAAGTAGTGTGATACCTCCAGCTATGTTCTTCTTGCTTAGGATCACTTTGACTGTTCTGGCTGTTTTTGGGGTTCCGTATGAATTTTAAAATAGTTTTTTCTAGTTCTGTGAAGAACGTCAGTGGTAGTTTAACAGGAATAGCCTTGAATCTATAAACTGCTTTGGGCGGTATGGCCATTTTAACAATGTTGACATTTCCTCTCCATGAGCATGGACTGTTTTTCCATTTGTTTGTGTCATCTCTGATTTTTTTGGGGGGCAGTGTTTTGTAGTTCTCCTGTAGAGATCTTTCACCTCTCTGGTTACTTGTATTCCTAAGTATTTAATTATTTTTGTGGCAATTGTGAATGGGAGTTCATTCCTAATTTGGCTCTTGGCTTGACAGTTGATGGTGTATAGGAATGTTAGTGATTTTTGCACATTGGTTTTGCATCCTGAGACTTTGCTGAAGCTGTTTATCAGCTTAAGAAGTTTTAGGGCTGAGACTATGGGGTTTTCTAGGTATAGGCATGTTATCTGCAAACAGGGATAGTTTGATTTCCTCTCTTCCTATTTGGATGCCCTTTCTTTCTTTCCCTTGACTGATTGCTCTTCCAGTAGTATGTTGCAACCCAATCCAAGAAAGCTAAAAATCATTTCTGTCTTTTCTTCTACCAGCCCTGCTGCAAGTGATGTCACTTGAACATCCATGCTTAGAATCACAGGAAAAGGAAATACAGCAGAGTGGAGGTACGCCTATCTCTTAAGGGATCTGGCCCAGGAGAGATACACACTTTTGCTTGCATTTCTTAATCATACAGCCATACACAAGAAAGTGAAGCTTGAAACTGTAGTATAGCTGGGCACCCATGCCCCTGGCAGGTCTATTGCTATGGAGGAAAGAGAAAAGAGATATTGGGAGACAGGTAGTAGTCTCTGCCATAAACATTTTTGTCCACAAATATTTGTTTGTATGTCAGTGTTTTTTCCTTAGGATATATTCTTAGAAAGAGAGACTAAATATTATACTTTTTAAACCACAACTGCTTCACTATTGCTCTCTTATTTTTAACTCACCTCTCGGCTAACCTGAATGTCCTAAATAGTTTCTTTCAAGAAGAATCCATGACTGCTATATTTTCTGAGCCCTTGCATATTTAAGAATCTTTTTGTACCTTCTCATTTGAAAGGCAATTTCTCTAAGTATAGAATTCTTGACTTACAAAATTTTCCCCTTAATACTTCATAGCTATACTTCCATTGCCTTCAACAAATATTTACCGAGCACCTACATATGCCAACAATTACTATAGGTGTTGGGAATATAGCTGTGGACAAAACAGGCAAAAAGCCCTTGCCCTCTCAGAGGGACTAGGGGCTGTGCTGGATTTTCTCTGCTCCCAAACCTGAGCCATTCTCTGCCTACTTTGGGCCTTGAAAGACTAACTCCTGAAGACTACGTTTCCCAGTCTCCCTTCATGGCTGATTTTCATTATTTCTTTCAATGGGTGGCACTGGCAGAAGATTGGAGGGCAAAAGGAAGCTGGGGTATTTCTTATCTGCTCCCTTCCTATTTCTGTATCTCATCTCTGACAGCTGCATATCTCCAGAAGTATAGCATCTTCCAGATGGCTCTCTTCCACAGTTCCATTTTTCTCATTAAAATAATCTGAATCTGATTCTGTTCATTTTCATGATCCTGCCTTTCATGATCATTGGTGTAACGATCAGGATCACAGCAGGAGAAAGATGGCATACTCAGATCGTTTAACTAGGGATAGTTTAATGGCAAGACTATTTATAGAGTTATGGGCAGAGTTAAAGAATCCATAAAGGATAGTGTGATACCCAAGCATAGCAATAGTAGCAAGCTGTTACTACTGGTAGGCCTGAAAGCACAAGAGGAATGGTTACTAGAACCAAGTGAGACCTATAGTTGTTCGAGAGGGCCAACTAGATAGGTGCTGTCATGATAGGTAGAAAAACACAATCGTTACCCAAGCTATAGCCTGGCTGAGGAGAGGAGAATGTTTGAGGGAAAGTAAGTGCCCTGACCTTACTCTCCTCCTACCCTCAGCTCTCCTACCATTGCCGTCCATTTGTCAAACCCAACTGGAAACCAAAAACCAAGGACACTTCACATGAAGCAGTCTGTGTATCTCATCCTCCCAGGGTACAGCTAGGAAGTCAGGAGATGTATCTGGGGGGAAAACAGAGAGTATCAAGCAAAATGGGTTAATATTTACATGTAATGTTGCAATTAAGTCTGGAGTTTGTTTATTCTATTTTATTTTGTGATTGACAAATAATAATTGTATATATTTATGGAGTACAATAATGATGGCTTGATATAAGTATACATTGTGGAATGTTTAAGGCAAGCTAGTTAACATATTCATCACCTTACCTACTTATTATTTTTTGATGAAAACATTTAAAATACACTCTTTTAGCAATTTTTTTTTTTTGAGATGGAGTTTCGCTCTTGTTACCCAGGCTGGAGTGCAATGGCACGATCTCTGCTCACCGCAACCTCAGCCTCCTGGGTTCAAACAATTCTCCTGCCTCAGCCTCCCGAGTAGCTGGGATTGCAGGCATGTGCCACCATGCCTGGCTAATTTTGTATTTTTAGTAGACATGGGGTTTCTCCATGTTGGTCAGGCTGGTCTTGAACTCCCACCCTCAGGTGATCTGCCCGCCTTGGCCTCCCAAATCGCTGGGATTACAGGCATGAGCCACCGCGCCCAGCCTCTTTTAGCAATTTTGAAATACAGAATACTTTATTATTAATTATGGTCACCATTATGTGCAATAGAGCACTAAAAGTTATTCCTTCTGTCCAGCTGAAATTTTGTACCTTTTGACCAACATCTCCCCTTTCCCCATTCCCCTCCCCCAGTCCCTGGTAACTACCATTTTACTCTCTACTTCTATGAGTTCAACATTTTTAGATTCCACATGTAAGCGAGATCATGCACTATTTATCTTTCTGTGCTTGGCTAATTTCACCTTAACATAATATTATCCAATTCATCCCTGTTGTTGCAAAATGACAGAATTTCCTTCTTTTTAAAGGTGGTATAGTATTTCATTTTATATGTATATCACGTTTTGTTTATCCATTCATCCATTAATGGACACTTAGGCTGCTTCCATATCTTGGCTATTATGAATAATGCTGCCGTGAACATGAAAGTACAGATATCTCTTTGACACTGGTTGTAATTCCTCTGAATATATACCCAGAAGTGGGACTGCTGGATCATATGGTAATTCCATTTTTAGTTTTTCAGTGAACTTCAACACTGTTTTCCATAATGGCTATGCTAATTTACATTCCCCCCAACACTGTACGAAGGTTTCCTTTTCTCTGCATCTTTTTTTTTAACACTTATTATCTTTCTTCTTTCTATTAATAGCCATTCTATCAGGTGTGAGGTGATATCTCATTATGGTTTTAATTTGCATTTCTCTGATGGTTAGTGATGTTGAGCATTTTTTCATATATCTATTGGCCATTCATATGTTTTCTTTTGAGAAATGTCTGTTTACATCCTTTGCTCATTTTTAAATTGGATTGTTTCCTTGCTATTAAGTTGTTTAAGCTCCTTATGTATTTGAGTATTAGTCCCTTATCAATGTATGGTTGGCAAATATGTTCTCCCATTGGGGCTGTAGGCTGTCTGTGTTTTCACTCTGTTAATTTATTTCCTTTGCTGTACGGAAGCTTTTTAGTTTGATGCAATCCCATTCGTCTATTTTTGCTTTTATTGTCTGTGCTTTTGGGGTCATCTTTAAGAAATTATTGCCTTGACAAATGTTTTCTTTTAGTAGTTTCCTATGTTTTCTTTTAGTAGTTTCACAGTTTCAGGTCTTACATTTAAGCCCTTAATCCATTTTGGGTTGATTTTTGTATATGGTTTGAGTTAAGGGTTCAATTTTATTTGGCATGTAGATATCCAGTTTTCCCATTACCATTTATTGAAGAAACCATCCTTTCCCCATTGTTTATTCTTGGTACCTTTATTGAAAGTAAATTGAGCATAAATTCATGGGCTTTTTCTGGGCTTTCTATCCTGGTCCACTGGTTGATGTGCCTGTTTAAATGTCAGATTGCCCACACTAGTCACTTCTATTTAATATAGGACTGGAAGTCCTAGTAGAGTGATTAGGTAAGAAAAAAAATAAAATGCATCCAAATAGGAAAGGAAAAAGTGAAATTGTCTCTGTTTGTTTATAACATGGTTTTATGTATAGGAAACCCTGAAGACTCCAGCCAAAAAACAAAACAAAACAAAACAAAACTGTTAGAATAAACAAATTCAGTAAAGTTTCAGGATACAAAATCAACATACAAAAATCAAAAACATTTCTATACACTAATGACAAACTATCTTAAAAAGAAATAAAGAAAACAATCCCATTTATAATAGCATCAAAAAATACTTAGGAGTAAATTTAACCAGAGGTGAAAAATCTGTCTTAGTCTGCTTTCTGTTGCGTATAACAGAACACCTAAGGCTTTACTCTGTGCTGCTGCTGGCACTGTGAGCACATGCAAGCAATGAAACTCCATAGCCCCACTCCCATTGGTACTTGATCCCAGCCGACATGGAGGAACCCTGCTGTGCTGCTGTGGCAGCTGCCACATGCAAGCGAGCACAGATCTCGCTGCCACTGCCCTGATGAAGCATTTTGGCCAGCAACACCAATCAGAGTGTTGTGGCCAGCAGACCAGGAACACTTTAGCCCCTCCAGTGCAGCAGATTCCTAAACTCAAGGGACCAGAAAACAAAGCCAGGGGCCTGGTACCCGCCCTGTCCCCAGAGTTAAAGCACACAGCCCAGGATTGCTGAGCTAAGCCTTGGCCCCCTAAAACCTTCTGGAAACAAAGCCAGTTGACTGAATGCACCTCATACCACAATAGAACCCCCAAGGGCATCAAAGAAGATAAAACAAAAACAAAACAAAACAAAAACCATCCAAAAGATGGCAACTTCAAAGACCGAAGGAACATTAACTTACACAGATAAGAAAGAACCAGTGCAGGAAGTCTGAAAACTCAAAAGCCAGAGTGTCTTCTCACTTCCAAATGCTCACACTGCGTCCCCAGTAGTGGTTCTTAACACAGGCTGATGACACAAATAGAATGTAAAATATGGATAGAAATGAAGATCACTGAGATTCAGCAGAGAGTTGAAACCCAATCCAAGAAATCTAAGGAATACGATAAAACTATGAAGGAGATGAAAGATGAAATGGCCATTTTAAGAAAGAACCAAACTGATCTGATAAGGCTGGAAAACTTACTATGGGAATTTCATAATACAATTGCAAGTATTAACAGCAGAATTGACAAAGCTGAAGAAAGAATCTCAGAGCTTGAAGACCAGTTCTCTGAAATAACTCAGTCAGACAAAAATAAAGAAAAAATATCGAAGAATAAACAAAGCCTCCAAGAAATATGGGAGTATGTAATAAGACCAAATCTACAACTCATTGGCATCCTTGAGAGAGAGCGAGAAACCAAGCAACTTGGAAAACACATTTGAAAATATCGTCTGTGAAAATCTTCCCAACCTTGCCATAGAGGCCAACATTCAAATTCAGGAAATGCTGAGAACCCCTGCAAGATGCTAAATAAGATGACCATCCCCAAGACACACAGTTGTCAGATTCTGTGTGGTTGAAATGAAAGAAAAAATGCTAAAAGCAGTTTGAGAGAACGGGCAGGTCACTTACAAAGGGAACCCCATTGGGCTAACGGCAAACTTGTCAGCAGAAACTCTTAAAGCCAGAAGAAATTGGGGACCTATATTCAACATTCTTAAAGAAAACATTCTTCAAGTAAGAATTTCATATCCAGCCAAACTAAGCTTCATTAAGTGAAGGAGAAATATGGTGCTTTTCAGGCAGGCAAATGCTAAGGAAATTCATTACTACCAGACATGCCTTACAAGAAGCCCTTAAGGGAGTGCTAAATATGGAAAGGAAAGACCATTACCAGCCACCACAAACATACACTTAAGTACATAGACCAGTGACACTATAAAGTAACCACAGGTTCAAATCTGCATAATAACGAGCTAACAACATGATGACAGGATCAAATTCGCACATATCAATATTAACCTTGAATGTAAATGGGCTAAATACCCCAATTAAAAGGCACAGAGTGGCAAGTTAGATAAAGCAGCAGTACACAGCAGTATGTTGTCTTCAAGAGACCCATCTCACATGCAACAACACCCATAGGCTCAAAGAAAAGGATGGAGAAAAATCTACAAGTAGATGGAAAACAGAAAAAAAGCAGGGGCTGCTATGCTAATTTCACATAAAACAGACTTTCAGCCAATTATGATTTTAAAAAAGAGAAAGTTGGATATTGCATCATAAAGTAAAGGGTTCAATTCAAAAAGAAGATCTAACTATCCTAAATATATTTGCACCCAACACAGGGAAATCTAGATTCATAAAGCAAGTTCTTAGAGACTTATGAAGAGACTTAGATAACCAGATGAATAGTAGGAGACTTCAACACCCCATTAACAGTATTAGACAGATCACTGAAGAAGAAAACTAGAAGATATTCAGGACCTGAACTCAATACTTGATCATCATACAAGATCTCAAGTTAGTAAGCTAACATCGCAACTGAAAGAACTAGAGAACCAAGAGCAAACAGATCCCAAAGCTAGCAGAAGACAAGAAATAACCCAAATCAGAGCTGAATTGAAGGAAATTTAGACACGAAAAACCATTCAAAAGATCAACGAATCCAGGACCTGGTTTTTTGAAAAAATTAATAAAATAGGTAGACCACTAGGTAGACTGACAAAGAAGAAAAAAGAGAACATTCAAAAAACACGATCAGAAATGACAGGGTAGCCAAGCGCAGTGGATCACGCCTGTAATTCCAGCACTTCGGGAGGCCAAGGCGGTCGGATCACATGAGGTCAGGAGTTTGAGACTAGCCTGGCCAACATGGTGAAACCCCATCTCTACTAAAAAACACAAAAATTAGCCAGGCGTGGTAACACGCACCTGTAATCTCAACTACTGGGGAGGCTAAGGCAGGAGAATCACTTGAACCCACGAGGCAGAGGTTGCAGTGAGCTGAGAGTGCGCCACTGCACTCCAGCCTGGGAGAATGAGCAAGACTCCGTATTGAAAAAAAAAAAATGAAATGACAAGGGCAATATTACCATTGACCCCACAGAAATACAAACAACCAGCAGAGAATATTATGAACACCTCTATGCACATAATCTAGAAAATCTAGAAGAAATGCATAAATTCCTGGGCACATACACCCTCCCAAGACTGAACCAGGCAGGGGAAAGGGTCAGGAATAATAGCTAACAGGTACTAGACTTAATACCTGGTGGTGAAATAACCTTTACAACAAACCTCCACGATGCTAGTTTACCTAGGTAGCAAACCTGCACCTGTATCCCTGAACTTAAACATTAAAAAAAAGAAAGAAGGAATAAGAAAATGGGCAGGAATTGCCAAGGACGTTTTGGAAAAGAGGAAAAATGGGAGATGACTCTCCCTACCAGATATCAAAATATGGTATAAATTTACAATAATTAAAACAGTGTGAATATGGCTTAGGAATGTAATAGGCTACTAACAAAGCAGAGAAGAATTTCAAAATAGACTCATTTAAAAAATTGGAATTTATCATGTGGTAAATGTGACATTTTATATCAGTGGAACATGATGAACTCTTCGGTAAAAGATGTTGGGACAAAAAGTAATAATTTAACACAGTTAGTTCTCTATCATAATCTAAGGTAAATTCCAGATGGATTTGAGAAATGAACATAAAATATCAAGTCTTAGACTAAAATACAAGAAAATAAAGGCTTGATAAGCACGATGCTGAAGGAAACCTAGAAACCATAAAGGAAAGCCATGATGGAAAACAGTAACATATTCAACAACATCAAATAGAAAAGTAAAAACAAAAACAAAAAAAAACCTCTGAACACCACCACCACCAACAAAAAGTCACTAAAAGCTAGGTCGCAAACTGGTGGCTCATACATGCAACACAGTTTGTTCTGCACAGAGCTTTAAATAATTTTTTGTATTTAAAACTGTTGGGTGGACATTTTTTTGCCTTATTCCTTATTGTCTTGAACCTGGTGAGCATCACAAAATTAAATTACCTTCCTGACTCTTATAATTGTTTGAATTTGTGACATGTGCAATAAACGGAAACACAAGAAACGACTGGAAAAATATTTACAATATATGTAAAAGACAATGAACATTTATAATACACCGAGTGCTTCTACATATCAATAAGAAGCTGACAAAAAACTCACTCAATAAATAAGCAAAGCTATGAATAGGCAATTTATTGAAGAAATACTAATGACCAATGAGTATATGAAAAGATGCTATTTTCACTTGTAATCAAAAGAATTCAAAATGAAACAAAAATAAGATATATACATATTTCCCATTAGGTTAGGAAAAATTAAAAAGATTGATAAAATGTAGAATTGGTTAGTGTGTGTAGGAAACAGATAATGTTATACATAATGGTAGGAATGTAAATCCATATGGCCATGTTGTTGGGTAATTTGGCTCTAGTCCATCAAATTTTAAAATGCAAATATACTTTGATGTAGCAAATTCACTTATAAAAATGTTTGTACATCTTAACAAGGAGACTTGTACAAGGATGTTTATAGTTTTAAAAGACTGTAAACAACCCAATGGTCCATCTGTAGTGAAAGGATTATATAAATTATCATATCTTTTTGCTATGAAATACTACTCAGAAGCAGGAACAAAATGAGATAGACCTGTCTCTACTGACATAGAGAGATCACTAAGGTATTTTTTAGATTAAAAAAGGCAAGTCACATAAAATGTATAGAGTATGATCCAATTTTTATAAAGATAAAACATCTCAAACTCTATGTGTTTGCAAATGCATAGGAAAAATTCTGGAAGGATATACATAAATCTGTCAGCATTGAGGTTACTTCTGGGGAGTAGTATAGAATGGATTGTCAACTATACTTCTGTATAGTTGACATTTTATGGTGAGAATGTATTCATGTATTACCTGAGTAATTAAAAAACATTTAAAAAAGAGTAAAAGTAAGGAAGTGGATTTAAAAGTTTCTCGTGTTTGAGATGAGAAAATGCAGATGGGAGAGACAGGAAGTACAGGAAATGACAGTACGGTAAGGTGAGTACATTCTCAGTACTCTGACACTATGTATTTTTTAGAAAGCCAGTAATGCTTCAATTCAGAAGTTTGTGCAGGATCACTTAGAATTCAATCAGAAGGGCAGTTTTATGGTATGAGAGATTTTTTTAAGAATTAGACCTCTTACAGTTGCAAGAGGAGCATATTGCAGGAGGAAAATGAAGGTCTACAAAGAGGAGTTCAAAGATCACCAGAAAGGTCACTAATCAGCTCCCATGAGGTTGAAAGAGTTGGAGCTTACGGGAAATTCTGGAAGCTAGGCATATCAGGCTGCTAACATTAGGTCATGAAGCAGGGATGATGTAGAAAACTAAGCAAGATTTTTGGCTTTGTATGGTGATACTGCTTCTGCGAGGTTGCAGTGAAGCATCTGGTCGTGGGCCTGGGGTTGCTGTTGGTCAGCAGGACTAATAGGAAGAAAAGCAAAAGATGGAGCAGGAAAAAATGAAGAGAAACTGGAACCTGTCCACACTTCTGTTTCTGTCTCTCAATACTTATAACTAAAGATGACATTTTTTAGTGTAATGGCTACTGCTTTACAAATCTTGCACAACCTCACTTTTGGCCAACTACAAGCAAGTACCATCCAGGGAAGAGGACTGTGGGAAATGTAGTTCCTAGTGTACTAAAGTTTACAAGAGAACATACTAGGAAAGTCTTTATTCAGTAATCACTAAAAGCTAATAGGGGCACTGTATAAGCTGAAAAATATGACTGTGTATTCATATTGAGGCTGGATTGAAAAGAACATATATCCCCTGAACTTACAATACAAGTAGAATGAAAAAATAAAATAAAATGATAAAAGATGCTGATTGTTAAAAAAGAAGAAGAAGAAGAAGTCTTAATTTTGTAGCCTTCTTCTTTGAAAGCTGGGCCAGATTATAAGCCCCTTTGGTCTGGCTTTGTGAAGGTCTGGGCTGCAAAGTTGTTCCAAAGCTCAAGGATTAGCAAGAAGTGATCCATAATGGTAATTCATTCATGTCATCCAGTCAGTGAATATTTATTGGAGTCCCTACTATGTGACTGGTGCTGGCTACTGCTGGGGATATAGAATGAGCAACACTAGACATGGTCTCTGCCCTTTATAGTTTCCATTCCCATTCTGATTGTAGTGGTTGAATCACAAATGGGGGGGTACATTTATAAGCAAATGTAAATATTGTAATTTTGGTAAGTGCAATGAATGAGCATGTTACAATGGGATGGGGGGAGATTTGACAAGTCAGAGAAGAGCTATTTGAGCTAAGATAGAAGGAAAAGTAGGAGTTCAGATTATAGGCTATGCTGGTGATCATAGTGGGAAGAAAAGTTCAAGGTGCAATTTTCCATGAAAAAACTGCATAGATCTCTACTGAACAGAAGCTGAGAATGAGAACTGGGAGTTTGTGATGGTTGGTAACTGCAGCTCAATGGCAGTTTGTACTGAATGGGTCAGTAGGCTATCCTGCAGAGGGTACTCATTGTCTCAACAGCTAGTTTTGGTTGGGTTGGCAATTGAGCTTTTTGGTTCAAGAATTAGCTGAGGGTGACAGCCTCCTGCCTACAGTTCCATGGGAACTCAGAATGTCTCCCTCTCCTGTGATAGTGGATTGAGATGTAGGTCAAAGCCCAGCTGTTTCTACCTTTTCGGCAAGCCAAGAAGTTCTGGAGTGGCAGATGTGATACTGCCTGGTAAAACATATACAAAGTGTATGCTAGCAAAGTTTCTTTTCCAATATTAACTTGAGGATTTCTTAGGGGGCAGATGGGGCAAGATCTCCAGCTACATCACCAATGTCACATAAAAATCTGCAGGTTCTTGACCCTAGTTGGGTGACAGGATGTCATTGAAACCATGGGTTCTAGGCATGATATCAAGCCCTCAGTCTCTGATGGGGAGTTTGGATGAAGGATGAGTTGGGATCCATGGAGCCAGGGTAAATGTAGAGTTGTGAAAACCAAAAATGTGAGCAGAGCTAAAACTTGTGCAGGAAAGCCGTTTCCAAAGCTAGGAAGGGAGTCTTGAGAGTCACCAAAGGCCCAGAGTCAGGTATGGATGTATATGTACTGATTCAGAAGCCTGGGACCCATGAGGTGATAGTGAGTTTCAGAGAAATAGTGGCTGAGTATAGCAGCAGTGGTGGTGGTGGGCATGTCTGCAACAAGTGTCTAGAAAGACAGGTGCTGACCACTAGGTGGTCTTTCCTCGTTGGTGGTGAGGTCAGGTGTTTGTGGAGCATTTAGTTAGAAACGTCTTTGCTCTTTAATGTGTATCTGCAAATTCTTAGTTGCTGATGTGTGAATAGATAAGGAGGTAGCTAGATTGTAAATCAACTATTTTACTGTGCAAACTATTTAGTTCAGCTGATTTTGTTTTGATAGAAAGACCTTCTCAAGGAAGGAAGTGGGGTGGTGACTTACATAATTCTGGCCATGCTCCTTATCTTATAGTTGACCATCATTTTGAATAACTCCAGAGATACCCCTGGGCTGTAGTAAAACTTGCGAGCCATTGACATATTTGCAGTATTTGAACCTGTGGAGTAGATAAGATTTCTTAGAGAGCAAACAAAGAGTGAGAAGAGGAGAAGCCAAGGAAAGGATGCTGAAGGATATCAACATTTTTTAATGGTTCATTCACTGTGCTAAGTACTTTACATGCATTATCTCATTCAATTCCTATAGTAGTCCTAGGAGGTAAGTATTATTATTCCCATTTTACACATGAGCAAACTGGGGTTTATGATTACACAGCCATAGTGGCAGAGCCGGTAGTCTAACCCAAGCACTCTGAGTCCAGAACCTGTGCTCTTAATTGCTAAGATCTACCAAGGAGCTTGCTGTAAGCAGGGACCCGAGGACCTCTTAATAGCAGTTCCTTCTGAGAGAGAGGGTGCTCGGGGGAAGAACCAGATGAGTGGACCAAAATGACTTACTGGATCAAGCAGGTCTGAAAACAAGGAAAAGGGATTTGAAATGGGTTTCTGAGAGGCAGTGTCTGGGCACACACAAAAGACAGTTGCTGATACCTAAAGTGGACTTTTTTTTGGATGGGGTGGGTTTGTTGCATGAATTGTCTTGACTTGCTTTTCTGGATACAATGCCTGGTGCATAGCAGGGTGCCCTGGCTTCAAGAGCCAAGTGTGGAATGAATGGTTCCTGGATGTTGGAAATATTTGGCAATGTCAAATTGGCTTAGTTGGAATGTTGTGAGATTATTCGCTTGGGGCAGGGCCCTGAAGGGGAAGAAGTGAGAATCTGAGCTGGGAGAGACCTGAATTTTCTCCAGCCTCAGGATATATGGTCATCTTTGCTCTGTAAATGGCTCTTATCAAATGAAAACAAGGTAGGAAGGCCCCTCAGGAGCTTGGTTTTATGAGAGACCAAACTGCAGTTTTCTACTATCTATCCCGGCAAGCAAGAAGCCACATACCTTCCTGGGAGCCTAGAACAACAAACAGCAAACCTAACTTTCCCTAAAGAAAAAAAAACTGCCTTGATATGTAGTTAGCAACTGTCGCTCAGACAAAGTGAATAAGACCTATTCCTATTTTCTTCAAAACACATATGACTACATGATGCCACACTTTAGATTAATTTATTGTCTCTTACCCCCGCCACCCCACCTTCAACTGCTCTACCCCACTAAACATTCTTTTTTTTTTTTTTTTTGAGACAGAGTCTCGCTCTGCAACCCAGGCTGGAGTGCAGTGGCGCGATCTCGGCTCACTGCAACCTCCACCTCCCGGGTGCAAGTAATTCTCCTGCCTCAGCCTCCCCAGAAGCTGGGATTACAGACGCCCGCCACCATGCCCGGCTAATTTTTGTATTTTTAGTAGAGACAGGGTTTCACCATGTTGAGGCCAGGCTGGTCTCCAACTCCTGACCTCAGGCAATCTTCCCACCTTGGCCTCCCAAAGTGCTGGGATTACAGGCGTGAGCCACTGCGCCCGGCCTTAGACATTCTTTATGGTGGCAGGAACTTTATCTTGTTCACTTCTATGGCACTATGCCTAACATGCCTGGCACATCATAGGTCTTCAATAAATATCTGTTGAATGTACGAAGACAAAGATAGATGGATCATGGAGGAGGGGGGAGAGAGGCCCATACCCGTAGAGATACTTATGAGAAAATGAAGAATAGTTGTTAAAAACACAGACTCTTGAGTCAGACTGCTTGGCTTGAAATTCTATGCAACTTTGGGCAAGTTAGTTAACTTGTGCCTCAATTTCATCATCTGGAAATGGGATAATAATAGTATCTATTTCATCAGGTTGTTGAAAAGATTGAGTTAGCTAATAGGTGTAAAGCACTTAGAATAGTGCCTGGCATATAGTAAAAGCTAAGTAAATGTTTGCTATAATAATAACTATTATTATTTTGTTTTTACATTTTTGGTGAAATTGATTATTTCTTTTTTTTAATTTTTATTTCAGGTTTAGAGGTACATGTGCAGGTTTGTTACATAGGTAAAATGTATATTGTGGGAGTTTGGTGTACTGATTATTTTGTCACCCAGGTAATAAGCATAGTCCAATAGGTAGTTTTTTGATCCTCACCCTCCTCCCAGCCTCCACCCTTAAGTAGGCCCTGGTGGCTATTGTTCCCTTCTTTGTGTCCGTATGTACTAAAAGTTTAGCTCCCACTTATAAGTGAGAACATATGGTATTTGGTTTTCTGTTTCTGTATTAGTTTGTTTAGGATGATGGCCTCCAGGTCCATCCATGTTGCTGCAAAGGTCATGATCTTATCCTTTTTTATGGCTGTGTGGTGTTCCACTGTGTATGTGTACCACATTTTCTTTATCCAGGCTACCATTCATGGGTATTTAGGTGGGTTCCATATCTTTGCTATTGTGAACAGTACAGTGATGAACATGTATGTGCATGTATCTTTATAATAGAATGATTTCTATTCCTTTGGGTATTCACCCAACAATGGGATTGCTGGGTTGAATGGTAATTCTGTTTTAAGATTTTTGAGAAATCACCACACTGCTTTCCACAATGGCTGAACTAATTTAGATTTAGACCAACAGTGTATAAGCATTCCCTTTTCTCTGCAACCTTGCCAGCACCTGTTATTTTTCAACTTTTTAATAATAGCCATTCTGACTGGTGTGAGATGGTATCTGTATTAGTTTGTTCTCACACTGCTCTAAAGAACTGCTGGAGACTGGGTAATTTATTAGAAAAGAGGTTTAATTGACTCACAGTTCTGCATGGCTGGGGAGGCCTCAGGAAACTTACAATCATGGTGGAAGGGGAAGCAGGCACATCTTACGTGGCAGCAGGTAAGAGAAGCATGTGAAAGAGGAACTGTCAAACACTTATAAAACCATCAGGTCTCGTGAGAATTCATTCACTATCACAAAAACAGCATGGGGGAAACCACCCCCATTATCCAATCACCACCCACCAGGTCCATCCCTCAACAAGTGGGGATTATGGGGATTACAATTCGAGATGAGATTTGGGTATGGACACAGACCAAACCATATCAGTATTTCATTTTGGTTTTGATTTGCATTTCTTTAATGGTCAGTGATGTTGATGCATTTCTTTAATGGTCAGTGATTTTTTCATATGCTTGTTAGCTGCGTGTTGTCTTCTTTTGAAAAATATTTATTCATGTCCTTTGCCCACTTTTTTAATGGGTTGTTTGCTTTTTTCTTGTAAATTTGTTTAAGTTCCTTGTAGATTCTAGATATTAGACCTTGGTCAAATGCACAGTTTGCAAATATTTTCTCCCTTTCTGTAGGTTGTCTGTTTACTCTCTTGATAGCTTATTTTGCTGTGCAGAAGCCCTTTAGTTTAACCAGGTTCCATTTGTCAATTTTGGTTTTGTTGCAATTGATTTTGGTGTCTTAATTGTGAAGTCTTTGCTAGGACCTATGTTCAGAAGAGTATTTCCTAGGTTATCTTCCAGGGTTTTTTTTTTTTTTTTGAATTTTCTTATTTTTCTTCTTCCAGGGTTTTTAGAATTTTCAGTTTTACGTCTAAGTCTTTAATCCATCTTGAATTGATTTTTGTATATGGTGTAAAGAAGGTGATACGGTTTGGCTGTATCCCTACCCGAATCTCATCTTCATTCGTAGCTCCCATAATCCCCACATGTTGTGGGACAGACCCAATGGGAGGTGATTGAATCATGAGGAAGGGTTTTTCCTGTGCTGTTTTCATGATAGTGAATGAGTCTCATGAGATTTGATGATTTTATAAAGGGCAGTTCCCCTGCACATGCAGTCTTGCCTGCCACCATGTAAGACATGCCTTTGCTCCTTCATCTTCCACCATGATTGTGAGGCCTCCTCAGCCATGTGGGATTGTAAGTCCATTAAACCTCTTTTTCTTTATAAATTACCCAGTCTTGGGTATTTCTTCATAGCAGTATGAAAGTGGGTTAATACAGAAGTTGTCCAGTTTCAACCTGCATGTGGCTAGCCAGTTAACCCAGCACTATTTGTTGAATAGGGAGTCCTTTCCCTATTGCTTATTTTGGTCAAATTTATCAAAGGTCAGATGGTTGTAGGTGTGTGGTATTATTTCTGGGCTCTCCATTCTGTTCCTCTAGTCTATGTGTCTGTTTTTGTACCAGTACCATGCTGTTTTGGTTACTGTAGCCTTGCAGTATAGTTTGAAGTTGGGTAGTGTGATACCTCCAGCTTTGTTCTTTTTGCTTAGGATTGCCTTGGCTTTCTGGGCTCTTTTTTGGTCCCATATGAATTTTAAAATAGTTTTTCCTAATTCTGTGCAGAATGTCATTGGTAGCTTGATAGGAATAGCATCGAATCTGTAAATTGCTTTGGGCAGTATGGCCATTAAAACAATATTGGTTTTTCCTATCCATGAGTGTGGAATGGTTTAACATTTTTTTGTGTTATCTCTGATTTCTTTCAGTAGTGTTTTGTAATTCTTGTTGTAGCGGTCTTTTAATTTCTTGGTTAGCTGTACTCCTAGCTGTGTTATTTTTTGTTGCTATTGTGAATGGGATTGCATTCTTGATTTGCCTCTCGTCTTGGATGTTATAGGTGTGTAGAAATGCTACTGATTTTTGTACATTGATTTTGTATCCTGAAACTTTGCTGTAGTTGTTTATCAGCTGAAGGAGCTTTTGGACCAAGATTATGGGGTTTTCTAGATATAAAATCATGTCATCTGCAAACAGGAATAGTTTGACTGCCTCTCTTCCTATTTGGATGCCCTTTATTTCTTTCTCTTGCCTGATTGCTCTGGCCAGGGCTTCCAATACTACGTTGAATCTGAGTGTTGAGAGAGGGCATCCTTGTCTTGTGCTGGTTTTCAAGGGGAATGCTTCCAGGTTTTGCTCATTCCATGTGATTGGTTGTGGGTTTCTCGTAGATAGCTCTTATTATTTTGAGGTATGTTCCTTCAGTGATTAGTTTGTTGAGGGTTTTTAACATGAAGGGATGTTGAATTTTATCAAAGGCCTTTTCTGCATCTTTTGAGATAATTATGTGGTTTTTGTCTTTAGTTCTGTTTGTGTGGTGAATCACATTTACTGATGTATGTACGTTAAACCAATCTTGCATCCCAGGGATAAAATTTACTTGATTATGGTGGATTAGCTTTTTGATGTGCTGTTGAATTTGATTTGCTAGTATTTTGTTGAGGATTTTTGCATCTATATTCATCAAGGACATTGGCATTTTCTTTTTTTGTTGTGTCTTTTCCAGGTTTTTGTAACAGGATGATGCTGGCCTCATATAATGAGTTAGGGAGGAATCCCTCCTCCTCAATTTTTTGGAATAGTTTCGGTAAGAATGGTACCAGCTCTTCCTTAAACATATGGTAGAGTTAAGCTATGAATCCATGTAGTCCTGAGCTTTTTCTTGCTGGTAGGCTTTTTATTACTGATTTAATTTCAGAACTCATTAGTCTGTTTAGGGATTCAATTGCTTCCTGGTTCAATCTTGGGAGGTTGTATGTTTCCAGGAATTTATCCATTTCCTCTAGGTTTTCTAGCTTGTGTGCACAGAGGTGCTCATAACAGTCTCTGAGGAATTTTTGTATTTCTGTAAAGTTGGTGACATCACCTTAGTCATTTCTGATTGTGTTTATTTGGATCTTCTCTCTTTTTAAAATTTGTGTAGCTAAAGGTCTATCTATCTTTTTAATGCTTTCAAAAAACCAGTTCCTGGAATCATTAATCTTTTGTATCATTTTTTGTGTCTCAATTTCCTTCAGTTCAGCTCTGATTTTGGTTATTTCTTGTAATCTGCTAGCTTTAGGGTTGGTTTGCTCTTTTTCTCTAGTTCTTCTACATGTGATGTTAGGTTGTTAATCTGGGACCTAACTTTTTGATTTGGATGTTTAGTTCTATAAACGTCCCTCTTAGTCAGGAAAAATAACTAATGGGTATTTGGCTTCATACTTGGGTGATGAAATAATCTGTAAAACAAATCCCCATGGCACAAGTTTACCTATATAACAAACCTGCATATATACACCTGAACTTAAAATAAAAATTAAATAAAAAGAAAAGAAAGAAGGAAAAATATAAATATACTTCTTTCTTACACTGCTTTGGTTGCGTCGCAGAGATTCTGGTATGCTGTATCATTGTTCTCATTACTTTCAAAGAATTTCTTGATTTCTGCCTTAATTTGGTTATTTATGCAGAAGTCATTCAGGAGTAGGTTGTTTACTTTCCACACAATTGTATGGTTTTGAGTGATTTTCTTAGCCTGCCTTTCTTTCTTCTTTCTTTCTTTCCTTCTTTCTTTCTTTTCTTTCTTTCTTTCCTTCTTTCTTTCTTTCTTTCTTTCTTTCATTCTTTCTTTCTTTCTCTTTCTTTCTTTCTTTCTTTCTTTCTTTCTTTCCTTTCTTTCCTTCCTTCCTTGCTTCCTCCCTCCCTCCCTCCCTCTTTCCTTCCCTCCCTCCTTCCCTCCCTCCCTCCTTCCCTCCCTCTCTCCTTCCCTCCTTCCCTCCTTTCCTCCTTCCCTCCTTCCCTCCTTCTCTCCTTCCCTCCTTCCCTCCTTCCCTCCTTCCTTCCTTCCTTTTTTTTTTTTTTTGAGACAAAGTCTTGCTCTGTCGCCCAGGCTGGAGTGCAGTGGCACAATCTCAGCTCACTGCAACCTCTGCCTCCTGGGTTCAAGTGATTCTCCCACCTCAGCCTCCTGAGTAGCTAGGATTACAGACATGCACCACCATGCCTGGCTAATTTTTGTATTTTTAGTAGAGAAGGGTTTTTGTCATGTTGGCCAGGCTGGTCTCAAACTCCTGACCTCAAGTGATCTTCCTACCTCATCCTCCTGAAGTGCTAGGATTACAGGCATAAGCCATCATGCCCAGCCCCTTAGCATTGATTTCTATTTTTATTGCACTGTGGTCTGAGAGTGTGGTTGGTATGATTTTTTTTTAAATTTGCTGGGGATTGTTTTATGCCCAGTTGTGTCATTGATTTTAGAGTACGTGCCATGTGCAGATAAGAAGAAGGTATATTCTATTGTTTTTGGTTGAAGAGTTCTGTAGATGTCTTTTAGTTCCATTTGGTCAAGTGTCAAGTTCAGGTCCTGAATATCTTTGTTAGTTTTCTACCTTAATTATCTGTCTAAAACTATCAGTGGGGCGTTGTATTAGTCTGTTTCACACTGCTATAAAGAAATACCTGAGACTGTAATTTATGAAGGAAAGGAGTTTAATTGACTTACAGTTCCACATGGCTGGGGAGGCTTTAGGAAACTTACAATCATGGAAGAAAGCAAAGGGGAAGCAAGCACCTTCTTCACAAGGCAGCAGGAGAGAGAAGAGCAAACAAAAGAGTGCAAATGAAGGAGCAACTGCCAAACAATTTTAAAACTATCAGCTCTTGTGAGAATTCCCTCAGTATCATGAGAACAGTATGGGAGAAACTGACTCCATGATCCAATCACCTTTCATCAGGTCTCTCCCTTGACATGTGGGGATTATAATTCAGATTACAATTCAAGATGAGATTTGGGTCAGGACACAGAGCCAAACCATATTCTGCCCCTGGCCTTCCCAAATCTCATGTCATCACATTTCAAAACACAATCATGCCTTCCCAACAGTCCTCCAAACTCTTAACTCATTCCAGCATTAACTCAAAAATCCAATTCCAAAGTCTCATCTGAAATAAGTCAAGTGCTTTCCACCTATGAGCCTGTAAAATAAAAAACATGTTAGTTACTTCCAAGATATAGTGGGGGTAGAGGCATTGGATAAATGCTGCCTTTCCAAATGGGAGAAATTGGCCAAAACCAAGGGGCTACAGGCCCCATGCAAGTCCAAAATCCAGCAGGGCAGTCATTAACTCTTAAAGCTCCAAAATAGTCTCCTTTGGCTCCATGTCTCACATTCAGGGCACGCTGATGCAAAGGATGTGCTCCCATGGCCTTGGGCAGCTCTGCCCCTGTGGCTTTGCAACGTACAGCCCTCTATGCCTCACGCCCAACCCATTGCTTTCATGGGCTCGTGTTGTGTCTGCATCTTTTCCAGGTGCACAGTGCAAGCTCTTCATGGATCTACCATTCTGGGTTCTCGAGGATGGTGGCCTGTTTCTCACAGATCCACTAGCCAGTGCCCCAGTGGGGACTCTGTGTGGGGGCTCCAACCCCACATTTCCCTTCTGCTCTGCCCTAGCAGAGGTTCTCCATGATGGCTCCACCCCTGCAGCAAACTTCTGCTTAGACATCCAGGTGTTTCCATATGTATTAGTCTGTTCTCACACTGCTTGCACCTTCTGAAGCAATGGCCCGTGCTGTACCTTGGCCCCTTTTAGCTACAGCTGGAGCTGGAGTGGCTGGCTGGGATACAGGACACCAAGTCTCTGGGCTGCACAAAGCAGCGGGGCCCTGAGCCCAGCCCACAAACCATTTTTCCCTCCTAGCCTCCCAGCCTGTGATGGGAGGGGCTGCTGTGAAGGTCTCTGACATGCTCTGGAGACATTTTCCCCATTGTCTTGGTGATTAACATTTGGCTCCCCATTGCTTATGCAAATTTCTGCAGCTGGCTTGAATTTCTCCCCAGAAAATGGGTTTTTCTTTTCTGTCACATTGTCAGGCTGCAAATTTCCCAAACTTTTATGTTCTGCTTCCCTTTTAAACATAAGTTCCAATTTTAGATCATCTCTCTCAAGTTCAAAGTTCCACCAATCTCTAGGGCAGTGGCAAATGCCGCCAGTCTCTTTGCTAAAGCATAACAAGAGTGACCTTTGCTCCAGTTCCCAGTAAGTTCCTTATCTCCATCTGAGACCACCTCAGCCTGGGCTTCATTGTCCACATCCCTATCAGCACTTTCGACAAGTTTCTAGGAAGTCCCAAACTTTCCCATATCTTCCCATCTTCTTCTGAGCCCTCCAAACTGTTTCAACCTCTGCCCATTACCCAGTTTCAAAGTCACCTCCACATGAGGTTATCTTTATAGCAGTACCCCACTCCCTAGGTACCAATTTAGGTGTAGAAGTCTCCCACTATTATTATGTGGTTATCTAAGTCTCTCATAAGTCTCTAAGAATTTGCTTTATCAATCTGGGTGCTCCTGTGTTGGATGCATATATTTAGGATTGCTAGGTCTTCTTATTGAATTGAAACTTTTACTATGATATAATCCTCCTTTGTCTTTTTTTGGTCTTTGTTGGTTTAAAGTCTGTTTTGTCTGAAATGAGAATAGCAACCCCTGCCTTTTTTTGTTTCCTGTTTGCTTGGAAATTTTTCTCCATCTCTTTACTTTGAGTCTATGGGTGTCATTGCATGTGAGATGGGTCTTTTAAAGAGAGCATACCATTGGGCATTGCTTCTTTATCTAACTTGCCACTCTGTGCCTTTTAATTGGGGCATTTAGCTCATTTACATTCAATGTTAGTATTGATATGTGCAGTCTGATCCTGTCATTATGTTGGTAGCTCATTATTATGCAGACTTGTTTGTGTGGCTGCTTTAGTGTCACTGTTCTATGTACTTAAGTGTGTTTTTGTAGTGGCCAGTAACAGTCTTTCCTTTCCATGTTTAACACTCCCTTAAGTGCTTCTTGTAAGGCATGTCTGGTGGTAATAAATTCCCTTAACATTTGCTTGTCTGAAAAGCATCTTATTCCTCCTTCACTTATGAAGCTTAGTCAGATTAGATATGAAATTCTTGATTGGAATTTATTTTCTTTAAGAATGCTGAAAATACACCCACAATCTCTTCTGGTTTGCAGGGTTTATGCTGACAGGTTTGCTGTTAGCCTGATGGGGTTCCCTTTGTAGGTGACCTATCCCTTATCTCTTGCTGCCTTCAACTTATTTTCTTTAATTTTGATCTTGGAGAATCTGATTGCTATGTGTTTCGGGGATGGTCTTCTAGTATTTTGCAAGGGTTCTCTGCATTTCCTGAATTTGAATGTTGGCCTCTCTAGTGAGGCTGGGAAAATTTTCATGCATTATATCCTGAAATATGTTTTCCATGTTGCCTGTTTTCTCTCCCTCTCTTTCAGGGATGCCAATGAGTCATAGATTTGGTGTCTTTACATTATTCCATATTTATCAGAGGTTTTGTTCATTCTTCTTTATTGTTTGTATTTTATTTTTGCCTGACTGAGTTGTTTTGGAGAGCCAGTCTTCAAGTTCTGAGACTCTTTCCTCAGTTTGGTCAATTCTGCTGTTGATACTTGTGATTGCATTTTGAAATTATTCTAGTGTGTTTTTTAGCTCTGTCAGACAAGTTTGTTTTTTTCTTATAATGGTCATTTGCTTTATCCTCTGCTGTGTTGTTTCACTCTAATCCTTAGATTTCTTGGATTGGGTTTCCACTATCTCCTGTATGTCGATCATCTTTGTTCCTGTCCATATTCTGAATTCTATTTCTGACTTTTCAGTCATTTCAGCCTAGTTAAGAACCATTGCTGGGAAATTCGTATTGCCATTTGGAGGTAAGAAGGCACTCTGGCTTTTCAAGTTGCCAGACTTTTTTTTGCTGTTTCTTTCTCATTTGCGTGGGCTGATGTTCCTTCAGTCTTTGAAGTTGCCATCTTTTGAATGGATTTTTTTTTTCTGTTTTCTTCTTTGATACCCTTGAGGGTTTGATTATGGCATAAGGTGGGTTCAGTTGACTAGCTACGATTCTAGTCCACTCCTCCATCTTGGAGGAGCCCCCTCTGATTACTGTCTCTGTGCCTGTGTTTCTTTTTTGGGGTGTTCTGGTCCACGGGGCTCCCCACAGGGGCCACAATTGGCAGACAAGCCTTATTTTTGCCAAGTAGGCCTTAATATGCTGTCTGTGTGCTTCCTGGGAAGAGACAGGGTTGTGCCTGCCCACAGAGTTCAGGTGGAAGCAGGTCCACTAGGTTGGAAGATCTAGTGGGTTTGGCCTGTTTAGCTATGAGAGGTGGGGGTGGGTGGAGTGTCTGCCCTGCTGTCTGGGTGTTTCCATGGCTGTAGCCCTCGGCAAATTCAGGCAGAAATAGGGCCACTGGGCTGGAAACCCCAGCAGGCATAGCTCCCCTGGCTACAGGCAGGGGACGCCTGCCCTGCCAAATGGGAGTTTCCTAGGAAAACAGGAAGCTGCACCCTCCAGCTGAGTTCACACAGAAGCGAGACTGCTGGCCTGCAAGCTCTAGGAGGCATTTCCTGCCTGGCTAGCAGCAGCAGGGGTAAGGTCACCTACCCTGGTGTCTGGGTGCTTCCTGGGACAACAGGCAACTGTGAGCACTGGCTGAGTTCACATTGTAGGAGGACTACGGTGCCTGAGTGCATGTGGGGCCATGTGCTCTGTGTTCTGGGTATTTCCCTGGACAACAGGAAGCTGTACACTTTCGCTGAATTCACACAGAAGCAGGACCACTGAGCTAGAAGCTCTAGCAGGCATTGCCCTCCTGGTTCCCAGTGGTGGGGGCAGGTGGCGTTGTACGTTCTGCTGTCCAGTTGTTTCCTGGGACAACTGGAAGCTGCCCACTCTGGCTGAGTTCACACAGAAGCCAGGCCACTGTGCGGGAAGCTCTAGCAAGTGTTGCCCGTCTGGCTGCCAATGGCGGAGTTGGGTGGAGTGGCCGGCCAAGTTCAAACAAAAGTGGGACCACTGGCCTGGAAGCTGGTACTGAGCCCTGTCTCGCAAGGGGGGTGGTGAAGTAATGTTACTGCTCCCAGGCATGGCAACGGTGGCCTCTACTGGTGCTATGGCACCAGCGCTTGTTTACTCTGAGGCCTAAGGCTTGTAGAGGTCCCTTTGGACTGGAGAGTTGCCCCTGCAAAACATCCAGGTGGCTCTCTGCCTCAGTCTAGAAGCAGGGTGCGGGGGTGGTTCAGGGGAACCAGTGGTATTATCCTGTTCCCAGTCTTGCACAGGTCCCTGTGGGGAATGTGAATCCCCCTGGGGGATCTCACTCACTGACCCTTTCCTATGTTGGAGAGGTTCTCCCAGCTCCACACTGAGTCTAGGCAACGTGGGGCCCAGCTTCGTTCCTCTCTGCTCTCTGTGTTCCCCTGCTGCCTTGATGAATCCCAACATGGTTTCTCAGATGATCAGGCTGTAGGGACAGTATTCACTAGCCTTTTGTTTTCTATCCGTGAGAGTGGCACACATGAGCTGCTTCTAGTCCATCATCTTGGCCCAGCTCCACCTAATATTCTTTTAAAAAGTTGAATGCAGGAAAATATGAAGAAGGAAGGAAAGAGGTTAACACTCTTCAAGCAGTTGTTATACTCCAGGTGCTTTTCTTCATGAGTTACTTGCACTACTTCATTGAATCCTCACTTCAAACTTGGCAAGTAAGTAGCATTATTTTCCCACTGTACAGATGAGGACACTGAGATACTTGTCCCAAGTGATGTAGAGATGAAACTGAACCCTGGCACTGAGCCCAAGCTCTTTCCACTCAAGAACATTGACTCTAAGTTCTGGATCATAAAAAAGGGCCATGTCTGTTTTTATCTACAATTTTACTCTCAGCCCGTAGCAAATAGTGGGCACTCAAAAATTAATTGATGGATTTGAACAAATAGTGAATGTATAAATGCTTTTAAGAGCAACAGAAAGGTAAATTCCAACCAAACCTTAGGGAAGACTCTAGGAAGGCGGTTGAGGCTGCCATTCTGAAGTAGGATGCAGTCTGGACCACAGTGGACAATCTGAACCTACGGGAACTGATTGGAGGATGGCTTTGGGCTGTTATGGTGCCAATCATAAGCCACCTTGGGTTCTCGTGGCTGGAAGTTACAATTATGTTTCTAAATTAAAAGGGAAACTATAAGTATATGAAATACATTCTCATTTAAAAAAATACCCAAAGATGATAAAGTAAAAATTATCTTTGAACTACCTTCCACCACTAATCTGATATGCATCCCCTCAGAAATTTGTATATGAATTTAACTATATATATGTCTATATCTATATCTATATCTATCTTGCTTGGTTTTGTGGTTTTTTACATAAATAATATCCTCCTGTATGCTTTGTTTTACAGCCTACTTTCTTCACGCGACAATATATGTTATAGCTCTTTCTACGTTAGTATGAACCGATCTATCTCCTTTTAAATGATTGAACAGTATTCTATATTTTATTGTTTGGGCAAGCCAATTGATGTAAATGGTCCCCTTTTATGCCTTCTCCTTTCTTCTCACCTTCTGTCCCTTTGTCCTTCCATTTCTGTCATTCTTTCTTTTGACATTACAAACAGTACTACAGCAAGAATACTTATAAATGCCTCTTTCTGCTGATGTGCAAGAATTTCTATGGATAGAGACTTGAAAGTAGAACTGCTCAGCTGGAGAATATGCTCATGTAAAATTTAGTAGATAACTGCCAAGTTATGTAATTAGAGTTTATAAAAGCAGAGGCACAAAATTAGTGCTCTCTAAACTCATTGGTCTCTCTGTTTTTGAATTGTTTTGCCTATTTCAGTATTCTTTTTCCTTAGCTTCTCTGCGAGGTCACTTTTCAAAAATTTTAGTCTATCTCAGAAAAGCTAAGGAGAAAATTTCCTCTGGTTACACTAATTTCTATAAATTTAGGAGGACACCAAGAGTGTCCCTAGTGGCCACATGGCAGTAATGCAACCCTGGCTGCCTGGGCTCAGCTGGGGCAAGGGATCCAGAGAGTTAAGAGTGGGATTCATTCTGGGAGGAGTCAGGATGGCCGCAGTATTCGTCCTTTCCAGTTTATAACGTGCCTATATACACTTTTCTTTCCTTTGGGGTCTTGGAGAACCCTTCATCGTGGGTAATCCTTTATCCTCTCCCCACCCCAAATCAAGAAAAAGAGAAGCCATGTATTTTACAGAGAAATGAGACATTCTGAAGAGCTAGTGCCATCTACAGTCGTAAAAACTGCCCACAAGCTTTCTTGAGAATTTCTCCACAGGTCTCTATGCTCTTTCACTTGCTGCCATTTGCCTGCTTTTCCTAAAACCTTGTCAGTCAAAACAATAGTAATAATAAATGAATAATACATGATTTGTAATTCAGTGATATTTTCTTGTGTTTTTAACTACTCCTGCAGCAATTTTAATTTTTAATATTTTTTCTTTGCATATGTTTGACTCTATTAGCATATCACAATTTGTATATCCTTTGGAGTTTGCAAAGCACTTTCACATCCAACATATTATTTACTACCTGTAGCAACCACTACTGTCCTTGATTTTATAGGAAATGGTTCAGGGAAGTTAAGTTACTAGTTTAAAGTCACACAACCTATAACTGACAACAACTGAAGTCTACTTGGATCTATTTTCTTTGGCCATTATATTACAATATACCGTACTCTGTGTTTATGAATTAATTAGAATTTTTGTCTGTGAATATAAATATGATTTTAGTTATCTTTTCTTGAACCTCTGAAGATAGGGAAACTAAATTTGAATTTCAAGTTCCCAAGCCTTATAAACAAACTTCTCATAAATAAGATAAGCTAAAGATGAAGAGTATCTGATAGCTTTGTACTTGATTTTGAAGGGGATACTTTTTGGGTGTGACTGAGAAGACAGAGCTACTCTTCAGTAGGACATTGCGCCCATTCCCTCCCCTCCTGTCAGTATACAAATTGTGCTGTTGGTCACCATTGCAGCTGCCATTTGTTGAGCCTGGCTCTGTGAGCAGTTGTTGCCTGGCCCCGTTTTTCAAGAGGAGGCTTTGCCCCACTTGGTGGGGCTGGTGCCTGTGTATTTTTCTTGCCACTCAGAGTAATATCAAACTGAAGTTAAACTCTAGTGCAGCTCTGAAGTCTTCTCCAGCTTTGTAATATATTTATGTAATATTTATTGAGTGTCTGCTAGGTGCTAGGTAGTGTAATAAGTCTTTTACACATATTAACTCATGTAATCTTCACATTAGCCCTGTGAAGTAGGGATTATTATTATTAAATCCATTTTGCAGAGGAAGAAACCGAAGCTCAGAGATGTTAAGTAACTTGCTGACATTCATGGAGCTAGTGTGTAGCAGAATTAGGACATGATTCCAAGCCTGTTTTGATTTCTAAGTTTGTGCTTCCAATCATTTTAAGTCTTTCAAAAAGCTTTTCCTCATCCTCCCTGCCGCCATTTCAATAACTTCTAAAAGAACACCCAAGATATAGCACCAAATCAGAAATGGAATAGTAATAATGATGCTTTGGCTTAAATGCTTTGAATGCTGTCTCTTTAGCAATGGACAAATGGCCTTCGAGCATGGATTGGAATAGGAACTTTGGAGTCCCCCGACACTTAGATTTAGATCTCAGCTCTACCTCTTCTTTATCTGTTAGTTTCTTTATCTATAAATTGAATATAATAATAGCTACCCCAATAGGGTGATTGTGAAATATAAATGGGTTAATACATGTAAAGCACTTAGAACTGTCCCTGGTCCATAGATAGAGCTATGTGACAAGATTCTGTTATGAAGCTATAAGATAAATTTAGATACTGTGTTGTTTCCTTGCCTCAGAGGGTGAAGAGGAGGCTTATCTAGGTCAAAGGGAGCACTGGAATGGCAATACTGTTAGGAAAAAACTGTTACTCACTTGTGCCCGTTGAAGCAACATCGGAGTAGTATTTGCAGTTATCTCTTGTCACTGCTGGACTTGGGCAGATTTATTAACTGATCAAGTTTGCATTGTGGTAGTATCCCCTTCATCTACCCTCCTCAGACACTTTGTACAGTTGTTTTCTCTTCCACTCCCTGTGCCTCTCCCACACCTATGCCTGTGGAAGGAGCCAAATACCCTTCACTCTGACTGAGGTGTCTATGACTCATGAAACTTCCTTTATGTAGTTGCTTGTATTTGAACTGAACACTAGATGTTTAGCCTATACTCATGGTAGGATTTCAGGCATTAATCAGTGGACATGTCTTAGTCAGCTTAAGTTGCAGTAACAAAATACCATAGATTGGGTGGCTTAAATAATGTAAATTTATTTACTCACAGCTCTGGAGGTTGGAAAGTCCAAGATCAAAGTGCTAGCCAATTTGGTTCTTGGTGAGGGCTCTCTTCTTGGCTTGCAGACGGTGGCCGTTTTGCTATGACTTCACTTGGCAGACAGAGATAGCCCTGGTGTCTCTTCCTCTGAGGGCCATTCCCTCATTAACTCATCTAAACCTAATTATCTCTCAAAAACTCCATCTCTAAATATCATCACATGGGGAGCGGGGGTTAGGGAATCAATGTATGGATTTTGGGGAGACACAATTCAGTACATAGCAGATCACAAAACGACTATTTGAACCTCAGGGCCTTTAGGTGCCCCTAAAACCATAACAAAATGTAAGAAAGCCAAGTCCCCCTGTACTCCAGGCCTATACACAGTTCAGAAATGAGCATGTTCTACGGAGCTCCCAAGGGCTCTTCCTTCTTGGGTGGTAAGAAGGACAGATTCTCCCCCTAAATCATAGTTGTGGTTCCAAAGTTAGGTTTTGGAAACAGTCTAATCCACATTATCAGGCGGTTAAGAGAATGGGATCCCATTTGACTTGGTAATGGTTTTCTTTTTTTAACTTTTCAGTGAAAATTTTCCTTTCATTGTAATTAGACTTAGTGATTCGAATCTCTAGAGTTTGCTCTTTAAGTACCAGCAAGTGTTAAAGTGCCCAGGACTATGAAAAAAGCTTCAGCTTGAGTTGTTGGTGTAAAGGGAAGGTTTAGGCAAGCCTGCAGCCTCTAAGGCTATTGATTTAGAACAGGCATTAGGTGCCCAGAGAGACTTGGGAGAAAAGGTGTTATAGACACCATTAATAGATCCATGGGGAGACTGAATTATTTCTCTAATAACGTGGTCCATTTATTTTTAAGATCATTTATGGGTTCCTTATATCTTCCAGTCTGTGCACCAAAGAAAGGAAAAGGAATGTTTATGTCCTTTTTCCTCTTTGGATTTTGGAAAACCTTGCCCTGATGAAGACATAAAGACTCCAGAGAAGTACAATAGTACCGTGAGGGTGGAGATGCTTTTTAAAGGATAAGTGCATATGATAGACAAATACTTAATATCATGATATTATTAATATATAAAGAGCTCTTACAGATTAATAAGAAAGACACAAACATCATAACAGACAAAAAGACAAAGGAAGTAAACCATTTACACACACACAAGACAAAGAAATAAAAATGTCCAATAGACACTATTTAAAATAACAATGAAATCATGTGCTTCATTAATGCCTAACACATTATATTGACAAGGATTAAAAAATTAAAAACAGTCCAGGTGCTGTGGCTCACGCCTGTAATCCTAGCATTTTGGGAGGCCAAGGCAGGTGGATTACCTGAGGTCAGGAGTTCGAGATCAGCCTGGCCAACATGGTGAAACCCCATCTCTACTAAAAATACAAAAAAATTAGCCGGGCGTGGTGGTGGGCACCTGTAATCCCAGGTAATTGGGAGGCTGAGGCAGGAGAGTTGCTTGAACCCGGGAGGTGGAGGTTGCCGTGAGCCGAGATCACGCCATTGCATTCCAGCCCGGGCAACAAGAGCGAAACTCAGTCTCAAAAAAAAAAAAAAAAAAAAAAATTAAAAACAAATGACCATAGCCAGTGTTGGCCTGGTTAAGACAGAAACAGACACTCAAATACAGTTCTAGTGGAGGTATTAATTGGTGTAGACTTTCTGAAAGGCAATTTGAGAATACATACCAAAAGCTTTAATATGTGCATATCTTTTGACCCAGCATTTGCACTGTTAGGTATTTATCCTAAGAAAATAATTACGGATGTGTGAAAAGATTTAGCTACACAAACAATTGAAGCAGCAAAAATTGGAAGCAACTAAATACCCTCAGATTGGAAACTGGTTAAATAAATTATGGTATAGGCATAGAATAGAAAATTATGTAGCCATTAAAAATCATGTTTTGAAATGAGAAAATGTTCATGATGTCATAATATTAAAGTAAGAAAGTAAGATACCAAGCGGTGTATACAAAATATAATCTCAATTTCACATACAAAAGTATATTAAAAGACTAGAAGAAGATACACTTAAATGTTAACAATGATTATGTCTGGGTGGTAGGATGACAGATAATCTTTACTTTCTTCTTTTCAGGATTTTATGTCTTTCCCAAATTTCATACAGTGAGTATGTGCTACTTTTATAATTAAAAAAAAAAAAACAACAGCAACACAGAAACTATAAAAAAGACATTTAAGCTTGTTTCTGAAAGCTAATCTTTGATTTAATTTTTTCTCTTCAAATTTAAATGCAGACATTTCCTTTAGGAAATGAGGAAAAACATTTAACTGTCTTGTGGGAGAAATTGATAAAGAAAAAGTTTTTCTGGGGTGTGTAGGGAATACCCCAAGATAAAAGTACTCCCGTGGACCATATATATTCCAGACTGACCCTTCTTTCAAAGGCTTCATGTTACCTTTTTTTCAGAAACTGCTTTATGGAGGTATAATTCACATACCACAAAATTTACTCATTTAAAGTGTACAAGTCAATGTATTTTAGTATATTAACAGGGCTGTGCGGCCATCACCACTATCTAATTCTAGAATATTTTTATCACTCTAAAAAGAAAATTTGTACTCATTAGCAATCACTTCCCATTCTCCACTTCCCACCCTCTCACCAGCTCCTGGCTATGAATTTGCTTATTCTGAACTTTTCATATAAATGGAATCACACAATACGTAAGCTTTCACTTAGCATAATATTTTCAAGGTTCATCCATGTTTCAACATCAATCAGTACTTCATTCCTTTTTATGGCTGAGTAATATTTCACTGTATGTATAATGAAGTTGTGTGTATGTATAAACTATACTTACTTTATCCACTCATTAGTTGACGGACATTTCAGTTGTTTTCACTTTCTGGCTTTTAGGAATAATGCTGGCATGAACATTTGTGTACAACTTTTTGCCTGCAAATTTATTTTCATTTCTCTTGCATATATACCTAGGAGTGAAATTGCTGGGTTACATGACAACTGTACAATTAACCTTTTGTGGAAATGTCAGGTTGTTTTCCAAAGTGGGTGCACTATTTTACATTTCCACATGTTATCTTTCATCCAATAATTCTTACATGTACTTTAAGAAATATGTACAAGGATGATCATTTGTAATAGCAAAAAACTAGAAACAATCAAATATCCATAGATAGGGAACCAGTTAAATCGATTGTAAATTATGGAATACTATGTGGTGCTAAAAGAATGAGATATTATATATGTTCTCATTGGGAAAGATAAACAAGATGTATAAGTTGAAAAAGCAAGTTGTAAATCAGTATGTATGATTTTGTATGCAATACAATTATTGTACATATGTATATGTATCAAAATATATACATATGTACATATTGTACATATGTATATGCATCAGAAATTTCTGGAAGAATATCTAATCAATTGTTCATACTGATTCCTACTGAAGAATGAGACTGGGGGGATTGGTGGTGGTCTGAAGTGTGGTGTGGGGAGGGAATTGCTTTTCAACTTAAAGCCTTCTGTACATTAATTTAAAAAAAAGTGTTATTTTACAATAATAAAAACGTTTAAGAAAGCTTGCATTTAAAAACTTAGCTTTTTAATTGGCATAGACAGTTTGATTTTCATTATTCATGCAAGTGCAGCAGGAGGGAAATGATGCTTAGTAGTCCCAATAGCAGAGTGAGAGTGCAGAGCCTCCTCTACATCAATAGCCCAGGATTCTTTAATCTCTTATTGGATACTGGGCCAAATTTTAGGAACAAACTACCTCTTGATTTTTCTATTGCATCCAAATGGGTAAATTTATGTTACCAAGAAACATGTTTTGAGGCAAAATTTATGGCTTGTGTAAACATTTTAGTAAAAGCAGAGCTCTCAAGATTAAAATAGGAATGATTGAGGAGACAACATTGGGATATATTTGTTGGCAACCAATATTTGATAAATTGCATTTCCTAAAAAAAAAGAATTCAGCAGAACACTTTGTTGTAAGTGTGACAGAAATTTCTAAAGCCGTTTCTAGGTTAGAAAAAAATTACTTGAAAAATGTTACACTATGTGACTACACACAAGATTTGATCATTTAAAATGAGTCAGTTGTTGGCCGGGCATGGTGGCTCACGCTTGTAATCCCAGCACTTTAGGAGGCTGAGGAGGGTGAATCACCTGAGGTCAGGAGTTCAAGATCAGCCTGGCCAACCTGGCGAAATCCCATCTCTACTAAAAATACAAAAACTAGCTGGGCGTGGTGGTGGCGGGCACCTGTAATCCCAGCTACTCAGGAGGCAGAGGCAGGAGAATCACTTGAACCCGGGAGGTGGAGGTTGCAGTGAGCTGAGATCACACCACTGCACTCCAGCCTGGGCGACAGAGCGAGACTCCGCCTCAAAAAAAAAAAAAATGAGTCAGTTGTTGACAGAAACTGGACAGATTTCTGCTTTTAAAAGAATTTGTGGCCCGGCGTGGTGGCTCACGCCTGTAATCCCAGCACTTTGGGAGGCTGAGGTGGGCGGATCACGAGGTCGGAGTTCGAGACCAGCCTGACCAACATGGTGAAACCCTGTCTCTACTAAAAATACAAAAATTAGCCAGTGGTGGTGGCACACGCCTGTAATCCCAGCTATTCAGGAGGCTGAGGCAAGAGAATTGCTTGAACTCGGGAGGCGGAGGTTGCAGTGAGCCGAGATCACACCACTGCACTCCAGCCTGGGTGACAGAGTGAGACTCCGTCTCAAAAAAAAAAAAAAAAAAAAATAGTTTGCATTAAAAGCCCTATGATATGAACCCCTGTGTTGGGGAAGAGGTAAGCAATAAGGCTTGGCATAGCTACCCTTTCTGTTAATAGGAAAAAGTAGGTGGCCTTAGTTCTCAGATTAAGACAGCCACATGAGATCAACAGCTTGGTGCCCTAGGTGTAGGCAGGATGTAACTTGCTCGGTTAAATATGTTTACAATGAATTGCCTCCATTAATTCCTTTCAACTTGGTTTATATACCCTTTTCAATTCAATTATAAGAAACTCAATCAAATACCTACCGGGTGCCAGGCACTATGTTAATCCCTGTGGTGGATACAATTATGAATGAGACTAGATTTCCACCTGGAAGGAACTAATTTGGGGGCTATTTACAGCTAATTTCTTAAAACTTTTCCTTTTTATTTTAATGCACATCTTATATGCACAATATCTGTTATTTTTTTTTTTTTGAGCTTTTAAAGGCTTAAGAGGCAAGTGAAACGCTAATCAAGTGGCCTAATTCATTCCAGGGACAGTGTAGAAGTCACCTTTGTAATGAGCCAATGTGGAGCTGAAGCATGTTTGGTTATGCTGTAGGCAAAAGAATCTTGGGCTGTGTTCATCTGCCTCTAAGTTTCCTTTCATAAGACTTGGAATCCCTTCCACACCCTAGAATAGCTATGTTTTCTAAAAGTAAGGTTTTATGAAAGGAATCCCATGTTCCGTTGACCTCTTGTAGCAAACAGCCAAACAAATGAAATAGATGTATTTTGACTGGAAAAATTGACTCTCACTTATAATATAATAATATAAAACTTTGCCAAGAATTACTACTCCTCCTCACACTGTGTTAATACTTCTGCTAGCTGGACCTGCCTAAAATTGATTTCACTTTATAAACAACAACAACGGCAAGAACAACCCACTGGTAGAGATAATTTACAACCAAGAGGGTCCATGGTGTTCCTCTACCCTCCTTTGCTTCACACACTATTCCTGTTGGTGGAGTATCTATCTCTAAAACTTTAACACATAACGCTGTTTTTCACCACCTCAAACCTCCTCAGCATTTCTAAATATATATCCAAGATGATTCTATTATTACTTCTGGCCCCTTACACATTCCTTGAATTTATAGGCCTCTTTTAGACATTTTCTGATGATACCCATGCAGTTAATTACAGTCTTCCTGATTGAGAGAAACGAACAGCACCCATAGGGAGGGACTGCAGTGGCTCTTCCTTATTTGGCAGTGGTTGCTCAGTTGCAGTTTCTGCTGGGAAAGGGGTCTACATTCTGCAGTAACATAATATTAACTAGCTGCCTCATAAGGAGATGCAAGTGCAGCACCTCTTGGCCATGATTTGTAAAAGGGCATATTTCAAGAGTCTTAAGATGGATTTAGCCAATACTGAGAACTTGTTTTGCTGAGGGACATAGGATGTAGTCCACTTAAATCAAAATGGAAGAATTACTCCAGGTGAGCACATTTGACTTGTAACTCTAAGAAAGTAAAAGTAGTAACAATTGTCTGGATCTTGTGTACCTTACAGAGATAATTTTGGGGTGGGGATTTTGGTCAATGGCAACACAACTTTAGGTAATCAACTCTGCATGAAGATAAGCTGGGGAAGAGAACGGTGCGTGGGAGGACACTTTTTCTGCCAAAGAATTGCTTTCTCCAGGCTTGGCCCTTCCTAGGTGTGTATATTTGGGTAAGTTACCTAATCTCTTGAAGCCTCAGTTCCTCATTTGTGCAGTGAAGATAATAATACCTATCTTGTAGGATTATTTCGAGGATAGTATATAAAGGAATCTGTGATATAGTAAAGCAGAGGCATAGTTTAGAGTACAAGATGTTTACTAGGGATCAACACCTGTGAAAGGAAGGAGAAGGAGGCACTTTGTAGTAAGATGCCCATATTATAACCAGAAAAAGGTTTGGGTCCTTAACATTTACTGTTCTTGTTGCTTGAAATGCCATTCCCTAAAGACTCCCATGCCTGTGATAATGACCATAAAGAAAATAAAATAGTAGTGTCTTTCTCTTCCAACTCCTATTTCACTTGTTTTTAAAAATCACTTCTCATTGCTTTCCCTAGCAAAAGTCTCCTTAAATGGCAAGCTTCTTAACCTGCCACTCAAGGATCTCTGTTATCTGCCCACAACTTCATACATTTCCAACTTTTGTACCCTGTCAACCTCCAGCTGGCTGGGCCTTCCACTATTCTTGGCACAAGGCATATTTCCTCCTACATTTACCCTCTCCTGACACCATTCATTCTGCCCTCCTAGCTGCCCTTCACTCATTCAAATGCTCCCCAGTCCTCAAGGAGGAATTCTGAGTTCATGCCAATCTGATGTTTTACTGGTTTATTCTAGCTCAGAATAGTTAATTCCTCTTTTGAATTTCTAGTTCTTATGCTTGGACTTCCTCATATTATAAAGCCTTGTAATGCCTTTTGTTTCATTGCTATGCATTGTTATTATGTTATTGGTGGCAAATATCCGAGTTACTTGGCACCAAAATATGTTAGTGGCGGCAACTCCATACAGTTTTGCAGCAGGAATGTACACTTGGAAGAGAACCAAGTGGGCACCTTGGAGGTCAAGTGCCCCATTTAACCTTGAACCTCAGATTATATACGCTGGCCTACTTCTGGCATCTTGCGCCCCTTTCCTTTCATTCTTCCCTTAGGGTGAGCCACCTGCATGCGTGGTGCACTGCTTGCACTTGGGAGGTGAGCATGCACATTGTGTTTACTGGAGTTGTACGCATCTCACCTGAGGCTTTCTTCCCTTTTTGTGGAATGCCCCTGGAAGGTCACGCTCTGCCATTTTGCCTCTTAATGTGCATGCTTGATCCCACTTGCCCAATTCCTGAAAGCTGCTGATTACCAACTTCAGGTATTTTTATCTGTTAGGAAGCTGCCTCTTGCTTGAGCTGGCTGTGACCAATTATTATTTTAGAGAGGCAGTGTGACAACAGCTGGACCATCACCTGATGGTTGCCTGACATTCCTGGTGGGTGGGAGGGAGAGCCCTCTCCTGCCCTGCTCATGCCTGACTAGCTACCTACTGTAACAATTACATTCTTTGTGCGGATATTTATTAAGCATCTTTTATGTTCCTGTCCCTATTCAAGGAACTGAGGATACAGAAAGTAGTGAACAAAGAAAGCAAGTTGCTGCTCTCAAGGAGAATATATTCCAGTGAATGGGGATAGACAGATAATAAACAAACAAAGGAATAAAGGAGATAATTTCAGGTAGCGATAAGAACCACGGAAAAAAAGAGCAGTAACATAAAGGGAGGGAAGGGGGGTACACACAATTTTATTTTCTTTATGGTGATTATCACAGACCTGGAGTGTTCTAGAGGAAGAGCATTTAAGGCAGAGGGAACAGAAAATGTTAAGGCCCCAAGACTTCTTTATTTTGGCTAGAGTATGGGGTCTTACTATTAAAAGGGTAAGAAAAAATACACAGAGAAGGTCAGCTAGGTATCTGGCTATTGGAGTAACTGAATCTTATGCTGATTACTGCATACATTACTTCTTTTACTTGTTTTATAAATTGCAATGCTCTATAAATAAGTTTCCAAAACATTTCACCTGATTATCACAATTACCCTTCAAGTTTATTAAGGTAGATATTATTATCCTCTTTTTATCGGAGGAAACTGAGTCTTTAGATGACATGCCCACAATCACATATTTAACATGTTTGTTGGATGTGTCTCATTTTCCTCACCACGATGGAAATACCTCAAGTCAGCAACCTTAAAGTGAGGGTAATGGAAAGAACTCTGGAGGCAGCCAAGTCAGTTTCAAGCCTGACTCTGCCACTTAACTAGCTGCAGAGTCTTAGGCAAGTGATTTCACTCTCTATACCTCAGCTTCCTTCTTTGTAAAATAAGGATAGTAATAATCCATGAAGTGGTTGTGCAGAATGAAAATAATAATGTATGGAAAGCCACTAACACAGTGTTTGGCACATTAATAGATGGTCCCACCTGTGACCATCATTACAATGGATATAATAATTACAAGAAACAATAATAAAATAATAACCTTTCCTAAGGTTATATTTCTCGGGGAGCTGTTCTGTTACACGTAAGGAACCATTAGCTAGCAGATGATATTTTTTCCTGTGCCTAGAAGTGACCTCCATACATTATTACACACAAGATCATTGGAAACACAGTGATTTTGTGAGATTTGATGCAAAAGATCCTGTAAAGGCACTTAGCACAGAGCCTGGTATATAGTAGATCCTCAGTTAATGGTTACTATTATTATATAAACCATTATGTCTATCTTCCTAGATTTCCTAGCATTGTGATGGGTGCACTGGCATTCAATTAATATTGAATGAGTGAAGGAATAACTGAACTTAAAACACCAAATAATCTTGTTCAGTTGCAGTTCAAACAGAGCCAAATGAATTAATACTGGGTTTGTCTCTGGTTATTTCCTGGTATCTCCACTGTCATCTCAGCCAACTTGAGGGGGAAACCATGTATTATTGCCTTTCTTTTGTATCCTTTCCCACCCCCCATTTCCATTGGTCACTGTGATTAGTTCAATTCTTTGTAGAATGTGAGCAATAAATAAATACATGCTAAATCAATTACCAGTTCACTTGTCCAGAGGCTCATTTCTAATAGATCAAATTCCCTGACATCTCAATGACTCACCTGCATTACTGTCATTTTTTGATGTAGAGACTGAGTCTAAGGGCTTTGGAAATTTGATGATGGGATTTCACCATTCTGGTTTAAATTCATTCAATACCTGGCATATAGCAGGCACTCAATACATAGTTGTTGAGAAAAAAGAATGAATATTGAATTAATGCATCCTTCACCCTTGCCACTAGATTCTTCTTCTCCTTGTCACCATATGTCACAGCAGGGAAGTCTAAGACATTGTTTTCTTTGTTTTTCAAGTGCTTAGAGCCAAAGGCATTGATGAGAACTCCCTTAGGCAATGGCATCTTAGTTGAATGCCATTAGGCAAGTCTTTCAACAGAAGCAATTTGGCCTTTGGGTCATCTGGTGCCTCATTTTCTGTTGACTATTCTGCCCAAGGTAGCAGGAAATAATCTGCTCAGCCTAGGCTGAGTGAGCTTTCATGCCTATGGGTGCAGCCTATTTGAGACCCAGCAGGGTGGGGTCACACTTCTATCTCCAAAGACAGTAGGCCCTGAAAGTGAACTGTGACTGAAATAGAGATCTTCTTGAACTAACAGCGGAACCTGGTTAACTCCATTAGGTCTGCATCTCAAAAACAATAAATAGAATTTAGTTCTCTCCATCTTAAAAAAACAGCTATTTGTTTTCAGGATAACCGTGTGTTAGAGGCCTGGGTAAGGAGGAGACAATTCTGTTTTAAGCATGTTAGGCATGATTTAAAGGGTTTTTCTATTGCTTATAATAGGTTTTCATTTTTGCTGATTGAATTTAGTTGCTTCTGTGGCTGGTATGCAAGCTCCTGGTTGGGGGTGGGTGTGTGTGACCTTTTTAACTTTGTAGCACTTTAATGCAAATGAAATTTAAGGGTGGGGGAGCAAGCAAAACCAACCGAATGACAATGAAATCATTTTCTAAATATGTTTACAATCAAATATCTCCCTCGATAATTTGATTTGTAGGAAATGGCAGAGTGCAGCATTTTATACAGAAGCTTTTCAATAATTCATCTTCATCTCATTGATGTGCAAGCCTTTGGCTAGGTTGGTGAGTGCAATAGTGCTCTGGCACGGGGGAGAAATTCATTTGAGTTCTCAAATCGATGTACCCCTTGTCTGACCCACCCGTCTAATGCTGTTCTGGCCTGTGACTAGAGGCTTTTCAACCTTATTAGACTCCTATAGTACCCCTTTCTAGAGTACTGAGAGCATTTGGAAACAGTGCTTTTTCCTTGTTTAATTTTTTGGGGGATTTTTATTTGTATAATCCTTATTAAGCTGTTCAAATGATTAAACTCCTCTGTAGAAACTTCTAGAAAATTGACACTCCCAAGTGTTAGCTTTTGGGGGCATGGGGAAATGGAAAAGTGTGGAAAGTGGCAATTGGGAGAGGGTCCTCTACCGGTTGAAAAGATAAGCCTCTTAATAGGTCACAAGGTCAAGCAAACTTGAATACATAAATAATAAAGAGACCAAGAGACACTTGAAATGCTCCAAGCTTGAGCTAGCGTTAAAAAGTGGTCTTTTCCCTGGGAATTTGCACTCTTGTGGTGGCTCCTCACAGAGCTTGTGTAAGACAGACTCTTCCTGGCTCTTGGGTTGCGGTGGGGCAAGTCCTTTGCAAACTCCTTCCTGGAGCAGGAGGATGCAGGATAGAGGGAGGTGGTGGGTGGGGAGAAAATGGCATGGCAGCGTACCCAGTCATCTCAATTAGAATCCCAGAGTCTTCAGGCAGTAGTGTGCTGAGGCTCTGGCCCTCAGAGAAGCCAGACAGTGATTACCTCCTTTGTAATAATAGACAGGAGACATGAAGTTTGCTATTGTGCTGCTGCTGCTGCTCTGAAACTTTGTGAAGCCATTGATCTGACTTCAATGAACCATAATACTATTGATTTGGTGTCAGATCACTGGTAGGCACTTGAGTGACAGTCTGAGTGGATGTGATGTTACATTTATATTGTCCTTTTGTTTGTTTTCTAGTTGTCAAAACCTCTTGATAGAATGTGTGCTGCTAAATGCCTGTACAGTCCTTATTAGAGTTCAAGTGCCAAGAGCATGTGCTGCATCATTAAACAAAATGAGTGGCTCTTGGCCAAATTCTATTGGTTAGAAATGTATAATATTTGGTGAGCCTGATTTTCACTGACGAGCTCAGAAAGGCACAGTGTTATGCCCTCTGAAGCTGTCGAGGGTAAAAGTAAATCATCCTTCAACCCCCATCTCCACCCCACCAATCTTATTGGTAGCTGGGACTCATGCCATCTCAGCCACATTCCTGGCTGTGCTGGGACTGAGAAAGGGCTTTACTAGGCAAGAAAACCCAGCAGGTTTATAAGTATCTTGGGATATTGTAAGGGAAGTGGAGAATCAGCAGAATTAGCCTGACACATTCTTCCCGGGTTATAGTTCCAAACCAGCCTCATATTGGGCACAATATATGAAGTAGTGCCCCAGTGAGACTGTAAGGTGGGAAAAATTGAGATGTGTGAAGTTGTGGAGAGCATCCCTTAGTGAATCTCAGTCAGTCATTATTTTTATTCAGTGATTACATATTGAGTACCCACTAGACAGCAAGCATGGTGCTTAGTGTTAGGGATATAGTAGTAAACCAGAACAACATGGTGCCTACACTCAAAACACAGTTTAGGAGGGAGAAAAGGACCAAATAAGTCTAATGAATAATTCTAAATATAATGGTAGAAAAAGGAAGGCAGTGTAACGTGGTGGAAAGGATATGGACTTTGCAGTCTGGCAGATGTATGATTGAATTTATTTTTACTTATTTATTCTTTTGAGAGAAAGTCTCACTCTGTTGCCCAGGCTGGAGTGCAGTGGTGCAATCTCAGCTCACTGCAACTTTCACCTCTTGGGTTCAAGTGATTCTCATACCTCAGCCTCCCTAGTAGCTAGGATTACAGGTGCCCACCACCACGCCCGGCTAATTTTTGTATTTTTAGTGGAGACTGGATTTTACCATGTTGGCCAGGCTGGTCTCAAACTCCTGACCTCAGGTGATCCACTCATCTCAGCCTCCCAAAGTGCTGGGATTACAGGTGGTGAGCCACCACCCCGGCCACGATTGAATTTAAATTAGCCGCTTGTTTTTAAACAAATTACTCCTTTTCTTTGAGCTTTCATTTTCTCCTCTGTAAAATGGTGACAATAATAGTACCTATCTCAAAGGGTTGTTGTAAGGATGAAGTGGGAATATGCATATAAAGGTCCTAACACAGTGCCTGACGCTAGTTGGTACTTAGTTGTCTAGGAAGGAAGAGTGGAATGGTGGGGGGTGGTAGGGGGTGGGGAAGCACACTGACAAGTGTATGGAGGATTATAAAGAAAGTTGAGGGTTAATGGCCAATTAGGAGACTGTTGCAGTAATACAAGTGAAAAATGATGTTAGCCAAGGCTAGAGTGGCAGTGTGTGAATGGAGAGAAAGGGACAAATGCTTATGTTACGTAGGTAGACTGAATAAAGATGGGAATGAGGGAGGGGCTAATCTCCATGTTTCTGGCTATGAAAATTGGGTGGATAATTACTCTTTTTATGGATTAAGGAAAAAGAGAAGAGGATTTGGGGTAAATTAACTATGAAATGTCTATGATATATCCAAGTGTATATGAGATACCCAGTAAGTATGCAATTGGATATAAAAATGCAGAGCTCAGTGGAGAGGTGAGGCCCAGAGATCCAGATTTAGAGGTCCTCAGCACAATGATTAAAATTGTAGTTATGAGCTATCTCATTGTCTTAGTCCGTTTGGGCTGCTATAACAAAATACCTTAAACTGGGTAACTTACACACAACACAAATTTTATCGATTTAAGGTTCTGAAGGCTGAGAAGTCCAAGATCAAGGCACCAGCACACTCGGTGTCTGGTGAGTACCAATTTCTCATAGATGGCACCTTCTTGCTGTGTCCTCACATGGTGGAAGAACAAACAGGCCCCTTGTGCTTCTTTTATAAGAGCATTAATCCCATTCATGACAGCTTCACTCTCATAAGCTAATCACCTCCTACAGGCCCCAGCTCTTAATATTATTGAATTAGGGATTAGGTTTCAACATATGATTTTTGGGAGGGACACAAACACTCAGACCGTAGCACTTGTGAAGAGAGAACGGAGAGAAGAGAGTAAAGGACAGATTTGTAGGGGCACAATTTGGCAGCTTCTTACTCCTACGTTCACTATTCTTCCCACTTTTCCAGAGAGGGATTTATGGAGTTCGTTATGTCTTTTCTAGAATTTTTCTTTTGTATAACTGACTTATAAATCTCCTATAAAATGATCAGGTAGCTGTTTGTATTTTTTTTAACAGATGGGCACACAGAAGTGTAGGGAACTATCATGAAATTGTCAAGGTCATTCAGTTGGCACCAAACTCAGGACTCCTTCTTGCCCACCTGCCCATGTCAATTCCTTCTTCATGATCCTTTTTGAAATGGAACTGTCCAGTCTTTTGAGTATGGTTAAGGTATTGTGAATCACACATGCCTTGATCTCCTCGTCTATAATGGCATGGGTTGTTATTTAGGGCTATTCATGTTGGGAGGGGAGGGCAAAAGGTAGAGAATGGGAGAGCTCTATTTTTGAGTATGAATTGTCACTGTAGACAGAGGAAAAAAAGAAATCCATGGGAGATGATGACATTGTGCAGTTGGGGAGCAAAGAAAGAGGAGTCGAAGAGAGAAGAGCTAAAAGAAGTGGACGTGTTATTGGAGTAAAAAGGCACTGAGGAAAATACTCTTCAGAGATCCCAGCATGAAGTGAGAATCCCAGGAGGCAAGAGAAGTAGAGAGGAAAGTGGAGGAGGTCGCGAGTACATGTGTGCACGACAAGAGACTTGTTTATTTCCCTTCAGTTTATTCTGTGGTTTGTTAATGAAGGCCCAGCAGCAGGAGATGTGCAGTCCATTTAGGAATGACAAGGACTGCTAATCCAGGATTTACCTATGCTTGCCGGCGGTGAAAGCCCCTGCTACTAAATTATTTCAAGTGAATGCACTGGCTCAGGTAGGGATCGAGTTGTCTCGCTGGGCCAAGTCTTTGAGTTAATGCTTCAGCGCATGACAGTGGAAGTAAAATCCTGAACTGGATTTCCATATTTGTCTAATATAGACTCAGGCAAGAGGCTGGGATGAAGATTGAAGTCCCTGTTTGTTTAAAAAGGCATGCAGAATTTCAACAAGGTTCATTTGCATGATTGAGTGACTGAAATGTGACCCCTAATCACACAGTGAGGTTGAATACACTTTGTACTGGCTTGTTTCAGAGAGGAAACTCTAACCTCTTTGGCATTAGCCTGTATAGAACTCACCCCTTACTGATCCTGTACTTTTTCCATCATCCTCAGTGAATCAAGAAATCTCAACTCCGAGCAACAGGAGGTTAAATACTGGTTGATGAGAATGTTTGTTTGCTTGGTTTCTCTGCTAATCTCAGTGCTGGGAGCAGGTGCCTGCTTGGCAGCTCTGGAGTCCTGGACCATCTCAGAAGAGCTACAGTTGTAAGTCTCCAATCCACAGCCTCTCCACAGGGTCTTTCTGCTTGGCAGACCTGCCATGGCCTGGTAAACAGGGCTCACCAGCTAGCATCTGCTCTCTGGAAACTAGTCTGAGAGTCTGGCCTCAGTTGCCCAACTAACTTGCTGTAAACAGACACAAGGCTTCTGGTAGGATCAACAGGAAAGTGCCTTTGTTTGTAGAAAGAATCATTAAACTGCAGACCCCCAGATTTTCATACCTTCTTCCTCAGACATCCTTTAACAATGCTCCCAAGCATCTCTTTACCATGTGCTTCATTCCTGGCCAGATTAACACCTAGAGGTTCTAAGCACTGAAAAATTTATAGTTCTTCCTTACTGATCCTGTACTTTTTCTATCATCCTCAGTGAATCAAGAAATCTCAACTCCTCAACTTACGTAATTCAAAACTGAAAATTATACTAAACTGTAAAATAAGTGTAGCAAGTCCAAAAATCTGATTTTCGACATCATGACTCTTTTACTTTTTAAATAGAAAATATAAAATTATTTTTAATTTTTTAGGTAAATTTGATAATCTAGTTATAGTAACAGGCTGACCCTAACAGGATCGGGGAGAGAGACTACTTCTGCAGAGAAACCTCTTGAACTCTGTATGCAGTGACTCCATATTCCAAATCTCACAACTTCTTTCTCTAACATATTTTAGAGACGTCTACACAAATATCTCCTTTCCAGGTGTTCAAGTCTGATCCCAGTAAGCCTATGTCATCATTCAAATTGGCTGTTTCTTTCTGGAAAGAACCAGATAAATCCCAATTGCAAAGACTGGTTTAAATAGTCTTAGCTGCCTGGTTCCCTCTTAATTCTTAATTAGAAATATCTGATCAGTCAAAGAAGAGGATCATTCTAACACCTCAAAGTGATCAAAATCACATCTTTTTTTGAAGATGTAGCTTGACACCCAGCTGTTGTTTGGGGAATGTCTACCAAAATTTTTGCTTGGCTGCCTAATTTTCATATGAAACAATTCTCCTTTCCTTTGAGCAAAACTATTACTGAGATGTAGATGGTTTGAGCTGAAAGAGAGGATGGATTTTCTCAGTCCTCTAGTGTGGCAGAACAACCCATCATTAAGTACACAGAAGGCCTAAGGGAAACTACTCAGGGATTAGCCCATAGGGGTATTTCTTGATTTGTTCTCTGTGTTGCTTTTCTTTTCATTTTAGTGGTGGTAAAAGTACTGCTGATGGGAGGTACACCTCTTTCCACAAGATCACATGCAACACCAACAACCAGCTTCAGTGAACCAAGTAGAAAACTATAAAGCCTCCAGCATAAGGAAACTATAACCAAGAACATTCTATTTATTCAACTTAACCTTAAGCTCATTGTTGATTAGCCTCAAATAATGATAAACTTACTGGTGTATTTCCATCTATGTATGATTCAGGGAAATTGAACAGGACTCAATATACTGTGTAATCACTTGCTAAATGAGTCTTGAATACACAGGGAGCTACCTGAAGCAGCCTGAGATTGGGTTTATCCTGGCCTTGGGTTTATATCTATGCTATGGGGACTAAGTGGCAGGTGTGTGTGCAGGAGGGTGTTTGGATGAATTCCTGTTCTGAAAAAACACTTCAAAGTGTGTGTTTCACTGATTGTGGCTCAGTAGGGTTGTTTCTATTTAAAGGACAGCACATTTTATTTTTCAAAAGTGGTTACCTCTGAAACATCTATTATTTATATTAAATAATGCAATATATATGATTGGTTTATGAAAACCCAGCCTACAGTTTTGTAGCATGTAATGGTGTTGCTTCCATTTCACTATCTCTCCTGCAAGAAGCAACCAACTGTATTTTGGAAGGGTAGAAAAACTACTTCCCCATCTTTCAAATTAGCTCTGGAATCACAAATGTGGGTACAAAATTCTACAAGTACAAATGGTTTTCCCAAAAGGAATATAATTGTGTCATAAACACGGCTAAAGCTATGATCGCCAATTTACTGATAAATTAACTAAGGCATGGGAAGATCCAGTGACATTCCCAGGTTTCGTGGATGGAATAGTGACCCTCCCACCCCCACCAAGTTTATATCCATCCAGAACCTGTAAATGGGACCTTATTTGGAAATAGGGTCTTTGCAAATATAATCAAGTCAAGATAAAGTCATACCGAATTAGGGTAGGCCCTAAATCCAGTGACTGGCATCCTTGCAAGGAAAGGGAGGTTTGGAGACAGAGAGACGTAGAGGCCATAAGGAAGAAGGCCATGTGACAACAGAGGTGGAGATTGGAGGGACACAGCTGCAAGCCAAGGAACATCAAGTACTATGGGCAACCACTAGAAGATAGGAAGGAAGCATGGAACAGAATCTTCCCTAGAGTCTTCAGAGGGAGCATGGCCCTGTAGACAACTTGATTTCAGACTCCTAGCCTCCTGAACTGTGAAAGAATAAATTTCTGCTGTTCTAAGCTGCCCAGTCTGTAGTAATTTGTTATGGAAGCCCTAAGAAACTAATATACCAGTGAGGCACAGATAGGGAATCCATAGGTTAGGTTTGGCTTTTCTGAACCCCTAATGCAGTGTTTGTTTTTCCAGGATACCTCAATGTCTCCCTGTGAGTACCCCCTTTTTCATCTATTCTCACTCTTCCCAGTAAAAATAAAAAATCATTATCTTTGGGATTTATGGCATTTTGTGTTTTAGGGTATTATAATTATAAGGAGGTAGGTGACAGATTGGACACCAGTAATGGGACAGCAGTATAAAAATCCCATAGATGTTGTCCACAGGCAAAATTTGCTGTATTGGACAATCTATGTCATGTGGAGAACATAGTCCTCCTCTCTGATTTCCCCCACTGAGATTGTCTCAAAACAGAGCTATAATGAGCACTAGCTATCTCCGCTGGCAACCTATGATATAATTATGATAATGATGATGCTAAACATTTATTACACACCCACAGTGCAAGGTGTTAGTTGTTCAAAACACATAAAATACCTGATCCCCACTGTCATAGTGTTTACCACAGTATTGGCACAGTGTGGGAGTTGATACTTTGTGGTCAGTTAATGTTGAGATGATCTGCTTGGATAATAGACCATAAACTTGCATCCTTCCTAATTTCTTTCTTTCTTTTTTTTTCTTTCTTTTTTATTTTTGAGATGGAGTCTCACTCTGTTGCCAGGCTGGAGTGCAGTGGCACAATCTCGGCTCACTGCAACCTCCGCCTTCCGGGTTCAAGCGATTCTCCTGCCTCAGCCTCCCGAATAGCTGGGACTACAGGCACACATCACCAAGCCTGGTAATTTTTGTATTTTTAGTAGAGACGGGGTTTCACCATGTTGGCCAGGAAGGTCTTGATCTCTTGACCTCGTGATCTGCCCACCTCGGCCTCCCAAAGTGCTGGGATTACAGGCGTGAGCCACTGCGCCCTGCCCTTCTGAATTTCTTTTGTAAACTCTTCTAATGTGCCAGTCCCCCATGATTACACTGAGCTTGAAGGAAACTAAATCCCAGACATTGGGATTTGATCACTTTGGGGTTTTAGAATGATCCCCTTTGACTAATCAGATTGATTTTTCTAATTAACGAAGAAACTAAATTCTGGTAGGATCTACAGGAAAGAGCCTTTCTAATTAACCAAAAAAACTAAATCCCAAACATTCCAGAGTTCACGAACTCTGGAATGTTTGGGATTGCCATAATCATCAAAATATTTCTAGTATACTTTTCTCCCCAGTTGACTGATGAGTAAACTGAGATGTGAGCAGATTAAGTGACATTCCCAGGTGTAGTGGGTTGAATAGTGCCCCTGCACCCCCAATTCATGTTCACCCAGAACCTGTGAATGTGACCTTATTTAGAAATAAGGTCTTCACAGATGTAATCAAATTAGGATGAGGTCATACCAGATCACATATATTGTTTGGGTTGTTCTGAATTAGTGGAGTTTTCATGGGTTTCTCTGAATCTAGATTTACTTGCTATGGATCCTTGAATCTAATAGCAGTCCTGTTATTACGAAGAGCTGGTGATGGTCTGAGAACCATATATCTTAGAGTTGGAAGAGACTTCATGATATCATGGTAAGCCACCTGCTTTAGGGCAACTAAGCTACCATTATTTCCATTTACAGGTGAAATCGTTGAAGACAATTCCAGCGATCAAATAAAGATAACACATTTGGTTAGTAGCAGATAATAATATCCAACATTTTAAGTGTTTTCCATGTGTCAGGCATTGTTTTTAGTGTATAGTTCATTTAATTTCCAGAACCTTATGAAGTAGGTATCATTATTATCCTGTTTTAAAGAAGAGAAAACAGAGACAGAAAGGTTAACTAACTTGCCCAAGGCAGTACTGCTAGTAAGTTATCAGAACCAGGTATCTGCACCTTAGTGTAGATACTACTGTGAACCCAGAAAGTCTGATTCCCAAGCCTAAGTATTTAGTCACCATGTTATATCATTTAGTGGTCAGAATAAGAATCAAATTCTCCTCTCCTGGTGGTTTAGTGAAGTGGTTCCTAGCTATTTTCAGGGCCTATGAATCTCTCTCTCTATATATATTCCAAGCATTATCTGTAGACTAAAAACATTAATGTGATCAACAAATATTATTACATGAATATTAGTGTTTGAGTAAGTAAACTATAAATTCCTTCAAAAGCATTAATGAATTGGCTGGACATGGTGGCTTACGCCTGTAATCCCAGCACTTTGGGAGGCCAAGGTGGGTGGATCACTTGAAGTCAGGAGTTCAAGACCAGCCTGGCCAACATGGTGAAACGCTGTCTCTACCAAAAATACAAAAATTAGCCAGTCGTGGTGGCAGGCACCTGTAATCCTAGCTACTCGGGAGGCTGAGGCAGGAGAATCACTTGAACCTGGGAGGTGGAGGTTGTCGTGAGCCAGGATTGCACCACTGCACTGCAGCCTGGGTGACAGAGACAGACTTTATCTCAAAAATAAATAAAAGCATTAATGAATTAAAATTGGCTTCTTGTCATGATTCATTTTATTAAACCAGGGGCTAAAAAAAGAACAACAACCCTTTTGTGGGAGTCTGAAATATTTTGAACTATTTCAGGGGTCCTTATATTCATGAAGATTGGGAATCACAGGTGTCTTAGTCAATTAAGGCAGCTAAAGCAACATAGGACAGACTGGGTGGTTTACAGAACAAATATTTATTGCTGATAGTTCTGGAGGCTGGGAAGTCCTGGATCAAGGAACTGGCAGATTCAGTGTCTGGTGAGGGCTCCGTTCCTGATTTGCAGATGGCTGACTTCTTTTTGTCCTCTAATGGCAGAGAGACAGATCACATCTCTCATGTCTCTTCTTATAAGGGCGCTAATCCCATCATTAGGGCTCCACCCGTAATTACCTCACAAAATTCTCACCTCTGAATACCATCACATTGGGATTAGGGTTCCAACATGTAAATTTCGGGAAGACACAAACATTCAGGCCATAGCAACAGGTATAGGAAAAAGAGCTGAATTTGGAGTCAGACAGACTTGGGTTTGCGTCTTGGCTTCTGTTTACTTCCTAGCTGAGAGATCTTGGGCAAGTCCCTTAATCATCTGAGCTTCAGTTTCCTCATCTGCAAAACGGTGTTGTTGGGAGTCTCAGATGTAGCAGTGTGTGTGAGAATATTTTGTAAAACAAAAACCCATAGAATTCCTTAGGAATAAGAACTATAATGACTATTATTCCTCTATAATACTCAAGGAATCAATTTTAGTCCTGAATATGTCCTTATGTCAATTTTGCCTGTGGCCTTTTTGTACACCTTTCTTTACCTTTGTCATTACTGTGATACCAAGCTGAGGGAATAGGTCAATTTACAAGAAAATAATATCCATCCCTGGCATGAGTTGTCTCCACTTTCCAGTCATGCCTGGAATAGCACATCCTTTGTAAGATGAGGACTTTGGGTGGTAAAGAGGAAAAGAAGATGGCATTTCAGCTCTTCTGTAGCTTTGACTTCATCCAACCACTTTGAGTAGATCAAAGCTATTCTGGGAGGCCCGACATCATTTTTTTTTTCTAGGCTGAGAACTAGAGATGGAAGAATGTAGCCCAGCCAAAGAAAGGAACTGTTCTGTCTTTCTCCCACATTTCTCTCCTTTCCCAGCCTTCCAATCTCTGTTGGGGGCACTATTTTTTGAAGCAGAAACCTACAAAAGGACAGACAAGATCCATCGTTGGCCTTCTGAGTGGCATGGAAACGTTCTGGGGCCTATTTTGTGCAGATAACATGGTGAAGTAGCCAGCCAGGATACTCCTGTCAGTGGATCCAAGGGCTTCAGTGGAATTGTGTCTGAACAGCAGGGACAAGCTTGAGGGAACCTCAGTTACAGCCCTAGTCTGACTTGGTCATCTGCTGTGACTTTATGTTTCTGCTTTGATTCCAGCCATTTGTAACTGCTGAGTTGCTCCAAGGCTTAGCATGAAATAGCCTCAGCTTCTGGAGCTAGAGCTGTGCCGCCACCACCTGGGGTTGGGGAGTATTTCAGCAGCTATCGTCCTTACCTCACTCTTAGCAGTCATTCATTTACAGAAAGAATGCTGAATTTATTCTCTTGTCCGAGAAAAATCCTTTTCTCCGGAAGCTTCCTGATTCTTTGGGGAGTGCTTGATATGGAATAGGGTTTGGTTTCTGGGCTACTGATGAAATTTACAAGGTTGGCAGTGATGAATCTTTAAACAGGTTTCTTGTACTCTACCAGCCACAGCTATCCATTATGATTAATAAAACAGTGCATTAGTAACCTAGGTCTGACCAGTGGTAAGGCATGATTAATCTTGCGGCCCAACTGCACTCCAACTGTCTTTGTTAACCTCTTGTCTGAGGACATATAGCTATCAACAGAGACTGAGGATCTCCTTGTTAATTACACTATATATACTATATGCTATATATGCTTTATGAGACCTAAGAAGTTTTGGAAAGCTGGTTGGCTGCTCTGTCTTCCTAATACCAACCTGTGCTGAGAACCTTGCTATTTATCTCCTTGGTTTCATCTGCACTGCTAGTTCCTGGTTTGGGACAACCACAGATTATTTTCATGGCAGACTTGAATTGTGAGTCTTGGCAGAAGACAAAGGTGAACTTCGCTGCTTGATCTGCTACGATCTTTGTGCTAAAGGAGAGAGTAGGAATTACCTTTTTATTTTTATTTATTTATTTTTATTTTTAGTAGAGACAAGGTCTCACTTTGCTGCACAGGCTGGTCTTAAACTCCCGGGCTCAAGCAATCCTCTCACCTTGGCCTCCCCAAGTCCTGGGATTACAGGCATGAGTCACCATGCCTGTCTGGGATTACCTTTTTATAGATAAGTGAAACCTAGTGTAAGATGGGTAAGTTTTTATCTTAGTCTGTTCAAATACCAGGTAGAAAAGGGCAGGGCCCCTGGCAAGGGTTTCACCCTCAAGCCTGGGCCCACTGCCCTAAATGAGAACTTCACATCCCTGTTTTTCTGCCTGAATGTTGCCTTTTGGCCCACCAGGTCCCCCAACCCTGTACCCATAAAAACCCCAAGCTCCACTGGCAGAGGAGCAGAGTGGCATGGCAGAGAAGGAGAGAAAAGAAGCATCTGAACGTCAAGAGGAGTTTGGCCAGGGACAGTCAGAGAGGAGCTTCCCACTCCATTCCCTTTCTAGCTCCCCACCCCACTGAGAGACCTCTATCACTCAATAAAATCCTCCACATGCACCACACTTACACCTTACACCTGAGCTGTTTAACACTTAAGCTGTCCACAGATGGCAAAGCTAAAATAGCATTGTTTGTAACTCACACCCTCTGGGGCTCCAGTGGTTGTGTGCAACCTCTAGACACTGCTGCAGGCTGGTTGTCACCCAAAGGCACTCACCCTGGCTCCTGCACCTGCTCACCTACATGCTCCCCCTCCTGCAAGGGGTTTGAGCTTGGAGGCTGAGTAAACGAGTCACACCCCTGTTGCAATTCCTGTGAAGGGGTCAAGAGAACTCTCCTGTCTCACTGTTATAACAAAATATCACAGATTGGGTAATTTATAAATAATAGAAATTTATTTCTCACAGTTCTGGGGGCTGGGAAGTCCAAGATCAAGGTGCTGGTAGGTTCAGTGTCTGTGAAGCAGTGAGGGCTGCTCTCTGCTTCCAAGATGGTACCTTGTTGCTGTGTTCTCTGGAGGGGAAGAATGCTGTGTATTCACATGGTAGAAGGGATGCTAAAGGAAAAAAGAACTAGCTAATTCCCTCCAGCCTTTTATAAGGTTGCTAATACCATTTATGAGGGTTCTTCTCTCATGACTTAATCACCCCCTCCTAAAGGCTCCACTTCTTAATACTCTCACATTGGAATTTAAGTTCTAGCATATGAATTTTGGAGGGATGCATACATTCAAACCATGTACGGCCTTCTGAACTTTGTAATTGGTCCATGTGTCAGGCCTAAAACAAGTGTGTGGAGAGCACCAAGAGAGCTATCATTTGCTGAATTCACTTTTAAAGTCAGGCTTGCTTTGTGTTCACATGAAAGAGGTTAGTTGGTAGTGTTGGTCATCTGGCTGCTCTGAGACACACATTTAATTTTCATTATGCCAAGGAAAGACCTAAAGAGAGGTAAGTTACAAGCGTGGAACACACCACACCTCTTGTGCAGTCATAAGATCTGACAGAAGTAGAAATTGTAGGAATACACAGGAGAGTTCTGTTCCAAGACATTCAGTTCCCAAGAAAATGCAAATCATTGCAATACATAGTTTTACAGTTATACTGTCAGAGTTCTCAGAATTAATCATTTTCATTTCTAGCACTAAGTCTGATACTAACCTCTGCTCTCCTTACACTGTCTTTTCCTTACACTGTGTAACCTTTTGGAAAAGCACTTATTGCTTTTACCAAAACCTTCTTGGTCTAATCTCCAGGAAATATCTTGAAGAAAATTAGGTTTATTTGACAGGCTATATATTGGCATTTAGTGAATTCTTATCAATGTAGACTGCCTTAGATGGTCTTTACGTTTCATATTAAATGTGACATTCTCAGAGAGGCCTTCCTTGACTATGTGCTGTAAAGTTGGTTGCTCCAACCTCTTTTTTTTTGGTATAGTGGTTAAGAAAACATGCTCCAGAGCCAGGCATTACTTCCCTGGTTCTGTCCACCACTAGCTATGTTACCCAAGGCAAGTTACTTTCACCTCTCTACATTTCAGTTTCCTCACCTCTAAAACAGGCGTAATAATAGTATGTACTTCAAAGGGTTATCATGAGGATTCGTGATGGTGCATAAAGCACTCAGAACAGTGCCTATCACCATTATCATTATAATTTGAGCCTGTGTTGTGTCTTTCATGTCATTTATTATGAATTGAAATTGTTGTAGGTGTCAGTTTTTCTGGTTTTTTTTTTTTTGTCTCTTTCACTGTTCTGAAAGTTGCATGAGGGCAGAAACCATGGTCGTCTTGTTCATTCTTCTTTCCCCAGTGCCTAGCACAGTGCTTAGCTCACAGCAAGAACTCAATAAATACTTGCCAAGTGAATGAATGATAATTTAAGAAAATTTCCCTAAACAACTCAAATATTATAAATCTCATTACCCCAAGCTCCCATTGCCATAAAATCTCTTTATAACAAAAAGACTCCTAGATACAAATCAATGAAGCATTTTGTTTTAAGGAATATTTGCTATAAACAAAATGCCAGGGCAACACATTCCAAACAGTTTTCCATGTCAGCCCTTCTTTTTCACCAGTGCCTTTGCTTTCTCCAGCTATTGACAGCTAGATCTACTAATGGGACCTACCCCTAGGCTTGGACCCAAATCCTGTCAATCATCCAAGCTATTGATGATGTAGACTAGGGTACCAAAATTATAAAGGTAGAAACATGTTAAATAATTGAAGTGTTGGCCGGGCACGGTGGCTCACGCCTGTAATCCCAGCACTTTGGGAGGCTGAGTCCAGCAGATCACAAGGTCAGGCGATTGAGACCATCCTGGCTAACATGGTGAAACCCTGTCTCTACTAAAAATACAAAAAAATTAGCAGGGCATGGTGGCGGGTACCTGTAATCCCAGCTACTCAGGAGGCTGAGGCAAAAAAAAAAAAAAAAAAAAATTGAAGTGTTGTGTATACTGTAAAGATCCCTTACCCTAGCATGAAGTGTGTTAGAGATGAACCCTGGGTGTTTGTGTAGCCTCCAAGTCATAAATCTTGCCACTGCACCCTCTGTCACAGATGGCCAGATGTCCTAGAACCAGCAAAGACTCCACCTGTGCTTGTTGACTGAAATTTTCTGTTGACATATCCTATCTTCTGCTTCCATGCAGCATTTTGGGACTTGATGAATTCCTTGAACACAATGCCTTGGACACCCAGCTGCTATTGCTGATACCAGCCTCCTCTACTTACAATAGCCCCATCTCAGTGTTCCTACCCATTTTTAGCAGCCCTTGCTTCTGAGCTCACTCTAGTTATATTGCTTTGGTAAATGCTGTACTGGAATTTGACTTGTGTAAGAATTAGTGACGTAACCTAAAATGTGGGCAAAGTGGAGGAAGGTTGAAGAAGCCAACCTGACATTATTTTGAAATTTAAAAAATCACAAATCATAAAAATGACATTAGTTATTCCCTATTACAAAAGCCTTGGATGACTTCCCTGACCTTAATAAGGTTCTAATCCTTCAATCTAGCAATCAAGGCTCTACACAATAGCCTCTACCTACCTCTCTAATCTCAACTCCCATTATTCTACTCTATAATCCTTCCACGAGATCCTTGAGGGCACAGGATTTCTCTTCTTTAGTAGCAGACTGGCACCTTGAATTGTATCTGGCACTTTGTGGTGTTCAGAAAATGTAACAACTAAAAATTATTGAGTTCTTTATTCTGTGCTAGGCATGTAAAACATGAAGTACTTTATAGGTACCATTTCCCTTTGCAGGCATCATCTCATGTTATACCACAACTTTATAAAACAGACATTATAATATTTTCTCAAAGTCAGTCAACTAGGGAAATGGTAAAACCAGGACTTCAACTCAGATCCATTTAGCCCCAGAGCCTGTGCCCTTAATAACTACAACAAAGCACTTCAATCGTGTTTGTGGAGTAAGTGCTTGAGCCAAATTGCACTCTTCATTGTTTTCCTAACACACCTTACTGAAGCTTATATGCCTTTGCAAACACCCTTTCCCTCACCTGAAAGGCCTCCCACAGCTTCTAGGTCATCAGTCACCCCTTTGTAACTTGGGTTATACCAACATTGAGCACTGCTGTTCCGACACCTGAAAAATACATCCTTGTATTTTTAGTTCTCCTTTTATGATATCCACAGCTAGACTGTAAGCAATTGGAGGGCACAATACATGCTTCACACTATTATGCATTCTCAGTCTTATGCATCAAGTGTAGGCAATCAATTAATATTTTCTGAGAAAGCAATTAATATTTCCTGTTGGCTTAAAATGGAGACAAAAACTGAAGTTAGGTTCATGAATAATTACAAGAGATCTATATTACATAAAGATGTATCAAAACATGACAGTCCTTTTATGTGCAAATATTAGTTACTGGAATAAGAAATTGAAAGAACAAAGAAGAAATAGATAGTCATCATCATAACCACCATCCTTAGAAATAAATCTGCTTCAGAGGTTGAATTATCCTGTTATGTCTACTGTCTATTTTAGACGGATCCATGGGAACTTCCAGAAACCAGAAATCAGTTGCTTAGGCTGGACATAATTATTTTGCATTTATGGAATAATTTACATTTATAAAACTGCTTTACAATCATTTTAATGTTCACTGGAGATCAAACAAGACTGAACAGGAAACCTAGGAGGGTCTTCAAAGGCTTCCTGATGATCAGGGACTGCCTATGGTAGGAAATCTTTGGTTAAACTCTACGTGGAGCTCCTTTTCTCAAGAGAGGATCAGATTTCATTGATCTCCATGTTCCAAAGCAGTTCATGAACCCTGCTCTTCTGGATGTGTGACAGCTATTTATTTCTCAGGGAAAAGGGAACTAAATTAAGCATCTTTATTTTACTCTCCTTGGCTAAAAAAATCTAATGCTATATTAGAACAGGTTAATGGTCCACTAAGTAATATTCAGAGCCCCGAGTTATAAAGAAAGGGAGGCCCATGCATGAATCTCTTGAAATGTACAATAAAAGATATGAAATTAAGTGTTGTGAATTCTCTTTTAACACTTGCAGGTGATTACTGCTGCTGGGGTTTTAATATGGTGGTTTCACAGACTATGAGATCAAGTTTGTTGTTCTATTACAAATAACTATATGACTTCCTATCCTCTCTACATTAGGAATAGAGGTCTGGGGAAGATGTCTTCATATACATTGCATTGAAGAAAAACTTTCTATTTCTTTTTCCAGATTACCCTGATCTCTGCTATAGAGCAAGCAATTTGATTACCTTGCTAGCGTTCACTTATATTGCATGACTAACAACATTATTAATAGCTAAAAAATTATTCGGGTCCTTAAAGATGCAGTCACTATTCTTCTCTCAAAGGTCTCTAACAGCAGGAAATTCTAGGCTGATTTTAAATGTGTTTTCCATTAATTTAATCAAGCCAACTTTTGCTCCCCTGCAACGGCACCAAGAATGAGAAGGGCTTGCCTGTGTCTTTCACTGCATCCTCCATGGATGGAAGAAATCAGGCCTGGCTTTTCTTGCTTCACATCTTGAGGCTGAGTCTGTCTTTTCCACTTTACCGTTTCTTCCTGAATGACCCTGTTCTTGACCCTAAGCATGCAATCTGAGCTCTGAATGGGGGTGGAGTGGGGGGAGGATGTTCTGGAGCTCAGCAGATGGATCCCAAGAGCACAATGGCTTACCAGCCCTTCTGTGATTGTTGCCAAAACGCCTTCCTGTTTTCAAAATTGTCTCGCCCCCTGCTCCTTTGTTTTGCTCTGCTAGGAGACTGCAGTTCTGATTTTGCTAGGAACCAAATCTGCTGTTTCAAGGAAATGCAGCTGCTTGCTTTGGTGGGTGGCTTGAAAGAGGGAATTTTTCTATCCTCCCTCCATAACCTCCTTCCCACCCCACCCCCACGTGAACTCCACTGGCTCATCATCTCATGAAGCATTGATTTTAGAAGCTGACTATTTGCTTTTGATTGTTTGGCTGGGGCTGCAACAAAGTCATTGATGGATCTCATTTTGAGCTATCATTCTGTCCACTCTCTTCAGTCAGGCTTCCAGAACTGATTGCCTGTTCTCCCAAATGAAACTGCACAGCCAGACAGCGAGGCTTTCTCAAGTTCCACCATTTCCCCGGGCAGAGAACACGCAGAGCTGCACAGGCCTCAAACTGGCCTCACTGTCCTCTATGACTATTAGTTTTCTTACTAACCCATCAGTAGGTACAAGACTTAATTTGATCACTGCTGCCTAGGTTGCTGTCTCTGGGTGGATATGGCCTGCTACTGATGTCACTGCATTTTGTGATCTTTGCTAAAAGAGATCAGCCAAGCTCAGCCCAGCTGGTATCTCCTGTGACACAGGACACTCTCCCTAACCCTCTCAACTCCCAGCTTTTGGAAGAAAGGTCATTGGTCCTCTATGGCCATTCTGGCTTCAGCCCGGAGACAACAGACACAAATTAATAGGCTTTCCCCCAAATCCAGTGCACCAATATGCAAACTCTTGGACCCCAAAACAGGATGTTTTCCCAGCTGGCAAGTCATTGTTTTCTTCTCATTCGAAAAAAGGTACATAACTTCCATGCTGCTAAAATGATTTTTCTGTCACTTCTGCTCTATCTGTCCCCTTTGTGGTGCTCTCTCTGCCTCCTTCTGGGATCTCCTTCTTTCAGTTTACTCTCCACTGCCCCAGGGCTTGTCAACCTGAACAGATACTGTGCCTTGTGCTGTTAGTGGCATACGTGACATGCCTTTGGTACTTTTATTGCTAGCCCAGGTAATGTAACTGCAGCTGTCAAACTGGCAGTTCTTTATGTTTATTAGTTTTCTTCTTTCCCTTTTAAGCTGACATTAGCCAAGTAGCAAGTTTCCTAGTTCAGTGAAAAATCAGTTGGTGGAGCAGCTGGAACTCCCAGGAGCTATGCTAGGCCTCTCCTGAGTTCTAGGAGAAACTTGGGAGGAACCAAGAGCAAATCTAGGCCCAGCCTGGTCACTTAGAACTAAAGAGTATACAATAGATTTGGTGCCTCACAGAGATCATCTTTTGCCCAAGATACCAAGAGAAGCCCAGGAAACTGGCTCATCAGACTGACTTTTGTATTCTTCTTCTGGCTATTATTGTTCATTTGAACTTAATGCAACAGGGTACTGTAGTGTGGAGTTCACAAACTCACCTCAGCTCCAGTACCGTATATCTCAAGGTCTTGAAAGATCTGGTTTGTTTTCTCCAATCTTGTGGGTATCTCCAGAAAGAACTCAGCCTCCTGTAAGATCAAGCAACCAGACAGATATTTATTTTTATTTTTTAATTTGGAAAGCTGATCTTCAGGGCATATCCTATAAGGCTGATATTTCGGCCAGGGCTCTTTCAGCCTCAACCATTCCTTTCAGTGATAGTTCTGCTTCCTTTCTTGCCCCACTTGTACTGCTTCAGAAATAGCAGAAGAGACTGTGATAGAAGCCTAGGGTGGGAATCAAAAGCCAAGCCCTAATCAGGAGCTCCAGTCTGAGGAAATTACACAAGGTATAAGGTGCCTGGGATCTACCTACTAGGTTGCAGTGTTAGAGGCTGGGGACAGCAACACACACACACACACACACACACACAAAAAGGCTTGGCCTTGGCCTAAAACAGTGCATCCCAAGTGAAAGTCTGCTCACTTTCAATTACGTATTCTTTGTATCGTTGTGGTTCATATTTCGGTGGTTTTTGAGGTCTCCAATTTGGTGATAGTTTTTTTTTTTTTCAAGCTGTCAAAAAAGCATTTCCTCTGGGGAGCTGTGGAATGTCACCCTTACCCTCCTCCTTGGGATGAGGGAGTCAGCAGTGGGAAGGCTGGCCATGATTTAATCAGAGTGCCTTTGAAGGGAGAGCTTTCTGTTTTCAAAAGTGGTGATGTGGGGAGTAACAGCTGACATGAGGTTGCACCTAGGAAACCAGCATTTGGGGTCCACTTGGAGAAAATTCACATGAAAAGATTGAGGCAATAATGCTGAGAGCCCAAATGGTGCTGTCAAAACATCACAGGTGATCACTGCAGGGCAGTACAAAAGGTGTTAGAGAGCAGTGTCATTTATTGAAATGTATCTGCTGATTTAGCCTTTGCTAATTAAATAGTCCCCATGACGTGTGCTTATTTAGGGACAGTTACGAGTTTGGCAGCAGCAGGGGTTTGGTCCTGTGGGAAGTGCCATTCCTAAAGGGAGGGGATAAGGCATGGAGGAAGTTTGGACATAGCTTGTTCAAGGATGCTGGCCTTGTCAAAATGGGAAGACATGAAGTGATTAATAACTTTCTCAGTCTCTTTTTCTCCACTGTCCCGCACATCTCTTGTGTTTCTTGGAAAAGGCAGGCATCGGGGCCATGGTGAACAATTTTAGCACTTAAGAAACACTTTCTCTACTTTGTTTATCTGCTACAGCTCCCTGCTGTTAATGTTATCCTCTGTCACAGGGTAGGAAAAGGGGTGGAGTTTGAGAGGAAGAGAGGGAAAAGTGTGAGGGACCTCAAAGGTTTTTCTTGGCCTCTGTCCTAGTCTTCTTGGTGTTCCAGAAGGGTTAGAAACAGCATCCAGGATAACCCCACCCCTGCCCAGCAGGTCCACATCCCTGATTGCTGCTGTTGATGCCTTTCCTTATACTGTCTGGGACAGTGGCGGGGGAGGCAGGAAGGGAGGGAAGGACTATCTAGAAATCGGGCAATCATTGTGGGCAGAAGAGAACAGAATTTTAGGAAGCTGTCGACATAATATATCTCATCCTAGTTTCTCCTCTAGGAAAATTTATAGTACATAGACATACATGCTGTTATTAAATTAATCAACTGCATGTTAAACTACATAAGGGCAAGGTCCACTAAAAAAAATTCTCAATCCTTAACACAATGCTGGACAAAAAGCCAACACTTGTTGATCTCACGAGGGAAGTGGTTGAGTTTTGTGTAATGAGGTCGTCTTGGAAAATCGTTGAACTGCTCTGCAACTGTTTCCACATCTGCAAAGTGTCTTTATCTCCCAGGGATATTGTAAAAATTAAATAAGATGATGACTTTAATAATGACACTTTATAGTTTTTTTCCCATTTCCTCCATTTTCATTCTTTGATGTTCTCTTCTCTAGGCATTGTAACCTAAGTAAGGAGATCAGATATGCAGTCAGAAGAAGTTTGATTGAATTTGCTAATTTTAAAATCAATTTTTTCTTTCTAAGAGAACCTCATCAGGCAGCTGGTCAAACTAGTTGGGTGGAATGGGATCCCCATGATATGCAGTGAAAGCCAAGCTAGAAGATGACCCACTTTTCTGCAGCCAGGGCAAAGAGAAGGGGGCAAAAGGAAGGAGGAGGAGGAGGAGAGAAAGAGAGAGACTGGAGTTATTTGAAGGCTAATCTCTTTTGAGCTTAAAGCAAACATTAAAAAAAAAAAAACATATCTCAGGCTAGGGCACAGTAGCTTATGCCTGTAATCTTAGCACTTTGGGAGGCCAGGGGAGAAGGATTGCTTGAGGCCAGTTTGAGACCAGCCTGGACAACAGAGAGATACCCCATTTCTACAAAAAATAAAATGAAAAGAATGAGCCAGGTGTGACAGTGCACACCTGTATAATCCTAGCTACTCAGGAGGCTGAGGTGGTAGGATTGCTTGAGCCCTGGAGTTTGAGGTTACAGTGAGCCATGTCTGCAGCATTGCACTCTAGCCTGGGCGACAGAATGACACCTTGTCTCTAAAACAACAGAACAAAACAAACACATCTCAGAAAGCTTCCTTAAACTTGTCAGAGTTACAGTCCCTCATATACTGGTATCTTGGTTCCTACCATTACTTTTCACCTTTCTGGACAAAACCTTTCACCATACCCTTATCAATCTTAGGAGAACAAGAATTAGCTTCACATACTGGTTTGATCTAAAAGTAAGATTTCTCCCATTTTGGTCCTCTTTTATTGCCATTCAGCATGATTTTAGTGGCATGGATGACATTTTAAAGACAAAAAAAATTCTCTTTGCCAATTTTGATTCTGGCCTCAGTGGAGCTGCTTTGACCTGGAGAGCAGCCGTAGGCGGCATAGCACCATTAGTATTAGTATTTCTTAGTAGCTGTTGGATTAAAAAATACTGAGGATGGTCACTAGATGTCCCTCTTGTGTCTCTAAAGAGGCTGAGGAGGCGGGGCTCCCTTCAGGATTGAAGTAAAGGGAAGCTAAAACGGAGAGAACTTTCTTGTTTTTATTATCTACATGCAGAACGATTTTATTCAGTTAGTTAATAAATTCCTGATCATGAAAGTGTTTTGGGCTACTCATTTAGTCAATGGCATTCTTGGAGTATAATGATCGAGTGTGCCTATTAGAAAAAAAGAAATTCTGAGGGCAAAGGCTGTTGTTAGGATTATCTGTAGAAATAGACTGGGGGATGGAAGAGCTATTTTGTGTGTGGGGATGGGGAAGGCTGTGTAACTGTCACTTTGAGATTAGGGGTGGGGAGGAGATAATAGGAAAGAAGGAAAGCATAGGCACACGCCCCTGCCTCCCTTAGCACCTGGCTTGTGTAAAAGTGGTTTGGTAGCTGGAAGTACTTGGATGCTCTCCTTGGAAAAGAGGGGTGCCTGGAGTGTGAACAGCGAGCAGGAAGCAGGGAACACGGTGGCATCGCCTTAGCAAAGAGGGTTTGTCTTTGCAAATGCAGAACATGTCTTTACATTGTGATTGCAATTATGAAGGTAATGACATTGTACATGAATTGAATTCTCCTATTTATCTTTAAAAGACAGCAGAATATAGACATTCTATTAGCACTCCCTAAGGTAAGAGGTCTGCAGTCTTCTTATCTTGTTGTGTGCATCTTTTCAGATGCTACGACAATGTTAATCATTTTACCTGAGTAATTCTTCCATTTCTCGTTACCTGGGGGATTGTTAATGGCCGAGACTACTTCTCAGACTCTTTGCTCCCGCTCAATCAAGCCGTGGAGGCGCCAGTTTACTTTTATTGATCAGTGGGTTCCTGACAGCCTTCGCCACAAGGAAGCAGCATCATCCTTTTTTAACTTAAAGGGGGAACAGATCGCCTTAAAGTTTACAGCTAAAAGCTTCTAAGCATAGCATGCAAACATTTTAGCATGCTGCTAATTGTTCTGTTTAAATAGTCCAAGCAATATTTTAGAAAGCTGCCAAACGCCGAATTCACATCCCGTGATCAGATAGCAAACCCATTTCAAATGCCTTTTTAGGCCTTTTTAATTAGACCAAGATGCACTTCATTCCCATGCTCTGACATCAAAGGTAAATAACTGTGATAAATCAAATGGAACCCTTCCTTTCGCGGAGCCCGCGAGGTGCGCCCACCGCTGCCTGCCATGTTGTCATTCTCTACTACTTGCCCATTTCTCCAACGGTGTCTGGAGAAAACCGGTCGGGCCACCGGGCTCCCTTGAGCCACCACTCTGGTGTCCACCCGCAGCTCTAAATGACCAAAATTAAATGATACTCATTGCAGAAGCATCGGTTTTCTCCCTGTTGTTCTGGGCCGAATCACATCCTAACGTGAAACAGTGAAACGACCCCCACGCGGAAAGCGGATCAGGCTCCCTACGCTCTCCCTTTGGCCTCGGCTACATATTCAGGGGATCGCAATCTCACTCGCGAAATAATTTCTTTCTGTAAGAGGAAGCCGCCTTTCCCCTCTCCCACCGCCAAGGTAAAGGCTGCTAAAGTAGCTCTTCTTGGAAGGAAAAATATTTTAAAAAGCAGCTGGGTTGCTCTCCACAAGAAGATGGCAGTTTTGAGAAAACCCATTATGTGTCCAAATGCCGGTTTCCTTTTCTTGTTTAACGCTTTTTAGAGGGCAAAAATGACGCTCATGTGAAGCCCACAGGCTCGAGCCAATGTCGCTGGGCTAATTATGAGTCTGCTTATCCCACTCCCAAATATCCGAGACGACTCACTCAGAAGACATTTTTACTCTTCCAAGAATTGTGAATTCAGAAGCAGCTTCCCCACATTCTAAGAGAAAAAAAAACTTGTTTAACGGGCACGTTTTTGATTTTTTTGCCGCTGGCGACCTTAATTAAAAGCCTCAGAGCCCGGGTGGGGAGGAATGCCCCGCTGCCCCCAGGGAGCCTTCAGTGCAGAAGGCAGGATGAGCTTGATGTCAGCCCTGGCCACGCCGGCCTCCCGCTTCCCAGTACTGGCACATGCCGCAGCCACCACCGCCGCCCAAGTGGAGCTGGCAGCCCCCTGGGACCGAGACCCCGCGGGAAGGCTGGGGCGCCCTGCACATCGGCGCCGGCTCCCAGCTGTCGGCGACCTAAGCGGACATGTATGGCGTGCCCGCCCCAGAGCTCCTGCCCGGCTTTGAGCTCTGCTGGCTTGGCGCGGCGCGGCGGCGTCCGCTCCACCGGCTCTTCTCAAACGTACAGTTTATTTATAGGGAGCTAAATTCTCCAACAGGGTGGGGTGAGGGGCAATGAAATGTGTCCGGCCCCCTCCGTAGCTCATTCTCTGTGCCACATATCCCATTTGATTAACAAGCAACAGACAAGAGCGAACCGATCCAGGGGCCCTGCTGGGAGTGCGGCACGCAGAGAGTAGTGCGGCGTCTGCCCGGGGTGGAAGGATGGGGGTGACGGTCCGGGGGGGTGGCGGCCGTGGCTCTGGCCTGATGTGAAGACACACCGGCTAAGAGCTGGATGAATGACCACCTCAGGGGCGCTTTCTCCTTCCCTTTCTTCCTTCCACTACCAGAGAATGAGAAGAGAGGAAAACAAAAACAGACGATTTTTTAGGGTGAAGAGACAAGGAGAAATAGAGGGATATATATATGTGTGTATATATATATATATGTGTATATATATGTATATATTATATTCAAGATATGAAGATATGTAAGGGAGGTAAACACGATAAGACAATCATATCATCCTCATCTTTCCTGAAATCTCTGCAAACATGAGAAGCGCACAGTTCCCGGCGAGGCTCAGCCGCAGCGCCAGCACACCGCCTCCCTGCTCATTCCTGCCCTATTGCTCCTGCCTGGCCTGCCTGGCCTGTCTGTCCGTCCTCCCATGAATCCCGCCAGGGCTCCATGGGCCGGGGTACCACTTGGTCCCGCCGGTGTGAAGTTTCCGCTTGGCCCCGCCCCCCCGCTACCCCCCGCCTCCGCTTGGCCCCGCCCCAAGACTGGAGCCCGCTGGCGGCGCGCTGATTGGCCAGGGCCTGGCGTAGCCGGGCTCGGCAGCTTGAGCTTTCTCCGGCTTTCTCCAGACTCCGCGGCCAGTAGTTTGCGGCATCCGGAGGAGCAGCAGCAGCAGTAGCGGCGGCGGCTGGCGCAGCGCGGAGACGGACGAGCGGGCACAGACGGCAGCACAGCTCCCGTGCACCATGCCTGGCTTGCCCGGGAGGCACTGGCACCCGCGTCCCTAGCCCGGCGCTGGCCCTTGGCGCGTTGCGCTCCGCAGCATTCCGGCTGAGCGATTTCATCCGAAATCCTAAACCTCCTACCCCAAACCCATTGCCTCCTGCTTGCTCATACTCCACACTCACACTCCCCACACCACACACTCACTCTTCCTCTCTCTCTCACACATTCACACACAGCCCGAGACAGACAGAGAAAGCGAGACAGACCTCCCGAGTGCGCGAGCGCCCGGGAGGAAGGGAGCCCAACGCAGCGCGGCCAGCGCCTCTCCGGGAAGATGAAATCAAGACGCTCCTGCAAGTAAACTTCGGCGGCGACAAAATCGTCGACTGTGGCAGCTGCTGAGGCGGACCCCAGCGACGTGCAACTGAGCTAGGAGGGCTTCCTCCCGCGGCGGCGGCGGCGGCGGCGGCGGCGGCGGACCTTGGAGCGACACCCCAGCCCAAACGGAGAGAAGAGAAGCACCCGGTACCCACGGCGGCGGCCCCGCCTCTCCTGGCCGGTACTGTTGTTGCCTCCCCTTCCCTCTTCCCCATTCCCCGCCACCCCCGGCCATTAGAAAGACCGGGGCTTTGATTTTCTTGGACAAATTGCCATCTCCCCGTTTCCACAAACTTGACGTGGAGGGTCGGACTGCGTTGTTAACTTTGATTTCCTAGACGAAAACGCCCGCAGACCCTCAACTGCTCTGTGGGGGGAACTCCGCTCCCACCTCGGATCCTGGACAGACGCGCCCCCAAGCCCTTCGAAGCCAGCCTTAGCGCGAGGGAGCGCGCTCAAGCTCTGGCAGCCTCTCTCCCCTCCCCCTTCCTCTGCTGGCCCCGGGACCGCCATCCGACTCAACCCTATAACCGGGTGCCCGCGGCGCTTGCCAGTAACTGACTCCCGTCTGCGACACCCCCTTTCTCCCGAACAGGCCTCGAAGAGGCCAGTGTGGCCCCCCCAGACCCCGGAGGGCGCATTCCAAGCGGGTACTCTCTCCGCAGTGAACTGGGAGCGCTGGGGGGAGGTCTTTGCGCATGCCAGGTGCACAGACAGCGAGTTCGCCAGCCTCAGTGCCGGTGCACCGCGGCGGGCCGGGCAGTGCCTGAAAGGCTGCGCCTCCTCCGCCCTCTTTACCTTCGCCTCAAGTACTGTCCGGACTCAGCGGTGCGTCCTCCAGGCCGCGCAGACGCCGCCCGACCCGCAGCCCTGGGCGGCTGCCGACAGTCGCGCCCGGCTAACTTTGAAGGGGTAAAACTGAGTAGCCGGGCTGGAGGGAGGGGGCTCGGGGCCGCGCGGCGCTCCCTTGGCCCCTCGGAGCCCCCGGGGCCCCCGCGAGCCCCCGCCGCGTCCGCCGCAACCTCAGCATTGGAGCCGCCGCGGGTGTCCCCCGCGCGCCGCCGGGCCGCCCTGGGCGGGACTTCTCCCGCGGCCTCCGGGGCCACGGGGCGCGCGCAACAGGCGGCCCGAGCCGGCGGGAAGCTGGAGCGCCGACGGCGTCGGTCTCGGAGGGGTGTGGAGAGGCGAGGCCAGGCAGAGCCCCGTGCAGCCATGGAGTCGCTCCTGCTGCCGGTGCTGCTGCTGCTGGCCATACTGTGGACGCAGGCTGCCGCCCTCATTAATCTCAAGTACTCGGTAGAAGAGGAGCAGCGCGCCGGGACGGTGATTGCCAACGTGGCCAAAGACGCGCGAGAGGCGGGCTTCGCGCTGGACCCCCGGCAGGCTTCAGCCTTTCGCGTGGTGTCCAACTCGGCTCCACACCTAGTGGACATCAATCCCAGCTCTGGCCTGCTGGTCACCAAGCAGAAGATTGACCGTGATCTGCTGTGCCGCCAGAGCCCCAAGTGCATCATCTCGCTCGAGGTCATGTCCAGCTCAATGGAAATCTGCGTGATAAAGGTGGAGATCAAGGACCTGAACGACAATGCGCCCAGTTTCCCGGCAGCACAGATCGAGCTGGAGATCTCGGAGGCAGCCAGCCCTGGCACGCGCATCCCGCTGGACAGCGCTTACGATCCAGACTCAGGAAGCTTTGGCGTGCAGACTTACGAGCTCACGCCCAACGAGCTGTTCGGCCTGGAGATCAAGACGCGCGGCGACGGCTCCCGCTTTGCCGAACTCGTGGTGGAAAAGAGCCTGGACCGCGAGACGCAGTCGCACTACAGCTTCCGAATCACTGCGCTAGACGGTGGCGACCCGCCGCGCCTGGGCACCGTTGGCCTTAGTATCAAGGTGACCGACTCCAATGACAACAACCCGGTGTTTAGCGAGTCCACCTACGCGGTGAGCGTGCCAGAAAACTCGCCTCCCAACACACCCGTCATCCGCCTCAACGCCAGCGATCCAGACGAGGGCACCAACGGCCAGGTGGTCTACTCCTTCTATGGCTACGTCAACGACCGCACGCGCGAGCTCTTTCAGATCGACCCGCACAGTGGCCTGGTCACTGTCACTGGCGCTTTAGACTACGAAGAGGGGCACGTGTACGAACTGGACGTGCAGGCTAAGGACTTGGGGCCCAATTCCATCCCGGCACACTGCAAGGTCACCGTCAGCGTGCTGGACACCAATGACAATCCGCCGGTCATCAACCTGCTGTCAGTCAACAGTGAGCTTGTGGAGGTCAGCGAGAGCGCCCCCCCGGGCTACGTGATCGCCTTGGTGCGGGTGTCTGATCGCGACTCAGGCCTCAATGGACGTGTGCAGTGCCGTTTGCTGGGCAATGTGCCCTTTCGACTGCAGGAATATGAGAGCTTCTCCACTATTCTGGTGGACGGACGGCTGGACCGCGAGCAGCACGACCAATACAACCTCACAATTCAGGCACGCGACGGCGGCGTGCCCATGCTGCAGAGTGCCAAGTCCTTTACCGTGCTCATCACTGACGAAAATGACAACCACCCGCACTTTTCCAAGCCCTACTACCAGGTCATTGTGCAGGAGAACAACACGCCTGGCGCCTATCTGCTCTCTGTGTCTGCTCGCGACCCCGACCTGGGTCTCAACGGCAGTGTCTCCTACCAGATCGTGCCGTCGCAGGTGCGGGACATGCCTGTCTTCACCTATGTCTCCATCAATCCCAACTCAGGCGACATCTACGCGCTGCGATCCTTTAACCACGAGCAGACCAAGGCGTTCGAATTCAAGGTGCTGGCCAAGGACGGCGGCCTTCCCTCACTGCAAAGCAACGCTACGGTGCGGGTCATCATCCTCGACGTCAACGACAACACCCCGGTCATCACAGCCCCACCTCTGATTAACGGCACTGCCGAGGTCTACATACCCCGCAACTCTGGCATAGGCTACCTGGTGACTGTTGTCAAGGCAGAAGACTACGATGAGGGCGAAAATGGCCGAGTCACCTACGACATGACCGAGGGCGACCGCGGCTTCTTTGAAATAGACCAGGTCAATGGCGAAGTCAGAACCACCCGCACCTTCGGGGAGAGCTCCAAGTCCTCCTATGAGCTTATCGTGGTGGCTCACGACCACGGCAAGACATCTCTCTCTGCCTCTGCTCTCGTCCTAATCTACTTGTCCCCTGCTCTCGATGCCCAAGAGTCAATGGGCTCTGTGAACTTGTCCTTGATTTTCATTATTGCCCTGGGCTCCATTGCGGGCATCCTCTTTGTAACTATGATCTTCGTGGCAATCAAGTGCAAGCGAGACAACAAAGAGATCCGGACCTACAACTGCAGGTAAAGCCAAGTTTTCTTTCTTTGTCTTGGATGAATAAGGTGTGTTTATCTGTGTCTCTGTGTGAAAATCCTGGTGCTTTTGTTTCCTACTTAAATGCATGCAGCATACTTGCAGTGCTTCTTTTTGTAGGGTGAAAAGTTTGTGACAGTCCAAGTTGATCAATTCTTTTGATCTGACAATTTGCTGGAAGACAATCATTTAGTGTTTGAATGGATTCTGTCACATAATGATGGTGAGCAGAAACGCAATTATCATTTTAAAATTTGCATAGCTGTCTCCATGAAGTTATGGTAGGAAAAACAGAGAGAGAGAGAGGGAGGGGGAGAGAGAGAGAGATCATATTTTTAGGAAAACCACCAACTACCACAACTTGGTGTCTGGGGCACAGTGTTTTTGGGACAGGTACTGAATGAAAGGAGAGGGAGTGTTGGCAGCTACCCTGTCTTGTTGCAGTGATGAACTCTGGAGAGAGACTGGGAGTGGGAGTGTAAGATGGGAAAGGGAGATGAGGGGGAGGAGAGAACAGGAGTGTGTGGAGATGCAGGTGATTAGTGGTTTTTAGTTTATTCTTGGCTTGTTTTTTATCTAGTCCCCAAACATCTGGCTATATAAAGTGAAATTCTATCAGGCATCTGTATGTTTTCAAATATCTGGTTGGTTGGTAGTGTGGAGACCAAACATCCCAATGAGGAACAAGACTTTGCATCCAGATGTTTCAGTAAAAATAGCAATCTTCTAGAGTTGATGATGCTTTCCTCTAATGTGAGACTGTGTTGTGGCATTAAGATCTGGTTCCTACCAGTGGATGTCACTGTGGGCTATTGTGTTACAGTTTCTCTTGAAGTGTGTGAAGGATGTGTGTGTGTCTGTGTGTGTATGGGGGGGGGAGGGAGAGAGAGAGGGATAGAAGGGGGAGGAAAAGGGAGAAAAGAAGAAACACAGTATTTTTTAAAAAGATTTCCTGATAAGCACATTAGAAGGTCTTACTGAAGCCCTTTCTTACATTTGGATAGAGCACATAAGTCTAAGCATTTCTAGAATCCTAGAATCCAATTTAGGATAATACATGACATTTTTTTTCCAGCAGTGTCTCATCGAAACAGTTGAAAAAAGTTGTTTCTTTAGTTTGCTGAAAATGAATGATGCTGCTATTTACAACCAAGGTGTGTGTGTGCTTTCAACACACCTACACATCAGTGTGTCTTTTGTGCCATTTGTGTCTGCATGTTAATCAGTCAAAATATGTTCCTGTAGGTTCAGTTTGTATTTGACACCGTCTGAAATGCACACTTCTGTGAATCAGAGCCCCCTGAATATGTAACAGCCATGCAATTATTGTTTCCCTTTTACTATTCTCTGCGTTACACAAGTTAGTAGACAAATGCTAACCACACATGAATATCAATCAGGTGCCATAAAAGAGCAGCTGCAATGCCTCATAAATGCTTTAATCCTGTTACTAGTGAAATGGCCATGACTTTTCTTTCCTTCAGCACCAAGTCATTTCAGATGGGAGAAATGTAAATTAATATTGCTCTTAGCTTTCAAACCTGTGACTGCTAGTGGCGATTTTTATAGGAGAAAAATGTGGGGTCAATAAAATTTTATTTATATGGAGATAATTATGGAGAGGACTCTTTTTAAGCCATCTTCTCAGCATAAAGTAAATGCATAAGATCCTTTCCTTGATGAAAAAGAAATCAGCTTGAAATAAAGATATTGAAGGCTTTGCCACCTCTTGGTGATGTATGACTAGAAGTGAGAGCCCTTTCTGAGAACTTGCCAAGGAGATGATTAAACAGGAGGAGAGCATCTGAATATTGAAAAAAAAAAAAAAGAGTAAATCTCAGTGCTCTCCAACTTCACCCAAATGTGTATTTTGTGAAGCGTTCTGTTTCCTGTGATGGTTTGGGATTAATGAAGTACAGTATAATTAAATAATTGGTTAATACAGAAAGGGCTGCACAATGAATGCTTCAGCTGAATAATTTGATGGGGCATTGCCAAAGTTACTCATCTTGGGTAAACAAAATGATTAAAATTTCCCATTGATTCTGTAAACAGATTAGAATAGAAAATCAACCTTAGTACTAGGGTTTTGGGGATTTTATCTGCTCCCAAACCCCAGTAGTACCAGTTTGCCATCACTGCAAATCTTCCTGAGCACAGAGCGAAGGGGTGAGGGGAACTCAATTGCTTAACTCTAGGTAGATCCTGGGGACAGAGCAAGAATTTGCCTCTGTAGATGTGTAGTCTCCCTATCTGCTCAGACTTTTTAGAAACCTAAAGTTCAGGAGCGTGTCTTTCCATGTGATTAGGCAGAGGTTTCTTTTTCTAAGCCTCCGCAGAACCTCTTCCTGAAATGCATTCATTTATGAGACTTGCGAGATGATCTGCAATTGCTGCTTGAATTGGGCTCCCTTTTTGTATTCAGACAATTAGCTTTGTCGAGTGAGAATAAGGCACAGTCTTTCCCTTGTAAAGATCAACCTGTATTACTTATTAACCCTATTGTTTTGCTGATTATTGCCCAGAAATCGAATTTCCAAAAAAGAAACTGAATCATTATGTGCAAAGTAATAAATGACTTTGAGAATCTGGCTACATTTAAATGTATTTCTTTTGACAAGTCTCTTAATGCCTGGTGTCTTTGGTGCACGTTGCTGGGTCTGTGTCAGTGTTAATTAAATTGAGCTCTTTATGTTCCAGTTGCAGCACAGCTGCTTGTAGGTACACCTGAATGGAGAAGGATGCTGAATGCACTAACCTTTAAATTCCTTTGCAGTAATTGTTTAACCATCACTTGTCTCCTCGGCTGTTTTATAAAAGGACAAAACAGCAAGTGTCTGCATTGCATCTCGGTTTCTCCCATTAGCGAGGAGCAAGACAAAAAGACAGAGGAGAAAGTGAGCCTAAGGGGAAAGAGGTAAAAAGGCATTTCCCCTCATTTAAATGGGTTTGGCTATTAGATTTTTCTAGGAGAGGAGGGGGTCGGGGGGTGAGTAAAAGGGAACCGGGCTAGGGCAGGGAGGAGGGTGTGGAGGAGACGCGAAAGAATGGGGTCTGATCTCCTACCCCAGTCCAAAACTGATCGAGTGAGTCATAGAGGAAGCTGATTGAGGGCGTGTGCCACATGGCAAATGCCTGGAGGAACTGGCAAGGGGGTGGGGGCGGGTATTTTTTATTTTCCTCTATCTCCTCTTTGGTGACTTGCTTTGTATTTCACCTAGGAGTTCCTTTTGGTTCCAGGGAAGCTCCAGATTTGAGCATTTTCATGCTTTCTCTCCCATAGGCTCAACTTTCCCTGTCCCCCCACCCGTGCTCACAGGCCACTCACAATGAAAAATTCCAAATCCAAAGTATAGAAACTTTTTTAGGGGGGGTTGGTGGGAGGTTACTATGTTTAATATGAAAAGTTTATGGCCCTCAGCCTGTTTTCCCTTGTAAAAAGCACAGGGAGAAACCCGATGATGTAATGCACCAGAATAAGGAGCTGGAGCGGAGATGGGGTGCAACCCTCTGGGGTGCTTAATGTTTATTAATCAGTGCATGATTTGGGAGGGTGTTAGTGATTCATGCTGCCTTTTCTGTCACATAGAATTGCTGAGTACTCCTATGGGCATCAAAAGAAATCAAGCAAGAAGAAAAAAATCAGTAAGAATGACATCCGCCTGGTACCCCGGGATGTGGAGGAGACAGACAAGATGAACGTTGTCAGTTGCTCTTCCCTGACCTCCTCCCTCAACTATTTTGACTACCACCAGCAGACGCTGCCCCTGGGCTGCCGCCGCTCTGAGAGCACTTTCCTGAATGTGGAGAACCAGAATACCCGCAACACCAGTGCTAACCACATCTACCATCACTCTTTCAACAGCCAGGGGCCCCAGCAGCCTGACCTGATTATCAACGGTGTGCCTCTGCCTGAGGTGAGTGCAGCTAAGTGGCTCTGTGAGGTTCTCCCAGGTCTCCTTCTTTAGCTGCTCGCTGGATACCATAAGCTGCTGTGCTGGCACATCCCCTGGCAGGGGTGGGGAGAATTTCTCTGCTTATGCCCATTTTCATACTAAGGGTTTGCTATCAGTGCTTCTTGGAGCAAAAGGTAACCCAACATACTGGGCCTTTGTGTAGGTATGGGTATTGGAATTGGTAACTCAAAGAGTCTGAGCCCTTGAAATCATTATCCTGGCATAACTCAAGTTTGCTCCACCTGTTGCAAATATAGCATGCTTGACAGCCAGCAGTACCAGTATGCCAGTAAAGTGGCTTAGAAAGAGTCATCAAGTAGTGTTGAAAATGGATGAAACCCTCTAATGCCCTGGGACCAATTTTCCAGTGTGAGAGTGATTCAGCCTCCTAAAGACCCCATTTGCTTTTTCTTTCGTCACATCACTGTTCTCTAGCATTTTGGTGAGAGAATATGGATAGGCTGGTTAAAGGGAGGCAAAGCAAAAAAATTAAAAAGCCACTTTGCCATTTCTTAGCAGTTCTAGTGGTAACATTTGATGGTTGAGGAGATTGAAACTGTCATTATTGCTGAAAATTTAAGAATTAGTTGGCTGGTTGCAGTGGCTCACACCTGTAATCCCAGTACTTTGAGAGGCCGAGGCAGGAGAATCGGTTGAGCCTGGAATTCCAGACCAGCTTGCCAGCCTGGGCAATATAGTGAGACTTCGTCTCTAACAACGAAAAAAAAAAAGAGTAAGAATAAGAATAAGAATTATCTATGCATTTGAGTGAGCTCTGTTTCTTTCTCTTCACTGGGAATGAATGTATTTAAGTAGAATTTTTTTTTTTTTTTTGAGATGGAGTTTCTCTTGTTGTCCAGGCTAGAGTGCAATGGCACAATGTTGGCTCACCGCAACCTCCACCTCCCGGCTTCAAGCAATTCTCCTGCTCCAGCCTCCAGAGTAGCTGGGATTACAGGCATGCACCACCACGCCCAGCTAATTTTGTATTTTTAGTAGAGACGGGGTTTCACCATGTTGGTCAGGCTGGTCTCAAACTCCTGACTGCAGGTGATCCTCCCACCTCAGCCTCCCAAAGTGCTGGGATTACAGGCATGAGCCACTGCACCGGGCTTAAGTAGAAATATTTTTTAAAATGTGATGTGGTCAGATGTTTGCTGGCTATTGAAATATTTTAGGGCAGTAGAGTGGTATATGGATGATGGCTGGTGGGTGGCTGGGAGGAAGGCTATAAGTAACATTTCTTAAGTTGATTTCATTTTTCCATGAATTGCTTAAGTCCCTCTTTGGTTAGAAATCTGATGCACTGGGAGGCATATGTCCTCTTCCAAGCTACCAGCGAAAAGAATACTGCATACTTAGAGAGCACTTTCACATCTTTCAAAGCACCTTCCCAAACATTGTTTCGTTTGATCCTCACAATCAGGTATCTTGATAGGTTGCCCTTCAGTAGATGATGAAACAGAGGTCCAGAGATGCTAAGGGACTTACTCAGACTCACAAAGCTGGTCATCAAGAGAGGGAGGACGAGACTGAAGGACTCTATACTGCCTGGCAAATGTGATTTCAGTGACACCTTCCTGCCTTAAAAGTAATTCAGCCTGACATACCCAGGCTATGATGCATACATAAAATGGCCTCATAGTATTTGTGTCAATTTTGTAGGATAAGGGGTCTTAGGACCACTTACATTGATTGCTTCTTCTAGTTCCTGAACAATAATTCCCATCAGAATTAATGGGGCCAAACAGCAGTGCTTTTGATGAGTAACTGATGGTATTCTGCCAGCAACAAAAGCACCAATATTTTCAATTTATAACTCTATAAATAAGGATTTTTTGAAAGTCCAGTATTGTGCTAGGTAAACTCAGTTATAATTATTAATGTCAGTGAATACTACTAAGGCCTAGGCCGTAGACTACTTACAAGACTACTTGTGGATCACCAATAGCTCAGCAATAGAAAGTGAGAGGTAGTGGTGTGTAGTGGAATCAGATTGATCATGATTTTGAATCCAGGAATCACTGCTTGCTGTGGAACATAAGACTCTGTTTCTTTATCTACAAAATGGGCACACCTGTCATGCAAAGTTGTTCCAAGGAATATGACTTGTGTAGTGTAGTAGGTTCAACTCATTGGTGTCCCCAAAATAGTAGACCTCTTCACTATACAGTTGGAGAATCAGTGTTACAATGGCTTGCACTACTGATTGTGTCTCCCTAGGCACTTGTAACCAAAGAGGAATTTAGGCTGCTTCTATATAGATACATCCTACAAAGTATTATGGCCATACTACTCATATTGATCATTTAAACAATAGAGGTGAAAGATGCCAAAGTTGTGGGGTTCAGTTGTTCACAAGTAACGGCACTGTTACTTGTGGAGATGGACAAAAGGGTTGAATCCTGAGGACTTGGTGATCACTTAGGCAATCAATTCAAGGCACTAGAGAAATGTGAGTTCTGGTGTCTATGAAATAGATGGAGAGGACAGAAAACATATGACGACATCTGATTGGTTTACCTAAGACTTAGTATCATTTCTGGGATTCTTCCATGGGCTGAATGAAACAAAATATTGCTTCAATTATTTAGAAAAGCCGTTTAAAATCTCAGTTCTGATCCTGTCTCTGACTCACAAAGCCAGATGCTTTTCCTTGGTTAACAAAATTACACAGTTTTGGTGTGTACAGCTGGTCATGGCCAAGACAGTGTGTACTAGACATAGTGAGGTTGTGTGTATTTCTAATATTCAGTCCCTCCTGGAGAGTTCAACTGGCAAACCCATTCAGAAAGGAGAGAGGCCCACTTACAGCTGAATACAGACCAGGCCATTTAACCTGAATCAGTCACAATGCCCTGCGTAGGGAAAATGACACTTCTTTTCTTTTATACCAAAGGCCACTGGACTCGGTGGAATACTTAGGTCCAATGAAATCTATAGAAGAGCAGGGATGATTGATTTGTTCATTCAACTGATATTTGTTGAGCCTACTCTTTGTAAGGCACTGCTCTAGGCTCTGGCGTTAGAGAGATGAAAAAGACAAGAAATGCACATTCTAAAGTGTGAGACAATCAAGTAAATAGGTGATTTGCAATATAGAGTAATAAATGCTAATATAGGGTGCAATGGGACATTCTCCATTGCTAGGATAATAACATTTTGATATATTTCCTACATTATCTTTATATTTTCCTAATTAATTAATTAATCCATTCAAGAAAGCAACATTTATTAAGCAATTATAGCATAGAATGATAAGTGCTATGATGTGGCAAATATAAGATTCTATAGAAATTTCTCTATATTATGTTACTTACATTGTTCTTTATATTATTTCATTAAACCATTCTTTCATTTGTTCATTAATTTATCCCATTAGCAGTTATTATACATTTAGAATGTGCCAGATAATGTACTACTTCCCGGGGATCAAAAATAATAAAACACTTGTTTCTTGAACCCAGGGAGCTTACAGAAATACAGACAAGTAAACAGGTAATTTCAATTCAGAATAACATCCTATTCCTGAGCACGTTACATTCTTACTCTCCAGGTTGGGACAAAAGGGTACTACATAGTAGGTTCCTCTGTTGGGTTACCTGTGTCAAACCCAGTCCCTTTATGAGCTGTAGATCCAGTTACAGGGCTTACTCTCAAAGGGATTATAGACGAGTCCACTCAGACCTGTTGCGTGCTAGCTGTACTCACTCTATCACACTTTGAAATTTATCACCATGGCATTAGATCAAGTCAGCAAGCATTGTTGGAGTATCCACTATGTGCTCAGCTGTGTGGCAGGGACCATGGAGATTCCAAATAAGTTTAAGACGTAACTTCTGCCCTCAGAGAGTTCACAGTCTAGTTGGGGAGCTAAGATCACCCACAATGATTTCACGGGCAAGCAATACAAGATAGTTTCTGATCACCTGTCGCTTTGTAGACTCCTAAGAACTCCTTTCTCCTCCTTTAATGGCAGCCTTACATTTTATGTAGATTTGCCATTGAACCCTCAAAATTTAGTGCTGAATGGAAGATAGCTCTTGTATCAGTGTCCAAACCTAGCCACATCTGAACATTGTTGGCTCTAGAAGCTAACAGAAATATGACTTTGAATGCAGTTAGGTAGGCAAGGTAAAGGGAATGGAACACTAATCAAGAATTGGAACTCAGTTTACAGTATTGCAGAGATAATCTTGTGTAGAATTGTATATCATTATTTACTTGTCCTCTGATGTTGGCTGGGAAATCAGCTATGTGGATTTTGTGGTTTCGTACACAAATTTGAGGGGCAAAGTGGAGGATGCCTTTGCTGTTTACAGAAGACTTTTGTAGAATTATTGATGTCAGGTATCTTTTACATATTTTAAACTGAAAGGTGAGGTTTGCATTCCTTGGTATCCTGGTTTATTTTACTCATAGACTTAGTGTATATGTGAATGAATTAGAGGGCGTGTGTATGTGTGTGTGTATGTGTGTGTGTGTGTGTATGAGGGCGTAGAAAAGAGTGAAGAGAGAGGAAAGGAGGTTGAAAAAGAAGGAAAATGGAGAAGAAAGATAGTAGGTTTGTCAGTTTGCTAAGATCTTTCTAAAAATAGTCCAAATTTTTTGAGAGGCTCCTTAGTAAGGCAAATGATTTTTCTTCCGGTCTTATGGAATGGAGACATGCCTACTGGTGTCTCTGGATGCTGGAAAGTGTTATTCCTTTGTACAGCAGCATTGCTGCATTACCATTTTTGTCACCTGGCTGCAGTCATTATTGGAGGAAGAAAATGCAACTCATTGCTTCTACTGGAAATGGAGACTTGGGTGAGGCTTCTTCTTGCCTCCAGGAGGGGTGAAATGGCCCAAACACCCAGTGTCTTTGTGCAGTATTTTTAAATTTTAGTTTTCTGATGTTGAATGTTTCTGAGCTGACAGCTGTAAGGGAGTGATAGTAGGCAAAAACTTAGAGAATTCCAGTCATAGGTCCGTAGGGATTTAAATTTTGGTTTCAGTCTCAATCTTGAATTCTATTTTCTACCTTTCATCAGCAAACTGTAGTTTCTTTGATATGAGGCATCTAAGGGGTGTGTGTGCATGCTCTGCTATAGCCACTCATGCAACAGTCTTCATAAGTAGTGACGTAGCCGTGGAAGAGCTTGCAGAACAAGAATGTGTGTGGCAGCCAAATTGAATGCTTCCAATTATCCTACAAAAAGTCTGAATGCATGGTCATCTTAGTGGAAATAATGAAAATAAAACATCAGTTAGGCTTTGAAAAAAAATAGCCCAGTACACTTTAGTTCCTAAAACAGAGTTTTAAAGTTAGAGATTTGCAGTGACTTGAATGAAATTCTGGGCTAAATTAGACAGCCACAAACCTATCAGGTAGTAGATTCAGAAGGCACTAAAAAATAATAGGTATGATAAGGCTGGTTTGGATAGCATGGAAATGACACAAAGCATCACCTCTAATTAAAAGAAACCAACAAACCCTTTAGTGCGCGTCTTGTTTGTTTGTCTCCTTATTACAGTAGGGTCTTGGAATCATTTAAGTCCTATCCCTAAGGGTCAAAAGTAACCCTGAAGGAGAAAGCAATGAGAAACAATGCAGCCCACATCTTTTCGAGCATTCTCATTTCAGTTTTCTTCAAAAATCAAGGGCTCAATTTCTACCAGCAGTCATTCTAGGGCCACCCATTGCCTACATTGTATCTTATTGGCATGTTTCACCTCTAGCTGAGACAGCCGGTTTCCCAGTGGGGATGGGCTTGCAAGATGTGTTCCAGAATAAACTGTTCCTCTGTTGTCTCCATGCAACTGCCACAGAACTGCAGAACTGAGTTAGTTTACATTAGTATCTGCTAATTTATTATTATCATTCCTTATCGGCAATTAACTGGTTACCTTAGAGATCACCTCTCTCCCCGTACACCTTCACTGAAGTTGAGCTCAGCCAGAGCTCTTGCTAATCATCCTGAGATTTTTCTCCCCAAGGGGCTGGAGGCAGGACATTTTCCACAGAGGGCTCTAAGGCTTTGGAATTCCTCTTATCAGAGGACCACTTGTTTTGGGTCCAGGTGGCTCCACCTGGTTTTTTCTCTGATTGTCAGTCAGACTTACAAGGTAGGATGAGCTGCAGACCTCTCTCTCCCTAACCTTGCCCCAGCTTGTGCTGTGGCTTGGGCTTATTGTGCCCAGCGCAGAAGCTAAGGGCTTAGGGGATTGCTTGTTAGGAATTAGGGGACTGAAAAAGGATGAAGTCACCTCCTGGCAAAGCTGGAGTCTTTCAATTGTGGCAGTGCTGTGGCTCTTAGGCGTCTGCCTCGAGTTTCAGATGTTGGCCCCTCTGCATGTGTACCTCAGCTTCCAGGATTTAGGGGAGGCCAAGCTTGGTTGAATCGAGTGTCTCAGATTTGGGTAAATAAAGCCGTTTTTACAAGAGGCCTGTGTGTGAGAGGTGGGAGGATGGCTCTGGAGCAGCCATTTTCCCCCACGGAGAAGAGGCTTGATTTCTTGATGCGTGACTGGCTGGCCTTTGATGTGAGCCTCATTTACTTCGAACAATTGAGAGGCTTGAAGTGAAAATCCCAGAGGATCAGTTGTTTGCAGAGGGAAATGCTCTTCAAGTTACATTTCCTATTTGGCTGTTGTGTATTTAGAGTAGTTTTTGTGTGGGCTGCATAGTGGGGTCACTCAGCTTCTAGTGGGTGTACCCAGGCTGCTAGCACCTCCCTGTGCCCCCCAGGGGAATGATGAGGAACATTCCTGCAGCTGTGGGGACAGCAACTCTGCCAACTCCGGGAGCTTGAGCTCCTGTGCAGAAACCTTACTTGTTATCATTAGGCATATTGGTTAGGACCACACAGCTCCACAGCATTTCTAGAAGAGGTGTCAGAATGGACCAGTGTTTCCACTCTACAGTAATGAAAATGGAAAAGGCAAATGACTTACCCAGGCACACAACATTTGCGGCCAAACAAGCCTCCATTTTGCTTCACAGTAGTTCCTCTGGTGCAGCTTCCAAGCGTTTTCTGTCACATAATGAAAAACCTGACAGGACTCTCTAGGAGGACCTGCGGGTATACTTTCGATGGTAGTTGTGTTCCTGAAAAGCTGGTCAGCCAAAGGGTGTTTGTTTTGTAAATTAGACCCCATGCTAATCACAGCAGTGGAATTCTGTATTTAAAGAAAGCCTGTGATGGATCCTTTCATAAAGGAGAGTCCTTATATAATGTGAATAATCAACTCCTAACTGATTTCTTTTGTAAGTCTGGATTTTCACATATCTTGTTTGCTTAAAATTAGATTCCTCAGGCCGGGCGCGGTGGCTCACGCCTGTAATCCCAGCACTTTGGGAGGCCGAGGCGGGCGGATCACGAGGTCAGGAGATCGAGACCATCCCGGCTAAAACGGTGAAACCCCGTCTCTACTAAAAATACAAAAAATTAGCCGGGCGTGGTGGCGGGCGCCTGTGGTCCCAGCTACTTGGGAGGCTGAGGCAGGAGAATGGCGTGAACCCGGGAGGCGGAGCTTGCAGTGAGCCAAGATCCCGCCACTGCACTCCAGCCTGGGCGACAGAGCGAGACTCCGTCTCAAAAAAAAAAAAAAAAAAAAAATTAGATTCCTCAAATTGACAAGATTTACAAAACCTTTGAAAGGTGGGCCAATTCATTTTTCCCTTGATTGAAATCTGGCCCTTGAATCCTCACTGGTTAGCCTTCCTGTTTGATTTTTACTTAATTAAACAACTTGCAACTATGTAATATTTAAAATATAGTGTCCAGAAAAGATGGGTACGTGTCATTGAAATTTAACAAGTATTAGCATTTAATATTTGCTTCAGATTCTAAAAAAATGAAATAAAATATGACAGCTGCCATCTTCCCATCCTTTTCTCTCCTTTGTAAATAAACCCTTGGCTCAAAGAACAGAAGCCCATCACGAATTTTTTTTTGTCTTCACCTGTAGAGCTCGTTCCTGAAGAGATGGCTTCCCCTTTGCTGTCTCAGATTATGAAAGCTCCCCAAGTCAGTAAGGATTTCCTGGATTGGGTAGAGCCTGGGAATTACTTTGGAAAGTGAAAGAGCTCTCTTAGACTTGCCTTTAAATTCAGTGTTTGGGGAGGGAGAAAAATCACTTTTCAGAATGGGGAAAAAATGAGAATGAGAGTGAGACAGACAAATTGACAGACACATGTTAGGTCCAGCTACCTACAGAATTTTGAGCAGACCCTTTGGGACTGAAGCAGGCAGGAAGCTTGGTGTCAAGTCTGTGTTCTCCTTGAGCTCAGTGTTCATGGACTAGCACCGCGGCTTCTTTTTGTTGTTGTTGTTGAGACGGAGTCTCACTTCGTCACCTAGGCTGTAGTGCAGTGGTATGATCTCGGCTCACTGCAACCTCTGCCTCCCGGGTTCAAGCGATTCTGCTGCCTCAGCCTCCTGAATAGCTGGGATTACAGGCATGCACCACTATGCCCGGCTAACTTTTTGTATTTTTAGTAGAGACAGGGTTTCACCGTGTTGGCCAGGGTGGTCTCGAACTCCTGACCTCAGGTCATCCACCCGCCTCTGCCTCCCAAAGTGCTGGGATTACAGGCATGAGCCACTACGCCTGGCTGCATCTTGGCTTCTTAATGTTAGATGCTTAAGCACTGTCTTGATGTGCATAGTCTTCTGATGCTCCATTAAGTCTCTGAGTGCCAGGGTGGCCAGTTTTCAGTTTCTCCCACTGGGCCCCATCTGGCCGCTGTTCTGTGGCAAGCTGCTCTCCCTCACTGCCACCAGCACTGGCCTTGGCGGTCTCTGCCTTCTGGATTATTTTCGCTCCCAAATCTGATTTCCAGAGCATGAAGGGCACCTCTTCTCAGATTGTGTAGTTTGCTCTTCTGAGCAAAATGGATTCCCTGTGTAAGCCGACAGGAAGAAAAGTTCAATCCAAAGGCCAGATCCCTCTTTAGGGGAGTTTGTGTGTGTGTGTGTGTGTGTGTGTGTGTGTGTGTGTGTATGTATGTATGTGTATGTGTGGGAGAGGGAGAGGGGGAAAGGAGAGAGAGAAAGAAGCAGGAGGGAATAAAATGAACATTATCTGCTTCTCTCACTCACTTTTTTTGCCTCTGTGATGATGGAGCCTTTGCCGGCTGGGCTGACCGTACACATGTCTATGATATTAGGTCCTCAGAGCCCCCTTCCCAACTCTTTGACATTCTGCTGGTTGTCTCCCTGAGGAAATGCTCATAAGCTTAGTTACAGCAGGGTGTGATCCCCCAAATGTGAGGCCATGACACCCCAATTTGATATAGCTCAAGGATAGATCTCTCAGAGACTCTTTTTAATTGAGATCTCGGTGAGTAGGAAGCAGCCAAATAATCATTGCTGTGCATACAACTCAGCTTAAGAATACCTTATAGTGCATATTTTCAATTTATTAGAAATTATTTTCTGAGGCTTGCTTTCTCTTTTTGTTTCTTTTGGGCACAATTCTGTATCAAGCTTTCCTCTTCTTTAATTCTCTTGGCTTGAGGGAGTCTGCTATGGACTGCCTATGTGTACAGGTCGTTTGCTATAAAACCATATCTTTTCTAAGTGAGAAGAATGGACAGGGAGACCCTGTCAAACTGCATTCAGAGGGATTGGCTTAACCTTTAAGAGGCTTTTTTATAACTAAAAATGTCCGTAATCTAGCATTCATATTTGAAACTTGACATGCTTGAGGGAGGCAGGGCTCTGGAGATACAGGGACGAACAGAGGCATATGGCTACAGGTAATGGTGAACGGCTTGTTGGAAGACTGATTTCCTCCTCTGTTCTGCCAGGCACAGAGGCCATGGTAAGGACACAGACACACTGCACTCATAAGACTGGCATTGACTATGAGCTTGCTGTTCTGATCATTTCTTTAATTAGTGCATTTCCATTTTTTCAAGTATAGACTTTTGAGTGATGGAGTATGCTAATGGTAACATTTGTTCCTAAAAGCTTAGGGGAGAGAACACAGTGGCATTCGTACTAAATAATGGTTTTTTCGTAGTGAAGATTTTGCCTGATTTTAAAATTGCAAAATAATTTTATGGTAGTTATGGCTTTTTGGAAACGAATCTCAAATACTACATATGAAACACCAATTTTCTGTGTGGCTTGTGCACTTACTAATGGCATGTGTGTGCTTACACTTCTAGGTCATTCTATTTTGCCTTTACTGGTAATTCTTTAGAAATAGAAAAAGAAGTGTGCTTTGTTGCAGTAAAAAATATAATAATTTTCTGAAATGGAAAGAAAGCTAACCTGCCTTTGCAAAAACTATGCATTATGTAGTGGCCTGATGGAGCAAAACCTTATAAAACTGGTAAGCTATAAATACCATGGCACTGGGCGTTGTTGGAATGACATCCGGGGCTTGGTCTTTGCACATCTGATCACCAGGTACCCTCAAGAGGAGATCATGGAAGGTGGAGAAAAATCCGTACCTGTAAAGGTTTGTGGCTATGCATGGTGTCATATTTGGAAATATGGGATCAAATAAATGTGTGTGATGTTTCCAACACTTTGCTGTCCTCACTCTTTGAGCCTAGCAAACTCTATCAGGACAGTTTTCTCTAGTGTGTGAGTGAGCCCAAGTGACTGTATCATCAAAGATAACCATCTAGAAATCTGCAGTTCTGAGGTAGGGGAGATCACTACCAAAACAGATGAAACAATTAAAAACCTCATAAAAGAGAAGCTTTAGTTTATTGAAGCCTGTTATTACTAGGGAAATCAGAATCCAAGACATAGAGAATTCTGAAAATTCCAGACAAATGCCAAACTACACCAAACCTGCAACAATATGTGAAGAGATTGGGTTGGGGGATCTCCAAGTTATCTTTCAGCTCTGGGTGTAAATGTGTGAATGTTTGCAGCATTGGTTTGAAGGGCTTCATATAGCTGCCTGCATTGAAGTTTGAGTCCATGTGATGACAATGGTTGCTCTGTAGGTGGTATTGAAGGCAGAGGACTTAGCTATGGCAGGTGAAACAATAGGTACAGCACATTAGCTTTTAATGAGGGCAGCATATTCTGTGTATAATCTGAGTTGTGAGTGTGCATGCCAAAACTCAGAGCCTCTCTGTTCAAATATGTCTTCCTGTCCAACGCGAGTTCTGCCATAAAGGCAGCAATGGGTATTCTAACCTTGCTTCATTTGGTTTGTACTTGTTCTAGGGATGAATAGGAGATGCACGCGTCTTGCCTGGCAAACTAGACCTTTCAGGAGAGCACAAATTCACTTAAACATAAATTATGTTGATTATCACTCTACCTAAAAATTTATAGAGCTGGAAGTCACCGAGATCTCCTTTTAAGTTGGGTATTCTTGAAAACTGTTTTGTATATCATGATAAATTATCTAACCTTTTATACAGTTGAAGGCCAACATTATGGAAATAAGCAGCTTTTTATTCCATTCTAAGGTCAGTCTAACCAAATTATGCAACTTCTAATGCAGTTGCTTGAAGCTTCCACTTTGAAAGTTTTTTCATTTTAATACCTTGCAACAGAGATAAATATTTTAGCTACTATTCATGCTTAACAATATATTTCACTGATTGTCATTCTCTTTGTGGGATTTGTTGGCGTGAGAGGCAGTCCACCATGCCTCTGCTCATTTTGATGTTTGTTATAGGTTATCAGAAAAGAGCCAGAATTCAATAAAAAATGTATTTTTGTTCTTGCTGTTATTTTTAATTTCAGGCCATAGGAGGCTGACTGAGCCCTACAGAATCAATATATACTTGGCACTTGGGGTTTGACTTAAGAGCCAAAAATGTGGTAGATTTTCTTTTAAACTAGATTTGATTCCAGAATTATTAAACCCAATGCATGTTGGAGGCTGATGGACTGCATCCAGCAGGATTTGGGGCACTTTCTGTAACAAAGCAATTTATTTCTTTCAGGGAGTCACTGCTACTTCAGGGGAAGGTGCAGTCGGTGGGGACGCCCTTGGAAGTTCTGTTCTATCCTAGGCTCCCTAAACAATAATTTGTAGGAGCTCCTTGATGGTAGGATCAACTCTATGCAGTTTCTTTTGGATAGTGTCAGGTGTTTATTAAATGTATTTTGTTACTGATGACTAGCTCTATAGTGGTTATAGTGCCCTGCTGTTAGAGAGTATTCATTTATTCTGGGTCAAACCTTGCCCTCTATGATGATTTGCCTCCAGACTTTAGTGAATGGACTTACTGTTTAGTAGTTAGGCTCTTTAAAAAAATATTTTGGCTTGAAAATATCCACTCATTCATCCATCCACCAAATATTTATAGATCATCCTTCACTGACCAGGCCTGTATTCAGCCCAGAGAGACATAGAGAAAGCATAAGTAGTACCTCACCTTGTAGTTTATATTGCCACTGAGGAGACAAGATAGAAGTTAAGCACATTTTCTTTAAGTCAATGAGAAAAGCAGAGATCATTTACTAAATGGTGCCATGTAATTGGTTAACAATTGGAAAAAATATGATTTATTTCCCACTATATGACAAAAATAAATTTCACATTTATTAAAGAGTTAATATGAAAACTCAAATAATAAAATCATTAGAAGAAAATATAAATAAATATCCAATTGATTTTGAAGCTGAAGAGGACTTCAAGAGCATAAAAACAATGAAAATGAGCACAAAGAAAAATACCAGCAGCTCTGACTATATAAAATTTAGGAATGTCTATATATCTACAAGTATCATAAACTAAATTAAAAAATAAGCCATAAGCTGGGAAAATATTTTAAATTTATAGCGCAGAGAACCTATATTTATTAATTTGTTTTTCAGCTTTATTGGGAGTGTAATTGACAAGTAGGAATTGTGTATATTTAAGATGTACAACTTGATGTTTTGACTCATGTATACATTGTGAAATGATTGCCACCATCAAACTAATTAACATAGCCTTTACCTCATATAGTTACCATTTTTTAAAATGGTGAGAACACTTAAGATCTACTCTCCTAGAAAATTTCAGGAATACAATACAGTATTGTTAATTATAGTCACCATGCTAGACATTAAATCTCCAGAACTTATCTTGTATAACTGAAACTTTGTATCCTTTGGCCAATATCTTCCTATTTCCCCCACCCACAACCCCTGGCAACCACCGTTCTGTTCTCCTTCTATGAAGAACCTGTGCTTATTAATTCATTAATTAATGCTTCAATTATTTATAGAGTGCTTACCACATGTTAGTCACTATTCAAGGTGCTAGGGATACAACAGTGAACAAAAATCTCTGTCTCCATTGAGTTTACATTTTTATGGACAGATGGTGATACGAAGAAAAATAAGGAAGTATGAAGCATACATGTTTTGTCGAGAATGAGGATTGCTCTAGGAAGGTCAGGGAAGACATCTCAAATAAGAGGACTTTTAAACAATACCCTTATATATAAAGAGCTCTTACAAAACAATGAAAAGACAAACACCCCAATATAAAAAATGTAAAATGAACACAAATGGGTAATTAATAAAGAAGCCATTCAAATGGCCAATAGATATATAAAAATATTTCAACCATAGTAATCAAATAATAGCAATGAACTGCTATTAATTTTTAATTGCAAAGATGATGCCTACTTACTACTAAAAAGTCAAGGAACACAGGAATGTGTAAAACAAAAGTTAAAGTCTCCACAACTATTTCCTCACCAATCTGTTACCTCAGGGGAATCACAGACAACGATTTGATATGTAAGATGTCATTTTGTACTTATCAAATAAGCAAAGATTAAAAAAAAAACAGTGATGGCAAGAGTGTGGTTATGATACACTGCAACATGGAGTATAATTTAAAAAATTGATATAATCTTTCCTGGGGGCAATTTGGCAATACACATTAAAAGCCCTAAGATATCTAATATTTCTACTTCTGGAATTTATCCTAAGGAAATAATTTTAGATCAGCGTAAAAATTCATGTACAGGGTTGTTAATCTCAGTATAATTTATGAGGATAAAACATCGGAAATATCCTAAATATCATCAATATGTTAATAGCTAAATATATTATGATATATACATATGCTAGAATACTGTGAAGCCAGTAGAATGTTTTGAGGAATACTTAATTACACATGAAAATATGGTATAATATACATTAATTGAAAAAATCAGAAAATAACACACATAGATTAATTCCAGTTTAATGTATGCATATATTATTCCAATTGTTTAACTATAATACAATATATAAATATATATAATATATAAACAATTCCAATTGTGTGTATATATATGTGCGTGTATGTGTGTGTGTACATATATATATTCATACACACACATACACATGCACATATGCACACACATAAGACTAGAAAGAAAATTACCAAAGCATTAACAGTTATCTCAGGTTGTAGGAAGTCAGGCAATTTTTACTTTTTAAATGGTATACTTTTTTAATTTTCCAAATTTTCTGCATTGAACATGTGTTATTTTTGACATCAGAAAAGCAATTACTTAAATTAACCGTAATACTATGCAGTAGGTATTAAGGGCCAAAAAGGTGGCATAGACAGTTTTTAATGAGTTATTCCGAGGAGGGGCAGACCAAAATGTTCCTTATTTTCATTTTCCAATTAGATCATACCAATTTTTTCTTCTTAATTTTCTTCTCTTGGAGGTCTCTCTCAGAAGGTAACAAGTATGAAGTTTTACATTTTAAAATAACTATTTTATTTACAGTTTACCTTTTAAATGTGAGAAATGTTATGAACAATATTTGTTTCCTTTTTCATTCTTTTTGTCCTTGTGTATACTCTTGTAAAAGTAGATTTGATTTGTCTCACCAGTGTTAGACATCTAGTTCACATACTTTATTTTTAGAATGAGAGGTTTTAAAATAGTAAAATTTAACTGCAACTTATACATATATTTAATACTATAGAAATGATATAGGCTTTATCTAAGGGCCACTTTTGGCAAAATATATTTTTTTCAGTGCCCTTTTCAGTACCAAATGGCCAATTTGGAGGGAAGTGCTTTTTTAGTATTCTCCAATACTTGATTTCATGTTCTTGCTTCTCGGCTCTGAAGCATCCTGTTTCAACATGATAGCCCCAACCATGTGGAACACAAAAAAGAAGGAGTCAATGATTTGGTGGTCATTGAGATGCTAAAAATTTTAAATTCAACCTTGACTAAATGCACTATTTGTGTTCTTTTTTCAACAAATTAGAATGGGTTCAATCCTTTTCTGAAAGGCAGATTTATTTGATTGCTTCCTCATCTAGTAACCTAGTTTTGGACAGCATAAATACAAAAGCCAACATCCTTTGGAACACCTCTTTAATTGATGGCTGTATAAACTTCTCACATCCTAAGCAGCACAGTTAAGGGCAAAATATTTAATTCAGTGGTCCTGTGTAGATAGACATCAGAACTACTTAGATATTGTAAAGAAAATTCTCATGGAAAAAAAACTCACACAGATGCTTCACTCTCCACCCCATAGCCAATGCATGAGAACCCTGTACAACATCACTCTGATTGTGAATGAAATCTTTGCTACAGGAAAGTGTCTGTGGCCTAATTCTGTAGTCTGTCCCTTGGATAAATGGAGACTATGACTTTCAGCAGGACTATATATTTCTTATATGTGCAACCATTTAACTAGATGGGTTTAAATTTGAATTATAAGGTTTTCATGTTACAGCATGGAGCATTTGATAGAAAGAAATATCTTGATTTTTTCATGTGAGTGGGCATGAAAGAAGGGTCTAAAAATTGAGGGACCTCCCACCCCAGCCTCCTTTGTAGTTCAGTTCCTTAAAGTAAAAGTCTTCATTTAAAGAAGTATTGAGAATGTTTGAAACTTGATTATGGAGCAACTTAAGATTCATATTTTCTCTTCAGATGGCTTAAAGTTGAGATTGTTTGGATTAGAAAAGAATTTCCATGAAATTAAAATATTTAATTGCAGTTAAGCCAGGATTTGGAAAAAGTTAATGTGATAAAGCAGAGTGTTCTAGCTGAAAAAAATTTATGTAATATTATGTAAATTCATATCAGCATGAAAGTTAATATAAAACCCCAGAAGGTGATAAGAAGATCGAAAGCAAGGAATTTTGTTTATTGAATTCAAATTCTATTTACACTTGCCAATCAGTGAGGGTTTTGGACTGGCTGTGAAGAGAGCCCTACTAAGCACACGATGCTTTATTCGATGTGTGTGAAGGCCTGACTCTGAACTTGCTTATGGGCCCCAGACAGACCAAAAGGCCTTGAGGTACCCTTAGCTCCCACCCTCCACTTCCTATGGCTGCTGTTCGCTAGGTCCCAAGAACAGAACTGATGGGATGATGTGACTGAAATGTTTTTATTTACCAGTGCCGATGAGGGAGATAGAACCATGTAGGGAGATATAGATACACAAAAGCTCCCTGCAACCAATACTAATCTCAATGAGTTGGTATTTTTGAAAACACATATATTAATGTCATGACTAAATAAATGCCCAATAAATGTTTGTTGAATTAATGAGAAAAACATCCATGGTTTTAATGTTTTAAAATTTTAGTTGAGATCATTCTATTTCTCTTTTCTCATCTTTACATTATGTTATAAGATTTTTTCTTTTTTTTTGAGATGGAGTCTCACTCTGTCACCCAGGCTGGAGTACAGTGGCTCGATCTCGGCTCACTGCAAACTCTGCCTCCCAGGTTCAAAAGTTCCTCCTGCCTCAGCCTCCCAAGTATCTGGGAGTACAGGTGCCTGCTACCATACCTGGCTAATTTTTGTATTTTTAGTGAGACGGGGTTTCGCCATGTTGGCCAGGTTGGTCTCGAACACCTGACCTCAAGTGATCCGCCTGCCTCGGCCTCCCAAAGTGCTGGGATTACAGGCATGAGCCACCATGCCCAGCTAACATTTTTTTCTATGTCATTAGAGAATATTTATAAGCAATTTTTTAGTGGCTGAATTGTATTCTGTTCTACAGATAGGGTTTAGTTTTACTCAAACAATCGCTAGCATTGAACTTTGAGGTTATTTAAATTTTTGTTTTATATAAATAACACCATGATGGCTATCCTTATATATAAATTTTGTTGTGATCTCTGATTGTTTGCCTGTAATAAGTTCTCTACAAGTGAAATTGTTTTATCTGAGGGTTTATATATTTTTAAAAGTGGTATTTCCCCCAGATAAGTTGTAGCAATGTGTACTCCCACTGACAGTGTATGAAAGCCCATTTCACTGTACTGGCAAAACATTATTATAGTTTTAAACGTCACCACCACCAATCTGGTGAAGCTGTGGGAAAACAGGCAGTCCCATGCATTATTGGTGGGAGTATAATTTTTTTTTTTTTTTTTTTTGGAGACAGAGTCTCACTCTGTCGCCCAGGTCTGAGTGCAGTGGTGTCATCTCCATTCACTGCAACCTCCACCTTCCAGGTTCAAGCGATTCTCCTGCCTCAGCCTCCCAAGTAGCTGGGATTACAGGTGCTCACCACAACGCCTGGCTAATTTTTGTATTTTTAGTAGAGACAGGTTTTCACCCTGTTGGCCAGGCTGGTCATGAACTCCTGACCTCAGGTAACCTGCCTATCTCCACCTTCCGAAGAGCTGGGATTACAGGCGTGAGCCACCGGGCCCGGCCTGGGAGTATAAATTAGTACCAGTCCCATAGAGGGCAATTTGACAATATCTCTCAAAATTACAAATGCATGTACACTTTGACCCAGCAATTCCACTTTTAGGGATTTAATCTTATAGATATGCTTGACCACATGAAAAATGATGTATATACAAGGTTCTTCATTGATGTATTACATGAAATAGCAACAATGGAAACAATGTGTATGTCTGTCAGTGGAAAGTTTTTTTTAAAGGAGTGTTTTATATATTGATATGGAAAATCTCTAAATATATTGTTAACTAAATAAAAGGAAGATTCAAAAAAAAGCGTAGGGCACACTATTATTTCTGTGAAAAAGGGAGGGAAAAAGAGAATATATATCTTATTGGTTTATATATACATGAAATTGTATGGAAGAATAAATAGGAAATTAATTAGAATGGAGACCTGTTGGGAGAATGGCCAATAAGAGGATAGGGGACAGGGGTGGGAAGGAGAATTATTAGTTTCATAGATGGAAAATGAGTATCTAATTTTAGTGGAAATTTGTATTTCTTTGATTACTAATATATATATTAAGGTAAATCCCTGGTTTAATTTATTGGAAATACTTTTCTTCAGTTTGTTGAATGACTTTTAATTTGTTATGCTTATTTTTGACATAGTGTTTTGGAATCATATGAAAAAACAATTTGTCAGTGCTTTAATCTGCGATTTCTTCTGTTGCTTTTAAGCTATTCAACTTTCTACCAACAAAGAGACTATATATATAATATTTCTTCCAGTATTTTTATGAATTCACTTTTACATTACATTTTAAATTCATTAGGAATTTATTTTGACATATAGTTGGAAGTATGATGTAAAAAACATTTTCCTAGATGGTTAATTGGTTGAGTTTGTACCATTTATTGTTTATTTCTTCTTCTTCACCGTAACTTTCTGGTGCTTCTGAAAAACATGTTGAGTTTTTATAGAGACTAGGCCCTTTCCTGGGCTATTCATTTATTTTCCACTGATCTGTTTGTCTACTATACCAATACCACACTGATTTGATTATTGATACTTTATAATAGATTTTAATAGATAGTAGGTTTAGTTTCTCCTTATTCTTTGTCTTTAAAAAGAGTTTCAATTTTTCTGTTTATTGTTTCAGATGAACTTTGGAGTCATGTTAAGTCTCAAAAATGATTATGTTGGGATTTTGATTGAAAATGTACCAAACTGATAAATTTAGGAACAATTGACATGTATATAATATTTAGTCTTTTTATCTAGAAATATGACATCTTTCCATTTAGTCATGTTTCATTCTAATGTCATCAGTATATTTACATAGTTCTCCTTACATTTTTTGTTAAGATTACTTCTGGCTATTTAATGGTTTCACTGTTATTTTGAGTGGGCTCTTTATTCCATTACATTTTCTAATCAGGCAAAGCTGGCAGAGTACATACGAGAGCTCTTGACTTTTGCATCTCTATTTCGTATGGAGCGCTCCATGTTTTCTTAGATACGGTTTGTCACTTGAGTGTTCATGTAATAGTTATTTTGATTTATTGCATCTTTGCTTTTAGAAGTTAGAGTCAGGAGCCAAGTGGCTTTAGGGAAATTACTTCCTCTCTGTGCCTCAGCTTTCTTATCTGTAAAATAAGAGTAATGGGACCTACCTCGTAGATTCTTGTGAGGATTCAATGTGAGTGTTCAAGCACCTGGCACATAATAAGCCATCAGTAAATGTTAAGTAGCTATTACTATTATGATCTCTTTTTGACTAGGAAAATATCTAATTTGTGCCTCTTAATCTGGAAGGAGGCAATCAGATTCTTACTGCCTCTAGCAATGTACTGTAGAGGGCAACACAATTGAATTTTGAAATTAAAGAAAACTTTCATTTGCCTCTATTCTGTTACTGCAAACAAATTCCACCTCAGTGTGCTTTTCTGCTTTTAGTTACACAAATTCCTTTTTACATCACAGTATTCTTTTCCTTAGTGGCTCCTTCAGAGTTTCTCATTGTTCCTTACTGTGACACCCATCTCTAGTTCAAATGTGAAGTGGGAGGAGGTCCTACGTGAATCAGAGTTAGCTAGATGTGCTGGCCAGAGAGCCAGAAGCCCTCTTCTGATGTTATCCCTTAGTATTTTCTTTCCAGAGTCAGTGGATATCAATTTAGGCCTTAATCTGGCATTTTTCAACCTTTCTCCTGCATGACTCTGTGCTGGGTATCTCCATTAGCTAGGAAGCTCTGGAGATGGCAATTTCATGGACCACTGGCTTGGGGTTGTGACCTGCACTTTAATAAATACTACCCCAAGCCTTTCTTATCCTGTGACCTGCTGCTTCCGCAGACCTGGGCTCTGTTTCAGGGCCACTGCCTTTTCTTCTTTCTTTCATGCAAGTGACTTACAAATGAATTTTAAATAGCCAGTTCATGGTGAGGAACTTTTGAGATCATGTTCCCAGGACTATGCTCTGTCTCAGACATGTTTTACTTCTACCCAGGAAACCAGCTTCTTGTATCTCTTATCCAAGAATATTTTATACTCTTTTCTCAATTTTGGGGTGAAGTGTAGTGGCCTAGGGCAGGGACTCCAATTTCACTTTGGCAACTTGTGGAACAATTTATGCTTGTGGGGGGTTTTAAGGAAGTGCTAGGTGGCTTGGGGAGGGGGAGAACAAAAGCTTGGTTATCTGTTATAATATTTAACCTGAATGTGAAATGTGTGAACTCTGCCAAACAGAGTCTCACTGTAAGTGAAGCATTGCCAAGAAAATAATAGGTAGGTGGTTGTGTCTATTTCTTTTTTTTTTTTTAAATTACTGGATATTGTTCCCAATAGTCAGCAGTTGAGTACTAACCATTTTCTGTTCATTTCAGTACAGGCTGATTATTTTCCTTCTCTAGCTTATAGAGTTGTAATCCATGCACGTATAATTAAAATGATATCCAAATGCAGTTTTCCTTTGAATTTGTAGTGGCTGTGTGTGTAGGGAAGGTTGTTGCTTTGCTATAAACCACAGACCCAGAGTAAACCTCAGCTGTGCTGCAGCTATTTTGGACGACAGCTTTCTAGTTGCTTGTGTGTAATTGCCCATATTACATCATCCCAACCATTGTGAAATGTGCAAAATACAAGGCTTATCTAATGATTCATTTCAGGTGGACAGTTTCTTTTAAATTAATTTTAGGAGTGGTTCTCTGCACTAAACAGATCTCCCTACTTTGTTCTTGCTTTTTTGTTCAGGCCTACGGTAATTTAATGGTTGATAATTGATGTAGCAGAGAGAAGTGTATCATATTCATTGTGCCAGTAACCTTTACAGTCTACCTAAAATGTTCCATGGGATGTGCTTTCTCTTGGCGTAAGTAAAGAACCAAGGGGAGAAAAATTCCCTCCACAGCATATCAAGTAAGCATTAACCTCAAATGAAATTAATTTCCCTGTCATTGAGTAGCAGAGAAAAAAGCTATCTTCAACGGCTACAAGAGGCTTGGTCTTACTGGGGTTTCAGTTTGTCATATTATACTGTCTTTCATTATCACAGACATATACTATAGGGAAGACTTTCAATGTCTCTGTTGGTGGATTGCACTAACTCATCTTTAAGTCAGGTATGTGAAATTCAAGTAAGCCAAGACCTTCCAGTTTTTTTCTTATCAATGTTGAACATTCATAGGCTAGGTAATATTACATGTTTAGTCACCTACTAGTAAGATGAGGTGTTTACAACTAATATTTATCTTTGGCCTTGGACCTTCTACGTTGCTCACAGAGTACAGTTTTGTAAAATGCTTTATAGGTAATATTTCAAAGTGGACAAAAAAAGAAGATTGCTTAGAACCAGAAAGGTCAGAAATAGATCAAATAATCCTGGGACTTTTTATTGCTGAATAATGGACTTTGTAAATATCACATGTGACTATTAGACCAAATGAGACTACATAGAATTCAATATTAATTGGTTCAGTATCCGCTGATGGCCTGTTTGCAGGATTCAATGAAATTATATTATCAATACAATGTTTTATTGATTCCTTGGTTTGCAAAATTAAATAAACATAGCGTAAGCACTTGCAGTGGTAAGTTGTAGCAGGGAAACGGGTTTTGATTTGGAATTTGAAAACAAAATTAAAGGTGATTGAAGCAGAAAGCAGGCTGTGGCATAACATTTCTGCCAGCACTTTTGAAGTAACTGAATATATCTGGGTGTTTGGGAGGAATAAGAATCAGAGAACAGAGACTTTGGAGGAAGTGTTTCAAAATGCTTTCTTAAGGGTTATTTCAATACTAGCAACTCATTTTGTTGAATAGTTTAGTTTGCTTTACTATGGATATATTAATTTATTTCATTCTATGCTATTTTTTTCCAGTATCTATGCCATTCTTTGTGTTGTTCTAGATAATGGCTAAATAGTGGTCAGCAAAACTGACATAGTCCCCTGCCTTCATGGGGTGGGGGGACAAAACACCAACAATATAAAATTATAATGCTATGAAAGAAAAGAGCATATTATTATGAAAGAGTAAAATGGGGAAACTCAACCTAGTCTGGGGGAAGGGAAGTAATATTTGAGCTGACCCTTGAAGGGTGAGCAGGAGCTGTGAGGCAAAAAGGTGGGGGACAGGAAGATGGTTGACGGCTGGCTGTTGACATTAAACTCTTGGCCTAATCTCAGGGAACCATTTCCCACCCCTCCCCCACCAAGGTGGTCTGAATTTGAGTGCCAAAGTCTTGAATCCAACACACAGCCATTCGTTAAAAAAGTGGAAAGAGGCTGAGGCAGGAGGTGGTGGTTGTGGTAACACACAGAGTCTACCATGAATTCTGAAAAAATCAAATTCATTTCAGAAAAGCAGCCATGAAAAGAATCTGTTTCAAAGTAAAGAAAGAAGCAGCCTGCAGCCAGCTTCAGATGGATGGTTTGTGGCTCAAATCCATTCCTCCAGTTACTGCTCGATGGCCCTTTTGAGTCCATGCCACCTCCCACCCCCAACCAATGTCAATGGGTGGTGTGCAGATGCAGCTCAGTAAGATAGTGTTTTAGGGCATGCAAGGCTCATCTAGTCACATTTATAACATAGAATCAGAGTACTGTCAAGGCAATATTTATCATTTTATATTCTTTCTTGGCTACTCTTGATAAATAGGAGGTCAAGGGCCTCTTCCTCTTTATATTCCCTCTGGATAAACAGACAGCAGTCTCCAGAGAAGAAAGGCGTCTTTCCTTCCCTATTTTCTGCTTCCAATCTGTTTCTTTTTCCCTCTTTCTGCTCCAACTTTTTTTCTGTGACGTTCTGTCTGACAGTCAGCAGAGGGCGTATAGACGCATCAAAAGCCAGCCTTTATTCAACTTGGCCACCGTAATTTCATTGTCTTTATCTCTTCATCTTTACATTCCTCAAAGGCAGGGATACATCCTGGCGTTTTCTCTTTGTAATAGTACCATCAAGGGCAACCATTCCTTACCTATTTTATAAAGGTGGGCAAAAGCTACTGTCTAGATAAAGGGAAAGAAGTTGTGTTCCTGAGAGCTGGGAGGAAATGTGTGTGTGTGTGTGTGTGTGTGTGTGTGTGTGTGTGTGTGTGTATGTGACAGATCTCAGAGTTGTTGGTGCCCTACGTGACTCATTTGGGAAGGACTCGTTTTGCCAATAGCAAAGCAGACAGTCTGGGTTCCTCTTCTTCTTTGCTTTCCCGGGGCTGTTGTCCTGATAGCAGCTGCCCTGCTTCCTGACATGTCCTAATAATGAAGATGATGTGGCCAGGGGGAGATTCATCTTCTTCCCTAATCTGACTTCTTCATTGAATTTTCCCCTTACTGAAGTCCAAAGAGGATTGTCCCCTCTTAACTGTGTGCCCTTTTTACTCTGCCCAAGGTCAGAGAATCCAGCTGTGGCCTGTCTGCCTCCCACATCTCTGGCTGCAGAGAGTGATCCATGTTTGTCTGTGACAGCTGTGTGAATGGTACGTGAGAGGCAGAGGAGAGCTGTAGTTTAAGCTGCTCCAAAGATGTCTTGGTATGGCAGTGCTGACGAAAGGGGAGACTTGTTTGTGTCGATGACATAATCAGAGAAGACATCCATGGCCCAGCTGCAGGGAGTGAAGAAGTGTGCAGCTTAGTATAGTCTTCTGACAAAAGCCCACACACTTCAGGTTTATCTGCCCGTAGTGCTAATCTCCTTCTGATGTCTTAACCTGACTTTTGTTGTAGTTTGTTCAGACGGTTCCAGTGACAGAAAGAATTGCTTGGCTTGTGGTGGTTATACTGGCTAGCACGTTAATACAAGTGCAGGGTGTTTTATAACCAACTAGTCTCATAATAACTACACATGAAGAACAGGCAAGGTTTAGTTTAGCATATTCTGCCTATTGGAAAGCATCAGACACGGTTATAGCTCCTCATAAATAATACTGATGGCTCCTAAAGGCCATTTTTCATGTAAATTTCCTTACTGTTAGTGAGCTTGAAAAAGAACCGTATTGACGAACAGGTTATTTTAAAAGTAGAATGATTACTCAATAAAATACTTTTCAGCTTTTTCCTTTGGGGCTCTGGGGTTCCCCCTTATCTCAAGGATCCACGTGGGCAGATTGCATGTTAGCTGGAGAACCCAATAGACACATTCTTATTTCCATGCCAGCAAAACACTAATAATCTAAACACAAAGGACATTTAACACAGTAACTGTTTCTGATGGAGCAAGTGGTACTGCCAGCTCGCTTTCTCTTGGATGGCTTCTGTACGGTGAGAGCAGGATTGGGAGTTGAGCCCAGGCTACTCCTTAGTTTGTGTGGTATAAATGAACAACTTAAGAATAGTGTTTGTATAGTCAGGGTCATTTCTGCCCTTTCTCAATGGACTTGAAATCCTGGGCTGAATATTTATCCAGCTTGGTTTTGTGTTTTTGGAACAAAGGAAATTTCCAGTGACCAGTCTGGTTAATCACCAACGCTTATTCCCTCTTCACCACTATTTCGTATTGGATTTCCTTCTATACCAGTACATTGGATTTCCAATCACATCGAACCCTATTTGGCTGCCTTCCATTCACAGAAGATTAGATTCCCTTACACCTCACTGCCTCTCAGGATTTTTCTCTCCACAACGTGTAGAGTATTAGGTTCCCTTACATGAGTTGCTGCTTGTTAAGTTGTGTTCAGTGCTGCGTAGTATCGAATTCTCTTTCTCATCAGCAGTCACTGGGTTGTTAATTACACACTTGCAGATTCACTTCTCCTGCACATGCTGTGACACACAGCTCTCCAAAGCTCTGAACTCACACTTCAATGCCTTAGCCATATCTGCCCAGATTCAGTTTACTTCAGCTGTGTGGTATTGAACACCTATGCATCAGTCTGGGCTAGATACTGCGGAGTTTACAAAAATGAGTGCTGAATAATCCTTGCCCTCAAAGAGTTTACAATCTACTGGGGTGGATCCAGGGCAGGGCAGTGCATAAGATGAAGAATTATGTGCGTGAAGGTTAAGTATTGGTTTTACTCTTTTCCTAGAAACAGTTTAGTATCTGGCGTATTTAAAGCACCTTAGAAGGCAACATGTTCATCATAATGCCATTATTGCCACCATTCTGTTCCATAATGGGAAGAAAACATTAAAAACACAATTGTGTGAAAAAAAACCCTTTTACCAGGTTCCAATGCAGTTATTGGTAGAGTTGGTAGAAAACTCTTAGGTCTCTTAACAAACTCTTTTAACAGCCCTGCCTTCATACAGACTTAAGACAGTATTAGAAATCATATAATTCTAAGAGACATAAATTAGGCATAGAGAAATAAACATTGCTATGTAGACTGTGCTCTAACATGCCTTGACATTACTTGCAAACTAGGATCTATCTCTGTTGTATTTCTTTTGGTACCAAAATACTGTGCAATTTTATTCACCCCTGGAAAGAGAGGGAACCAAAAGTAATACAAAGTGGAGCAAGTCATGGTTTCCCACAAGCAACAGAAAGTGGAGAAGGCATTACCAGTTGTGATTTTATTGCTCAGCATTCTCAACTTCATTGCAAATTCACAATCTAGTGTCTCACAATGGTGTAAATATTGCCTAATACCTTCTTCATGTAGCTTCTCATTCCTTGAATGCTTAACATGTGCCAGGCACTGTTCCAGATGCTTTACTGTAGAATCCCAGTTATTGCTCATCATAAATGAATCTTCTCTGCATTTGCTGTAGATAAAGAAAAAAATCTAAGTTACTGGCAACAAAGGGATGTGTTTTTATCCCTTTCTGCCAATTCAACCAGAGCACTTCATTAATGCCAAATTTCTAATTTGATGTGAACAGCACTCCTAGCATAGTCTGAAGCTTGAAATGACAGTGATTTAAAAAGAAAATAGTTTAGAAAAAGACCTAGCTAATAAGAAAAGCTATTTGCTATAGGAATTCAGTAAAAACCCAAGCTTTGGTTTAAGTTTTTTCTTTAACAATAAAATATTGTGTCATTTTAAAAAAAATCCCTGGAAGGAAGGGAACCAAAAGTAAGTCAAAGTGGAAAGAGGTCACAGGACCAATGCTTTTGCTGTCTACCCAATCTTTTCTAACTACTCATATGTATTGTGTGTCTAAAATTCAGAGTATGATATCTGTCTTTTCTTTTTTCTTTTCTTTTCTTTTTTTTTTTTTTTTTTTGAGACGGAGTTTCACTCTTGTTGCCCAGGCTGGAGTGCAATGGCGTGATCTCGGCTCACTGCAACCTCCACCTCCTGGGTTCAAGCGATTCACCTGCCTCAGCCGCCCAAGTAGCTGGGATTACAGGCATGTACCACCATGCCCAGCTAATTTTGTAATTTAGTAGAGACGGGGTTTCCCCATGTTGGTCAGGCTGGTCTCAGACTCCTGACCTCAGGTGATCCACCCACCTTAGCCTCCCAAAGGGCTGGGATTACAGGCATGAGTCACTGCACCTGGCCGATATCTGTATTTTCTAACCTAATTGTGTAGCATAAAGAGACTTTATTAGTATGGAAAAGTGACAGCAACATTTAGAACTCATTTTTCAAAGGTGTGTTACTATTCAAAGCCTTTGGACCATAGCACCATTTCATTAGAATAATAGCATGTTGATCCTCAATTGAAATGCCCTACTTTCTTGTCCATGGTTATCACCAGTAGTCAGGGAGGTTTTCTTTTCCGAGGCTTGTCTTTAATCATATAGGGCTTGGGACTGTACTAGTTCAACCACTGTGGAAGACATTGTGGCGATTCCTCAAGGATCTAGAACTAGAAATATCATTTGACCTAGCCATCCCATTACTGGGTATATACCCAAAGGATTATAAATCATGCTGCTATAAAGACACATGTACAGGTATGTTTATTGCGGCACGATTCACAATAGCAAAGACTTGGAACCAACCCAAATGTCCATCAATGATAGACTGGATAAAGAAAATGTGGCACATATACACAATGGAATACTATGCAGCCATAAAAAGGATGAGTTAATGTCCTTTGTAGGGACATGGATGAAGCTGGAAACCATCATTCTCAGCAAACTATCGCAAGGACACAAAACCAAACACCACATGTTCTCACTCAGGTGGGAATTGAACAATGAGAACACTTGGACACAGGAAGGGGAACATCACACACCTGGGCCTGTCTTGGGGTGGAGGGAGGGGGTATATCTAATGTAAATGACGAGTTAATAGGTGCAGCACACCAACATGGCACGTGTATACATATGTAACCTGCACGTTGTGCACATGTACCCTAGAACTTAAAGTATAATAAAAAAATAAGAAAAAAATCATATAGGGCTTAATATGAACATCTAGACACAGACTTTATTCTTCCCTAATGCTGTCCCCAAACCTTTCTGGAGCTCCTGCTATGTGTAATGTAGCATGTTCCTACCTTCACAAACATTCCTGCCAGGGCATGTACTTCCATAGCTCAAATATTTCATTTTTTTTTCTTTTTTTTTGAGATGGAATCTTGCTCTGTCGCCTGGGCTGGAGTGCAAAGGCATGATCTCGGCTCACTGCAAGCTCCGCCTCCCAGGTGTATGCCATTCTCCTGCCTCAGCCTCCCGGGTAGCTGGGACTACAGGCGCCCACCACCATGCCCGGCTATTTTTTTGTATTTTTAGTAGAGACGGGGTTTCACTGTGTTAGCCAGGATGGTCTCGATCTCCTGACCTTGTGATCCGCCAGCCTCGGCCTCCCAAATTGCTGGGATTACAGGCGTGAGCCACTGCGCTTGGCCAAATATTTCATATTTCATCTTCTTTTGAATCCAAGACTTGTAAGCATAATTTATGGATGATGGCTTCAGAGAAACAATGAGTTACAATGTATCTTATGATTCCTTGGACATGCCTTATTTAATGGTAAAGTTTCCATTTTCCCCCTGTTGCTCATTTTTAGCTATAAAGACCATAATGCCAGTCACTGCCTGAAATCTAGCCACCCCCTTTCACATTAATATTAATAGCATAATGGCAAACATTCTGTACATTGCCTGTGACTCACATAATCACCATGCAAAATGCATCATTCATAAATTGTTTAGTGCGACCTTTGGCACAGTAGCACTAATTATTATTATCACAGAAGCCCAGTAAACTAGACTGGTAATTATCAGGGATTTATTTGAATGGACAGCTAAGCTATTCTTGGCAAGTTAGTCAAAGCAGTTGTCATGACAGCCATACAAATATGTCTTATGAATTGGGTTAATTAGGGTAATTAATAACTGTTATTTGTTCCCCTTTTCCCAAGATATTGCCTCAGCATTATCAAAAGGGTGAGGGGTGTAAACTTTAAAATAATGCTTGAATCCTTCTGCTAAGAAAGCTACTGACGAAATCAATGAAAGCTACCTACCTTCCAAAGGTGCTCCCTTAGAGAAACCCTCATTTTTATGGGACCTTCTCCTACTTTTGGATGTTTCAGAGTCAGCAAGCACAAGCCATACTGAAAAAAAGTAGTTAAAAAGAGAAGCTAAATAGTCAGTTCCCCGAGGCTGCTGCTTTCCTTTTAGTCACCTGTGAGAACTCCCAAGAGACCATCCCTCTGGCTTCTACTTTTAGCAGAGCCCTGCTTTGTTTTTTGCTCATCTAGAACTTTCTTGCCTTGCTCTGCAGCCTGTTCATTGTATAATTTTTTTTTCTTATTTTTCCCTCACAAGGAAATTCTGAGTTTTTCTCACCCACATTTCTGCCCCTCTGAGGTTTTCCAAGTTTTAATTTTGTTGGAGGCCTTTTTTAATTTAATGCCTTAGGGACCATCTAACATTGCCTGATGGTGGTTTTGCTCTTTTTTCGAAGAAAGGAAAATAGGCTAGCTCTGAAGAGCTTTCTCTTTCTCTTCCTTAAAAAAGTAAAGGATAAAAGTCCAAGTTTCTTCTCTCTGCATCACAGCATATTAAGTTGTTTTTCTTATTCTAGTGCAAAGAAGAGAGAAAGGGAGAGGTTAAAAACTGAAGCTGATTCTTTTCCCCAATGAGATGATTCTTTCTTTCAGAGTAAATGTTGTTCACAAAAGGACTTTAAGACTTTTTGTGATGGTTTTGAACAGCAAATCAATTTCTCTCCATTTCCTGCATAAAACTAGGAGAAGGAGGCTGGGGGAGGTGGCTCACGCCTATAATCCCGAGGGAGGCTGAGGGGGGCAGATCACAAGGTCAAGAGATCGAGACCATCCTGGCCAACATGGTGAAACCCCGTCTCTACTAAAAATACAAAAATTAGCTGGGCGTGGTGGCACGCGCCTGTAGTCCCAGTTACTTGGGAGGCTGAGGCAGGAGAATTGCTTGAACCCCGGAGGCGGAGGTTGCAGTGAGCTGAGGTTGTGCCACTGCACTCCAGCCTGGCGACAGAGCAAGACTCCATCAAAACAAAAACAAAAACAGAAGAGAAGGGACACAAGGCAGAAAGAGAACTGAGGATGTTAATTAAACATCTAATCTATGTCAGTTTCTGGGCTCAGTACTTTTCATATATTAACTAATCCTCCCAACAACTCTTTGAGACTGGAAACATTATTATCCTAGCTTTACAGGTAAATAAACTAAATTATATGAAAGTTAAGTATTTTTCTGAGATCACACATAAACAGGACTTGAACCTCAAGTCTCTGATCCAGAGTCTCCTTTCTTCTACACCAGCTAGAACAGAGTTTCCCCAAAAAAGCAAGAGGCTTTTAGTACTTCATGAATTCCAGATGCCTTGCTCACGCCACAAATTTCTATTGAATATAAATGCCCATTTATTTTGTTTGTTTCAATGCCTGTTCAGCAATTGAGATTTCTAGGTCAGTGCCAGCATTCTGGCTGACCCATAAAATTCAAGTTTGGGAGGAATTCTGGTAAAATGCTTTTAGCAGAGGGTGTTAGATTAATAGGTTAGAAAAAGTGCCAACTTTCTTCCCATGTCATACTGGAATCTCATGATCAGAAGGTAGCTTCCTCTATTTTACTTTCAGTTGCCCTGTTAGGGAAGAAAGGCTTTCTATTGCAGAAGTGGCTTGGTGGTGCTTGGAAGCTGCACAGGATATATGGAAGATGGAGTGGTTTAGGGTTCTCCAGGTGTCCCTGTCCTACTAAGTCAGAGATCAGGATCAGGTTCTGACATCTTAGGAAGCTGAAAACTGACACACAGAGACCCATTTCTTTTTTCTTTTTTTCTGAGGTGGAGTCTTGCTCTGTCACCCAGGTTGGAGTGCAGTGGTGTGATCTTGGCTCACTGAGCCTCCACCTCCTGGGTTCAAGGGATTCTCCCATCTCAGCCTCTCAAGCAGCTGGGATTACAGGCGTGCGCCACCACTCCTGGCTAATTTTTGTGTTTTTAGTAGAGATGAGGTTTCACCATACTGGCCGGGCTGGTCTTGAACTCCTGACCTCAAGTGATCCATCCGCCTTGGCATCCCAGTGTGCTGGGATTACAGGTGTGAGCCACTGTGCCTGGCCTCCATTTCTTGATATGTTATTATTAAATGGGCCATGGTATCATATATTTAGTATTTTTAAGTTTTGTGTGGGTGTGTGTGTGTGTGTGTGTGTGTGTGTGTGTGTATAGTCATTTGTCTCGTCCATGAAGGACCTTCATTCACTTGATAAACACTTTGTGCCAGGAGCTGTTTTCAGGGTTCCAGGAACAGCAGTAAACTAAACAGACAAAAAATTCCTAACATCATGGAGTTAACATTCTAGCAGGGGAAGAGAGATAATAAACAAAATAAATATGTGAAATGTATGGTATTTTAGAAGATAAGTGATATGGAGAAAAATAAGGCAGAAAAGGAAGATAATGAGTTTTGGAGAAAATTTGCAAATTTAAATAGGGTGGTTAGGTAAGGCTTCAATGAGGCCTAATTTTATTTCTTACCACTTCACACACAAACTTTCTTCTCCAGCAAAGCAGATGGTTCATTCATTCATTAATGCCTACTCTACCTACCTTTATATCCTACCAGGTATAGAATACACATTTAAGGACAAAACACACTTGCCCCTACCCTTTTGGAGCCCAAAGTACAGGAGATAGACGTTGAAAAAAATAATTACACAGATAATTACTTGCAATTGTGATAAGTGTGATGGAAGTAGTAGAAAGTACTAACACATACTACATATGGAGGCCAATACACAGCTACTAATTGTATTAAGCTAAAAGCCACAGATGGACCACCAAACATTTGGTATCCCTGGATTCTAGTAGGAAGGACCACGATGACATGATTACAAAGCCACAAGTCTCATTTGGTTTAACCTGTGTCTAGGGATCTGTGAATTTGTGATTTCAAATGTTTGATTGCCATAATTTTATTAGAAACCTTCAGCCTCCAACCTAGGCAATTACTGGCATTTGAGTTTAAACACATGCATACACACACACCCACACACACACACACACACACACACACACACATGCACACACACTGTTGTATTCTTTGGAAAACAAATGACCTTTTGATTTGGTGTATTGTGGAACTGCTAGAAAACTGGCTTAGAAGGAGGGAAAATGTTAATGAAGGTAATGGCTGATTTTTAGAGCAGAGTACCTATTTGTTTTTTCTTGTCCTTTCATTGTGCCTCCAAAGCTTCAAAACCTCCTAAAAATGAAAGATTATAGGAAAAAATGCATCTTTTACTTTTTAAATGGTAGACAGCAAAGTATTTTAATGAGGAAATATATTATATTATTCTCCTACAAACCAAGGGCTAATAGTCTGGAACTGGTACTTTGGCTGCATAAAAAGTCCAGCAAGACAAGCCAATTATGGACTCTGAAACATTTTTATTTTTAGTTCCTTGTAATAGCGATTCATTCTCTGCTATGGTACATTAACTGGGAAACAAGTTGAAATGAGAGTTTTGGCAACTTTAGAATAATTGACTATATTTACCAAATTCTTAATCGTGCAGAGAGGTTAGCAGGGGAGGGGCATAGAAGAACAAAAGATTAGGTCAGGGAAAAATACGTCTAGGAGAGTCTGACTTTCAATAAAGGCTAAATAGACAGCTTTAGAATACAGTTTTAGAGAACTCTTTTTTCCTTTCAGTTTATTCTTCAAGTAGACAACAGTTTGGTTATTTGTGCTGATTTCTGCCTTTATGTATGATGTGGTGTTACTTTTGTGAGCAGAAGTAATTAGTTGTTTACAAATGAAGAATGCAGTAGGCACAGCTGTGATATTCTTTTCCCTACCACGAGATCTGGTAGTCCCCAAATTTCCCTCTACATCTGTGTGCATTGGTAACACTGTTAACTGCTCTGTTCCCTTTCTTTTCCAGTAGAATTTCTTTTGTTTGGGATGACTGTTACTTTTCCTTTTGGTCCTCTTTTCCTTCAGTGGCTCTGCTTGCCTATCTGGTGGTCGTTTTGGAAGTTCCAACCCAGCACCAATCCAGAGTGGAGCTGGTGATGCCGAAATGGAAGGAGTGTTTGGGAAGGGTAGATATGTTATGAGGGAATCACGTTGAAGTTAAATGAACCGCTAAAACAAATGTAATCTTAGGCCTCATTAAGGAGGTATAGTTTTCTGATTATAAGAGGTATTAGTCCCTCTGAATTCTTTGCTGTTAAGACTACATCTGGATAATGATGTCTGATTCTGGATGCCTTATTTTATGTGAAACACTGACACACTAGAATGAGCTTCAAGGGAGGTTAAGAGACTGATAAACGGCCTGGAGACCACATCACTTGTGGAACAATGTTCATACTGCTTAATTATGAGAGAGGCAAAAAGTTGTATGAAGCCAACCTTAACATTGATCTGCAGTAGGCAAATGTGTTGAAATGAAGAGACTAAAACTAAACTTTCACAAAAGCATGACACATTCTTCTTAGTGTTTGGCTTGTTAATTAGTTACGTTGAGTACAAATATTTATAGTATTTGAGTCTAGGACCAGCTAACTGACCAGCACAACAGCTTTCACATACTCAGCAAGGGCAATTCGTTCTTAGGTATAAGGCCAAAGACTGACCCTTGGGTGATCATGGAGATTTCCCTTCCCTTTGTAGAGTGCTCTGTATTTAATCTTCTAATCATTAAAAAACAGATGCTCACCACTGACAGAGGTGGGGTTCCTAGAAAAGATGGACTGATGGCTGTTATGCTGTCTTCCATCTTCTTGAGACCCTTAGCAGCTTTGTAGTGGTATGCTTTAGTGGGGTTAGGAAGGAGTTAATATCTTGGAAAAACCTTGGATGTGGCTTGATTTCCTCTTAGGAATATTGAGAAGATGAACACATAGTGGGAAATTTTTAAATTTACTGGTGCTACAGGCTTTTTTCCAAAAGGCATTTGTAGTAGTAATAATAATAGTAATAATAATATGCCCAAATGACAGAAGAAATATTAACTTCTGAAAATAAAATTTCAAAAGGCAAATTTTATAATATGGTTGACCACCTTATTCTTTTTAGATCACCTAGGGAGAGGTCATTCATACCTTTATTTATTAATTCTCTATCTTCTCATGCCTTATTGATTTACTTTTCCAAAGCACAGCAGAGGAAACTTTGGGGGGAAGAGATAAAAGTAATCCCTGTTTGCACAGCAACACAATGTGTACATTGTTGGCTTAAGGCCTGTGGTGGACAGAAAGACTCTGGCCTTAGAGTCCTTCAGGCCCTCTTATCCAGGAAGAGAAGACACAGAAACATCGTTCTCAGAGTAGAGACAGTGTTTCTGAGCGACCCAAGATTTCTCGTTTCTTCTTGTGACCTTCTTCCTCTTTTGGGCACTGAATGGGGTCAGGCCTCTAGGGATGGCACACAGTTAGTTGGTGAGAGACAGGAAGGGACTCAGGGTCCAGCAGCTCCTGGAAGGGAGAAAGGTGACCCAGTAACTTTTCAGCTTCTTTTGGAGAAAAGGCACAGTGTCAAGCAATCAGGAGAGGAAGAAAACAAGCATAAAATCCACATCCTTAAAGTCCATAAATGGTGAAAGGAAAGCTCTCTCTGCTCCCCACCAAGTGTGGAAGTTTTATGGTGTATTCTCTATTCATAGGGCTGACAGAGAGTGGGACTGACCTGCTCAGGAAGGTGAAGGTCTCCACCTACAGGCTGCTGCAGGAAAGAGCTCAGTCTGCCTTTCCTATCCTTGACAAGGGGAGTAGAGCCAGTTTTCAGAGGCTATCCAAGCTAGGGTTGACTTGTCTCAGGACTCATCTTTATGCAAAGTCTGCAAAAAGAATTTGAAATTCATGAACATCTGACCACTGGAGAAAACCTTTACTGGCTCAAAAAATAAGTCTCTGTGGTTTAATTAGCTACCCCTTCGGATATTGATTTTTCTAGCACTTGTACAGAATGTAACTCATCTTCCAAACTTTACGGAAGAGCCAACCCAAATCCAGCTGGATTTGTGGCTGTAGAGAAGTTGCTTGATTTTATTAAGCATGGCTTACGTTCTGTCTTTCTCTCTCCCCTGACATTTATATGTAACTTGCAAAATCCAAAATCACAGCTAGAGAGAAGCAAACTCTTCCCCCAAACCAAATATTTTCCCTAGGTCTATCCCCCTTAGATCATATAGTCTGAGGGCACTTCTGATGGCATGTGTTACCCATGGAGGCTTTCTTCTCTGTTGCTCTCTCCTCCGTGCTCCCATGGCACACTGTATATACCACTTGCTATGGCCTAAATGTTGGTGTTCCCCACAAATTTATATGTTGGGGACCTAAGACCCAATGTGATAGTATTAAAAGGTGGAGCCTTTAAGAGGTGATTAAGTCATGAGGGTTCCACCCTTATGAATGGGATTATTGGCCCTGCAAAATGGCTCCAGGGAACCAACCAGCACCTTTTTGTCCTTCCATCTTCTGTCTTGTGAGGACACAGTGTTCCTCCCGTCCAGAGAAAGATACAGCAACAAGGTAACATCTTGGAAGCAGAGAGCAGCTCTCATCAGACACCAAATCTATTGATACCTTGATCTGGGACTTCCCAGCCTCCAGAACTGTGATAAATAAATTTCCTTTCTTTATAAATTTCCTAGTCTCAGGTATTTTGTTATAGTAGCACAAATAGACTGAGATACCACTATGGTAGCACTTACAACCCTGCATTATAATTGTCTCTCCATTTAACTGTCCCCAGCACTAGAAATGTGAACTCCTTGAGGGCAGGAGTGGAATCGGGTTAATCTCCAGATCCCTAGCGTCTCCCATGGGGCCTGACACATAGTCTTAACAGTATTTGTTGAATTGAATTAAATTATTTCAGCCCTGAGCTGTACAAGCTGTCATTTGTTCTGCAACAGTCAGTCGAGGACAGCTAGGGAGCATGAGGCAAATCTTTTCAATTGTGGGGAAGCCTCTGAATGATCTGTTTTTGCCTTTTTCTTCTACCCTTCTCATCGATTCCATCTATCCCTTTTCATTACTGGTTGCCTGCACCTTGTGCAAACAGAAGTCTTAAACAGTGCAGGATCTTCAGTGACTTTTTTGTCTTTTGATCCGGGGCTGATGGCTTTTCATTTTACTCATGCTTTATATGGCATAGTCAAGTCTGATTGAGACTTATTTGGTGGTAGGGCAGTCAGAATTACTGGTAGAAAAGAAATGCAATTTTATTACTTTCAAGTTCATAGAATGAGAAGAAGTAGACTAATAAAGTCTGTGCCAGGAAGTTTTGCCAAGTAGAAGTCCTTGGACTTGTTTTAATGAATAAATAAGAATGATGTGCAATTAACATACTTATTGTTTGTAAATTGCTTCTAAAGTGCCTAAAAACAATTTATTCTTGTTAGTTTAAACATTTTCCTTGTAACCTTGTTTATACCACAATTTGCCCAGCAAACCTTTATAAAAATAGAAACAGCAGCCTAGCTCTATCCGAATGCTCACCAAATATGAATTACTGAAATCTGAACTGCAAAGGTATGACTCCAACACGGGAAAGCAAGTAAGCCTGAGATGGATGCTTTTAGGAAGTGAGCAGAACAGATTTTCCCTTTTCTACTTAGGTGTTAGTTGCAAAGGCAGAAGGTTATAGTTAGTTGCTCAGTACTATTTAGAGAGGAAAAATGCTCCCTTCACCAGGGAGCAATACTTGTCATCATTCCAGCTCCCCTTGGTGGTCTAATGCCAGAGAGTTTCTTTCCACTGAGGCAGTAAAAATGAGAAAATTTACCTTTTAGATAATTTCACTACGATCAAACAATCCCCAGTGGGCAAAACTAATAGAAGATACTGTATTTTGATTGCAGTTTATCTCTAGCAATTATAAATGAGCAATTTAAGTGGCAACAAAGCAAGTTGTTTGCTAGAATGAGGCCGTATTTCACAGAGCTTTATCATTCAATATTCTCTGGATCACTCAGCTAAAGGCAGTCTATTTCCTTGGGTGGATCATACATCCTCTTTCTACAGTATCCCTAGGAACAATTACTTTTCTTAATGATAGGGTATTGAGAAGAAGTGATCTACAAACATAATTTACACTAATTTTCACTTTTTTCCTCCCATGAGAAATTTAGTTGACAAGACTTTGAGTATTAGGTTTTATTCTTCCAGGATTTCTTAAGAGAACTAACAAGAAGGAGCTGGGCAAGTAGAGAGAATGTCAGAAGAGCTCAGTTCTGAATCCATGCCTGAGTTTCCAATAACCAGCTGCGTTGCTTTGGGGGTGGTTGTAAGTTTCTCTGGGCCCATTTCCTTATCTTCAAAATATTGTGTGTGTGCACGCACACGTTTGTGTGTGCGCGTGTGCAAGAGAGATAATAGATTAGATGAACTCTAAGGTCATATTGAATTTTAATGCTTTACGAGTATATATTCTGTGATTGTTCATGAGCCCAAAGGGGAATTTTTCAGTTTTTCAAAGCTTTCAGTGGACAGCATAGCATTGTCAGGTTGCAGTAATGATTTCGAGAACCTTTGCAAATGACTACATTTGGCAATAAAGCTACTGTAGGCTCTACCATGGCCTGAAGAAATAATTAATATTGCATAAAAATATATATTTTTTAATTTATGAAGGATAGATCTCAAAAGGGACTATAGATTGAAAGCAGAAACAGTAAGTGAGCCAATTGGGCTTCCATTTTCTACTGTTTATAAATTTAGACTGGGTGGAAGGTCCCCTGGTTTGGAAAGAAGGAGTCTTAGGTTCTTGCTCTGACTCTGCCAGTAATTGGCTATGATCATGGATTCAGAAACTTTTGGGCCTCAGTTTTTCCATCTGTTAAAAGGGGAAAGGAGTATTTTGCCTATATACATCTGCAGACTGTTGTGGTTATTAGAAGGGAGCATAGGTCAAGGCTTTGTAAAAAAAAACAATTGCTATATTAATGCAAGGTGTTATTTGAGAAAATAATTTTTAAAATTGGGACATTGAGATACACAGTTCTACAGGTGTTTCTCATTGTGCTAGATTGTGAAACATTGTCTTTGAAGGTGTGGATTATATCATGTTCAATATTATGTATATTACACATTGGCATTTCAATGGAATGGGAATAGAGGGATGGGGAAACAACATTAGTTTGGTTTTGACTTAAAGCCAGTTTTTTCTACTAAGTTCTTGGGAAATGTTGAAAGAAATACAAGTCTAGGAAGCACATCAGCCTTTCTTAAAAGAGCTTTGCAAACTTTGCATTTCTGATTCAATCTATGAAAGAGACAGGTGAGAGGTTCCTATCAGCTGTTAATCAGTTAACCAACAGTGGGTGAGCATTTAGCCAGTGCCAGGGACAGTGACAGGCACTGAAGATACCAATACTAAAGGTGTGGTTCTTGCCCTTAAGGAGTTCTCCAACCTAGTGGGGGTGAGATATAACTAAGCAACACAATGTGTTAGGTGATGTGATAGAGGTAAGTATATTCCTTATATTTCCTTAGGTAACATTTCAGAACCGGCGAATCCTGGGTGACAAGCCTCCGGTTTCTCTCTAAGGTACTGCTGTCCAGTAGAACTTTCTGTGATGATGGAAATGTTCTATGTCTGCTCTGTCCAGGACATGGTAGCCACATGTGGTTACTGAGCACTTGGAATGTGGCTACTATGATTGAAAAACTAAAATTTTAATTTAATTTAAATTTTGTGAATTTAAATTTAACTAGCTACATGTGGCTAATGTCTATGCTATTGGACAGCACCCCCCTGAGGAATGGTAGTGTGAGCCCACAGTCAGGCTCCAAGGAGGTCCTGAGTTGGATCATAGAAAGCTCTGGTCAATTTGCCCCTGTCCTTTAACCCTGTTTTCCTATCCAAATACTGCACTAGCCCTTGAATGGCTCCTTTCCAGCCGACAACTCTGAATTATGCATGCTAATGTGTGTTACTCAACCATGGCATGAGGTTCCCTCACTCCCCTCCCCCAACCCTGCCGTAAAGAAAGGGTACTCTGTGACAGTTCAATCATGATGAAGGAAGAAAATGGGTCGAAGAAAACTAGTTTATAAAAGCTTTTAAAATGTCTGAAATCTTGCTTTTCACATAATTTCAGATGGTGTGAGGTAATTTCAACTCTCTTTAAGCTGAGTTTTAGCTCTCTTTCTCTCTCCCTCTCCCTCTCTCTCACACACACACACACACACACACACACACACGCACGCACATTCTACCTAAAGTGTCTGCTGTGGTAGATGGGGCTCCTTGTATTCCTATTGAATCAGCAATTAGAGAAGTTGGGTATATAATATATTTATTTTATATATATATTATTTATATATATAAAATAAATATATTATATATAAAATAAATATATTATATATAAAATATGTTTTATATATATTTATCATGTACAGAATATATATTATATGCCCATATATATATATATATATATATATAAAACTTCCCATGCCAAAAACACAACTCTTCATCACATTATTCTTTTTCTGATAGCGTAGATAAAGGGAGACTGAGATAAAATATCCTAGTAGGAAACCTCAGAAAGAAAACTATTCACAATATTCAATGGGAGTTTAGTTGGACATAGAAATAAATATTCAGAAGAAATCAAGTTTACGACCTGGTAAGAAGACTTGCCATTTGTCTGGTGATTCACAGTTTTGGAAAGTGCTTGCACATTTGGTCCTAAAAAAAAAAATCCCCTAGAAGGTATTTGGGACAGATATTATTTCCATTTTTTTTTTTTTTTTGAGATGGAGTTTCGCTCTTGTTGTCCAGGCTGGAGTGCAGTGGCGTGATCTTGGCTTACTGCAACCTCTGCCTCCCGGGTTCAAGCGATTCTCCTGCCTCAGCCTCCCGCGTAGCTGGGATTACAGGCATGCGCCACTACGCCTGGCTAATTTTTTGTATTTTTAGTAGAGACAGGGTTTTATGTTGGGCAGGCTGGTCTCAAACTCCTGACGTCAGGTGATCCGTCCACCTTGGCCTCCCAAAGTGCTAGGATTACAGGCGTGAGCCACCGCACTCGGCTGATATTATTTCCATTTTATAGATTAGGAAATCAAGAGTCAGAGAGGCTCCATGATGTCTGCAAGGGCACACAGCTAGTAAGAACTTTTTCTATTTTCATCTTGAAGGCTCTGTGATTGGAGGCTTTGTAGGATTTTTCTTTTACATTTTTTTCTTATGTGCTTTTTTTTTTGAAGCTTATAACCATCTGCAAGAAACAATCACCAGAGTAACTTTTTTTTTTTTTTTGAATCGGAGTCTCGCTCTGTCTCCCAGGCTGGAGTGCAGTGGCGCGATCTTGGCTCACTGCAAGCCCTGCCTCCTGGGTTCACGCCATTCTCCTGCCTCAGCCTCCCGAGTAGCTGGGACCACAGCACCCACCACCACGCCCGGCTAATTTTTTTTTTTGTATTTTTAGTAGAGACGGGGTTTCACCGTATTAGCCAGGATGGTCTCAATCAGCTGACCTTGTGATCTGCTCACCTCGGCCTCCCAAAGTGCTGGGATTACAGGCGTGAGCCACTGCACCGGGCCCAGAGTAACTTTTGACCCTAAATGAAGCTGGGTCTACCAGGAACCAACATTTAAAAATACCTATACACAAAGGTACATCATTGTTTCCTTCACAAAAATTATATATAATATACGTATATATAGACACACACACACAGTTAAGAAATGACTGCCCACACCTGTTTCTACTGGTTTAGCCCCGATAAAAGTGTTTCTTTGCTATCAAATAGACACAGGTATTGAGCCGACCAGGATGAGGAAAGGGTGTACCAGCTTCCTTCGAGAGAAAGGTGTGTACATAAGAGTGAAAGAAGAAAGGGGTCTCTAAACATATTTGAAAAATTGACCAAGAGAGAGCTGTGGAGGGAGGAAGCTGAGAACAATGTGGGGAAAGGAAAGGACACATCAACCACACTGGTTGAGGAGTATGCTGTCTGACACAGTACAGCGTTATGTTTCTGACAGTGTTAACTTTTGTTTTTTGAAAGTTAAGTTTAAAATTGGTCCTGATTTTTGCTGCTGGGAGTCTGATGGTAGAGGTAGAGTGAGGTGTTCCCCTCATTATTTCATTTCTTAATCTTCCTGCAGGAGGAAATTGCTCTGGTTGTGTTCACTGCCTTTGAACCTGTCGTGTTTAAGCAGGCTAGTGTATTTTTTTTCTCCCAAATAGTATACCTCGTCAGCCAGTCCTATTTACTTTGATTTCACTGCATTTTCCAGAATCCTAATGAGGTGTGGCCTAGTGGTGTGAGCGCAGGACCTGGCAGGAAGACTCTCAAATTCTAGTTGCAGATGCTAGATGCTTCTATGTAGTAGAGGGCAAGTCTCTTGACCTCTTCTGTAATGCCGTTAACAGGGTTAATAATATTTATTTAGCTCATAAAGGCAGCAGGGGGATTAAATAGTTAATGTTGTTTAAAAGGCTTTGAGAAAAAGAAAAGGCAAGTTTTTTTGTATTGTGTGCATTTTCAAATGCTAATTCTTATTAACAGGAAGCATCTGCTCCATTACGGTCATTCAGCACCTCATGAAAGTCTTGCTGGCTGGATGGGAAGGAAAATTCTTCAATTTTGTGCCATGAGATCTGAGAAAATGTAGCTACCTTCAGCCCCAGTTATGAACTTGGATGTCTGTTTTCTCCCTATCTAAAAACATTCTTCTTCTTTATGTGGTTTTTCTAAGGTTTAGTAGTTTTTCTCTCTTTTGCAATCTTTTATGCTTACCATTACTGGTGCAAAATGACTATTGTGTTTCAGCTGTGGGGGGAATGAACCCTTTTTATAATAGGCAGTTAGACATTCTGGAAGTCTTTGTGATAAAAGATTTCATAGAAATACAAGGTGCTTCAGTAATTGTTCTGTTGGTGCCTTGCATAACTGCATTACAGATTTCTAATACTCTGGCAGTTTCAAGATGCTGATGATATTAGCCACTTTGTGAAGGGTAATTATGGCTTTCTATGCATGGTTGCCAGCACTCTCATGTCAGATTATAGTAGCCTTTTGGTTAATCTCTATTTTAAATCAGATCAAATTCTAACCCACCCTCATCCCTCCTCATCCCCCTTCCCAAATAAAATGAGAAGCACTGTGAGGATTTGGGAGAAGGACAGGTGGGGTATTTTAGAGAATGAGAAAACATTTCTATTATTATTTTTTGAGTCATCTTCTTATTGCTTGTCAGTTATGGTTTATGAAGTGATGCCAAAGTATAAGGTCTATCTTGCCTCCAACGCTGATTTGCTGCAATGCTTGTTTAAGTTGCTAGAAACTGGAGGCTCCTGTGGGTTTCCTTCTGTGCCTAATAATTTCAACAGAGCCAAATGCCCTTTATTTACTACAGTCATAATTAGAGGGCTGCCAGTGTTAAGCAACCATGGAATCTGAGTTTGAGAAATGTTTATTGTGCCTCATTAAATCTGAAATGAGTACTTAAAGGTCAGAAATAAATAATCTGTTTATATTTTTTGTGACAGTAAATATAAGTGAATGCTGTGTGTACATATCCTTGACTCTACTCATTTCAGTGTACTGAGACACCCCTCTGTTTGCCAAGGCAGTAATCACAATATCTGCGACAAAAGAGAACTATGGCAGGTTTCATTGATCACAAACAAGAAAATGATCTATTGTATTGTATCTAATTAGAAAACATCAATATTAGAAGCTAATGCATTCACTGTTTCCAAGATGGTCTATCACTTGATTGTTTTTTGTCAGCATGATCACATTTTACGGGCTTGAGCAACAAGCTGGTACAAGGGAAATGAATTTAGAATGATATGCCAAAGGCTGTTGCTCCTTCAGTCTTAAATAAGCTTGTAGAGGCAACTGGGTTTTTAGTGGCACATAATATAAATAATGGGATTGGGGTTGGAACAGAATTTGGGGGTGTTGTTTTGGCCCAAAGGCACAAGGCCACCCACCGCTTTCTCTCTAAATATTTTGAAAGTCTTTTCAGCTGACAAAGCTTACTCAATAGAAATTGTACTCTGCACACTCCGCAGGCAGTCAGGGCTCTGTAGCTGGTAAGTGGCAGAGAACTGAGGCACTGATATAATAGAATTTAGCAGAAAGGAATGGACCAGCTCAGGTTCTGAGGGTGCTAGTCCTTCTGTGAGCCAGAAGGGCTCAAAGGTAGGCTGGATCCAGGAGAGCTCATACTGTGGGTTTCTGGATCCCATTGCTTGTGGGAGATTACACAGACACACACACACACACATACACACACACACACACACTCTTATATGTGTGTACATATATGTATATATATTATGTATATGTATATATGTGTATATTTATTTCTTTATTAGAGATGGGCTCTCGCTATGTTGCCCAGGCTGGTCTTGAACTCCTGGCCTTAAGCGATCCTCCCACCTCAGTCTTCCAAGTCATTGGGGTTACAGGCATGAGCCACAATGCCCAACCCTCTTGTGGGAGATCTTATATGGGTTTCTTATTGTCAGTTTGACCAGCTTTACCAAATCATAGCTTCTAAAATTGAAACCACCATCATGACTATTAATCTTACATCTTAGGTCACCTTCTAACAATGGTTGCCATTGCCTCTAAAGGGCAACCAAAATGGTCACCAAGGTTTCAGGGAACAAAGTGGCTCATTTCTGGATCCCTTGGGCTCTGTGAGTAGGCCCTCCAGCTAGGTCTGGAGAATGATTTCCAGTTAGTGTGTGCCAAGTTTTTCCTTTGTCTAACTGCTGGACTATAGTCCCCTGACTCTTTCATTGGAATTAGCCAAGGAAATCACTCAGAGAAACATAGGTAGGAAGCAGGCTAATCACTTCCCTGATGTTACTGTTTTCTGATTGCTTCCTATCCCAGTAGCAGAAAATGCCAAAAACGGTGCTCCTGGGGTTTCTCTTATTGTCCTTGTTGCGGCATGCTCTAGCTGAGTTAGTACTTAATGTGGCTGTAGCACTTAACGTGTGTGTTTGTTTTCATGGCTCTTTAAAGGGGAAATAACAGTTGGCACTTGCTTGTAAAGTGCTTTGATATTTGGGGATGAAAGGCACTCTGTGCCTGCAAAATAGCTTTAATGTGTTGTAGTTACATGTTTGGTAGGGCGATTGGACTCCAGAATTTGTTCCACTGGCAAATGTGGTTGAGAGCTATTTGGTTCTCCATTAAGTTCTGTTTACATGGGATTAAATAGTTTGACTTACATGACTGAATTTTTCATTTTATTTGCTCTTGAGGTACTCTTACTCATACTGAGATATTGTTGATTCTGCATTTGTACATATAATAGGCATTAACTGGTTCCAGAGAGCTTTCTATAAGCAGATACTATTTCAGAGTGCACTATGCCCCACAAAGGACTTAGAAAAGGGTCGAGGGCCTTATTCAGAAGCCTGTATTTGTTTTATGGCATGGTGTTTAAGCTCGTCTTTCAGCAGGCTTTGAATTGTATGGTTTACTGCAGACAGCTGCTAGGTTTCTCAAGGAGGCCTCTGTAGTGAAATTCACAACTGGGTTGCTCTTCTAAAGGCATAACTTTGACCCAAAGATGAGAGCAAAGAAAAGTGCTTTCCCTAAGCCATCTTTGCCACCTCTAGGTAGGGTGACCACATCAATGGTGCCAGTGAAACAATAGGAATGACGATGAGAGGCTGCTAGGAGGGGAATTCTTTCAATTTAATTTGTTGAATGTTAACCACATGGCCTGTGTTTCTCATTGATAGTCCTGTCCTGACAGTCACTGGGATGCTAGAGTTGTTTACCACCTGTAGAAAAGTAGCTGCCACACTGTCCGTCTGTGACTCAGAGGTCTACATTCTGGTGAACCCTCGTCTTCTCACAGAAACGCTATCAAATTGGGTTCAGGAACACTATCATATGTTGTCACCACCATTCCCAGAGATGTGGCAGGACTGATGGAGTTAGATGGGCAGAAGGCACCTAACTGTGTCATCTTATCCCTTTCAGTTATATATAGGCTATTGTGTATTTATAAGGTAGTAGTTGGGAGTGATAACAGTGAACAAATTGTAACTACAGAAGGCAGTGTGCAGAGTGGATGCTTTCTGAAGAAGTAGAACCACCTTGGCCTAATAAACTTCGTCACCTGCCTTAATTGTGATAAGTAGCCTCATTCTTAATCCCTTCCATCTCTTCTCTGATCATTCATTGATGCATTATATGAACGCATGCTAAATGTTTAGCGTTGTGGCAGATGGCACAGGGACCTCAAAAGAGAGCTTCCAGTCCCGTTGAGGGATGAACTGACACACTACACATGAAATAATCATAGAACCTGAGGAAATGCATAATTACATTGTACAGTCTGTATACAAAGTGCTGAGAAAATGCTAAGGAACGTGGGATGATCAGTGATGGAGATATATTAGAAATGAGGGAAATTAGATGGCTTGTGTTGGATGACTGCTTAGCTAAGGACTTCATGTAGATTTAATGTTAATTGCAACAAGGAGCTACTGTAAGGTCTTGAAAAGAGAAGTGATGTGATGAAAATAGTGGGTGAGGAAGATTTTCCAAACAGCATTTTGCAGAATGAGGTAGAACAAATGCAGGTGAGAAAAAAATGACACAAGGTGATGAAGGCTGTGGAAATGGAGCCAAAAGGACAGATAATATGGGCTATTTCTAAGAACGTTATGAATTGTATAACCTATTTGATAGGATAGGGAGATTTCTTGCCTTTTATGATGGGGGTTATGTACATATGACACATATGAGGGCCAAATTCTCCCATGTGAGTCACCTACAGCCATTGAGCCATTAGGGTGTTATTTAGTTCTACAAAGTAGCAGTGTAATTCTCCAAGTTGCAGTCCAGTAGCCTGCGTACAAGTATATGCCTGTATCTGCAGGTACATAGGTGCCAGTCTGTGTATGTGTATTTACCTGAATGTCTGACATTTTGATCATCTCTGGTAAAAGATCCATTAGTTTGTGAGCTCCTTGAAGGTGCAGGCTATTTTTTTTTAATTCCCAGGGTTTGGTTCATGCTTACTGGATAGATAAATGAATAAATTAAGAATCACTTTGTTTTAGAAGCCTAGAATTGTGGAGCTTGAAGGCAACATGGAGTCCTTTTGGTTATTCTCCTCATTTTAAAGAAAGATAAATTAAGGCCTCAAGAGGGTTAATGTGATTCATCCAAGGTCATCTGTAAGTTAATGACAATCCTAGGGAGAGAATCCAGCTGTCCCCACTATACCACATTGCTTTCTGTAGTCAAACTGTGTGTGTTTGTGTGTGTGCGTGTGAGTGTGTGTGTGTGAGAGAGAGAGAGAGAATGAATTAGGGCTGGGGTGTGTGGGGAGCATACAACTGACAATAAGTGGTTAGTAGGAGTTTACCTAGCACGTTTTCTAGTTCAGGGCAAATATGAACTTTGTAATGTTGGCAGCTGGGGATGGTGCCTTTTATTCCACCTTCACTAATTCCTGCTTCAGTTGCTGCTGTCTGGATGGATGAGTCTTTGAATATACATTCTAGCTGGAGGCACGTCAGCTTTATTTTTATACAGAATTTGCATATTCATTTTTATGTGTTGGGGGTAGGAAGTAGGCAAAAACTATTTATTATCTCATTTCCAAAAGCCATCTTTGTGAGGAGATGACCATTTGAACATCTAAAACAGCAACCAGCTTTAGGAAAGGTTATGTGTCTTTTCATTATGGATCAATAGGCACAATTATCATTATTGGAAGTCAGCAGTTAAAAAAAGAAGCAGCGTTTTATAATCACTTTGTTGTGTATCTGATACGGGATTCCAGTTTTCCTGTTTTGATTGCTAAAATGACTTAAGAGTTAAAAACTTTAAAAAATTAGGTAGCAAATTATAGTTATAATGCTTTTCAGCTCGATGGGACTTTAAAAGTGTAACTTAAAAGTTCGTTCATTTTCAAATGAAAATCTAAAGATTTGAGTAACCTCAGTTTTAATCCCAATGTCTGCAACCTTTTTTTTTTTTGCTTGGTATAGTGACCTGGGATTTGTGCCACTGGACAAAGAGTCTAGTCCTGGATATCTGCATTTATTGGGCTTCCTTCTCCTTAGGTTTGAAGTCTCTCTGCTGATAAATGTGGTGCTGAGAGAGCTGCAGTCACTCTTCTAGAGACTAGGGCACGATTCAGTGAACTGTAAAAGTAATGCAAAATGACAATTAAAGTAGGGCATTCTCTGGTACCTTGGGGGCCTGACAAAGTGGAAGTATTTGACTTCTGATATGCCAGACTTACTAACGTAGAAATGTAATAACATATCCCCCACCCAAACGTCTTACTAGAATCCTCCTATATCCAGAAGGGACCTGAGAACAGCAAGTAGTAAGCAAAGAAAGCTCCCAAGCAGCTAACAAACAAACACAGAAACAAACAACGAAAATCAAAACATTGCACAAAGGTCCCTATATTAAAGATCATGTGATTTCCCCCTTAGGAGCGCAACATCTCAGCTGTCTATGCAGAACGTTACAACTCTTTTTTTTCTAGACACAAATATAATTGTATAGTTTCCAAGAACACAGTAGAGTAAAAGCATCAAACTTGAAATGGAAGAAAAGCTACTTTTGATATACCAACAGCACTGAAAAGTTAAAAACGCTGTGTTTGATAGAAGGTTGGTGACGATCCTATGTTAAAAATTAAAGACAAGAAAAAAACCACAGCAGTTTGGGGTCCTTGAGTATACAGGCAAAATCTGCATGGGGTAATAATTTACATTTATAAAGATGCTCCTAAGTAACCAATAAGTGGTTAAATTATGTTTTTTATACCCTATTTTAAGGAGGGCAACTTTGTGATATGTTTCAGAAACAAGGCAGATGGTTAGGATTTTAAATCAAAGTTTTGGTTCTTAAAGGATAACACCCTAAGCTATCTGGAAAACTGAGCTGTCTAGAATTATTTATTGTTTGAGAATTTTTAAAAATCAACATTTTATTAAACCTAGGTCATGTGAGACACCTGCTTTCAGTGTTATACCCAAGGATAAAGAATTCGAATTAGAAAAAGAATTTGTGATAAATATACTAAATAATAAGAAAGTGACTCTTATTTACCACTGAGATGAAATAAAAAAGTTTGCTCTAGACCCATTTTTTTTTAATGTGACAATTAGGTTTTTCCAAAGCAAATGTTGTTCTTATCTCTTTGCTGTGTTCTTGTGTTAACCTGGCTGTCTGATTAGAAATGGGGACATTTCCTAGTGAAATTAATGTGACATTTAGAGAAAATTTCCTCTCTCAAATGTTTCATGTTGTTTGCCATTTAGCATACTTAGAGAAGGTATTGGAATAATGTCAAGCAAATTTTGATTAAATAAGGCTAACTAGGAGCCAATACATTCATGCAAAAAAAAAAGCTCTTGTATTATTTTAAAGAATGTATTTCTTCTGTGGTTCTTTATCCCATATTGAGATGACCTTGGCAGGTAATCTGACAAAAGAAATGACATCTTCTAAACAGCTGGGCTTGCTTTAGAAAATGCAGCACATTAGGTCAGAGCCTGTGGCCAGTCCTTTGCTCAAGACAGTTACTTGCCACCCCGGAGGTACACTAAAATTTCCTGGAAAGCTTTTTAAAAAAATCACCCAGTGCCTGGGTCCAATTCCAGGCTAATTACCTCAGAATCTCTTGGAGTGGGTCCTTGGTGACAGTATTTTTATTTTTATGTTTTACAAGAAGAAGATTCTGAGATGATTCTCATGTGTAGTTAGGGCTGAGAACCACTGGCTTAAGACATACAAACTATTCATTAAGAAAATATTTCCTTCTTCAGGATGATCTGATGATCTGAGTCTCATCCTTTGCTCCACCAGAAGTGTGAAAAAATATACTCTCTCAGTGCACAGGAGTTGGGTTTGGGCATACACCTTGAACCAGTATGAGCTAGAACACTTGATGTCAGTATACATAGACCCATAATATAATAGCCCATCTATGGCCAGTTAACTCAGTTGTTTGGAATGTAGTACTAATGAGGCCAGAATAGTGTATTCTATCCAATTAGAATAATTCTGCTGCATAGATTTTTCCCATAACTGTAACCCAACTGCCTCACAAAGAGACCTGAGACGGATTACAAAGGCACAGGACAATGGGTGAATCAGCATAGCCCCATCCATTCTGGGAAAATCGGTTCTAGGAACCTGCCACATTGACTAGCGCTACTAATTGCATTAGGATGCAGCATGAGACATCTGCCCATGATGGTTTGTGCTGATTTGGGGGAATGATATATTTTCATTTGAAGGTCAGGACCCACAAGAATGGGTGGTTTATTCCTTTTGGAGTTAAAAAAGGAGGATAAAAGATAGGAAGGTTACAAGCTTCTATGATATTCTTCTCTTTACAGTAGCAGATCATGCCTGGCACATCTGCCTGGGGTTAACTGACCTGTATTTGGGGGAAGAATTGTTAAGGTAATTACTAACAAGCCCTCGAGACTTGTCTCTTCTCAACTCAGTGCCTGGGAGTGGGAATCCTCATGATGAGATATATTATGGCTTAGGACCAAGAAGTAGTATTTTCATTAGTGATACAATGTGCATGGTATTGCTTCTTTGCCTGAACACGTGGCTCTGGCACCATGCCTGGAGGTCAGGTCTCCGCGGAGCTTCATATTTGATGCAGAGTGCACACAGGTTCCATGCCTTCATTTGCAAAGATATGGAAAATTTTCTACTTGAGAACTGTCTTCTTTAAAGGCAGTAAAGACAGATTCTTTAAATACAGTAGCTTGGGTTGCTGCTTATCCTTTTCCTGCAAAGCCAGTATCCTCTAGATTTCCTTTTTGTATTTTTGTCTCTTTACCAATCTTCTTGAAAAAATGATTTAGTTTGAAAGATGAGATGGAACATGCATGTGCCACTATTTTATTGCCTGAATGAGGTCAAATTCCTGATCCTACTTGGAGTTAGTTGCAGGTTCTGTATAAAGCAGGGGATCAGGATTCCCACCATTCCTGTCATGGGTCTGATAAATGCAGCTGAAATTCTCCTTTGGATTCATGTTCTATTATCCCTATTTTACAGAGAGGGAAACTGAGGCATGCAAGGATTAAGTAATTTGCCCAAGATCGCAGAGTGAAATGAATATTTGAACTGCTGAGTGCTTAATCAATTCCGGGTTTTAACAGATGTATTAGTCCATTCTTACATTGCCCTAAAGAAATACCTAAGACTGGGTAATTTCATAAAGAAAAGTGGTTTAATTGGCCCGTGGTCCTGCAGACTGCACAGGAGGCATGATGCTGACATCTGCTTAGCTTCTGGGGAGGCCTAAGGAAACTTACAATCATGGTGGAAGGTTAAGGGGGAGTAGGCACATCACATGGCCGGAGCAGCAAGAGAGAGAGAGATGGGGAGGAAGGACTACACACTTTTAAATAACCAGATGTGATAAGAACTCATTCACTATCGAGAGAACAGTACCAAGAGGGATGGTGCTAAACCATTCATGAGAAACCGCCACCATGATCAAATCACTTCCCACCAAGCCCTACCTCCAACATTGGGGATTATAATTCAACATGAGATTTGGGTGGGGACACAGGTCCAAACCACATCAACAGGGTAGCATAATTTTTGTGGGGTAGTGAACTTCCCACTTGTTAAATTATATATTGTACTGAATATCGTAGATGAACACATTTAACCAACATCATTTTTACCTGTTATGTTGGTACAACGAATTAACTCAAAGAGTGTTTGTTGGTTGACTGACTGTTGGATAAACTTCTTCCAGCAAATACTTGGATTGTATTCCTAACACAGCTTCCAAGTTTGCCTCCTATTCCTGTTTGTGACAATTTCAGCATTCACTCTCTATGAAGAAACCAGAAATGAACTGACCCTTTTGATTTTTAATCCCCCAACCCATGCTTCCAATAGCATTAAAAATTGCTTGAGTTTACATTAAAAAGGAGATATAAACTTCTAGATAAAAGCAGTGTGAGTAGATATTACACAGTGCATCTTCAAATGAGGGGCATGGGTGGGCACATGAACATACCTGAGTAAGTGCAGGGCAATGTTGGGGTTTAGTTTCCTTTTAAGTACTGTCTCCTCCTCTCTCTCACACATTCACCGTCCCCCTTCCTACCTATTGTAGGCACTTGGGGTCTGTATTCTGACTGCTGGCTGTTTGGTGCCCATGTGGTAGCTGGATCTGCTATTGCCTGTTCTGTTTTCTTCTCCATCAAACTGTGAGCTCCTTGGAAGCAAGGGCTGCATCTAGGAGCCTAGTACAGTTAGTATCTGACAGGTAGAGGTCTGAGAGGAATCTGCTCTTTTGTTTGCTAGACAGAAATTGTGTTTCCTTTTCCAAACACTCCCAGTTGAAGTAATTTCAGAAGGCTCCTAAGGAATGGTGGGAACAGTGGAGATTTCTAGTGGGATGGCAAGAGGGTGGGGGAGATGTGTTTGGGTAGTTTCTAGATCATACAATGGTTCAAGAAGAGTGGTACTTTAGTGCTGGGGGCGAGATCCACTTTACTAGGACATTCAGTTACTTTAGTGTCGACTTTTCTCTGGATTTCACCCTTCTAAGGCTTTTCCCCTCTAGTTCTCCCAACCTCTGGGTGATCATTAGCTGTTTTTCCATCTCTTTCATCTGGCAGGTATTCTGCATTTGCTTTTATAAAGCCATTGCTCCAGCAGTCTGCTGTAACCAGATTAAACAGGGGTGCTCTAATGATAGGAGCTGAGACAGGGGTTTGCTTGCAAACTTCATGTTTCACATGAAAGGCTTTGGCACCCCCTGTGGACTGCCCTTCACCCTGTTTTAGGCATAGTATTTGTTTGCTTTTGTATCTGTGATAAAACAAAGGCCTTCCTGCATAACCAGTGCTGAGCAAATGTCTTGAAACAAAGGGAAGTGCAGAGTTTAAATCCACAGTGGTGTATTACCTTGCCTGCATTTCCATATCTTTGGAATAAATATTTTAACATGTTAATTATCTACTACTAATAAAAATACCTTTGAACTTCCAGTCAATTTGATGGGCCATAGAATTGTCTCCACTGGGGAATGGGAAGTAATTAGTTTCTGTAAGGATTGTAGGTCACGTTGTCTCTTCTCAGTAAGTGGTTGCATGGTCAGTAGCCAGTCATATTCTAGGGAATGTTTGTGCCAAGGCCGCCCTGGTCTGCAGCGGGGAGCTGCTGCCTCCACGGAGCCCCTAGGGCCTGAAGGAGGCAGAGGCTGCTGCTGCACTGTGGCCTTGGGTTCCAATTCACTCACTGCTTCTTGACCCAGAAGAAAAATTCCTTCTAAGTAGGGCAGTTCGAAATCTACTTATGAATCATCTGTGTAACCTTTTTAATTTTTTCTTCTCATTGCAGACTGAAAACTATTCTTTTGACTCCAACTACGTGAATAGCCGAGCCCATTTAATCAAGAGGTATGTTGGTTTGCTTGCTTATTGCTGCAACTAAGCTTGATTTAACATTAAAAAGCAAAACAGATTAAAATTTTTAAAACGTATTTTTTTGGGGGATTTTAAAATGAATGTCCAACCTACTATTTGTAGAAAGTTTGGAAAATTGAGAAAAGCATAAAAAAGTAAATAAACATCACTGGTAATTTCATCAACCAAAGGTAATCACTGTTGACATTTTACATTTCTTGGTATGAAAATGTACGTATAAACACTCAACAATAAAATTGGAATTATATTAAAATATAGTTTTATCTAGTGACAGAAATCTGATATTACAAATATTCACTATTTCTAATATTTCTAATTTCTAATATTATTTCTAATATTTCTAATGTGATATTAGAAATATACAATAGAAAACTTTCACAATCATGTTGATACCAAAATTCTTGTTGCTCTTCACTTTAAATAAAGGAAAGCCTTAAAAATGTTTTTCATGTAGAACTTCCCATGAGTTTTGAGATTGATGCTATTTCAACAACTTTGAAATCATTTTAAAGATATTTTAATGACAGAGAAGCCAATCCTTTCCTTTCTAGATGAGAGAGAAAAAGAAATTTGCCTGATTCTTCTTAAAATTTTTAGAAGTGTTTCAGAGGAAACATTCAAAGTTGAGATTTATGTGATTGGTTGATCATAATTTAGTATCCAAGGAGCCATAATGGATGTGAGTACAGAGCTGAATCCTGCCAAGAAAGATCCCATCTGGTGCAGTGGGCTGCACCCAATGGGAGAAGGACAAGGGGTTTGGGAAGCCCTCTAAAAGGTGGAAACTGAGCAAAGAAGAGAACCTCTTGCACAGAAAGACCAGTCCTAACCTTTCAAATGATGCCTGTATTGCTGTTTCATGTAAATATCACTTAAATGGTCCAGTGGTTATTCTGCAGCTAAAATTGAACTCTGAGTATGTTTGTTAAAATAATAGAAATGAAACAGAGAGGCCAGCAGGGTATGTTAGAGCTGTAGCAGAGAAGGCTTGCAAATTGTATTATTTTGCTGGCTCTAATCCCATAAATTTACATCACCAGAAGAGTAGAATTCAAGGAATAAACAAGCTTCAAGTAACTTGCATTCATGTCTGATTTAATTCATGAGGCTTCAGTAACCCCTAAAACATGCTAAGTTTATCTGTATTGGTCTGGAATTGCTTGTGACCTTAAGTGATGATCATTAGTTGTCTGAAAATGGGTAGCCCTTGTATTATCAGTGAAAGCACAGTTGAGAATTTTTTTTGAGGGGTTGGGAGGAATCCATTTAGAATATTTTCCTGGGTCACAGAATAAAAGCAAGAGGTGAGGAATTCAAAATTATCTGACGAATTTGTTTTAGAAAGAAAAAAATAACCCTCTTATGTGCACTGATTAGAGTGCCTTTGTAGCAGAAATCTGCTTTGTTTCTGCTTCCGAATTGTTATTTTCAAAGCTCCATTTTAAAACTTTGATAAAAACAGTGACTTGCCTTACCCTCACAGGTCCCTCGGGCTAACTCAGGGTACCTGGGAATTCTATAGCCAGGTTAAACAGATAACATGATGCTGGGCGCAGTGGCTCATGCCTGTAATCCTGGTGCTTTGGGAAGCTGATGGTGGAGAACTGCTTGAGGCCAGGAGTTGGAGACCAGCCTGGGCAAAATAGTGCAACCCCTCCCCCCCACCCCCCACCATCTCTACCAAAAAGAAAAATAAATAAATAAAATAAAAAAACCTGATAGTATGAGTCTGATTGTCACAGCCTGGAAGAAAGCTAAGACTCCCAGGGACCCTTGCATCTTACATCAGTCCTGACTATCCAATTTACAAGGTAGACTGATAGATAAAAACTTATGTTTGAACATTTATCTTTGGGGATACATGTATTTCCACAGCAGCGTTGAGACTTACTGGGAACCTCTGATTTTGGTTAATTACTTTATATGTTTTTTGTTTATAGACACATACACACAAAAGGCACAACCTAGACTTAATGGGCTCTTGGTGAAAAAGTCTCCTGATTTTGCATGAAATCAAAGATAGCTTTTTCTTCTTTTTTTTAAATAAAACCAGGGACCACCTTGATGAAGAGGAAACATCTGAAAACTCAGGGACACATGCATTTTTGCCAGGGTTCTGTTTACAGAGCCATGAGAGCTTTGGGAAACTCTGAAGGCCTTGAATTTGTGTGGTCAATTGAGTTTAGATGAAGCATAATACCTAGAAAAATACAGGGAATCTTGTGTGCTATGCTGTTCTGGGGACCAACTGTGTTAAATGTAAAATGTGTGGAAAATGTTGAGAGTGGTGGCTAACACCAGGTGATAAAGTCATGCGAAGCCTGTTCAAATAGCTCACAACAGTGTTTGAAAAGGGTTTTGCTGTATGTGGTTTCTTGAAGATCCATTTACATGCATGGTAAACGCTCTTGGCCAGGAAATTCTGAATCTGATTATCAGTTTTAATTTTACTATCAAGTCCCTGTTTCTTTGAATGCCAATACAATACAATTTCAGGCTAACTTTGAGAACTTCTTTTTCTTTCTTTCTTTCTTTTTTTTTTTTTTTTTTTTTGAGACGGAATCTTGCTCTGTCACCTAGGCTGGAGTGCAGTGGTGTGATCTTGGCTCACTGCAACCTCCACCTCCCGGGTTCAAGTGATTTTCCTGCCTTAGCCTCCTGAGTAGCTGGGATTACAGGCATGCGCCACCGTGCCTGGCTAATTTTTTTTTTATTTTTAGTAGAGATGGGGTTTCGCCATGTTAGCCAGGCTGGTCTTGAACTCCTGACCTCAAATGATCCACCCACCTTGGCCTCCCAAAGTGCTGAGATTACAGGTGTGAGCCACCGTGCCTGGCTGAGAACTTATTTTTCTATCCATGTTCTCTTCTTCTATTCACTTTCTACTTATCCAAGGATGTTTCTTGGACCCTTCTTTTCGGCATTCTCTAGCAGTTGTTAGCATTCTTAGCCAGACTGTTTACATACAGGCATCTTTTCCTCTTTTACATCTATCTACCTTGAGTAGTTGAACAGCAGCTACCACTGTCCACCTCTGGTTCTTTCCTTCATCAGTCAGGGTTCCTACATGAAATAGTTGGCACGCCTAAATTGGAATGGCTTGAGGAAAGTTTATTTACAAAGAGGACCATTTACAAAGGCTTGGGCACGGTTAGTGAACCTCAAGGGATACTGCAGTATTATGGCACTGGAGGAGCTAAAAATACTTCAGACAGGACCAGGGAAGAGAGCATGTAGGGAACATTGACTTGAGAGTAACAGTGACTTCTGGTTGGCCAAGGGATCCAGTCATCATGAAGTGACCCTGGAGGAAGGGAGCAGAGACAATCAATATCCTGATATCACTGTCCTCCCCTGCTCTGATCTCCCGCTGATGTCTTCCTTTGGCTAAACCCAACAGAAAGCCAGAGGGCAAGGGGGTTCTCATAGGCACAAATCAAGGTTGAGAAGGATCTCAACTGTGGGAAAAGGAAGTGATATGGCAGGCTCCCCATAATTTTATGCACCAAGGAATCTAGCATTATATTTCTGTAGTTTTTTTTTTTTCCAGACTGTCACTTGCAACCCGCAGGTGTACCCAAGGAGGCTTATGTGAGGGCCCCAGATTAACAAATCATGGCAGTGCAGAGTTTCTTCTGAATGGACTTCCTTCCTGCTCTGTTTGTTTCTTGCTGTCTTCTCAGAGCAAGGAAAGCCAGCAGTGGTACTTTGTCGCTGCTGCAGCACTCTTTCCTCATGCCTGTTTTGTGGGCTGCTGTCTGATATCCACTCCTACAGTGCTTTGGGAACAATATCAAGCAGGGCATAAGGCTGTGGCCCAAAGAAAATGAAATAGGAAATGAACAAAGCACTGACTCAGCGTGGAAAGGATTAGGAGCTTTGGCTCCCTAAATCATGCACAATGCTTTCTTTTTCCACCCAAATTGTCCTGGGGTTTTTCCAGCACTTCGTATGGTGCCTTGTATATAATAAATGCTTGGTACATGTTTATTGAATGAATGCATGAGAGAAATGGAAGAAAATCTTAGCATTTTTCTATTAAAGACTAGCACTAGATTTCTCTTTAAGCCAGTGATTTCTGGATTTTAATGTGCATTGGAAACACCTGGAAGGCTTGTTAAACGCAGGTATGCTAGCTCCATCCCTAGAGAACCTCCAGTTGTAACAGGTTCCCAAGGTGATTGTGATACAGGTGGTCCAGAAACCACTCTAGGATTTTCCTTGTATTACTTAAATACAGTTATAATAATCTTCATTCTCACTCCTTGCTCATTCTTAGCCTCAGATATCATTCCCTGGGTATGTAGTATCACCTACTAGTAAGATATAACCTGTTTCCATTCTGAGTCTTATGTCTTTTGGAAAAGAGTTCTAATATTTCAGATGGTAAATATGGGTCAGAATTTGTGTGATGTTCATTCGTCATGCATCTGCTGAGTAACTCTTCTGTGCAGAACCCTGTTCTAGGTGTTTTCAAACATATCTGTCTTTTTGTTGGCCACCAGAGCAGTAATAGAAACATGGGCATTTACAATACCATTGGAAACAGGAACCCCTAATTTATTGTCCCACAAAAGTTGTTTTACAAGTCCTTCATCTCCCAAGAGGTATGCAGGTAATAAAGCAAGTGAAATCAGCATTTTTATGCCTGGCATAAATTGTTATTTGTTTTGGGTGAGTAGCCATTTACCAGGCTATTTTACAATATGTGGCATCTTGCTCACTGGGTCTTAAACTGCCTTACACAAATCCATTCATTAAACCACTAAATGCTCTTACAAGATCAGTGTAAGTGGTGCTTAGTTTGTCAGATGGGCAAACTAATCTTTAAATGAGTTAACTATTCCAAGGTTTGGGGGAGTTGTTATACCTTGCTTTTTGTTCTGAGAATACACAACTTCTCGTGCTCACACTACCAGTCCCTTACATCCTAGTAGCTAATCCTTCACTGTTTTATTATTTCCATAATTTCTATTCAAAAAGCAAAATCTCTGAGGTTGTTTGTAACATTCAGATGCCTATGAAAAAGATGATCAATTTTTTAAAAGGCAGATCCAAAACCAATTAGGAGAAGTAAGGTAGACATCCCTGGCATCCAGGGAGGTAACTGACTGCAATTAAACATTACATTTATGTTGAAGTTTTTGAGAAGTGAAGACAAAGCAGTAAGTACACCAAGTGATATAGTTTTAATTATTCATTAAAGGAAGGATGGCCATTTGACAGGAGAACTATTATTTTCTGTTCTTTAATGTTAGAAGAAATTAACACACACACACATAATAGTGTGTGACTATTGTTTACAGAAGATATAGAAGTGTTCTTTAAATATAAATTTTCTGTACCAATCCTATAAAAACTATGGACATAATATTTAATTGTAACTCAGTGAAAACATTACTACACAGAATAATGATGGTATTAAACAATAACCATTTATGGAGCATCTATGTGTATCTGGTACTTCATGTACAGAGTCTCTTTGAGTCTTCTAAATGGCCTTGTGAAGGGGGTTTTAGCAAACACATTTTACAGATAAAGAAACTGAGATTCAAAGACATCAGATATCAGGTCCAGGGTCACACAGATGAAGTGGCAGATTATAGATTATTACTTGTCCTAATGACTCCAAGTTCAGTGCTCTTTACTACAGTCTGCTATAGAAATAAAGAACCTAGAGCAGTTGTTCTCAACTGTGGGGTGATTTGGCAATGTCTCTTTGGAGACACTTTTGGTTTTTTTCCTTTAAGTGGGGGTCACTACTGGCATCCAGTAGATAAAGGGCAGGGATGTTGCTAAACACCTTATAATGCACAGGACGGCCACAACAAAGGATTTTGTAGCCCCAAATGTCAATATTGCCAAGGTTGGGAAGCCCTGCTCCAAGGGCTGGTTAATTACATTGCCCCCATACTAGATCCCTCACCATCATATGTTTCAAGCAAGTTTCAACAGCTGCTGAATTCAGAGTTGAATTCTCTGGCTTAAAGTGACAACTTTGTGTTGTGGATTAAGGACATTTTCAGATACCAGAAAATATACAGGTTGGAAAGTTAAGTATTTGTTATAAAAATGGACCTGAATATCATCCAGGCAGGTCATTTCCTTTCTCCAGAGGTACAGGGGTGCTTGTAGGCAGGCACTCACCTCACGTGACAGAGAATAATTTCTAAAAAACAAACTTTACATCTATTTAAACTGTGGGATTATAATAGTATTTACAGAAAACTCCGTAATATGTGCCATAAAGCTAGAAATGGTGAAACACTTTAAATCATGTGTTTCCAATTGGCCATCATGGCCATAAAAGAACTGTAAGATAATTTGCTTGTTTGTTTGTTTTTTAAAGAACGGCATCCTGGTGGGTCCATAAGGCTGAGTTAGCTGTGTGACATAAATTGAAGGAGCTGAGTGAGCTGGCCTATTGAGTAATTTTAATTTTAGTGCAGTTGATGCTCAGTTATTCTTTCTGAAAATAATTAGCTAACAGGTCAATGCTTCACTCTCTCCTGCTCTTCATTTTCTTATAATTATGGCTTTCCAGTTACTGGCCTCCTGGTCTTTCCTTTTTATATTCAGGTCAGCAAGCATTCTACATCTAGGTTGGTCATATGTTAAAAATCTGCTGTGATTCTTCTTGACTAAGTGTGGAGGGTGACAATGTATCCATTGTGTCCATGGCATAGCTCTTCATTATATGTGCTGAATCTTCTTATCAGTCTCAGAGAGCCAGGCCTGTGAATGTCCAAGGTTGAGCAGATCAAGTGAGTTTGCGGTGTCATTTCCACAGGGCTCTTTTCTCAGAGGCATAGGTCTATTAGGGTTTGTGTTAATTCACAAACATGCCATTCTTCCTTGTTGAGGCAACAACACATTTTCTTGAGTGTGCCTTTGCTGCTTCCTCACCGACTAGGGAATGGATTCACCATCTACTAGGTATTTCAGATGCATAATTTATGGTTCATGGTGTAGCAAAGCTGGGGATTCTGTCAGGACATACAAAGTATTAGAAATAGTAGGTGGGTGCCCTATAGCTGTACCTTATGCATTATTCTCCATTTCATGAGAAATGGTGTGAAGTTCTTGGATTGCATGCATAGTGCATTGTATGGTAGATTGATTTAATAAATGCAAGAATCATTTTACCTATCAACACTTGAGCTGAAAGTTTTCATGTTCTTAGTATAACTATACTCAGAGTTGCATTAGTGCTCACTCTCTGGCTCTCACTTTTGTCTTGCCTTCTATATTAGTCAGGGTTCTGCAGAGAAACAGAACCAATAGGCATATCTAAATCTATAAATATGTAGAAAGAGTTTTATTGTAAGGTATGGGCTTATGTGATTATGGGGGCTGAGGAATCTCATAATCTGCCATCTGCAAGGTGGAGAACCAGGGAAGATGGAAGTGTAGTTTGAAGGCCTGAGAACCAGAGAGCCAATAGTGTAGATTCAAGTCTGGGTTTGAAGTCTTGAGAACCAGGAGCGCTGAAGGCGGGAGATGATTAATGTCCCAGTTCAAGCAGTAAGGCAGAGAACAAACTCAACTTCTTTCTTAATTTTTGTTTTATTCAGTCCTTCAATGGATTGGATGATGCCCACCCACATTGGAGAGAATTGTCTGTTTTACTGAGTCTGCCAGTTCAAATGCTAATTTCTTCTGGAAACACCTTCATAGACACACCCAGAAATAATGTTTAACCAGCTATCTGGGCATTCCATGGTGCAGTCAAGTTGACTCACAAAATTAAACATCACACCTTCCACGCTCAGCTACTGACTCTCCTCTTTTTCTTTGAATATGTTCATCTATTTTTCTCAGATAAAACTGACTTACTGGGTTCTCTGATCCTGATAATCCTTCCTATTTTAGTTGCACTACTTCAATTTCTGCTACCTTTGCTTTTTACAGTTGGTTAGTAGACATCTTTTAAGAATCAGTGTACATAGTGGTTAAATTTCTAGGCAGGCTCTGGAGCTAGACTACCTGTTTTCAGTCTTAGGTCTGCTATATTTTTTACCAGCTGTGTGACCTTGGGCGAGTTATCTCACTTCCATGTACCTCTGTTTTTTTTCATCTGCAAATGAGAATATTAGTAGCACCTTTCTCTTACAGAGTTGTGATGATTTCAACAGTTAATTAATGTCAAACACTTAAAACAGTGCCTCACGAATAGTAATTGCTCAGTAAACACTAGCTATTATTATTTTACTTTGATTTTATAGGAAGAGAAAAGTCTTCTGAAATGATGACATTCTTTAGAGGCAGTTTTAGAATTGTAGCTTCTTCCACCTTGTCTGTAGTGATGCATTGAAGATAAGTGAACGAAAATATTAGCTGTATCAGCATCCAATAGTGGGAACCTCTGTGCAATGTTAAGTTTTATTATCTTTAAGCACAAATTTCTCTTCCCCTTATTCCTACCCTATTGGACAGTCTAGCCACTGTTTGCCTCATTACAGAGCCGACATCATCCTGGCTCAGAAAGATTTTTAAAATCAGATCTGTCACGGTCGTAAATTATCATTCTGTCTTCAACCCAGCAGCTCCACCTTCAAGGACTTAGAGGGCAACAGCCTGAAGGATAGTGGACATGAGGAGAGTGACCAAACTGACAGTGAGCATGATGTCCAGCGGAGCCTGTATTGTGATACTGCTGTCAACGATGTGCTGAACACCAGTGTGACCTCCATGGGATCTCAGATGCCTGATCATGGTAAGGACTGGTTGGATGTAAGTTGCAGCAATCGACTCCAAAGAACCCAAAATGTTTGTAGGCACACTATACTACTTTGCTTAATGAGTGTATTATCAAGGTGTCTACAGAGCTCACACCTCAGCAGCATCTACAGGTTTTTGAGATGTCCTGACACCTAGCCAGATTCTTCTTTGCCCTCCCTAAGTGGATCCCCTAGGTCTGTATAAAGTTCAGGCACTTTAGAAGCTGACTACATGTGCATATTACATACATTTTCTTCAATAAAACTGCACTGAGCTCATAGGAGATGAACAGATGCCTTCTCTCCAGGAATAAATGCCTATTTTTGCTTTAGTACATGAATTCAGCTGATCAATCGAATTGCATAGAACACAGCACTAATGAGACCAAAGGGGTGGGTTTTATTTCCCTATCAGACTGGTTAGCTTTACCCAGAGTGAGACTCTGTTCTCTCATTACAGATTGTGTACTATTTACTGAGGATAGAAAATACCAAACTTCCCATTTTGTCTATGGGGCTGCTATGCCAAATCCCTCCCTCTAGCTTCCACACAAAACCATGCCATTAGTCATAGGGGAGACCAGGGTAAGAGAACGTGGCTGAGTCAATGTAAAATATTCCGTTAATGTGAAAGGCACCTCAAAGCACATGTCAGGAGTGGCATCCTCATGTATGAAGAAGAGTCTATTTCTGTGAACTCGGAACTCAGCCACACATGCTTTATCGAGAGGCACTATTTAAAACTTTGCTAGGCAGAAGCCAGGGTATAAAAACATTAGCAGAGTTCAGCTAAGGCAGAATGTTTAGATGGACTTGGGCACAAATGTCATTTTCAATATTTTACTGATGCAAACATGCTATGCAAACAGCCTGTCTTTTTCAATTAAGAAATATGAATTCAACTTGGTGGTTAGGCTCAGTGAAGCTTCAGAATGCTTGGCTATGTCTTGAGAAAAGCTAGACTCAAGCTCAGCTGGAAGCCCTACTGCTAAAAGACTTAAAAATGAGAAAACAAAATATGGTGATTATGTGCTGGTCTTCAGCTGTTTCATTTCACTGTAAACATCATTAAATGCTTTTGTTTTGGTTTTTGGAAATAAGTCCAAAGGAAAAAATGTACTATCCACAAAACAAAATGTTTTTCATGGAAAAAAATTAGTCACTGTAGATTCTATTAAATTGTCTTAATCCATTCCCTCCCCAGCAGACCCAAGTGTCAAAGTCTATTATATAGAGAGGTCACTATGAATTGTGCACTGCTGTCTTCCCTAATTGGTGAGTGGTGACATCTGCAGAGATAATACACTTTCTGGGAAACCTTACTATGACTAAAGATGAAAAAAATTAAACAGTTATATAACTGAAACAGAGACAATTTAATACTCAGAGGATTAGCAGTATGTCACAGGATGCAAACTGATATATATCATTTACTAGTTGTGTGTTTCAAAGAAATGCTTTTTCATTTATATCAAGAAAGGGTTTTAGTTAGATGCTCTCTAAAATGAAATGACTCCAGGAAAGGAAATAGTCATAATTGATTCTCACTTTATGCCTGGCTAGAACAACATCTGTTTTATTTTTTTGTCACATTTCTCTAGGAAAACAGTATCAGGGAACTGCAGCTAGTTTTTTCTGAGAGAGTGTTTCTTACAAATTGGATGTATTACATATATATGTGTGTGTGTATATATCTATATATGTGTACTGTGTAGATTGGATAATAAGACGAGTATTCTTTTTTGTGAATGCATACCTAAATTTTATTTCAGCTTAGTCATTTGGGTTGAAGGTAGAGACCACCAGTCTCCATATAGGTAGAGTGACCACATAACCCAGTTTGCCTTGTATACCTCACTTTACATCTGTGTCCTTGGCATAATCAATAATGAGAATATTCTAAAGGAAATGTGTGGCAATACTCCAAGATTCCCCTACATATAAGATGATGATTTTACACACACACACATGCATACACACACATACACACTTTCTGCTGGGCCATTTTGGCAACACTTTCACATTTTGTTTCTTACTATTTGATTTGCATGTGTGTATCTTCATTTTTTCTATTATTCCGGCAGTGGTTAAACCTTGAGCCAACCCTTGAGTGAGTTCTTTTCAACTTGTGTGATTGCCTAAAGTTTAGGTACAAAAAGAATTTGGGCCTTGTTTATACCTCAGTCTCTCCCTTGTGATATCCCACTACTTCTGAAGCTTTCTGTAATAATACTTGTGTGTCCCATAGCAACTTCAGGCTTGCCACAGATTCCATCACCAGTTCACTTGGACTGATACTGCAACCTCAAAAAAGAGCAACAATTCCAACAATTAACATTTCATAGCATTTTAATATCTCAAGTCTGCATTTGCATAATAAGTATATCACATTTTATCTTAAGGTACAGTGGTTGAAAGGCAGTCACTGGGTGATCCACCATGCATGCCTGATCTTATAGCCATTTTAGTTAGATTGTCCCAGGGTAACATGGTATTGTTGCTTCAAAGGATTACCAATTTAGAAAGGTGAGAAGGGAAAATAGAATCTGCACTGGACTGAGACCTGTACTGAAAATCTCAAGAATTCCTTGAGGAGAAAAAAACTAGTCCCCAATCCCCTTGGTTCATTGACAGTGTGATGGGAATCTTAAACCCAAGTGTTCTGAAATTCTTGGAGTTCCAGAGCAACTGTTCTTGAGGTTTGGGTAGGTGTCACTGGAGCAGAATGAAGAATGTAGTGAATTTGTCAGGCTAACTCTGATCCTGGTATTTCTTTTAGTCCTGCCAGAACCACTCCAAAGTTGGGCCAAATGTATCCAACAAGAGCGTACCTTACACCTTTGTTTTGGGGAGTTTGGCTCACCTTGTATTCCATGTCTGTAGTTCTCTCTGTGACTTTTCTAATTTGGATATTAGTACTGCATATTTCCTTGCACGTATGTGGACACATGATTGAAGGGGAATCTCAGAATTTCAAAATAAAGATAATTTTGTGCATCTGTTAGTTTTTCCTTTGAGCAGGAATGGTTTGTTCAAGGAGCTGGTATTGTGTTGCCTGTGTTTGGGGTAAAGGTATAAACTATATTTGCTCCTCTTTTTAAGAGATACCTGGGCCCTGTGCTTTTCCACACTGCCAAAATTTCTATGGGATTTGTCCTTAAGATTTTATTGTAGCAGAAGAATGATCGGTGTGAATGACAAGGGTGCTTTGTGACTCTGAGTAAGGGCCCAAATTCCTTAATTTTCAGTAACCCTTCTCTGAGAACATTCCTAGAGGTGGGAACCCAGAATCACTATATTTAATGAAGGAAGGAGAATGTTATATTCAATAAAGGAAGGAGAATATCTAGAAGACTTCTTTTTTTTTTTTTTTTTTTGAGACAGAGTCTCACTCTGTCACCCAGGCTGGAGTGCACTGGTGCGATCTCTACTCACTGCAACTTCTGCCTCCTGGGTTCAAGCGATTCTCCTGCCTTAGCTTCCCAAGTAGCTGGGACTACAGATGCGCACTACCACTCCTGGCTAATTTTTGTATTTTTTTTTTTTTTTTTTTTTTTGAGACGGAGTCTCGCTCTGTCGCCCAGGCTGGAGTGCAGTGGCGGGATCTCGGCTCACTGCAAGCTCCGCCTCCCGGGTTCACGCCATTCTCCTGCCTCAGCCTCCCAAGTAGCTGGGACTACAGGCGCCCGCCACTACGCCCCGCTAATTTTTTGTATTTTTAGTAGAGACGGGGTTTCACCATGTTGGGCAGGCTGGTCTCGAACTCCTGACCTAAAGTGATCCACCTGCCTTGGCCTCCCAAAGTGCTGGGATTACAGGCGTGAGCCACCGCGCCTGGCCTAGAAGACTTTTGAACTCAAAGGGCAAAAGTCAGGTATTTAGTCACTAGGAAGTTTGGATTATGTGTTTCCTTTTCAATTTTTAAAAATGTCTAAATTTATTTTTTATTTTGTTTATAATTGACACATCATAATTTTACATGTTTGTGGGGTACAATGTGATGCTTCAATACATGTATATGTTATATAATAATTAAATCGGGGTGGTTAGTATATCCAGCAACCTCAAACATTTATCATTTCTTTGCAGTAATAGCTTTTAAGATCCTCTTTTTTAGCTATCTTGAAATATACAATGCATTGTTATAAGCTATAGTCACCCTACTATGTATAGACACCAGAAGGATTGTGTTTGATTGTCCAACCAGACACATTCGTGAGCTCAGTGAGGGTGGAAATGAGAGAGAATGACAGGAATCTCTGCTTTCTGGATTACTGTCAATCTTGGTATTTCTCTTGACATGCCTAAGACCAGGTCAGTTGGTTGATGAACTGGCTAAGCTGAATTTCCTGGTTGCCAGCTGACTGAATTACAAATTGATTTGTTATCCAGTGCCCATGAATTAATACGTTTCAGTTTGTCCTTAGTATTCAGCTCTTGTTATGGCTTCCCAGAAAAGAAGATGATAGAGAATTCTTTATCCTGTGCTTTCTACTGGTGTATTGTAGAATGGCAATTTGGAATGCTGTCTCTTAATAGCTCTGAGTGGCTTGAGACCAAGTAAGTGTTGTCATTGGCGGGTTTTACCACTTGATTTGGTTCTTGAGGCAATTTGGTGCTGAGCTTGGGAGTCAACACTCAAATTTTTTAACTGATGCCTTCTGTCCCTGAGGGAATTACTTGGCTTGAGGGAGTCTGAGTTACCTGGTAAAATTACCACCCTTTGGTGGGGATAAGAATTTTGCCTTTATGCGGTTCCTGCAGAGACTCTCTAAAAAGAGTGATTGACAAGTAGAGTAGTGAGAGGTGCCAGAGGCTCATGGGTTTGTTGCGTGATTAGGGGTATCATGGGGCTTGAATTTCTTCCTATCCGGGTTATCTCTGAGCTAAGTAGTGGGGGCTGGGGTCTGGCTCCTTCTTGCTTCTTTGCATAACAATTTTTGATGATGTGGATATCCCATTATTCTTACTTAAATATGTAATCCTGATATGAGATTGGGGTTTATAGGGATCATGCCCTAGAAGTGTACACTAGTCCCAAGCTCAGCTATTTTGTTTCAAATTACACTCAGTCCCTCTTTCCTTATGGTTTTAATTATTGATTATAAATTCATCAGATGAAAAGATGACTCTAATTGCTCTAATATGCACCCAATTTGGAGTTCGCTACAACACTGAATTGGTTTCCCTCCATGCTAACTGATACCAAATGGAAGCAACTTACAGAATTTTTTTGTAAGATTTAGCTGCTTTTCATATCCAAATGCGTCCAAATGCAATATAATGATTGCTTTATTTCTGGAAGTATAGATTCTTCTGTTTTAGTAGACTTGTTTATTTACCAGTTTCATCACCTGAATAGCATTTAACATGTTTGCTGTGTATAACATGGATTTGAAGAACTTGATCTGTACCTAATGCAACTGCTGTTAACAAATTTGCCATGAAAATGTTCTGTAGGCTGCGTACTATGCTTATTCTAGTGTCAACCACAGGTATATTAAGATGTTTACACTTTCAACACTCTACCAACAATATGTAATTTTGTTTCCTCTAGCCATTTAAAGAAATTATGATTCCATGACTGAACATCCTTCTTTTATCTTCTTATCTGTCCCCCGACTCACCTCTCTCCTCACTGAATTTTGAAACACTCATTTCAATTAGTCTCTTGGCAAAATAGGGAGTTCTCAATGGAGACTATTTTGTGTCATTGCAAAGCAGTGTGCTGCTGGGCTCCAGATATGGTAGCATGGGCCAGATGTTCATAGAGTAATTGAAAATTCCATTTTATCAGAATAGCATTTGCTGTCAAAAAGTTTTATCTTTACGTGAACAAAGCGGTTGATTAGATCCCCCTGGACCTGAATTAGCATCTTTGAGGCTAGATACACTGTTTTGCAATTCATGTGGTTATTTCTTTCCCAGTTTTGCTCATATAGAGACTTTAAAAAATGTCTTCATCCTCTTGCAAATATACCTAGTGAAATTTAATTACTTGAACCCAGGAATGTGTATACAGCGTTTCTATATATGTGATTTCCAGCTGCTTTCATCCTGCCTCTGGTATACTAGGCAGGAATAAACCATGAACAGATATATATCACTCATTACTCAGTAATATTTTTGAGTGCCCACTATGTGCCTGGCTCTGGGAATTGAATGTGTCAACTACTGCTGTTATTGACTGTAAAAGTTGTTATCTTTTTACTTTTATTAATCTGGGGTTTACTGAGGTGACCAAGGCCAGCTCAATGATGAAATGAATAATTCTATTTTAAAAAATTATAAGAATAGATTTTGGGGCCATTAAAAACCTTGTGAATATTGTGCCAGTAAAGCAAGAGAAGCAATATGAAAAGACTGTTACAATCAAGATCTTATTTTCAATGGGAATGTCATGAAATATTCCTCCTTTGATGTTCTAATTTGGACAGTATCACATTGGTAAACATTTTTTTTTAAAATCCACCTGTTGTGAGGTTGAATTTCCTACTCATCTTTGGTTAATGTCATTGTAGGATGCTAAGTTTAATCTCTGACATGTCCAATTACCTTGCTGGTTTAGAGGCAGTCAGTAGCACTCAATGCCTAGTACCCCTTTTTTTCTGATGCCCAGAAACTTTATCCTTTCTCTCAGTCTCAGCAGTTTTTGGGCAGGTAGGAAGAGAGGTGACAGGTGGAGCTTTTTCTTTTTTTTAGTTCAAAACCAATTATCTGCTGTACCACATAATTGGATTTTTTCCAAGGCAACATTTACATTTTATTGGAAAAATAATCACTAAAATAAAAAGTTGTTCTTCACTAATGGAAACCTCCCTGTTGTTAGAATTTCTTTGCTAGTATTCTTTTGGCATGGGCCCTTTGGTCAAATAATTGTTTTAGGACAGTTCACCATTGGTTTCTTCATGCAGGACATTAAGAATAATATCAACCGTTTGTCTAATTTTAAATAGATACGCTATTGTGTTATAGCATATCTATTTAACATATTGTGTTATAGCATATTGTGTTTCCCAACATATATATATATATATACAGACATATATATGTATATGTGTATATATATGTGTATATCTATATGTATATATATCGGGAAAACACATGCACACACACACTATACACACACACACACACACACACGTTGGTTATATATATGTTATGCGGTTCCTGCAGAGAGTCTCTAAAAAGAGTGATTGACAAGTAGAGTGGTCAGAGGTGCCAGAGGCTCATGGATTTGTTGCATGATTAGGGGTATCATGGGGCTTGAATTTCTTCCTGTCTGGGTTATCTCTGAGCTGAGTAGTGGGGGCCAGGGTCTGGCTCCTCCTTGCTTCTTTGCATAACCATTTTTGATGATGTGGATATCCCATTATTCTTACTTAAATATGTAATCCTGATATGAGATTGGGGTTTATGGGAATCATGCCCTGGAAATGTACACTAGTCCCACATTCCTGGATTCAAGTAATTAAACTTATATTTGCAAGAGTATGAAGACATTTGTAAAAGTCTCTATATGAGCAAAACTGGGGAAGACATAACCATATGAATTGCAAAACAGTATATCTAACCTCAAACATTTATCATTTCTTTGTGGTAATAGCTTTTAAGATCCTCTTTTTTAGCTATCTTGAAATATACAATACATTGTTTCTTTCCATATGTATATTTATGCTTGCTTTCTTACTCTCTGTATATGTAGTGTGTGTGTGTGCATGTGTGTTTTCCCAATCTACTTGGAACTTTTAGTTGTCTGATATTCAAGGTTATTTTAATATTTATTATTACTAATAATTACTTGTGGTGGGCTGGGCATGGTGGCTCATGCCTGTAATCCCAGCACTTTGGGATGCTGGAGCAGGTGGATCATTTGAGGCCAGGAGTTCAAGACCAGCCTTGCCAACATGGTGAAACCCTGTCTCTGCTAAAAATACAAAAATTAGCTGGGCATGGTGGCACATGCCTGTAAGTCCAGCTACTCGGGAGGCTGAAGCACAAGAATCACTTGAACCCATGAGGCAGAGGTTGCAGTGAGCTGAGATTGTACTACTGCACTCCAGCCTGGGTGACACAGTGAGACTCTGTCTTAAAAAAAAAAAAAAAAAATGAAGAGGAAAAAAACAAACAAAAAACGAAAACAAAAACAACAGAAAAAAAACTACCTGTGGTAAGGAATTCATTACTCATCAAAAAATAAATGCCAAAGCTTTTCTTGATTAGTTGACATTAAGAATTTCCATATTTTTAAGCATTTTGAAAGCATTAGAGGATGCAGGATATGTAAAAGGAGCACAATGAACAATTAAGAATTTCATTCTCCAGTAGTTTATGGCCCAACAGCAAAAATGGTCCAGTATGGAATAGACTACATAGGATCGGTGAAGAAAGTAATTAAGATTTTTGAGCTGGAGACCAAAATGCATTTAAAAGGACACTTTGGTGTAATGTGATCTCTTTGGAGGAATGGTGGAAGCCAGGCCCCAACATAGTATGCTAGATAAAATTATGCTCTATTTGGGTGATTTACTAGGTGAATGTTTTCCAGTAGCTTCATGAAAAATCAACTTCTATAGGCCATGAAAAGTAGGGACACTGCCAATAAGTTAATAGATGAGAGACAAATCAAGTTGTTTTGTGGGACTTTCCCTTTCTTTCTTTCTTTCTTTCTTTCTTTCTTTCTTTCTTTCTTTCTTTCTTTCTTTCTTTCTTTCTCTCTCTCTCCCTTCCTTCCTTCCTTCCTTCCTTCCTTCCTTCCTTCCTTCCTTCCTTCCTTCCTTCCTTCCCTCCCTCCTTCCTTCCTTCTTTCCTTTTTTCTCTTTCTCTCTCTCTTTTCCCCTTCCCTTCTCCTCCCTCCTTTCTTTTCTTTTCTTTTTTCTTTCTTTCTTTTCTTTTTTTGAGATGGGTCTCACTCTGTCACCCAGGCTGGACTGCAGTGGTGCGATCACAGCTCACTGCAGCCTTGACCTCCTGGGCTCAGGCGACCCTCCCACCTTAACCTTCTGAGTAGCTGGGACCATAGGTGCATGCTTGGCTAATTTATTTTGGTAGAGACGGGATTTTGCTATGTTTCCCAGGCTGGTCTTTAGCCCCTAGGCTCAAGCAGCAGTCCTCCTGCTTTGGCCTCCCAAAGTGCTAAGATTACAGGCATGAGCCACCGCTCCCAGCCTAACATTATTTCTGTCCTGTCATAAGATGATTAAGAGCCATAAACTCTTATCAGGATGGGAAATGATAAATCTAAACATGGATTTTAAATATTTGTAGAGTATTTTTTTCTGTTTATTTTCCTCTTAATCCTTTTGTTATGAAATAAATATGGGGAATTAAGTCCATTCATAGCCAGTTTAAGGGATTGATACCAAGCATTTTTTTTTTTTTTTTGAGACGGGGTTTTGCTCCAGGCTGGAGTACAATGGCACGATCTTGGCTCACTGCAACCTCCGCCTCCCGGGTTCAAGCTATTCTCCTGCCTCAGTCTCCTGAGTAGCTGGGATTACAGGCCTGTGCCACCAAGCCCAGCTAATTTTTGTACTTTTAGTAGAGACGGGGTTTCACCACGTTGGCCAGGCTGGTCTCGAACTCCTGACCTCAGGTGATCCACCCGCCTTGGCCTCCCAAAGTTCTGGGATTACAGGTATGAACCACCGCCCCTGGCCCCATAGTTTTAAAAGCAATTTCAACAATACCAAAATTATGTATCATTTATTTATTCTGTGGACAAAATAGTCGTGAGATGGCTTTCCTCTTTTATGATAGATGCTTTTTGTCATCCAGGGTCAGGACTTGCCCAAGGTATTTTTGGTCTCTTGTTTTTATCAGATGGCTCAGTGCCCTGTATACTTTGCATCAAGGAAAGCTTAATTGATACATCCACTTTGGAAACGTGGCTTTTTGACAAGAAAGCCTTTTTAATTTCTCTTTCTTTATATAAGGCTTATCCCCAGTAAAACTCCAGCCTAGAAAAATCATTGTGTTACTCCATTCTCACACTGCTATAAAGAAATGCCCGAGACTGGGTAATTTATAAAGGAAAGAGGTTTAATTGACTCACAGTTCTGCATGGCTGGGGAGGCCTCAGGAAACTTACAGTCGTGGCAGAAGGGGAAGCAGGTACTTTCTTCACAAAGTGACAGGAGAGAGAGAGAATGAGGGAATGAGAAAGTGCTATACTTTAAAACCATCAGCTCCTGTGAGAACTCACTCACCATCATCAGAACAGCATAGGGGAAACCGTCCCCATGATCCAATCACCTCCCTCCCTTAACAGGTGGGGATTACAGGTCCCTCCCTCAACACATGGGGATTACAGTTTGAGATGAGATTTGGGTGGGGTCACAGAGCTAAACCATATCAATCATCAAGCACCAAATTAGAAAAGGTTTGAGCTGCTCTTTTTAGGAACATCAGAAAAGTTGCTTTTTAGGGGATCACACACAGGTTCTTCTTCTGGGCATATTTTCAAAGATCTGACATAATCTAGGCTTAGGTCTTAGATGGACTTGTAAAGCTCACAGTGGATAGATAAAACAGACTCTTTTGCAACTGGACAAAGTGGAACCCCATAGACCAATCATTCTGCCAGGTAGAGAGAATATAAAGCAGTTCCTCATAGTTTGCGATGAAGAGATTATTAATGAAATATCAGTCTCCAGAGCTGTTTTGGAGCAAATCCTTTGGGACTGTAAGTGTGTGTGTGCAGGTGTCAATGTCAGAAGGGTGCTGTAGGATTTTAGGTTTTGTGGTAAACACTGGACTTCACTTAACAATGTGCCATTCAGAGATCTAATATGTGGTTGGAAGTATGTGTAGGATGGTGTGTAAAATAGGTAATTCGAAAGGCAGTGAATCTGGAAGGGGCCAAAAGAATTGATCAGAAAATGAACTCTTTGTGACTGAAGTTACTCAAAGTTTTGTCACATTGAGGCGGCCTAATGACAAATACTTTTTTCTTTTGAGGGTCTCTGGTCATCAGAAACAATAGTTGTACTTCATTATCCTTCATGACAGTTTAGACAACAAAAATGCAAGCTATTAAATTTGAAATAATAGACAACCCTGTTTTATCATTAGTTTAGTTCTTTTTAACCTTAGTAATACTCATTTTAATGGCAAATAAGGCTCTTTAGGTTACTGCCTTAGTTTAACAGGAAAATTTTCAATCTGGCTAAAGAACTCTAGAGTTTTAGAACTCTAAAAGCAAGTTTATCTCCCTCTGCCCCCAGTAAGCTAAGCCTTAGGGCCTTTCTAAATTATGGTCTAGTCCCTAGACTCTAAGTAATGCAGGACTGCAACTGTAATCTGCTTTGAATAAAAATACAACTTATAATGTTGCTTTCTTTTTAAGTAGAAATCTGTAAACATACAGTACTCTAATAATTTGGAGAAACTTGATACTCTTGCAGCAAGGCAGCTTCCAAGTCATGGGTTTGCAAATCCAAGTCCAATGCCAGAGATATATTTTCCAATTTCTGTGGTCGCTTTTCCACCTCTAAGCTCATATATTCTCTCCTTTTCTATCCTTAACTTGCATAATAATAAATGTTTGACAACTTGCTTTCTTTCCTCCTCTTTCAGTCTCTATGGAGTTTCCAACCTGTGTGAACAATAGAATATTTCCCTTTTAATACATGGAAAAGAGGAAAAAGAGGAATGATGTATGTTTCGAGATATTTAGGCTGGTCAAACTGTTCCAAGGCATCACCACCTGCTGTTTTTAATCATTAATGAGGCTGTCAGTTGCTCTAATCTGGGAGGTGAACCAAAAGAATTGTTTTGACTTTAATTTAATTTAAAAATCAGCTTATTGAAAAAAAATGCTTCCAGCTTCTATGAGTCAGGTTGCACACTGTTGATAAAACAAAGCAAGTCAAATGTTGATGCTGAACCATCATTCATATGCAAACGTGAACCGTTTTAAATTTGCAGAACTCTTATTATTACCATCACTAGCCAGAAATTTTAGTTCTTTTTTTGTTTGTTTGTTTTAAACAGCGTCTCCCTGTGTCGCCCAGGCTGGAGTGCAGTGGCGCGATCTCAGCTCACTGCAACCTCCGCCTCCTGGGTTCAAGAGATTCTCTTCCCTCAGCCTCCCAAGTAGCTGGGACTACAGGCGCCTGCCACCACGCCCGGCTAATTTTTTTTTGTATTTTTAGTAGAGACGGGGTTTCGCTATGTTGGCCAGGCTGGTCTTGACCTCCTGACCTCGTGATCTGCCCACCTCGGCCTCCCAAAGTGCTGGAATTACAGGCGTGAGCCACCGCGCCCGGCCAAATTTTAGTTCTTTTAATTCAAGTAGTCATTGTATTCTGGAGACATGCTGCGTGTAAATATCTGTTCCATTTTTTAGAAGAAAAACTGATGCACCAAAATTTTAAACACTCTATTAATGTCAGAACACAAATCTATAGCAAAGTCCAGAGTGAAGCCTAAAGTGCAAATTCTTTTGCTTGACTCAATGCTCATCACACTGTTTGTATGTTTTAGAAGTTTAGTGACTATCTGTGAGTACTCTATTAAGTTGGAGTTTTCTTCACTGGATGGTTTTGCTTAGTGACAAAATGAGAACTCAGAAATACAGTGTCTGTGCACAAGTGGATTTTAACGACCTAGAGCCAGACCTTTGTTTGTGCCAACTGTCAATTTGGAAGGTTTCATTATGCCTCTCTCAGCTTCATCAAACACTTTCAGATTTATAATTGATGTCAACTGAAGTTGAAGTCAAAGAAAACCTTCTTTTTTTGACTGTAGAAAATATCACCTTATTGTTGGGCCCTGGTTAGCCGGAGGGTAGGTGTATCAAATCACACTAGCCTTCTGCTAAAACAGCAAGTGAGCACTTGCTGAATTCAGCTGATAATCAATCTGCAGCTAATGAGTCTGCAGACAGACTGAGCGGCTGGAGCTGGCACCAGGAAACCACCATTCCAACTAACCATCTCTTATTAACCTTTTGGTGTTTCCTTTGTGACGCTAATTAGAGACCCATAAAACTATCTGCTCTAGATCTTCCGTTTAAAATACAATTTTCAAAGAAACACAATTCACTTTAAGGCTCCTGTTAGTATGGCCTTTTCAAACCTCATGAAGGAAAATGACTGACTTGCCATTTAAGTAAAGTTTGGATAATTAATCTGTAATGTTTTGGTAATTAAAATGCCAGGAAAAGTTGGTTCTGTAGTTGGTATAATTTATAATACTCTCCAGATTCCGGTGGTACTGAAGTAGGCGGCAGATGTTTCTACCACCGTTATGTTTTGACTGTCTGAAAGTACCCATTCCCACGCTGTAGCCCTGTCTGCCAGACTGCCTGTCTGCCTCCTCCTTTGGTGTGAATTTGTTTTGATTGCCTGAGGGGGTTAGATGTGTGCTTTGCTTCCTTTCTGGGGGATGATGAGCCAAGGAATGAGCTTTGTACTCTTGGGAGAGGGAAAAGTCTTCGAAGTTGACATGCTGTTTAGCTCAAAATGAGTTATCAAATGGGCCCACTCAACGTTCAAACTGTTACATTTGCATGATGAAGATGGAGGAGCACCATGCCTTCCTGCTCTAGTCCCCCATCTCATTTCCTCTTTAATATTTTTTACACCCAGAACAAGAGCATTATGAGATAAGTGTTCTAAGCGTGTTGGACCCATGTATTCATCCTGTGCTTTCGTTTACCTGTCTACAGCACCTTTTAGTGCCTCATTTCTCTCATTTGTTTAAAATAAAAAATTACCTAGCATAAATGACTTACATGATCCTAGGGGACAGAATCTCTAGATGAGGAATTGACTGACTATTAAATAAGTGAGATCTGCAAAGCTGGACATTGTTTTATTTGATTTAGCAAAGAGGTACTCTTCGAGAAGCCCAATATTAATCATCTAGGATCCTTTAGAGATTAAAATATCCATACCAGAAATGCAGGCACAGAACCCAATATTCTTGCAGCATTACCTGGAGCCCCTTTGGTATCTTAAGTTTTCATTGTCATCAATATGGAATGTTCAAAGTCCTAAAAAGTCCCTGAAATCATTGTGATATGGAACTCATGTTATAATATATCATTTATCCCTTACAGCAACACTGAAAGGGAGAGACAAGCATAGAATTCCAAATAGTCAACAGAGGAATGACAGCCATCTATAGTGAGGATCAAAATCAGAATCTTGGCTGATGGGGAAAGGTTCAGAAAATTAGAATGAGGTGATAAGAGAGAATGAAATAAGATAAAAATATCTATGGTTGAAACCGAGATTGGCAGGGACAAAAGGGGTATAATCCAGATTTCCTTTTATATGTACTATCTAGCTAATACTCATTGATAAACCTAAGAATTCTAATTCTCATTGGAGTCTTCCAGACAGATAGTGTCCAATCACTTCAGGCTCCAACTAATATGAGCCAGTCCTAATGAATCAGTACAACTATTTCCACTCTACTCCATTATATTCAAGATTGACATCATTAGTCTGCCTGTAAATACAAAGGCAGGCAGAACATCATAGTGGCTAAGAGTACAGACTTTGAAATAATACAGATTTAAGTTTCATGCTTATCTTTGCCACTTAATAGCTATTGACCTTATTTGTTCGAATCCTCAATTTTCACAACTGCAAAATGGGAGTAATGATAGAAATTACCTATCAGAATGTTGTGAGAAGATCCAGATAAATACTTCCTGGAATATAGCAAGTGTCCAAAACATAGCAAGTGTTATTGTGGGGACTGAGTCAGTGGAATAGCCACTTTATAGGATTTCAGGTACCCTACCACTCAAAGCCCCTCATCTGTTTGCTTCTATCTCTGATCCCTTTAACAGAAAATGAGGCATTTCATTTTACAGTTACTGTTCACACTTTAAGCAGTCCATGGGGAGAGAAAATGCATTTATTTAAATTCACACTAAGTTGTAAATAGTTGCTATTAGATTGTTTCTAAGCTTATTATTTGAGAGGAGTGGTGGGGGGAAGAGGATCGTTTCTAGAATATTGAACTTTAAAAGTCTCAGAGGGGAGAATCAGAGGGGAGAAATGCATAGAAATGGGGTGACAACCTCATGAGTTTGCCAGAGCTATTGGTGTCCAAAGAAAGTAATTTGATTTACTCACTGTGAAATGTCTGGATGCTGGAAAGCTGCCTTTACTATCAAATCATTTTTCTGAATCAGCCCAGACTTTGAGAAATTATAACATGTCTGCCAAAGGTTTGAAAAGAGGTTGTGTTCATTTACATTGCAAAATATACATATTCTTGAGCACTTACTGTGAGGTAAGAGAAGCCCTGGTTCCTCTCTGGAGGCATTGACTCCACTTTGCCCTCCCTGTATCAAAAGCTGCATACCCCAGCCCCAGGATCCCTGCTGCTCTTCCCTGCTCTCCCTCTCTTGCTTCACGGTTCTTAAATGGCTAATGGGTGGTAGACGTCATTTTGATTCCTTTATTTTCTCTCCCACTGCATGCCCAGACTTTCATTAAAAAATAAATGAGGGGATGCATTTTTCATTTTTAGTTTATTTTCTAAAAAAGCCACACTGCAAAGAATCCCTTCTATTCTTTTTTTCTAACAATGGACTGAAAAATGCTCAGCTCCTACCTGAAAGGTCATATCTCCTTGCCATATGAATGAGCTTCCAGCAGGTCCATAGGGAGAGTGTCATCTGAGAAATGATGGGAATTTATGTGCCTTTGGATTTTGGCCTCATTTTGTAGTGGAAAAATAAATTTGTTAATGATAGAAAAAAAATCTCAACCAAAGCCCTTTATAAAATTCTCTCTCTATAACTCCCAGGAGGGAGCCTCTCAGACACACAGTTGATAAATGAAAAAATATTTTTTACCCTTGCCTTGCTTAGAGCTGTTTCTCTTATATTAATGTAAGCCAGGTGGCCCACCTTCGCTGATAATATGGTGTTGAATATAGCAACCTGCAGTTCTATTGCATAAAGTATTTTGGCTTGTAAGGGACCTTGTGACATGTTTGTGTTTGTCAACATCCTATTGGAAAGTAGGGCTTGGGGAGACATGTACACACATAGAACTGTGTGGAATTAGGGATATGAAAAAAACAACTTATAACACAGAGGCAAGCACTGTGTTTTTGAAAAAGGCAGATTCATTGTGAAAATAAACTTTCTTTTATAGTTTGAACATTCCATGAACAATGTAACTGGAAGTGCATACTTTTTGCCTTCCCCAAAATCTAAATCCACGTGCTATATACAAAATGCTAAGATCATTATAGTCCTGGCCGGGCGCGGTGGCTCACGCCTGTAATCCCAGCACTTTGGGAGGCCAAGGCAGGTGGATCACAAGGTCAGGAGTTCAAGACCAGCCTGGCCAACATGGTGAAACCCCATCTCTACTAAAAATACAAAAATTAGCTGGGATTGGTGGCGCATGCCTGTAATCCCAGCTACTTGGGAGGCTGAGGCAGGAGAATTGCTTGAACCCAGGAGGTGGAGGTTGCAGTGAGCCGAGACCTCGCCACTGCACTCCAGCCTGGCAACAGAGTGAGACTCCGTCTCAAAAAAAAAAAAAAAAAAAGATCATTATAGTCCCTAACATACTTTAATGCCATGACCTACTGGGAAATGAGAATTGTAGTTTTCATTCTATTGTTTGTTCATTGTAGAGCCTTGGATAAGTCACTAACCTCTCAAAGTCTCAATTCGTATATTTACAGGTGGGATGATGAGCAATGTTGCATTAATGTTGATAAGACCAATAATCAAAGTGTCTATCTGTCTATCTATCTATCTATCTATCTATCTATCTATCTATCTATCTAGTATTTTTTCTTAGTACAATATAATTGTGAATCGGATGGCTAGGTGTTTTGCCGGTTTTTGGTTTTTGTTTTTGTTTTTTTGTTCCCTTCTCTTCCTTGGCCTGTTGACCTGACCTGAGAATTGGGAACTTTATGTGCTCATCATATTCCACAGATTCATAGCCTATAAACAAGTTACTTGTCCAGTCTGGTCTTTGGATTTCTCATCTGCAGAATGGAGGATACTGGTAGTACCTGCCTTGTGGGGTGGTTGTAAGGATTAAATGAGATGACACATGTAAAACACTTAGTGCAGTGTCTGTTCCACAGTAGGCACTTAAAAAGAGTAGCGGCAAGATGATGCTGATGAAACATTCTCCCTGGGTTCCTGTCTCCCCTCTTCACTTATCTACGTCTCTTTCTCTCTTTAAAATTACAAGCAAAATTTAAGTCCCAGAAAGCAGCCTCTTTTGACTAATGGTTTGTCCTGATCTCTCCTTTACTTGGCGTTCTTTAATATCCATGTACAGAGTTTATATCATGTTAATTTGCTTTTTTCCTGTTTTTTAAAAATGTAAAATGAGAGAGTTGATAATTGTTAAGACATTTCAACTTCTGAGCTTCTTTTATTCTGATTTTGGGTTCTGGGTACAACCTTTTCAGATTCCTGAGCACACAGCCATTTGCCAATGGATCTGTAATGAGTGCCACACTCAAATTAACAGATGGTGTGGTGCGCTTGCTTTGAGGGGTAATTACTCTTTCATCTTAATTTCCTCCCTTTGGCATTCCTTCTTTGGATACTGTTCAATGGCAATGCCACGAAGCATAGGATGAAAATCAAACAAGTAGCAGGTCACTTGTCTATCTCAGACAAAATTATTGTTAAAACTAAGAACCAGTGAAGGTCTACCAAGTGAGGGGCTTGTAACTTCTAGTATTAGGGACCAAGTAACTCTTAAGGGTACTTAATTGTCTGATCGTTCCTCCTTTCCTAAACAAGGTGGCTATTTCTAGTTGATAACTGTCTCCATTTTTCTTAAAGTTTAAGTAGATTCCTCCTCTATGGCCATCATGTCACACCTCTCACAGTTGGTTTGTTCTTAAACTCTTAACACTGTAAGCCAAATCTGATGTCCTTTCATCGTTGGAGCCAGTTGTAAACTGCTAACTTTACTATATAAACTCCTTTCCCCTATCTTCTTCCTCCTCTCTCGTCACACACACTTTTTCCCCTGATGCTTCTTATTTAGTTCTTTCTCCAACCCTCCCTGCTTTCACCTCAGCCTAATTCTATCCTTTTCCCCTCTAGGCAATTTCTCATTCATCACTGTGTTTTTACAGAGAATAGAAATAATTTTTAATGACATTGAGAATTTTTTTTTTGGGTTTTAGTGGTTCAGTCTTCCCTTGTGAAGATTTTTATGGCTTATTTTTATTTGGTAAAGTTACCTTCTTTACTATTTTTTCTCTCCTTCCACACAATTCACAGTATACTACCATGAGTGAGGAAAACCCTCAGTGAATAAGCGCTGATCAATTTATTTCTCTGAACATTACCAAACAACAGATGCCATCCACCAATGTTTGATCCCCAGGGCAGTTCTTATCTACCTTATTTTACAGATTCCAGAGGTGAAATGATCTATTGTAAAGCAGTGCAAGGATCAGAAGAGAGTTTGTGTTTCCTGGATATATTATGTGACTTCAGGGCATTGTTCTGCTTTCCATTTGAAATCTCAAAGGCTATTGGACTGACAGGAAGTTTTCATTCCTGTTATGAAAGGGTTACTGCCTCCAGTTTGGAAGAGATGTTGCTTAGGGAAACAGCAGCAGATTATAGCAGTAAAGCCAGAAAGATCAGGGAGTCAGAAGTATTACTATGAGATGGAAGGAAATAGCTGGTGTGCCTAACTAGCTCAGGGGCATGTTTGATAGTACCCAGGTATGTCTACAGAACTGGCACCTGTATAGATATTGACCTCTCAGTGTGTGTTTTACTTTTTACTCTTTGAGTTGGACTGCTGTGTTTTCTGTGTCACTGGTAATTCCATTGACCAAAACACTTCAGTTGAATCACAGCTTGAGTCTTCAAGTTTCCTTCCCTCTAACCTTGCTGGTTTCTTGCTCATGTTGATATTTAAGAACGTTTTCTTTCAATTCAGCAAAGTTTCCGGATACAAGATTAATTTACACAAATCAGTAGTTCTTCTATACCACAACAGCGACCAAGTTGAGAATCAAATCAAGAACTCAACCCCTTTTACAATAGCTGCAAAAATATATATATATATATATATATATATATATATACTTAGGAATATACCTAACCAAGGAGGCAAAACACCTCTACGAGGAAAACTACAAAACACTGCTGAAAGATATCATAGACGCAAACAAATGGAAATACATCCCATGCTCATGAATGAGTAGAATCAATATTGTGAAAATGACCATAATGCCAAAAGCAATCTACAAATTCAATGCAATCCCCATCAAAATACTACCATCATTCTTTGCAGGATTAGAAAAAACAATACTAAAATTCATATGAAACCAAAAAAGAGCCTGCGTAGCCAAAGCAAGACTAAGCAAAAACAAAACAAAACAAAACAAAAAACAAAAAAACAAATCTGGAGGAATCACACTACCTGATTTCAAGCTATACTATAAGGCCATAGTCACCAAAACATCATGGTACTGGTATAAAAATAGGCACATAGACCAATGGAACAGAATAGAGAACCCAGAAATAAACCCAAATACTTAACAGCCAACTTATCTTCAACAAAGCAAACAAAAACATAAAGTTGGGGAAGGACACCCTTTTCAAAAAATGGTGCTGGGATAATTGGCTAGCCACATGTAGGAGAATTAAACTGGATCCTCATCTCTCACCTTATACAAAAATCAACTCAAAATAGATCAAGGTCTTAAATCTAAGACCTGAAACTATAAAAATTCTAGAAGATAACATTGGAAAAACCTTCTAGACATTGGCTTAGGCAAGGATTTCATTACCAAGAACCCAAAAGCAAATGCAATAAAAACAAAGATAGGCCAGGCGCGGTGGCTCACACCTGTAATCCCAGCAATTTGGGAGGCCGAGGCAGGTGGATCATGAGGTCAGGAGATCGAGACCATCCTGGCTGACACGGTGAAACCCCGTCTCTACTAAAAATACAAAAAATTAGCCGGGTGTGGTGGCGGGCGCCTGTAGTCCCAGCTACTCAGGAGGCTGAGGCAGGAGAATGGCGTGAACCCGGGAGGCGGAGCTTGCAGTGAGCCGAGATCGCGCCACTGTACTCCAGCCTGAGCGACAGAGCGAGACTCTGTCTCAGAAAAAAAAAAAAAAAAAAAAAAAAGAATAGGTGGGACTTAATTAAACTAAAGAGCTTTTGCACTGCAAAAGAAACAGTCAGCAGAGTAGACAGGCAACTCATAGAGTGGGAGAAAATCTTCACAATGTATGCAGACTAATATCCAGAATCTACAACGAACTCAAACAAATCAATGAGAAACAAACAAACAATCCCATCAAAAAATGGGCTAAAGACATGAACAGATAATTCTCAAAAGAAGATATACAAATGGCCAACAAACATATGAAAAAATGCTCAACATCACTAATGATCAGGGAAATGCAAATGAAAACCACAATGCGGTACCACCTTACTCCTGCAAGAATGGCCATAATCAAAAAGTCAAAAAACAGTAGATGTTAGCATGGATGCGGTGAACAGGTATAACTTCCACACTGCTGGTGGAAATGTAAACTAGTACAACCACTATGGAAAACAGTGTGGAAATTCCTTAAAGATCTAAAGGTAGAACTACCATTTGATCCAGCAGTCCCACTACTGGGTAGCTATCTAGAGGAAAAGAAGTCGTCATACGAAAAAGATACTTGCACACACATGTTTATAGCAGCACAGTTCACAATTGCAAAATCGTGGAACCAACCCAAATGCCCATCAAAGAAGCTGTGGTATATTTATATGATGGAATACTACCAGTGATAAAAAGGAATAAATTAACGGCATTTGCAGCAACCTGGATGAGATTAGAGACTATTATTCTAAGTGAAGTAACTCAGGAATGGAAAACCAAACATCACATGTTCTCACTGATATGTAGAAGCTAAGCTATGAGGACGCAAAGGTGTAAGAATGATACAGTGGACTTTGGGGACTTGGGGGGATGGGTGGAAGGGGGGCGATTGATAAAAGACTACAAATAGGGTGCAGTATATACTGCTTGGGTGATGGGTGCACCAAAATCTCACAAATCACCACTAAAGAACTTACTCATGTAACCAATACCACCTGTACCCCAATCACTTATGGGAAAAAAAAAGGTTAAAAAAAAAAAAAAGAACTTTTTCTTTCAAAAAAATGCTGATGAAATGCAAGTTTTTAGCTTCTTTTTTTCTTGTCATTTCCACTGATCTGGGCTGTTTTAGATAGGATGTTTTCAAAAGTTTTATCATATGGCTCTATTCTTTTTGGCTTATTGGACTGCAAGTGTGCTAAGGCCCAGTCATTCAAGATTGATTAGTTCTTTGTGGTACTATATGGGCATTTTGGTGATTGTCATTTCTCAAAAATGATCCAAAAACGATTTTCCACATTGTTTAAACACACTGTTATTACTCTTAACATCCCAATAGTTATTGAGGTGTTTATTATTGCCTTTTTCTTTTAATTGGGGTTTTTATTGCATAGGAAAGGGGAAAAGCCCTGATTCAAGCATTTGGATTCAGGTCCTGGAACTGCCACTAACTCTGTGTGATCTCAAGCAACTTGCTTCCTCGCTTTGGGTTCCAGTTTTTTTCATCTGTAAATGAAGAGTTTGGATTGGAATGACTTATAGGTGCTTATTATTGCTAATACTCTATTACTGTTTATTGTATATTTAATATGGAAAGATTGTTTGGAAAGTGGATGACATTTTGGCTGGATTTTCCTGTGTATTTCTAAAGACCAGGGCAAGGTGGGAAATCTGACTCTTACTCCTGGGGCTTTGGGCTGTAATAATCCTTCCGTTGTGGCAAGAGGAATGAGGGTGAGACATTGGTGAAGTTGGCTTTTGTTCAACATTCTGAGCTTATTCCTTCTTTTAGGCTTTTGTTTGCATATGTTTAGCTTAACTCTGCTTTCAAGTGTGTGTATTTTCGTGGAAATGGTCCTCTTTTCCTTTTACACCAAATTCATGTTCTCATCTTCCTTCTCCCTTACTGAATCATCCATTTCTGAATAGTTAGCAATTTTCAACTTAATGAGGTCTTTCCCCTAAGTGAAGAACACAGCTGTTCCTCCTCTGATACTTTGGCAGCTGCCTCTGCCTTTCCCAAAATGGAATGATTAGCTCTTTCCTTTGATTTTTTAGCTGGCCATTAGTTCAGGACTACTAGCCCATTTCCTGTGTGATGGAACTACCAAATCCCATGGCCAGAATTGTTCCAATTTGCCTTTAGTGTCTTTTAGTCTTCTGGGGACTTAATTCATATGAAGTGGAGGATTTATCAATCTTTCAGAGGTCCATTTGCCTCATTATCTCCAGTGATTTCATTGTTCAGCCTTTTGAGATGCTGATCTACGAGGAGAACCTAGCCTGGTGTCCCTGATGTGGTTTTGCTGGAGAAATAGCAGATAAGAAGATCCTCAATGTATTTTGTTCCTGAATCAAATAGCCCTCATTTGTCACAGGATCTCCACTTCAGTTTCTGAAAAGCCCTTTTGCCTATTCCATTTTAGTCTTATGTACCTGTATTTAAGAAAGTGATTACTGTTTTTCCTCATGTACTTTGACTTCATCTGCCCCTCCAGCCTTTAATTTTATGATTTCACATCCCTTGTTAATTGTTGGGATTTCCTTTTATCATATGTGTCCCTTACACTTAAGATATCAAGTCAACTTCTCCACTCCACTCCAATTCCCCTCTCACATTATGCTCCCTGTTAATCAATCAAAAGCATTGTGGGTTTAGTAGTGCTGTTCCAAATGTGTGTGGTGCAGCCCGTTTTTGCTTCCCCACCCCAAACGCCTCATTCAATTTAATTCCATATACTTAGCATATTAGGCATCTTGTCAATATTTCCTTTCTGAGGTCTATTTTTAAAATTTGAATGCATTCTGCATGTGTAGGTTTTTTTTTTTCTTAAATGATGAGATCTACTGCAACAGAGAGCCAGAATTAGCTCTGTGCCTAGGAGAAAAGGAAAGCACAGAGGGAAAGAATATTTCTCACATTCTCAGAAGGTGTATGCAAGAGCCAGCCCTTGGCACAATTATTTATACAGTGCCACTATATCTATCTGCGTGCACCTTCCCCTCCATTTGGGAGCATAGGCATCCAGTATTCTCCTTGGGTTTTCTTAGTTTCTGTCACCATTAACCCTTCTACTCAGGGCCCTGCATTCCCAGTCTTTCCTCGTTTCCTACTTTCCCCATAAAAAACTTACCTGGTCCATGTTCCATTTCCCCAAAATCCTAATTATTTCAAGGGACCTGTTAAAATGACCTGTTCTTTCTTTCCAAATAGTATTTGTATCTCAATGTGATGATAATCCAAAAGAATACCTAATGGTGGCATTTGGGTCACCAATGCAGCCTGATGGCGTGATGTCTTCAGGATATGGCCTTTTCCCCAGCATCAGTTCCTTTATATCCCACCAATAGTTGGCTACATGGTCAAATGATAAGGCTAGCTTGGACTCCATTTATCCCAGAGAATTAGAGCTGCTTGATGAATAATAATACCTACCTAACATATATTAAATTCTTCCTTAGTGCGAGGCACTGTGTAGCTCAGCTTCCATGCATTTCCTCTTTTAGTCATTCCAACAATTCCTTATGAAGGTCAGTGCTATTAGTCCTGACTTATGGAAGGGAAAAAAGGCACACAGAGTAACTTTAAGTAACTTCTATAGGATAGGGCTGTTAAGTCTTAGATCTGGGACTCTAAGGTAGTCTCGCTCCAGAGCCCATAGTCTTAGACTCTGCTGCACTGCCTCTGGGAAAAGGATGGTACCTTTTTCACATGTACACCTCACTCAGAAGAGCTAACTTCAGATGTGCTGCTGGGTAGTAAGCTTCCCTTTGGCAAGGAACAAATGAAGTCTTGAGTTGCTCCAGTAGATCTAGCTTATATCTCATCCTTTCTGGAGAGAAGTTTGCCTTTGGACACAATGCTACAGCAGAAAGGTTTGCCTTTGCTTTTCTGCACCCCAAAACTTAGCAGTATTAAAAACTTTCTTCACCAGTCCCTGTAGTTGTAAGTCATCAGTAGGGATATTTGCCAAATGCTTAGGACCAAGCTTACACTCTATCTTTTCTCTACCTTCAGAGCTGAAGGAGCTATGTATGTGTGTGTGGGAAGGAGGCTCTCTTTGGTGTTGGTGAGCATGAATATGACAGACTCGGGGTAGGGGGATACATGAAGGGGAGAGCAGACTCATCCACACTCTCAAGGCAAGTATGGTTAGAAACCCTGCTTCACTCAGGTAGCGCTAGTCTCTTCACTGTAAGTAGGTTTTTTTTTTTTTTTTAAATATGGTGATACAATGAATTGTTTTCTGAGGTGGATGGTTGTGTTTTCTGTTATTACTGCTTTTCCTTCTGGACCGAACTTTTATTGGCTGCTGCTTACTTACTAGTAGAATGCTTCACACCTGTGGGCTGCTGCAGTCATGACAATGAACATTCTGTTCAGAAGGGGAGCATTCATTCTCTTTCCCAGCAGCTGTTACCCCAACATTGGGAATTTAATGCATTCATTTGTTCTTTAGATAAATAGGATTAAATTCAGAATGAAGCAAGGAGTAGTCTTAGTCTGTGCTTTGCATGATTTTCAGGGTCTGTACAGTTCCAGCTGTGTAAACATGATTGCAGAACTTAAGTATCGTCTAATGGGGGAGGATTTCAATTTAGGAGTGGCACACCATAGCTGGGCTGGAGCCAGACATTCTTCCACCCACTTCAGTCCACACCCTGCGGAGTCGGCTTGCTCAGCTCCTAGAGTCAGAAGTGAAGATGGGGCAGCTGTAGTTAATTATACTGTATTATAGCTTCTTATCAGTAGGGGATGAGAACTAGGCAAGGGCTAGGAAAATCTAAAATTATATCCTCAAATATGCTCCAGTTATGGCAGTAGGAAACAAAGAAATGGAAGACATTGGACAAAGTAGGGCAGCCCCAAATATTAAATATGACAAGAAAAAATCCAATAAAATATCTATTGAAATTGTAGCTACATTTATATTCCAATTGATTCTTTTTTGTGGTCACTGAAAGCAAGAGTAGAGAAATATTGTATTGATTGTAAAATATTGATTTGTTCTAATATTTGGACTCAGTTTTGTTTTCTTGAGATTTGTTTAAATAATGAATAGCTAAGTAATGCTAAAGACTTCTAATAAAGGAGCACTATTATTATGGAAGGAAATGCAATTTCTTCATAACAAATACAAATATTATGGATCATCCAATTCCTTTGTCCTTGTTCCTCCACCCACAATTATGTACAGTGTTGGCCCTGCTCAGTTCAATAGAGTCTTAGATCCAGTAATTATTCTGTCTCTCTAAAGAGGAACATGGGCATACGTATTCCTGAGCCCTAAAGGATGGGATTTCTGATGATATAGCAGGTTTTGTTTGATGCCATAGATTCTCCAGGTTATTCTTGGGGGAGTATCATTGATAGCTAACACAAAGGTACTTGGCTTCCTACTGGATATGAATGTCAAGACATGGTCCTGATCAAGGAAGACAACAAAGCATTGCCTTTTGAATGTGCTGGGGATTGTAATGCATTTAGGAATAACCCAATCAATGATATTCGTTCCTATTACAACTGGCTATTGAAAAACTATTTTTCTGAGAAGCTCACTTCAAAATGTCTCTGAGACAGAATATTCTTTTATAGGATGGGGAGCTCTGGATTGAAAAAGAGAAATGCTAGGCTGATAAATCACTGAGTTTGAATCATATGGAAAGTGTTCAAGAACAGAAAGAGAGGAAAATTCAATAAATTACTGTTGATGCAATATTGGATGGTCAGGGTGATAAGACACTCACTAGAGATTTCCAGTCTATGATGTACACACATGCATTATTTTGTTTACTAGTTGTGGTAGCCTGAAGAGGCAGAAACATGCCTCCAGAATACCAGCAGGGCATAGGGGAACCTCTCCATCATCCATCATATTCAACTGTAGTCGGGGGGTGATCCTGTCAATATTGCCTATGTGGTATCTCTGGAACTTGGGACTGGGATGCCTATTAGTGCTTCACTGAATTCTGTATTTGTAGCATGTGCATTGTAGCATGTACATACCATAGCACTTAGCTCGTGGATGCTTGTCTGAATCATTAGGTATGAACATTATGGGTGCCATAATAGCACAGGAATTACTGCAACTAAAAAGGAAACACATGGCTTGTACTTCATCCACAATCACTTACACTTAAGCTATTGATAGTTGATTGGGATATGTGAACTGCTGGGCTTGTGCCATGGGACTTCTAAGCATATTTGGTGGGCGGAACAGACAGGAAGGCTGTAGATTTTGGCAAGCTGTGGTTCCCATTAGTCAGGCTAACTGTATCTGACAGTAGAGATCCCAATTCACCAAGATGAAGCTTACTTCTCTAGGTTTTGGCTGATGGCCCAACAATATTGACGTGAAGGACAGGAGAGGACCAATGTTACGTTAGGCTGTGAGTTTCTAATGAGCAAATAGTTGAATGGTTTAGTGAATACCCTGTTGGTTTTTTGGTGGGGTAAACACAAAATTCATAATTTGAGAGACATGTAAGACTCGAAATTTTCTTTTATAGTACATGTTAACCATTCATTCTCCTAATAGGGAAATGTGGGCTCTTTTATAGGGTGTGCATATTATGTAGTTGTACAGTTAATACTCTTCTCTGTGTTTTTCTTGTAAGGGGTGCTGATAACATACCCTACTAAGGAAATTCCAGGCACAGCTGTTTCTAATAATAGGTGCCCCACCCCACAGAATTGTCAGGCTTACTCTCAAGGTTCTTTGGTGGGAAGGAGGATTTTCTGGCAGAGTCTTGGCCACTGCCATTGTCTCAGATTGCCTCCCTGTAGCTTCCTTGGAGGTATGAGTTTCTAAGCAGAAAGATTTGCTGTGATGAGGGAAGGCCACAAAACTGAAGGAAGAGAGATGAGGTCTTATAGAACTAAGTGAGAGGCTGTTTTGGTCATGGCAGAGATGAGTTGAACACTATGGAATGGAGACAAGATGAGAAGAGGAGTGGGAATCAATTCATGAAAGCACTTATTATTTATAAGTTGGAATAAAAGGTTCATTGAACTCCAGGGGACCCTTCTTATATGAAATGCTTGTGAATATGTTGAAATTTTGTAACGGCAATTCCATCTTAAATACACTGGGGGAGCTGACAACCTGCAGTTCATGGATTATTCTATCTAGTGTACAATCACTCTTCTATTCTACCCTGGACATTCTTCCAGGTGTGGTCAAGAGAAAGCGGATAGAACAGATGGAATATTTCCTCTCAGGAGAGTTCAAGAGCTTCCTTAAACAAAGGCAAGATGTGAGCATAACCTTTTACTTTCTAAACAACTTTTTCTGAGAGCTACCTGGAAAAATTTCTAGCTTCCTCACAGATCCAAGTAATTTCTGAAAATATTTAGAGACTAGTAATCGTTTAACTTCTAAAAATCAAAGTTGGTTTGTGCTAAAAATATCATCCGGACAGTCTGTGTCTAGTTGAGTGGGGAAGAAAAAAAGGCAAGCTCTTGGTATCAATCTTTATTCCCTCTGTAAACACACATGACCAGAAGAGAAGGCTGTTATTAATGGTAATGCAGACCAGAAAAAAGGGTATTATTTTCAGTCTGTTGAACAGTACAAAAATGCTTCTCAAGCACTGTGTTCAGATGTTTCTTTTTATTAGCCATCACACAAGGAATTAGACTCATTTCAAACAGTTCGTTTCCCTACTCTTGTCTCCGTAAAATCGTTACTCATGAGTGGTTTCTTTGTTGAAATACTGCTGACCTCCCATATTGGAATGCACAACAGGGTGTTAAAAATATAAACTTTTTAGTTTGCATAAACTCTGGAAGAAGGGGGACAAAGATTCCCCAGGAGAATAAAACCATTCGCCAATGTCCTTGTTTATTAGTGTCCTATAAGCATCTTATTCAGGAAGCTATGTCAGCATTACAATTCTGTATAGACTTTGTGTGTGTGTGTGTGTGTGTGTGTGTGTGTGTGTGTGTGTGTGTGTGTGATTAACAGCAGAGGGCTCTTTGAATTCCAGCAGGAGGTTTTAAAATATAATTCTGCATCTGCCCCTCTTTCTTGTCCTTTCCAACCCTTTTCTACCTCCCTTCTCATCACCGACCCATCCAGGGCCATTAGGATAGATAAAGGAGTTGTGCCATGTCTTAATATATGAGCAAATGATGATCCTTAGCTCTACAGCTAGGCGCTGTTTGCATTTTGCCAAAGGTGATTATTTTATCTGCAGTTTTAATAGCAAACCAGATTATTTGCTGTTCACTAACTAATAAAAGCAAATAAAAACAGATTGCAAAGTGGAATTAAGGGGATAAGAAAGTACTAGAGCCAAAGAAGGCTTTTTCTTTAATTAATAATTTCCATTTACTCTTAGAATATTTTTATGCTAGAGTTCAACATCTTATATTAAACATGTGTGCACCCTTCCTCTTATAACTGCCGAATTGGAATCTCAGAATGGAAATCATGCAGGCTTGAACGGAGCTTCAAATTCTCCCAGTGTTGTCTTATTGTCTGTACACAGAACTAGACTCCTCAGGGCTTCCCCCACCACAGCATGGCATTCCTCCATTAGCCCCATGTTTCCCAGACCCAGTCATGAAGAACTGGCATTTTAACCAACAAGTAGAAAACACAATAAAATTGGAGTTCAGGAGATGCAATGTTTTGGAGAAACAGATTATTCCAAGAGTGTAAAGATACATGATCTAAAGATGGACAGAACATTTAAATTTACCAGCCTGGTTTTCAGTGATTTTTTGATTTGTTCAATTAATTTGTGAATGAAAATGCATCTTAAGGATGGTGAGGACTGGTGGTAGTGGTGGTGAATGTGCGTGTGTGTGTGTGTGATTTTGTGGCCATGATCCAGGCTTACTATGCATCAGCTCCTAAAGAGATTTTTACAGAGCTGTGTCTGAGTGTCTTAATTCAGGTCATCTCAACCAGAGAGCCTTCTGCTACTCCTACGTGCAAAGGCTCGAGTTAACTCAGAAAAAGTTCTCACAGCTGTGGCCCAGATAGATTCCAAGACTTCTCTGAAACTTCAGATGGAAGAGCCTTTCTCTTTAATAGAGAGCCATTCTCTCTATTAAAGAAGAGTTGGGCAAGCTGGAGGCCAGAGGATTATATTGTAATCTTCATGTGCTGAAAGGTGTAAAGAATCTTTTCTTCTTAATAAGAGCACTGGGACAAGCATAGGGTGCCTTCAAATTATCAGACTTCCTCAAACAATAGATCAATTAGCCTTTCTTCTGAATTTGTGTAATTGTTTTTGAGGCAACACCCTGAAAAAATATAGCTTACTTTTTCCGACTAGTATAATTAAGCGGACAAATGGAAAAAGAATCATTCAAAGTAAATTTTAAAGAAAAGAGCAAAAGAGTAAAATTTAGCATTGTCCATGTAAGATGGATAATGACAAGTAAACACAGAAGGTGGTGTTTGATCCCTTCGATTTTGGTATTCATTATTCATAGTTATTATTCATAAATTCCAGGTTAGGCTTGTGCCCCAGTGACACATTTGCATTTTACTTTAAGTTGATTTCTACCTGGTTTTGCAAACAAGGATTTAATGATTTGGGCTGCCTCTCACTCTTCCTCTGTTGCTTGTCTTTTCATATACAGTGCTGGCTTCTAGCCCCTTTTACACCCTTTGTCTCCATCATCAGTCTTGCTCTCCCATCCAATGTTTTACTCTCACTCTCTTTCTCTCTTCTCTCTTCTCTCTCTCTCTCTCTCAATGTTTTAGGAAAAAAGATTTCTAACGTGGAAAACTGATATTTGAATAGAGTCCCCTAAGGCTATCAATTTACTTTTAATTTGTCTGGAGCTAAGCTTTTCTTTGTTGCAATGAGGAAGGATTAAAACTGCTGTAAAATTTATTAGCTTCCAGAAAGATATTTGAAATGCATTTTTTTAATGATTGTGCTGTTTGCTGTACCCAGAAGCAGTGTCATCACAACTATAGTATTCCAGATGGTTCCCGAAGTTACACTGAAACATCAAGATAATGCTAGACTTTTTTATGACGCCTCTATTGGTAATGAATAGTCCATCCCAGGTAGCTAATATATATTAATTAATATATATTTGTTTCCAATGACCATTTCTAGTGATACCCAGCTGATGACAAAACACACACACTATCCCTTTGAATCATTACAGGAGACAGTGATTGGTTTACTGAGCTCTTTATTTTCCAAATGTGGAAGAAATGATTGGAGATTTACTAATGCTGTTTCTTAGCTTCCCCACCCAGTCCTAGGAACATATTGGTAGTCAAGAACCTTTAAGGAATTTAGAAGTTACAGTTGCAACATTTTTCATGGACTCATGTATAGTATGGCCTATTCTACAAAACTGAATGTCCTGGGACTTGACTGAAGGAAGTGTCAGTTCCTGTTAAGGGGAACACCAGCTGCTGGGTGCCCTTTTTGTTCCATTCAACAGTAAGTTTTCATTAGAAAAGGGAAGATTTTTCTCTTGGCCAACGTGCTCTGTCTACTCTTGCTTTCTGTGTCAGTCTTATGTGTGCCATCTTCACTATGTATTCTCCTAGAAGCTCATGACCATCATGAAAGTGGCTTCTTCACAAGCTGATGATCTGCTAGCAGTTTCCTTATTTTCCACAAAAGAGTGAAACCAAGTTGGAGATAAGTTTAGGTTCAGAACTATTTTTTAAGTGTGATAGGCTCTGTGACTGGGCGCGGTAGCTCTCTCCTGTAAACCCTGCTACTCCTGAGGCTGAAGTGGGAGGATCCTTTGAGTCCAGGATTTTGAGACCAGCCTGAGCAACATAGTGAGATTCTGCCTCTAATTTTTTTTTTTTTTTAATTAGCCAGGCACCTGCCTGCAGTCCCAGCTACTTGGAAGACCGAGCCAGGAGAATTCTTGGAGTCCAGGAGTTGGAAGCTGCAATGAGCTATGATTGCACTATTGCACTCCAGCTTGGGCAAGAGTGAGATCTTGTCTCTAAAGAAGTTTTTTTTTAATTTTTTTATTATTTATTTATCATTTTTTTGTAAAGGCTCTGTCATCCTAGATGTATAACTGCATGTAGAATGCATCTGACTTTTAAATCTACACCAAGTCAAATAACTGATTTGAACTCTTCAGAGAAGTGACAAGATGTTGTAGGTATCCCACTAATATAGGTTTGAGGGACTTAATTCTGTGGGCGTCTTTATATGAAACTTTCAAAAACGGTCCTATGTTTTTCAGAGTTGTAGTATCTCAGTGTTCTATCTTTTGGGGAATAGCTCATTGGCCTTCTGTGTCACCTCATATTTACTAGTAAAGTTGCTTTTTCAAATGGTTTATAAGCACCTAGATGAAGTCCAGCACTTTGTCAGATTATTTTCTCCATCACAGAAGCCAAAATACAAAGATTTCAGTCTAGTCAATCTCTGCTTATCTCAGTCACTGTCAGCACCTCTTATTTCTTAGTCTCAATTTTCCAGGCAGCCTTTTGCTTGATTTCCTTGCTCCCCATGCATCAGCACAAATGATTTATACTTATGTACATCTTGAAATCTCTTCTTTATGGATTGAATTGAATCGAGCCCCAGTACAAAAATGAAAACTCCAGGAACTGTTGTGATTGCCCAAATTACAACTTGGATTGTATGACTGTACACGCCACACTCTCATCTATCATAAATATTAAATTCTCAAGCACTTATACTTCAATATGTTTTAACTTTGTCTGTTTGACCAGCTCAGCACTAAAGATTCCATTGAAGATAATTCAATTGCTTTGAATTCTGAAAGGGGCATCTTTTTAATCTATTTTCATGTTGCACTGGGAGTTAAGTGAATTTCAGGTGCATAGCCTGTGAATGATGGGAGAGGCCTATGTGCCATTTGGCATCACAGAGGCCAAATATTGGGTGACATTTGCTAACTAATGCTGATCAGTGAAATGGTCTAGGACAAGATTGGGGTTCATCAGTCTTTTCAGCCATTCTCCCTATCTCAAACTAAAACTAAACTTTGCAGAATTTCTGCTGTTTTGTCAGCCATACTGAAAATGCCAAGTTATGCTAACCAGGGCTGGCCTTTTTTCTTCTGTCTTGTCTTTTGGCAACATCCCTTTGCCAGTCTCAGGAACTTTGTTCCCACACCCCATCCCCATCCTTCATCCTTCCTGAGGCATCTCCACATCCAGACATTTCTAGTGTTTTTAACCCCATCAAATCTCTCTTATCCTGGATACCCTTATTCAGGGCTCTGTTATGTGACCCAAAAAAATCTGATAATCTCAGTTCGATAATGGTGCCTCTTCTAAACATTTTTTTAAATTTATTTTTTATTTTAATAGTTTTTGTGGAACAAATGGTGTTTGGTTCCATGAATAAGTTCTTTAGTGGTGATTTCTGAGATTTTGGTGCACCCATCACCCAAGATGTGTACACTCTACCCAATGTGCAGTCTTTTATCTCTCACACTCCTCCCACCCTTTCCCCTGAGTCTCCAAAGTCCATTGTATTATTCTTATGCCTTTGCATCCTCATAGCTTAGCTCCCACTTATTAGCGAGAACACATAATGTTTGGTTTTCCATTCCTGAGTTGCTTCACTTAAAATAATAGTCTCCAATTCTATCCAGGTTGCTGCATATGCCATTATTTTGTTCCTTTTTATGGCTGAGTACTATTTCCATGGTGTGTGTGTGTGTGTGTGTGTGTGTGCATGCATCACATTTTCTGTATCCTCTCATTGATTGATGGGCATTTGGGCTGGTTCCATATTTTTGCAATTGCAAATTGTGCTGCTATAAACATGAGTATACAAGTGCCTTTTCCATATAAGGACTTCTTTTAGATACCTAGTAGTGGGATTGCTGGATCAAATAGATACACTTTTAGTTATTTAAGGAATGTCCACACTGTTTTCCATAGTGGTTGTACTAGTTTACATACTCACCAACAGTGTAAAAGTATTCCCTTTTCACCACATCCATGCCAACATTTATTATTTTTTTATTATGGCCATTCTTGCAGGAGTAAGGTGGTATGACATTGTGGTTTTGATTTGCATTTCCCTGATAATTAGTGATGTTGAGCATTTTTTCATATGCTTGTTGGCCATTTGTACATCTTCTTTTGAGAATTGTCTATTCATGTCCTTAGCCCACTTTTTGATGGGATTGTTGGTTTTCTTCTTGCTGATTTGTCTGAGTTCCTTGTAGATTCTGGATATTAGTCCTTTGTCAAATGTATAGATTGTGAAGATTTTCTCCCTCTCTGTGGGTTGTCTGTTTATTCTGCTGATTATTTCTTTTGCTGTGCAGAAGCTTTAATTAAGTCCCATCTATTTATGTTTGTTTTTGCTGTGTTTGCTTTTGGGTTCTTGGTCATGAAGTCTTTGCCTAAGCCAATGTCTGTAAGAGTTTTTCCGATGTTACCTTTAGAATTTTTATGGTTTCAGGTCTTAGAATTAAGTCCTTGATGCACCTTGAGTTGATTTTTGTATAAGATGAGAGATGAAGATCCAGTTTCATTCTTCTAAGTGTGACTTGTCAATGATCCCAGCACCATTTGTTGAATAGAGTGTCTTTCCCCCACTTTGTTTTTGTTTGCTTTGTTGAAGATCAGTTGGCTGTATTTACCTTTATTCCTGGGTTCTCTATTCTGTTCCATTGGCCTACGTACTTATTTTTATACCAGTATCATGCTGTTTTGGTGACTATGCCCTTATAGTATAGTTCTAGTCGGGTAATCTGAAGTTTCCAGATTTGTTCTTTTGTTTAGTCTTGTTTTTGCTATGTGGGCTCTTTTTTGGTTCCATATGAATTTTAGGATTGTTTTTTCTAGTTCTGTGAAGAATAATGGTGGTGTTTTGATGGGAATTGCATTGAACTTGTAGATTGCTTTTGGCTGTATGGTCGTTTTCACAATATTGATTCTACCCCTCCATGAGCATGGGATATGGTTCCATTGGTTTGTGTCATCTATAATTTTTTTCAGCAGTGTTTTATAGTTTTCTTTGTAGGGGTTCTTTCACCTCTTTGCTTAAGTATATTCCTTATTATTATTATTTTGCATCTGTTGTAAAAGAGGTTGAGTTCTTGTTGATTCTCAGTGTGGTTGCTGTTGGTGTATAGCTGTGCTACTGATTTGTGTACATTTGATTTTGTATCCTGAAACTTTGCTGAATTCATTTACCAGATCTAGGAGCTTTTTGGATGACTCGTTAGGGTTTTCTAGATATACGATCATATCATCAGCAAACAGTGACAGTTTGACTTCCTCTTTACCAATTTAGATGCCCTTTATTTCTTTCTCTTGTTGGATTGCTTTGGCTAGGAATTCCAGTAATTTGTTGAATAGAAGTGGTGAAAGTGGGCATCCTTGTTTTGTTTCAGTTCTCAGGGGGAATGCTTTCAACTTTTCGCCATTCAGTATAATGTTGGCTGTGGGTTTGACATAGACAGCTCTTGTTACCTTGAGGTATGTCCCTTCTGTGCTGATTTTGCTGAGGGTTTTAATCATAAAGGGATACTGGATTTTGTCAAATGCTTTGTCTGAATCCATTGAGATGATCATGTGATTTTTGTTTTAAATTTTGTGTGATGTGTCACATTTATTGACTTGCATATGTTAAACCATCCCTGCATGCCTGGTATGAAACCCACTTGATCATGGTGGATGATCTTTTTGATATGCTGTTGGATTCGGTCGGCTAGTATTTTGTTGAGGATTTCTGTATCTGTGTTCATCAGGGATATTGGTCTGTAGCTTTCTTTTTTTGTTATGTCCTTCCCTGGTTTTGGTATTAGGATGACACTGGCTTCATAGAATGATTTAGGGAGGATTCCCTCTTTCTCTGTTCTGTGGAATAGTGTTAATAGGATTGGTACCAATTCTTCTTTGAATATCTGATGAAATTCAGCTATGAATCTGTCTGACTCTTGTTGACAATTGTTTTATTACCATTTCAATCTCACTGCTCATTATTGGTCTGTTACGAGTTTCTATATCTTCCTGGTTTAATCTAGGGGAGTTGTATATTTCCAGGAATTTATCCATTTCCTCTAGGTTTTCTAGTTTATGCACATAAAGGTGTTCATAGTAGCCTTGAATAATCTTCTGTTTCTCTGTGGTATCAGTAGTAATATATCCCGTTTTGTTTCTGATTGAGCTTATTTGGATCTTCTCTCTTCTTTTCTTGGTTAATCTTGGTTAATCATTTTTATTCATTTTTTTCAAAGAACCAGGTTTTTGTTTCATTTATCTTTTGTATTATTTCTTTTGTTTCAATTTCATTTAGTTCTGCTCTGATCTTGGTTATTTCTTTTCTTGTGCTGGGTTTGCATTTGGATTGTTCTTGTTTCTCCAGTTTAATGAGGTGTGACCTTAGATTGTCTATTTTTGCCTTTTCAGACTTTTTAATGTAGGCATTTAATGCTATGAACTTTCCTCTTAGCACCGCTTTTGCTGTATCCCAGAGGTTTGGATAGGTTGTGTCACTATTATCATTCAGTTCAAAGAATTTTTCAGTTTCCATCTTGGTTTCATTGTTGACCCAATGATAATTCAGAAGCAGGTTATTTAACTTCCATGTATTTGCATGGTTTTGAAGGCTCCTTTTAGAGTTGATTTCCAGTTTTTCCACTGTGGTCTGAGAGTACTTGATATCATTTCGATTTTCTTAAATTTACTGAGACTTGTTTTGTGGCCTATCATATGGTCTGTCTTGGAGAATGTTCCATGTGCTGGTGAATAGAATGTATGTTCTGCAGTTGTTGGGTATAATGTTCTGTAAATACCTGTTAAGTCCATTTGCTGTAGGTTATAGTTTAAGTCCATTGTTTCTTTGTTGGCTTTCTGTCTTGATGACCTGTCTAGTGCTGTCAGTGGACTATTAAAGTCCCCCACTATTATTGTGTTGCCATCTATCTTATTTCTTAGGTCTAGTAGTAATTATTTTATAAATTTGGGAGCTCCAGCATTAAGTGCATATATATTTAGGATTGTGATATTTTCCTATTGGACTAGTCCTTTTATCGTTATGTAATGTCCTTTTTTGTCTTTTTAAACTGCTGTTGCTTTAAAATTTGTCTGATGTAAGAATAGCTATTCCTGCTCGCTTTTGGTGTCCATTTGCATGGAATATCTTTTTCTAACCCCTTTACCTTAAGTTTATGTGAGTTCCTATGTGTTAGTTGAGTCTCCTGAAGACAGCAGAAACGTGGTTGGTGAACTCTTATTCATTCTGCCATTCTGTATCTTTTAAGTGGAGCATTTAGGCCATTTACATTCAACATTAGTATTGAGATGTGAGGTGCTATTCTATTCACTGTGCAAATTATTGCCTGAATACCTTTTTTTCATTGTGTTACTGTTGTATAGTTCCTGTGAGATTTATGCTTTAAGGAGGTTCTATTTTCATGTATTTCAAGGACTTGTTTCAAGATTTAGAGCTCTTTTTAGCAGTTCATATAGTGCTGTCTTGGTAGTGGCGAATTCTGTCAGCATTTGTCTGGAAAAGACTGTATCTTTCCTTCATTTATTAAGCTTAGTTTCACTGGATACAAAATTCTTGGCTGATAATTGTTTCATTTAAGGAGGCTAAAAATAGGACCCCAATCCCTTCTAGCTTGTAGGGTTTCTGCTGAGAAATCTGCTATTATTCTGATAGGTTTTCCTTTGTAGGTTACTTGATGCTTTTGACTGACAGCTCTTAAGATTCTTTTCTTCGTCTTGATTTCAGATAACCTGATGACTATGTGCCTAGGTGATGATCTTTTTGCAATGAATTTCCCAGGTGTTCTTTGAGCTCCTTGTATTTGGATGTCTAGATCTCTAGCAAGGCTGGGGAAGTTTTCCTCGATTATTCCCTCAGATGTGTTTTCCAACCTTTTAGATTTCTCTTCTTCCTTGGGAACACCCATTATTCTTTGGTTTGGATGCTTAACATAGTCCCAAACTTCTTGGAGGTTTTGTTCATTTTTTAAAATTCTTTTTCTTTTTCTTTGACAGATTGGGTTAATTCAAAAATCCTTGTCTTTGAGCTCTGAAGTTCTTTCTTCTTTTGTTCAATTCTATTGCTGAGACTTTCCAGTGCATTTTGCATTTCTCTAAGTGTGTCCTTGATTTCCAGAAGTTGTGATTGTTTTTTGTTTATGCTATCTATTTCCCTGAAGACTTTTCCTTTCATATCTTGTGTCATGGTTTTGATTTCTTTAAGTTGGACTTCACCTTTTTCTGGAGCCGCTTTGATTAGCTTAGTAATTGACCTTCTGAATTTTTTTTCTGGCAATTCAGAAATTTCTCCTTGGTTTGGATCCATTGCTAGTGAGCTAGTGTAATCTTTTGGGGGTGTTAAAGAACCTTGTTTTGTTATATTACCAGAATACTTTTTCTGCTTCCTTCTCATTTGTGTAGACTGTGTCAGAGAGAAGATCTAGGACTCAAGGGCTGCTGTTCATATTCTTTTGTCCCATGGGGTGCTCCCTTGATGTGGTGTTCTTCCCCTTCCCCTGGGGATGGGGATTCCTGAGAGCCGAACTGCAGTGATTGTTATTTCTCTTCTGGGTGTAGCCACCCAGTGGAGCTACTGGGCTATGGGCTGGTACTGGGGAGTGTCTGCAAAGAGTCCTGTGACATGATCTGTCTTCAGGTCTTTCAGCCGTGGATATCGGCACCTGCTCCAGTGGAGTTAGCAGGAGAGTGAAGTGGACTCTGTGAGGGTCCTTGGCTGTATTTTTGTTTAGTGCACTGGCTTTGTGTTGGTTGGCCTCCAGCCAGGAGGTGGTGCTTTCAAGAGTGTATCAGCTGCAGTACTATAGGGTGGATGCTGGATCATCTTATTTTAACAGGCATTTTTTAATGCATGTATCCAGATGAATGAAAAATGTGGAAATTTTTCTCCATGCTGCAAGGGCTGGTTCTTGGATAGCACTTCTTTGGCATCTGTCAGGTAACACCACATAGGTGTTTTGAATGCCAATCAGTGCTGGCATCCTTTCCCTTCTGCCTGATGTCTGTCTGTCATTCCATAGTGTTGTAGGGGAGGGCTGCTAACAAGGACGAGGCTAGGGAACGGGAGAACAAAAAGAAAGTTTTAGGGAGCAACCAAAAGTGGAGAAAATTGCTGAAAAAAAGGGAAGAAGGGAGTGAGAAAGAGACAAGTAGTTGTTTGTAGTGTAATTTGTGATGTGCTTCTTGTCACATAGAGTGACTACAGGATAGCTTGGTATCATTGGTTCATGAGTGTCTACAGATATCTCAGCCTTCACTGGTGTTCCCTTGAATGTTTTACGGATGGAATTCCATCTTTTTTTTGCTAAAATTTTACTTTAGAATACGACTGTAAACCCCCTGCAACATTACAGCCTGGGAGGGCTCTAGGAAGTTGTCATTACGCTCATATTGAATTTTTGCTAGATACATAACAGATATTTTCCATATGATATCTAAACACCCAAATAAGCCCAATCCTCAAGATATCAAACATATCAAAACCAAAATAAAATGCCTAAAGCCTTGGTAATATTTTCCTTCCTTCCTTCCTTCCTTTTTTCCTTCCTTCCTTTCTTCCTTCCTTCCTTCTTCCATTTCCTTCCTTTCTTTTCCATTGATCCCGTTGCTGCTTTACTTGCCTTGTTAAGTTACAGAGATGGGATTGATAATAGTGCAGGAGAGAGCACTATTAACTATTGTTAGTATAGAAAACTTGCAGGTCTATGGCAAATGTATTTTCAACGGGATGTTAGAGGGTACTAGATCTCTCTAACACCTGTATATAGTGTGCAGGAAACCACACAGAGGCTAAGAGGACACTTAATGTTTCTCAAGTTCTAAATTTACTTTACGCCTCTGACAAAGCTACATAGTTTACTTTGTAGGTTTCTGTAGTATTTATGATAAAATAGTTATTTCCACTTTAGGAGTTGCACAGTATCTGGGGTGGGACAGTATCTGGGGCGTTGACCAATATTCTTCCTTCTTTCTGTGCATTTTTCATTCAATTAAATTAAACTATTATTAACAGTTTAATTGACAGCTCTGTGCTGGACGCTTTGCTAGGTTGAGATAGATGTAATCTTTGCTCATCCAGAGCTTAAAAGGTAGCAGAAAATATAGACATGAAACAAGTACAGTTGTCTCTTGGCATCCATGGAGGATTGGTTCCAGGACTCCTGAGAATACGAAAATCTGTACATGCTCAAGTCCTGCAGTTTGCCCTGGGGAATCTGGTGGAACCTGTGGATAAATGAAAAGGTGACCCTACAAATCTGAGGGTTTTGCATCCCACAGATGTTGTATTTTCTATTCACATTTTGTGGCAGATGCAGAACCTGCAGATACAGAGGGCTGACCATATTTATTTTTAAAAACCTACATGTAAGTGGACCCATGCAGTTTCAAACCCATGTTGTTCAAGGGTCAATGGTAATTACGCGTGTGATGAATGTTATAAAAGGGAAGTGCTGTGAGATCTACCTTAGTCTAAAGGATCACAGAAGGACTCCCTGGGGAAGTGAAATTTAAATGGAGACTTCAGGGATAATGTATTAATCATGAATTGTGTTTAACCGCTAGTAATAAAGATGCCCCTCTCCTACTAAAGAAAATAAATCAATGACTTAAATAAGAGATATTTATTTTTCTTCTTATTAAAGAAGTTCAAGTTTGGTGAGGGTAGCTCTACAGTATCTTTAATAACCCAAGGTCCTTATATCTTTCTATTCTGCCACCCACAGGCACATGGCTTCTATCTTCAGGGTTGCCTCATGGTAGTCAGACAGATGTTGCAGCATCAGTCATTATGTCTCCATTCCAGACAGGACAAAGCAGGAAGGAATAAAGACAAAATAGTCTCTTACCTAAGTCAGCTCTCCCCTTTTAAGGAATTTTCTTAACATCTTGCTTTATAATGTTGGTCCAATCTTATGTTACATGTCTGCAAGGGAGCCTGTGAAATGTAGTTTCTTTTAGCTGAGCACACTGCCATTCCTAACAGAAATGGGGCTTTGTTTCTATTTAACAAAAACAGATAAAGATATTTGGCAGGCAATTAGTTATCTCTGCTTCATAGAGTAGGAGTTAGATAGGTCAAGGGTGGGTGGTGTACTTCTCAACAATTAGGTTTCCTCGATTAGGCACATGTGACCAATTTTAACAGCACTAAACTTCTTCATAATCATTGTCATAATCTCCTCCATTATATCTCACAAAAAATGGCCCTGCTTTGGTTACAGATTGTCTTGTTCATGAGGTGATGCAGAATAAACTAAGTAGATGTATAAGAGTACAATTCAGGAAGCTTGTCTGATATACACATCACTTGCTTGTTGGTTCTACTACTGCTGCCACTTAGAAGTAGCCAACTACTTGAGCTCTCAGGAACTGGAACTCACTTTAACTTTTTTCTTTCTGATTCATTGATTGCAGATTATTTCTGAAGAGGAAACATATTGCTCTTGTAACTGTAACCTTGAACTATTTTAGTGCTGGATTTTCGTCTGTGATCATTAGGATCTTTGAGTTAATACACCCAAACTCTGAATCACAGTAAAGAACTGCCAGCATTATCAAACACATCCATTGTGACTGGATATCTATACAAACCCAGCAGAGCCTCTTAGCTCTTCTATTCCACCAGGACTTGGAAAGTTTTAGCAAAGCCTGAAATGATGTTTTCATCATTTTCTTTTATTACTTTGGTGGGGACCATGGGTAGGCTCTTTCTAGTGTGGAAGTACATTGTTTGGCCACATCTGAGGAGATGGCAGTTTCATGTCCTGAGGAGAGTAGTAATTGCTGCATAAAGTTTTGCTATTATCTGCACAAAATAGCATATTCTGGTCTTTTTCTGTTTGAATTACTTCCTTAATCTATCATGACTTAGTCATTACTGCCTTACTGCCTCTTTTGCCTCTTGTACCCTCGCAAGACTGATGCTTTAATTTTTTTTTTTTTTTTGGCCAGGGGTTTTGGAATTCTCTCACCAAGTTTCCTGATGACAAATTGTGACCACCAAATACTTACTGCTATGTAGATTGAAGAAACTTTCACTTTTTTCTGTATTTTTTATGGTCTAAAATAATCAGATTTGTTTTGAACTAAGGAGTTCTCTGGTCTCAAGATTTGTGTTCCTCTTCCAAATTTATGCACTCTGTTCTTGTTTCTTTTGCAAATCCTAGGGACAACTTCAGAAGCAGGGAAAACCAATTTACAAATTCATCAGTCAACCCTCATCATGAGTATGTTTAAATTAAAGACACCTGCCTTCATTCATCTATACGTGAATTTCCACAACTATATGTGGATTTTAGAATGCCACATTTTGCTTTGCCTAGGTTCAGGTCAGAACTTTCAGATAAAAATGTAGCAAAGTATCAGGTCACAGATAGGTTCATAAGAAGAATCTCAGCAGGAACTTAGTGAATCGTGAGCCCATCTCTCTATATAAGCTGGAGCCAGCACCTTGACAGTTTGTGATGCTACAAAATGGTTCTTCTCTAGTCTCATAGCTCCATTCCCAGCCACTATACTACATGAGGACTGGCACATAATCTTTACAAGTCCTATACAATTACAGAAGTAGTCTTTTTAATTTTTATTTTTTTACATCTGGTCTGTCTTCATTGCTATTTTTAAGGGGCTTTGTATTGTGACTTTCTCACATTTACTACACAATTTCTTTACTAAACTGAAATTTTGATTTTTGAAAGGTAATTCATCTGCAGTATATTTATGAATGTAAATTACCCTGTGCTGGGCAGAGATGTTCTTCCTGCCTGTCTATATTGACAATTTTTATTTCATATATAAAGTGGCTATAAACATATTTAAGCTAAGTTAGACTTCATTGTAACTGTATAGACAAAAATGTCACAAAATATCTGAAACACAAAAATAAGAAACAGTAACTCAGTGCCCTTGGTAAGGACTTAAAAAAAATATAGGTATCAGATCCAAGCCAAGGATGAGACACTGTGAGTAAAAGAGTCTCTTAGATTCAAGTCTTCACTTGCGTGAGGAAGGGCAGTGCATATAATAAGTTTACATAAGTAATCTGAGAAAACTGCATATGATTCCAGCTCATATGGAGCTGAGGTAGGCTCAGTGAGCTTGGTGGGGAGGCTTAGACTGATTGCATTGTTGGGTGTGTCCTGAGTTAGTCTCCGTTTCTCTTTTCCCAACAGTGATTGTTTCATTTAGACAGTGGGTCAGCTGAAGGCAAGTACTATCTATACAGAGAAACCTCAGAGAAGATTGAATTCCCTGCTCTGGTCTTCCAAGATTTATAAGATCTTGGAGGTGTCTGTCTCTGGGCTCTCTATTCTCCCTCCCCAGATATTCTGGGGATCCAAGTCTCCTCATGCTGTTCATTTGAGGCAGCCTAGTATAGGGAAGGAGCATTGTACTTGGATTCAGGGTGACACATGGGTGGTATTCTCCTATTGAATGCTGTTGAAAAAAACTAAATCTCAAAATTAGAGGACAGTCACTTCATATTAAAAAACTCAAAGAAATAAGAGCTTCGTGTTGAAGACATTGGGCAGATGGTACTCAATTGTACTTCACTACTGCTCTGCTCTAGAAGTGTGAGCAAGTGGCCTGAAATATCAGTCTTAATCTTGGCTGGGATTTTCTTTTCTTAGTTGGTCATATGTCCATGGTTTCAGGGCTCAAGGGTTAGGTCTTTATGCTTTTATGCCTTTCAGGTAGGGACAAAAAGGGCAGAGATCTTATAGCCTTCTGGACATTTTTTTGCTGGCTTCCAGGGATTTTTACTCTGATTTGTAGAAATGGAAATAATTTATTGAACTTTTCCCCCACCTGCAACTGCTTACTCTCTCTACCCTGAAACACTCTCACTAATTTTTTAGAGGTATTATTTGGAAAGTTACCAGATAGGCCTTGGAAGAGATGAAGAGGCAAAAACAGCTTATTGGGAAGCCCTAAAGATGTGACTTCTGTTCTACTGAAGGGATCTTGGGACCTCCTGTGGAAAGCACTATATTTGGAGGAAACTGATTAAAAGTAGATCAACTAACTCTTCCACTCATACTGTTTAGTCTACACAAAGTGCTTCTCAAGTATATCCCAAAATGCTTCCCTTACTTTCATATTTTCTGCCTCCCAGGTACATGCATGTTGAATGATAACAGGGTATCAGATGGCAACACAGAGAGTTTGCAGGGAAGGGGCGGAGAAAGGGCCTTGACAGACCTTTCATTTTGCAGAAGTGGCCATGCAGCCTGATGTGGAACTGAGCTGGAGTTTGCAGAAACATTGTCCTAACTAGGTGGAAGGCACTTTCCCTGTTCATGATGTTGTTCATTTGTTATTTGGTTCCACTGTACAAAATTCTGAGTGTTTCATTGCCCAGCACTGAAAGGGGGATGAAAGTGTCCATCTTAAAGATAAATTGGCAAATTATGTCAAGGTACACTGAAGAGGTCTTGTCTTTAGTTTGCTTTTAAGTAGCTTAAATGAGGTCAAGGGCCATGCCCAGAATTGTGTTGAAATCTGGATTTAGCTTGGATTAGGTCCTTGATATTTAACAGGCTTCTAATGTCTTTCCTCCAAATAATGAAGTGTACAGCCAATTCAACCATTATTCCTTGAGCCCTCTGCCTTGTGCCCCTTCACCAAAGAACCTTTGATGAATGAGGCATAGCAGTACCTTGCTTTGCTATGCCATTTACTCTTTAAAAACAATGAAGAAGCAAACAAAAAACACCAAAAATATAGAAATACAAGTATACAAGGAAGATGTGTTATATATAGACTGATGCCAAGTAAGACTCTGAATTGCAGACATCTTCCCCCTGCAAAATAAGTCACAACATAAATATATATATTTTATATACATATGTATATATAAGATATATATATGTATTTTCTGTAAATGTTAAGCTGCTCATATTTTGATGCATTGCGCAATGTTTTCATTAGGTCATCCTCTTGTAAGAATGTAACATAAATATAAATAGATCTGGAAAACTAGGGCTATAAAACAAACATTGAGATTAACAGTTTTCCAGTAACAGGCAGAAGTTAACCCTGGGTCCATGCCTTGGTAAAGCCTGTGCAGTAAGCCTCTCTGAGAGCCAGATTGAAGCTTTAACCCTTAGTGAACCTGACCTGGAAAGATAAATCTATGTCTGCCCAATAATTATGAATTGTAACTGCTGAGATCTTCCAGGATGGAGTTAAAATAATCCATGAAAGATTTCTTTAAGAAATATTTCTCTAACAAAACTGCAGATAAGAAAGATAAGGAGGGATGGCTAGTTGGGTCTAATTAACAATGACCAACATGTCACTGATGTTTGCGTAGGGCCAATTGAAGCTTATGGGTCAGCTGGATAGAAGGGCTCTCAGTTTATTCCTTCTGATGGGAAATCAAGTCATGGAAGTGGCATAGTGAGGAGATTGGCTGGTGGGACTGGTGGTCAAAAAGAAGGGGTGTGATTGGGCTTTCACAGAGAGTAGGATATCAATCTAAAATTAAATTAAGCACTGTGTATCAGTGATGGGTAGGGTGGAAGGGTGTTTGGCAGTGCTGTTGTTCAAAAATATGGCCAAGGCTTCTTAAATACACTGACTGTTGGATTCCCTTCCCTGCCTCCACTCCCTCATCTGCTGAATCCAGTTTCAAACACAGGTGATTTTTAGCAGGAGTTGTTGATTAAAATGCTGACTCTCAGCACCTTGACACTCCAGATGAACTTTAGAATATATATGTATTTTCATCATAACGTGTTTCCCTTTAGGTTTTTTGTTTTGTCAGTAGTGGGAACCTTAAAAAGGATATACATAGAGGGAGATCTTCAGCCTTTTAAAAAAATCCAGTTCTTCACACTTGTCCCAAAAGGCAATAAAGGACTACCTAAAAGTGCCATTTCCCACAAGGGCCTGTGGATATCTAAGAAACCAGAACACTGGGGAGTAACAGTGAATCCTGGGAAAAGCTGATGAAATTGATATTTTCTTTTTTCCAAACAGATCAGAATGAAGGATTTCATTGCCGGGAAGAATGCCGGATTCTTGGCCACTCTGACAGGTGCTGGATGCCCCGGAACCCCATGCCCATCCGTTCCAAGTCCCCTGAGCATGTGAGGAACATCATCGCGCTGTCTATTGAAGCTACTGCTGCTGATGTCGAGGCTTATGACGACTGCGGCCCCACCAAACGGACTTTCGCAACCTTTGGGAAAGATGTCAGCGACCACCCGGCTGAGGAGAGGCCTACCCTGAAAGGCAAGAGGACTGTCGATGTGACCATCTGCAGCCCCAAGGTCAACAGCGTTATCCGGGAGGCAGGCAATGGCTGTGAGGCGATTAGCCCTGTCACCTCCCCCCTCCACCTCAAGAGCTCTCTGCCCACCAAGCCTTCCGTGTCTTACACCATTGCCCTGGCTCCCCCAGCCCGTGATCTGGAGCAGTATGTCAACAATGTCAACAATGGCCCTACTCGTCCCTCTGAAGCTGAGCCCCGTGGAGCTGATAGCGAGAAAGTCATGCATGAGGTCAGCCCCATTCTGAAGGAAGGTCGCAACAAAGAGTCCCCTGGTGTGAAGCGTCTGAAGGATATCGTTCTCTAAACCAGTCTCCAGGAAGAAGAGAAAGAAACCACACTGGCTAGTGAAGAAGCAGGAGCTTCTTGTTTTAATTGCTCACCAATGGTTGGTTCTTGAGTGGCTATATTTCAGAGCTTTTCCTAAATGTATTGTTTATAGGTGATTATCATTCTGTGACAGTCCCTTGTTTCAACAGGCAGCAGGGGTGTTCAGTTGGAGCAAATTAGCTTTGGCTTGAGTTGTTCATGGGGCCTTGATGTTGGGGAAACAGAGACAAATTCAGTTGTGAAAAGTATTATGTATTAAGTGTTTGAATTTATATATTTTTCTATGTCAAAATTATAATATAAATTACCATTGTTTGTGGAGGATTACATTTAAAAAAGCAAAAAGTGAAAAAAAAAAGCTCTGGACACCTTTAATAAGCTCGCCACTGTTTTTTGTAGTGTAGACAAGTTAATGGTCATTTATTGTGTACTATTCATTGATTCAGTGATGTGAAATTGAGCCCCCAAAAGGTTGTTTCTGAAGCTCGAGTACTTCCCAATGCCGCTACTTTGCTGTGGACACCCCTGCTTTAAAAACCCTTTTGCTAGCTGTGCTATTGTTGTATTTGATATTGCAAATTGCTATGTGTGTGGTGATGGCAAAAGGCTTTTAAAAGTTGGTGTTTTCTTTTTCTTAAAAAAATAATAAAACTACAGACAAAAACAAAGTGCAAACAACTGAGACAGCAAATGAATGAGCAACACCATGCATATAGATTGAGTACTTGGAGAATACTCACGTTTTTTAACTCATGTAGTGATTGCTCACCACTTTGCAAAGTATTTTTCCTGCCTTTCAGTGGTCTGCCCAGGTCCATGATAGATCATTGCAGAAAGTCATTTTTGGATAGGCTGCTATCTAATTTGCAGTTGTCAGAAATACTGTGCTGAAAGTTTTATGACATCCATCTTTTAAATTTTCAGGCCCTGAACAGGAAAGTTGCTCCTGAAGTTATGTTTCCAGGCTTAGAAATTCCCTCTCTCCAATCATCTAAAATTGAAGATGACTGAATCTATTTTAAGATCTAAATTAGCATCTCTTCAGACACACACTTCCTGATTCAGTGTTTCCCAATCATGATTAGAATTAGACTGCAAAGCACGTCATGGGCTGGGATTGAGAACTCCATGTTGCTCTGTATCTTAGGCTTATATACGTAGGGATAGAGTAAGCAGTACAAAGTGTATATTTTGGAAAAGACAGGTAACAGGTAACAGCATCGCTAATCCAATTACTGTGCCTTCTAAACGGAGACACTCAGACACTTGAACTCATCTTTTTATGACTAATAGTTTTTTGATTAAAAATGTGAACAAGAAAATACTAAAATAAAAATCCTTTCGATTTAGCCAACTCTTTTTGCTGTAGGCTAGGAATACACCCTTTTTAAATTAACACACTGTAGATCCTTTTTTTCTGTTTTAACATTCCTCTAACTCCCCCATTTATCTTTTGTCTATTAATATTCACTAGCCAACATAGTATTTTTGCAGCCTAAGAGTTCATTATTTAAAAATAAACTAAAGAAATATGTCACCTTTGTTCTGCCTTGGTCTTAAGAGAGTTGTTTCTAGAGAAACAAGTTTTATGGTTCTGTTTTCATTTGTTTCATTTTTTGAAATTCAGGAATACACAGAGAGAAGGCCTAGAGGTTAGAGCACTAGAATGCAAAAGAGGATTTATTTTCTTAAGTTTAGGTAGATAAGTCAGCTCTTTTGAATGTTTTACTTATTTTTGCCTGAGTTCCTAGCTTTACGCATTACTAGGAATATTTTCTTTTACAGGAGGGAGAAGGGTTTTGAGGGAGGGGGTGGGTAAGGCAGTAGGGATGGGGTTAGGTAGGGGAGAACATTTCTGAAAAAGAACTTATAATGAAGCTACAAATCCATCCTTATTTCTTATTCAGTGCTGAATACTACCTCATGCAAAATATTGGTGTGGCTGCAAATTTCCCTCTGAAGCTGACACAATTAAGGATGAATTACCATAACATCTTCATTTTTCCTCATTTCATTGCCTCTCATACAGTTTTCTCCCTCTGATTTATTTCATTTTGGTAGTGGATTTTGAATTAAGTATTTATTTCTCTTTGCAAGTGACTATTTGATTAACACATTAAAAATTTTTTAAAAATTTCCCCTTTAAGTTATGATGGCTGCCTATAGAATTTAGACTGTTTCTCACCCTGATCCATCCTGATATTATGTTATTAGCTACGATTTCAAGGTCACTTTGAAGTCAGACTTCACAGTTTTCTACAGGTGTATTTCTTGCTATGCTCAGTGGGAACCAGGGAGCAGAAAAGATTGTGGAAAGTGGGAACATTAATTGTCACGTGGCTGTTGAGCCAGAGAGGCCACTGGCTGCCATGCCTCTTACCAGCCAAGTTTTAAATGGTTAGAGTGGCATTGGCATTGATTTTGCTTTTCTCTTGGGTTTTCTTCATTTCTTTTCATAATTCATCTTCAAGCTATAGATCCATCCTTCTTCCCTATCCAAATACTTTGTTCTCAGTGGGCAGTCAGATTTTTTTGGCTTCCAAACCTCACTGAGCATGTTCAGAGAATTCCTCTCATTAAGGAAATATTTTTCCCCACAATTGTCTGATGTATGAGTCCTCTCAGAAGCACAAGTGCATACTAGGAAGGCTTTGTAAACTGGTTTTGTAGGCAGGCTGTACCTGCAAATAGGCATTCTGAGCAAGGATCCTAAATTTCCCTTTGGCTCATGTCCCCCCCGCCCCACCCCACCTTCTCCTTTTTGGCATGTCTGGTGAAAAGCTACAAGGTTCACAGGGCCAAATATTCTCCCTTTTGTTCTCTAAACATGTTGCACACATAAACTCAAGGGAGTGATTTCGGTTCCTAAGTCCTAGGGAGTTCTATTCCATTTATTCTGATGTCCCTTTTAAGGAGGAGTTGGTGTTGAAGTGTGACATGCTTTAATGATAACTGCTTTGGCAATTCCCCAGACAGGTATACTTCTTCATCCAAAATTGCACCTAAGGTGTTCATTTAGACAAAATTGTTCGCTTAGTGATCCACTGATCTCTAATCAGAAATATTTTTAAAAAATACAATTTAGATCTCTGAAAATTGGAACCACTCAAGAGTATCATCTTGATAGTGTTACTTCAGCATATGACTGACTGATTTTATGAAGGGAGTTTAGCTGACTTTTCCCTGTAGCCCTATCATATTAAAAACAAAAAGTGGTCCACTTGAAGCAGCAAGGACAAAGGGCAGTTTAGGGAGAGGCAGGGTGAAGGGGATAGCTCGATTGGGCATCCAGAGTGGAAAAGGATTATTATTGTACATAATAGCAGTTCTGGCTGGAATTCCAATCCACTTTCTGGGGATCATTTTGATGTTGAATGTTCCCCCAAAGCATTCTGACAAGTTTGGTCCACTTGGCTCTTTACCCCGGGTAATAAGACCCTTATTGACTTTGAAAAACTGGCATAAATGAGCTTAAGAAATCCATTGTATACAGTCCTAGTGTTTGCCTTCTTGGTAAAATTACATTTAAGGATGTCATTTCATGAGTCAAATTGTATCTGCTGACACTGAAGTGTATTGAGATGTTGTTCTTTAGTTTAAGTATGTAACAAAGTAATATTCAAAGGGGATGTTTGGGGGTGGGGCTGGGACCGGGTGGCTTTATATTGATAATGAAATATTCCAGAGCAAAACACATTGTCCTAATGAAGTTGTTGCAGCTCTCTTCGTTTTCTTGTGCCGCTGGAATTGGCTTGTGGGTCACTTGTTGTGCAAAAGTGAATTAATTTCAAATAGGAATCATATTGCTTTTGTGAAACAAAGAAAATTTACCACCTTGTCTGATACATAGATTGGAAGGCGCTCTTGGTAAAGAATAACCCACAAACACCTGATCTTGATTGGAAAGCATTGTAGGTCATTAGGGAAAACTGATGATGCTGACTGTTGCTCCAGCTGTGTTGGCAATTCAAGATGACCTTGTTACTAACTGAAAGTTGCTGTCAACCTTAGCAAACAAACCAGCTAACACCATTACAGCACTGGTTAAGTAGATTTTTACTGGCACTGGCTGGCGTTCAGCTGAGGAAGGCTAGGATACAGACTTTAATGACCAAGAGCCAGACTAGCTCGAGCTAGAAATCAGCAACAAATACCTCCTTGTGCTATTTGAATGCTAAGGTATTAGTTGCAATAGGCTTACGCCTTCGCTCCTCTAGTGAGGGGAATGAGCCTGATGACACTATTACTGTTTACCTGTCAAACCAGGGTGGAAATTTAGAGGGATGCAAGTACAGTATGTCTCATTAAGCAGTCTCTGTTGCTGATTATATGAAGATAAAATTGTTGTATATGCTGATCTGTATGTTATGTACATTTTCACAGTGATTGAATCATTGTAAAAAGAAAAAAGACAAAAAAGAATCACCACTGTCTATTTTATGAAGATGATAAAGCAGCTTTATTAAATTATTACAGTTATGTTTCAAATGGTGTTATCTGCCACATTGTTTCCTTTTATCTGGTGGTTCTCTGTTTCCCCCTTTAAATGTGTTTTCTCTGCTTCAAAAATTTAATGCATTTTAGTATTAAAGGCTATTATGGAAAAAGTATTGAGTGTTTGGTGGAATGTGTTTCAGAGAGTGTTTGTAGGCTCGCGGGAAGCGACTCTTAGACCTAAGAGGTCACCAGTCCTTAGCGGAGTCATTGATGTTCAGACCCCAAGGGATCCTTTTGCCTTTTCCATTTCACAGCATTCACGACCTCCAACTAAGGGGGGCCTCTTCCTCCAGCAGGTTCCAGCTATTTCCTGAGCACCTCCTCTCCTTCCTACCCCAGTGAATACCGTTGCCTGAGGAGGAAGACCCATACATATCTGGAATGGTAAAGACTTTCCTGGATGGTACTTTAAACAAGAGCGCTAAAGCCATTCTTTAAAATAAATCATGTCAGGGCAACTTCACAGTGAGACTTCTCTGAAGAATTAATTTAAAAAAAGGTGAGATATAGTAGAGGCTGACAGCAGGGGAAAAGAGAGTTTAAAACAAAGATGACCTGGCTGCCCCTTTGATGCCTTCAGGTTTGAAAGTGAAGCAACAGGAGAGGCTCTGACTTCGCACAGAACAAGGCTGCAGAGAAAGCCCTGACAAGTTTTCTTTATCCAAGCCATTATTCTCTGGGACTTAGCAGTTGGGCTGTAAGTATTCATTCTGCCTGCGACAGGCAGAAAAAAAGTCAGAGTAGAGGAAAAACAGGAGCATGGCAGAACATTTCCAAATAGTGCCGTTAGTGGTTAAAGGCTAAATTGCTTCAGCATGACCTATTCTCTCCGGACAATTAAAAATGATCTCAAGGAAATCTACTGTCTCCCTGGATCTCCATCTTCCTGTTATCTCTATCCACCTGTATTAAATTGAGATTGCATCTTATTCTCCAGAATTAGCCCTAAAGCCACAGCAATAGCCAGCAATTTGGTACTGTAGTTTAACAGGTGTTGCATCAGAATGCAAGCACAGACATGCTGGGACACATGGAGTCACATATACTGATGTATGTACAGATGTTCACGCAGACTCCCAGATGTTCATAAAGGCATATGGGAAGGAGGCTGCTCTGTCACTGGCTTGGAGGACATTAAGTCATAGGAGGCTATATGAGTACTTCTGAGGTAGTTCACACCAAAAACACAAAGAAAATAAGTTTCTTTGACCCCATTTCAACTACCTTTTTTTTCAGGGGGAGGGGCTGGAAAGGAAATAGCAACTCGATCCTAAAATAAGATCCTCCAAGGAATGAGCAAGAGAAAATAAAGTCTCACATGATGAAGGGCATTTACATATGCAACACAGGCATATCCAAGGTCATTGACGAAACCAGTAACTCTGCCTAAGTGTGGGAGAGTGGCAAGATTATAGGCGTAACCTCAAATCGATTCAAATTTATAAAACAAAACACGTTATTAAAACTATCGAAAGTGCTTGTGACACATATGTGTCACTGACATGCTGTGTGTGAAGTCAAGAAACCATGATGGGAATTGATATGTAAGAGGGCATTCTCCAACAGGAGATGATAGCTGCTCCAGAGACAAAGATACGAGTAACCATTTTTATTATTTCGGTTTGGGGGTATAGACTTGCCTTAGAGAGGTACACCTTGAATGCACTGCCACCACTTGTAAAGGGATGGGGCTCTTATCGCGAGAACAAAATTCTCTAGGATGGGAGCAGAGAGGTATTCCCTGAGAGTTTCAGGTCTTAACCTTTCTACACGTTGGCAAATAACCTACTTGCACATATCTGACACTTCCAACCATTTACCATTTTTTTGTGGGCAACTCATTCAATGTGGACATTCAAGACCTGGGCAGAGTGGGGAGTGCTAGGGCTTAAGGGACCAAGTCTTTTCATGAGCACTTACTGTGTGCAAGACACTTTACAAACATTATCCCATTTTATCCTTACAGCAACTTACGTAGTAAATAATGATATCTACATTTTATACACAAATAAATTGAGACTCAGAGAGCTTAGGGGAGCTTGCCCAGGGCCACATGAACACTAAATGACAGAGCTAGGATTCAAATCCATGTTTGTCTACTTAGGAATTATTATTCTTTTCAATTACTCTTAAGGGATCAGCAACCAACATGGTAAGTTCTTCCTGACTAGAGTAGTAATGGTAGGTGCTAATGTCTTAAGGCATTTATCCATCCTGGAGGACATGTTGACATTTTAACTGAGATCTTTGGGAAACCAATGTCATGGCCCAAAGAAGTGATTGCAGCAGTGGGATTTTCAGGCTAGGGTGCTTTTGATCAGCCTCCTAGGCATGTTCCTACTCCTTCTCTACCAAGTGCCTGCCTTTCAAGTTGCATTAGTCATGCATGGCAGAACTGTGGCTCCTTTTAGAGTCTGTGCACTCTAGCTAGTCAACAGCCCTTGAAATGAAGGTCTGGTAACCCTGTATTCATCTGTCCCTCTGGGTTTCAAGCAATCTGTCAAGGATGTATTCATGTGTATTACAGGTCAGCACAGTTGGAGTCAATCCCAGTATATGTTAGCAACAGGTCTTGGCTACTTTTTTAGATCCAGAAAGTTAGTTGAGGGTGAGGGAGGTTGATGGCTAAGGCAAGGTTATAGTGGTAGTGGGTAGGGGAGGCATGTTTGTAAAAGAAATTGAAACCCCAGGCTACTGCAAGGAAAGAGATCGGGGGTGGAACAATCAGCTGGGAAATGTGGCTGAATCAGCTGTAAGCACTGGGCAATCAGAAGCCTAGGGATTGGTTTCTATGCTTGCCTCATAGTGCAAGTGGAGTTGAAGAGGTGTTGATAGGCCCCCGAAGGACCTTCATCTGGCCCTTCTAACTTAGCAAGGGATCTGAAATGGAGCTAAATTAAGAAGTGAGGTCAGATAAAAAAAAAAATGGGAAGGGAGCTGAGGAACGATCCCAACTACATGCATAAAGTCTCTGGTAATGAGTAGACCAGCTTCTCCAAAGGAGACCTCTATATAGAGAGGCTAAATGCCAAGCCATTTAAAATACTTCATTGTTGAAGTGTTCCTAATTTGCCTCAGTGGCCCAGCACTTCTCAGTCTGGGATATAGTTCTCAGGGTTTTGGATGTCAGAGCTGAGTTAAATGCAATGGTAAACACTGAGTTGCTTTGCCAGTGCCGTTCTAACATTCTTTTTTTCCCTTCTAGCAGAAAAATAGGGATATTGTCAGAGACCAAGACAGAGGTATTTTATGCCCCTAAATCAATACTCAGGAACTTTTCCAAAAATGTCTGATAAACTTTATTCCCACTGCTACCACAGTGGCCCAGGCCTCAGCATCCTTCATCTGGATGATGGAAATAGTCTCCTAATCTGCCTCTTATTCACCTTGCCTCTCTTTATCACATTCTTTATACTGCAGCCAGAGGAATCTTGCTAAAACACAACACTGGTTAAATCACAACTCAGCTTAGAATCCAACAATGGTTTCTCTTAAGATGAAATCCAATCCCTTAACATAGACTACAAGAGTGGTTTTCAATTTTTTGTCTGCTTTCCATACTAAACAATGCATTTTGCATCTCAATTCAGTGTCACATGCTCATAACTGAAATGAACATTTCACAAACAATACTTATCCTTACTACCTAAAAGGCACTGATATATTCTATTCAACTCTGAATGCCAAGGGTCAGCAAACTTTTTCTGCAAAAGACCAGATAATAAATACTGTAGACTTTGTGAACCATATGATGTCTGTTGCAACTACTAAATTTTAGCATTGGAGAAGCACACACACATACTTTTGCTTACAACTCCAGGGGCTTTTTGCATCCCTCAGACAAAGATTCCCTGGTTTTCAGAATGCAGAGCGCCATACCCTCCACCCCAGGTAGTAAGTGCTCTAACTAGAGACATTTCAGTATCACACAATGCCATAATCACAGGCCCAAATCATGACTGGTTCCACACCAATGTCCCCTTTAAATGTTATACCTCTTATTTTAGGAAGTCAAACTGGCTATTTGCCAATGACATGATTGTATACCTAGAAAACCCTAAAGACTACTCCAAAAGACTCCTAGAGTTGGTAAATGAATTCAATAAAGTCTCAAGTTACAGAATCAATGTACACAAACCAGTAGCACTGCTATACACGAACAAAGACCAAGCTAAGAATCAAATCCAGAACTCAATCCCTTTTACAATAGCTGAAGAAAAAACTAGGAATATAATTTACCATGGAGGTGAAAGACGTCTGCAAGGAAAACTACAAAACACTGCTGAAATAAATCATAGGTGACACAAACAAATGGAAACACATCCCATACTCATGTATGGAAAGAATCAATATTGTGAAAATGGCCATACTGCCAAAGGAATGTACAGATTCAACGCTCAGTGGCAGGGAGACCACTTAGGAGGCTGCTGCAATAATCCATGCTAGATAAGATAGTAGCTTGAATGAGGGTAGTGGCCATGGAGTAGGTAAGAAGTGATCCCGTTATTTTCTTAACTGCCTTAATGCAGCCACAGATGCTGTTATTAATATTAATAGAAGATAAAGACTAGAAAGAGGGAAGATATGTGGCAAAATGGTGCAGAGGCTCGAGGTCCTGGTGAGTAAAACAGAATAGGCAGTGGGGAGAGGAGGAAAGATAATTGTGAGAAATAAAAAAGGCCATGTGGGAGAGTAAAGTCAGAAAATGAGAATGTGTCTTAAATCCATTTTCAATATCAGGTGCTTCTGATTACAGAGATTAACTCATCACCATGTCTTTTCACTTTATCTATGTCCGTGTAAGGTAACTTGTTTTGCAGCATTTTGAAATAATGGACTTTTTAAAAATATGTATAGATTAAGGAGATACTTGTTCTTCTCCAAGCTAACTGAGGTGAAAAGAAATTCCAATCAGCCCCAGGAAAGGAAATGAATGGGTCAGAACAGCCCAATACATTTTTTTGGAGCTGTGCTTCCTGCATGAGTGGACTGTAGGCAAAGTCCCCTCTCTTGTCTACTCTCCAATCACCAAGTGTGTGATGCCCAGGTGTGGGGTTCAGTACTATCTGTTGGTAGATGAAAACTCAGAATTCCTTCCTGTTGTTGGAAGGCTGGAAGCAAACTAGGTAGTATCTGGAAATTGTTTGGGCCTTGAGTTTTTGAACTTTATTATGAACAATTTCAAATCTATATAGTATTGACAGAATAGTATGATAAATGCAATGTCCCCATCACACAGCTTTAATACTTATCAATACATCTGGGGCTTGTATTTAATAGAGATTAAAGAGAGAAGCAGAACCCTTGAGTTAGACTCTGTCTTTTGGAATTTTGACGTTTTGATCTCTCTGAAATCAGAAGACCCAGAGTAGAGTCTGGTCCAGAAATAGGAGGCAACTCCAGGTTTTACAGACTGAAGAACAACTGAGGCTAGACAGAGGAGGTGTCATACATTTTAGAATTAGGAGAATTCTATTAAGGAAAAGTAGAAAACACTGAGCTGCTGGTGGAGCACAACCTCCCAGAGGCTATGGGTTGCCAATTATGGCTAATTTCTTTGTCCTCAAAGTTTTTCGCTCAGTTCATCTATTCTACATGGGATTTTTCCTTTTGAAGAAATTCTAATTCAGTGCTATATTTTATCATTGCAATCCATGGGAAAAGTAATCTGCTTTGCCAATAGTTGCCTTTCACTTACTTTTTTTTTTTTTTTGCAATGCATTGACTTTTTTTTTTTTTAAAGTTCAAGCTCTATGTTTTTTGAAAGATGTAAGCTCTTTGCAGTTTCCTGTAGTGTTTCCTCATAGAATAAATGTCAAGCTTAACTTTGCACCATCTTCGCACCATCTTTATCACTCTTATCCCTGACCTTGATTGCATTGGAAACAAAAAAGTGTGTGTGTGTATTTGTGTGTGGGTGTGTGGATACAGGGAAGAGTGCTTCAGAAGTTCTTGGAGGAGGTGCGTAAGAAGGAGGAGTATCTACAAATGTTTTCATTTTTTCAGTTGGTAATTGTTGTCAGTAAGGGGTCCAACTGACAAATGGTGGTATGATTTTGCTTAGAAAATAGCTAGTTTGACACAAAGAACTCTAATGAGGCTATATCAGGGAGGGTCATCGTCATTTGCCATAGACTCACCCTGGTGATGGTGGTGGTGTGGACTGGGCTGGCTCCAGAACCTACACCTGGGTGGAGCTTGAGTTGAGCATATGGTAGTTTTTCACTTACTTGCTTTCAGATGGCAAGTCAAATATTTGACCTGGACCAATCCCTCTTGAGGTCTCCAAAGGCAGCTGAAGGTGTTTTAAATCTCTCCCAACACGTTGTGAGGAAGCTGCAGCTGGCTTTGATAAACCAAGGAGTAACATGATCAAAACAGTAGCCTCAGTGAGGAGGCAGTGAGCACAAGAAGGCTTCCTTTCCCAGGACTGCGTAAGAAAGAGAACTACACATTTGGAACTTCGAGGAAAAACACACACACACTCCTGGTTTGCCACTTAGTGGTGACTGGGAGTGCTGATGCTTCCTGGCAATGTGCTTCAGGTAAGAAATCTTAGCAAGGGCCAAGTCCTTCCATTTTTTAAATCTGACAACTCAGTTAAAACGAGGTGGAATTCAAAGAAATTTCAGAAAAATAGGTGCGATATGCAGGTTGGCCCTATCCAACCTCTGTAGTCAAGGTGGGGCTTTATAAGGAGCAACTTCCCATAAGGGGACTTAGAGATTGTATATCATAGAGTGACAGAACTTGAATAGTATTAACCACCATTTGTTGGGCATTTAGTATGCACCAGGCATTATCAAAGTGGAATATATATATATATATATATTTTCTCATTTAGTCCACCTAACATGATAGTAAGATAGTTACTATTATTATTCCCACTTTGCAGACGAGGAAGCTGAGGCGTGGAGACCCTTTACTTGATGAGGTTCAAATGGCTAGCAAGTATAAGAAGCAGGATTCAAATACAGGCAGCCTGATTTGAAAACCCATGATTTTAAGCAGCATGCTATATTTTGTCTCTCAACTGGTAGGCACCTTAGAAATCATTCAACTTCCTAATTTTACAGATGAGGAAAATGAATTACAAAGAAATCACTAGACTGTAAGATCCATAGCTCTATGAGGGCAGATCATAACTATTTTGCTCACCATTGTAGGCCCTGCTACTAATCATAGGGTCAAGTCAATTCTATAGTAGGTGCTCAATAAAAAAAAAGTTATTGAATGAGACTTTCTGCGGGAGGTGGAGCAAGATGGTGGAATAGAAGGCTCCACTGATTATCTTCCACCCCAGCAAGGACACCTACTCAACAAGTATCTACACAGAAAAAGCAGCTTCTTAAGAGCCAAAAAAACAGGTGAGCACTCATAGTACCTGGTTTTGACTTTGTATTATTGAAAGCGCATTAAAGAGAAAGGGAAAACAGTCTTGAATCAGGAATGCCATCCCTCCCCCAGGCCCTGCTGCATCAGCATGGTACAGAGAGCAACTCTGGGCACTGGGGCAGGAAGAACACAGCAATTGTGAGGCTATTGTAAAAGGGATTGAGTTCTGGATTTGATTCTTAGCTTGGTCTTTGTTCGTGTATAGCAGTGCTACTGGTTTGTATACATTGATTCTGTAACTTGAGACTTTATTGAATTCATTTACCAATTCTAGGAGTCTTTTGGAGTAGTCTTTAGGGTTTTCTAGGTATACGATCATATCATTGGCAAATAGCAAGTTTGACTTCCTAAAATAAGAGGTATAATATTTAAAGGGGACATTGGTGTGGAACTAGTCATGATTTGGGCCTGTGATTATAGCAATGTGTGATACTGAAATGTCTCTAGTTAGAGCACTTACTACCTGGGGTGGAGGGTATGGCATACAAATACATGGAAATTAAACAATATGCTCCTGAATGATCAGTGGGTCAATGAAGAAATTTCTTGAAAGAATTGATAATGGAAACACAACATACCAGAACCTGTGGGATACAGCAAAAGCAGTACTAAGAGAGATTATAACTGTCAGTGTGTACATCCAAAAAGAAGAAATTTTCAAATAACCTAACAATGCATCTTAAAGAACTAGAAAACCAAGAGTAAACCAAACCCACAATTAGTAGAATAAATGAAATAATAAATAAAATAGAAGAAATAAATGAAATTGAAATGAAAAAGTACAAAAGATCAATGAAACGAAAGGTTCATTTCTTGAAAAGTTAAACAATATTGACAAACCTTTAGCTAGACTAACAGAAGAAAAGAGCGTAGACCCAAATAAATAAAATCAGAAATGAAAAAGGAGACATTACAAATGATACTGCAGAAATTCCAAGGACCATTAATGACCACTATGAATAACTGTATACCAATAAATTGGAAAATCTAAACGAAATGGACAAATTCCTAGACACATACAACGTAGTATGATCGAACCAGGAAGAAATCCAAAAGCTGAACAGACCAATAAGAAGTAACAAGATCAAAACTGTAATAAAAAGTTTCCCAGTAAAGAAAAGCCTGGGACCTGAAGGCTTAGCTGCTGAATTCTAAGAACATTTAAACAAGAACTTCTACCAATTCTAAGCAAACTATTTCAAAAATAGAGGATGGAATACTTCCAAACTCATTCTATGAGGCTAGTAGTACCCAGATACCAAAACTAGACAAAGACACATCAAAAAAAGAAAACTGTAGTCTAATATATCGATGTATTGATGCAAGCTTCCTCAACAAAATACTAGCAAACCAAATTTAACACTACACTAGAAAGATCATTCATCATGACCAAGTGGGATTTATCTCTGGGATGCAAGTATGGTTGAACATACACAAATCAATCAGTTTGATTCATCATATTAACAGAATGAAAGAAAAAACCATATGATCATTTTAACTGATGCTGAAAAAGCATTTGATAAAATTCAGCATGCTCTTATGATAAAATCCCAGAAAAACTGGGTATAGAAGGAACACACCTCAACATAATAAAAAGCCATATGCTACAGATCCACAGCTAGTATTATACTGAATGGGGAAGAACAGAAAGATCTGGAACATGACCAGGATGCCTATTGTCATCACTGTTATTTATCATAGTACTGGAAGCCCTAGCTAAAGCAATCAAACGAGAAAGAAATAAAGGGCATCCAAATTGGAAAAGAAGAAGTCAAATTATTCTTGTTTGCAGATGATATGATCTTATACTTGGAAAAATCTAAAGACTCCACAAGAAAAGTCATAGAAGTGATAAGCAAATTCAGTAAAGTTTTGGGATACAAAATCAACATACAAAAATCAATAGCATTTCTATATGCCAACAGTGAGCAATGTGAAAGAGAAATTAAAAGTAATCCCATTTAGTATAGCCACACATAAAATTAAATACCTAGGAATTAACCAAAGAAGTGAAAGATCTCTAAATAAAAACTATAAAACACTGATGAAGGAAATTGAAGAGGGCACCAAAGGATGGAAAAATATTTCGTGTTCATGGATTGGAAGAATCAATATTGTTAAAATGTCCATACTACCCAAAGCAAGCTACAGATTCAATGCAATCCTTATCAAAATACCAACGACATTCTTCACAGAAACAGAAAAAAAAATTCCTAAAATGTATATGAATTTATATGGAACCACAAAAGACCCAGAATAGCCAAAGCTATCCTGAGCAAAAAGAACAAACCTGGAGGAATCACATTACCTGACTTCAAATTATACTACAGAGCTACAGTCACCAAAACAGCATGGTACTGGCATAAAAACAGACACATAGATGAAAGGAACAGAATACAGAACGGAGACACAAATCCACACACTTGCAGTGAACTCATTTTCGACAAAGGTGCCAAGAATATGCACTGGGGAAGACAGTCCTTTCCATAAATGGCGCTGGAAAAACTGGATGTCCATATACAGAAGAATGAAACTTGACCCCTATGTCTTGCTATATACAAAAATCAAAATGGGTTAAACACTTAAATCTGAGACCTCAAACTATGAAACTACTATATGAAAACACTGGGGAAAATCTCTAGGATATTGGTCTGGGCAAAGATTTCTTGAGCAATGCCCCACAAGTACAGGAAACCAACCCCAAAATGCACAAATGGGATCACATGGAGTTAAAAAGCTTCTGTACAGTAAAGGAAACAATCAACAAAGTGAAGAGAAAACCCACAGAATGGGAGAAAATACTTGCAAACTATCCCTCTGATAAGGGATTAGTAACCAGAAAATATAAGGAGCTCAGACAACTCTATAGGAAAAAAGTCTAATAATCCAATGAAAAATTGGGCAAATGATTTGAATAGACATTTCTCAAAAGAAGACCTACAAATGGCAAATAGACATGAAAAGGTGTTCAACATAATTGATCATTAGAGAAATGCAAATCAAAACTAGAATGAGCTACCATCTCACTCCAGTTAAAATGGCTTATATCCAAAAGATAGGCAATAACAGATGCTGTTGAGAAGGTGGAGAAAAGGGAACACTTGTACACTACTGGTGACAATGTAAATTAGTACAACTACTATGGAGAACAATTTGGAGGAAGTTCCTTGAAAAATTAAAAATAGAGGTATCATGTGATCCAGCAATCCCACTGCCGGATATATACCCCAAATGAAATAACTATATCAAAGAGATATCTGCACTCCTGTGTTTGTTGCAGCATTGTTTGCGATACCTAAGATTTGTAAGCAACATAAATGTCTATCAACAGATGGATGGATAAAGAAAATGTGGTACATATACACAATTGAGTACTATTCAGCCATAAAAAGAATGAGATCCAGTCATTTGCAGCAACATGGATGGAACTGGAGATCACTGAGTTAAGTGAAATAAGCCAGGCACAGAAAGACAAAAATTGCATATTTTCACTGATTTGTGGGATCCGAAAATCAAAACAATTAAACTCATGGAGGTAGAGAGCAGAAGGATGGTTACCAGAGGCTGGGAAGAATAGTGGGAAGTGGGTGGGAAGTGGGGATGATTAATGGGTAGAAAAAAATAGTTAGAAAAAATGAATAAGACCTGCTATTTTGATAGCACAACAAGGTGACTATAGCCAATAATAACTTAATTGTATACTTTAAAATAAAGAGTGTAATTCGATTGTTTGTAACACAAAAGATAAATACTTGAGGAGATGAATACCCCATTCTCCATGATGTGATTATTTTACATTGTATGCCTGTATCAAAACATCTCATGTAACCCATAAATATACATACCTACTATGTACTCGCAAAAGTTAAAAATATAAAATTTTAAAAATAAAATTAAAAAATATTGAATGAATGTAGAATAAATGAGCAAAATGGAGGACTTAAATGGTGGATCTGCAAGATCTCCTACACATTTGATATTCTATTTCATTTGATCCCCATAATTTTTTAAAAAAATACTAAGGCTGGGCACGGAGGCTCACGCCTGTAATCCCAGTACTTTGGGAGGCTGAGGTGGGTGGATCACGAGGTCAGGAGATCGAGACCATCCTGGCTAACACGGTGAAACCCCGTCTCTACTAAAAATACAAAAAAATTAGCCGGGCGTGGTGGCGGGTGCCTGTAGTCCCAGCTACTCAGGAGGCTGAGGCAGGATAATGGCGTGAACCCGGGAGGCGGAGCTTGCAGTGAGCCAAGATTGCGCAACTGCACTCCAGTCTAGGGGACAGAGAGAGACTCCGTCTCAAAAAAAAAAAAACAAAAAACAAAAAACAAAAAACAAAACAAAACAAAAAACTACTAAAAGCATTTACACAGTATGTGATGCAGGTAAGGGAAGCCATGGGCATGAAAGATCAGACTTCACTTACTTCATAGTTTTTGATGAGCAATGGCTAGCTAGCTCAGACTAGAGGGACATTTACTCATTTGTTCACTCTGCAAACATTTTTTGAGGGCCTAACCTGTGCTAAGAACTGTACTAGGCTCTGATGGTACATGTGATAATAATAGCTAACCTTTTCCTATTTGAGTACCCAGGTCTATTTTAAATGCCTTATGTGTAACTATTCAGCAAATTGGTATTGAGCACTTATTGTGTGCTAGGTATGGTCTGGGCACTGGGGTTACATTGTTGAGCAGAACAGACAAAAATTTTGTCCTTGTAGGACTTATACTCTCATCTTTATAGCCCATTTATAAGATTGATTCTAACATTAGCCCCATTTTATCGATGAGGAAACAGATACAGAGAGATAAAGATCTCACTGGCAGTAAATAGCAGAGCCAGGCTTGAACCTAGGTATTACAGTTCTAGAAACGGCTTTTAACAGTTGTATTCTACTGCTTTTCAAAGAGGAATATGAGTCTTTGCACTTAAGGGGCTCATGGACTATTTGGGGAGAAAGGCAAAAAAATTAATCACTGTAAAACAACAAAAATAGCAGTAGCTAACATCTATGAGTGCTTACTATGTTTCAGTCCTTATATTAAGAGTTTGACATGTTTTCTTTCATTTCAACTTCCTAACAACCCCCCAAAATAGATAACATTATGATTTCCATTTTATACATGAAACAACTGTCAGGCTCCACGTCCCATGTCCTTAACCACCTTAGTAATACATTACCCAAATACATGAACACAGAGTCCTGCATACAGAATAACAACGTTGTAACCTCCCCATGCCCAGCTCTCTTTTTCACTTACTTTCAAACCAAAAGACTCATTTCTTGATCTTTGGTAGTGTGTTCACACTGTAGGAGCTGGGTATTTTGCTGTGAGAGCTTTGAAAGGCCAACTAAATTAGCTGTTCCATTTCTGATTTTATTGCTGACCTGACGTCTCTAAAGGTCAGCTAGGTTTGTGATGGTACTAAAGGCTGCTTTTATAATAGCAATTTTGTTTTTTGAGGCAGAATCTTGTTCTGTCGTGCAGGCTGGAGGGCAGTGGTGCGAACTCGGCTCACTGCAATCTCTGCCTCCCGGGTTCAAGCGATTCTTCTGCCTCAGCCTCCTGAGTAGCTGGGATTATAGGTGCTGCCACCATGCCTAGCTAATTTTTGTATTTTTACTAGAGGTGGGGTTTCACCATGTTGGCCAGGCTGGTCTCGAACTCCTGACCTCAGGTGATCCACCCTCCTTGGCCTCCCAAAGTGTTGGGATTATAGGCGTGAGCCACCTTGCCCGGCCTCATAATAGCATTTTGTAGGACATTTCAAAAATGACACTCTCTCCCTGGGTGAAGAGGCAGTATGGTATGGTGGCTGAAGTTGTCATCTTTAGACTTATACAGACCAGAGTTCAAATCCAGTCTACTCCCTGTTTCCAGTTGAGTGACCTTGGGCAAGTTATCTAACTTTTTACTACTTTAGATTCCTAGCACACAAAGCAAATTTTTCTAGATACAGTCTCTAAAGGAGGGAAAAGTCAATATTGAAAAAAAAATTAGGAGAACTACTTATTTTTTCTGTGCTCTCACTCTCTGTATTTGTGTGCATGTATGTGTGCACATGCCTGTGGGTGTGAAAGTAGAAACTCAATCGCACTGTCACCAATCTCACAGGCCAATTGACTAGAATATTAAAAAGTATCCTTGTCACTCATCCTTTACAATTTTCCCTTTAGAAAGGTGGTATATAATAGAATTACACACAAACTGTATTTCATATCTATCCTAATAATGAGTTCATTCTTGACCACATTTGTTAAAATGAATATCAAATAATTATTTGCCACTTAGCAAATGTTAGCCAACTTTACATCCACATCTAGTTATCATGTGACAGTTGAGCATTGATAGTTATTGCTGGATATTAGCAATTTTACAGAGCTTCACTTAAAATGTTTGCTGCCTCACAATCTGTTGGCACAAAAAGTATAACAAAGCAAATGACAGGAGAATAGATTATAATGGAGTCTGATGGTTCATCTTTAAAAGAGAAACCTATTTCCAGAGAGAACATCTGCTCTCAATGCGGAGTGCGGGGCCATAGCTGGGGCTGCTATACTTTTAGCAGATGGAAGTGGGGTGGACTGGAAATTCACAGAGCATTGGAGACTGAAGTTTGTCACCTCACCAGATTGCTTTCTGAGTATTTCCTTGTCTAGCAGCTTTGAACCTGCACATGCCAAGTGAGTACACATTGTCTTCTGAGTAAAAAAAAAAAAAAAACCTTCCCATGTGTCAATGTCAACATTAATCTTTTGTTAAGAGACCCATGGCTCAGATAGTTACATGTTTCCCTGTACTGTGTACATGTAAATATCACAGTCCATTTGTCTGTGGATACATTAGTAAGAATTGAATGACAAACTCAAGGCTATCATATTAGGAAATAACCTAGCAGGTCAATTAACTCACTTCCTTCTAACCATGGCAGCATTCTTCCCTCAACAATCAGTCTGGCCTTTGACCAGTTTCATTTTAGAGGAAAAGCATTTGCAAAGTTTCTTTTCACATAAGGTCATTAGCCTCCTGTTTGTAGTACGCTTTTTTTCTTCCTTCTCCCCACCTTTTTTTGGTCAATAGTTCTCTTAAGATAATGAAATTCATACTGTGTTAAATTGCTCAAAGATCTAAAAGTAAAATCTTATTATAATATGACAGGGCTGTGCTAAAAAAAATATTGTGTGTTAGTAACTTTCCATTATATTAACTTACTATTGTAGCTGGAAGTGAAAAAAGCTGAGACTTGTAACAATGAAGCGAGTTTCTTTAAAGGCCTCAATTAAAGACAGGTAGTTGTATTCTGAGGGTTAAATTTAACATAATGTAGTAAGTATATTTTTAAAATGGCAGTAAAATGTGATTTGAGGGCTCTCAAACTTTATGCTGAAGTGTCATTTCTATCTCTAACAGGAAAGGACCATATATTTAATATATTTGGCTTGGTACCGATGTCTGATAGGCTAATGGACACTAGAAATATGTAGAGGGATAGATTTAGATAAAAGAGGCTAGTGATTCATGCTCACTTATCAAACAATGTTTCATTCAGAGTTATGAATAAGCCATAATAAACACAGAGATATGATTTGTAGTTGAGCATCAATAAAAGAAGATTAATATGAGTAGTGAAAAAATAAGCAATAACCAGAAGAGATCAAAAAATTACTGTAAGTAAAAGACTTTTCATCACTCTCCCTTTTGTGTCTGGAAATAAGAGGTTTTTTTTTTGTGTGTGTGTGTGTGTGTTTTAATTTTTAAGCAATAAAATTAAGTGCTTTGGCAATAATATTATATATCACATCTTAAATATGTGTAAATTATCCTGGAGTTACAGGGCACTTCACTTTGTATTACTCAACAGCCTCAAAATCTTGAATGTCCACCTATTCTGTTGAATGAACTGTGCTAGGTGCCATGGGAAGAACTAAAAGGTATACCGTGATCTCTTTCACATATGAAATGAGAGAGCTCAGAGCCCTGTCCAATATGTTTTTCTTTCTATAGCCCCTAAATTAATCCAACATGTGGCAATCTTCAATACCAGGGCAGTTTGAAGGGTCTGCTTAACAGCAATGAGATTTTAATCTAAAGAGCCAAGTAATGCCACATGTATTTGTGAAACCCAAAGGACATGTTTCAAGGTAACAGCATTCCCATAAAACTAACTCATCAAATAGAGCTAAAAACTAGAATAAATTGGAAATGCAATTCGTGTGAATTTACAGATGTATAAAAACCAGGGTCATCAGATCTGGATTTGGGCATAAGAAGGAATACCATGGTGTTTGCTGTATTTGTCATATGTCTGTAGTCACATATCCTAATGCTCTAATCATTTGGATGATGGATTTTTTCCCCTAAGGCTTTGTACATATTTTAGTAATTTGTTGATGGTCATAAATATTTAGACATAAAGTTTGGAATATCAAGGCTCTTTGGCATCGTGCACATGCACGTGTGTGTGTTAAAAATTTTCAAACAGAAAGCATCAAGTTTCTTCAAAGGGTTCTTTTCACTCACTTTTGACATTTCTGATTCTAAGCAATATAAATAGATGGAACCTGCCGTGTATTGAGCCTCCTTTGAAACTGGCCCTGGAATTTTTTCTCTCTTCTGTAGATTTTTATTTTTTTGCAGTGTTTGGGATTTTATCAACAATGGCTGGGGAAGAACTCAAGGTGGTAAGAACAGCTTATAATATAATAACTCCTAGCTTTCTTATCAGATATTAAGAATAAGGGTGCTCATCAGAAAAAGTAACAGCTAACATCATCAGGTGTTTACTATGACCAGGCTTTGCTTTAATTACTTCACATAATTAATTTTATTTAGTCCTCACCATAACCCTGTGACTTAGGTAATATTACCCTCATTTTGCATTTGAGATAACTGAGGCCCAGAGAGTTTAAATAACTTGCACACAAACTGATGGTCTTAAGTGGCAAAACTGGGTGTCATACCCAAGCAGTCTGGCTTCAGAGCCCAAGAAAGTAAACATTTCACTAAACTGTCTTACCCTTAGAGAGTTTTGTTGACAGACCTGAGAGTGGTGTGGTCTGGTCATCGGTATTTTTAAAAAATCTGTTGGAATTCTGGTGAGCTTCCAGAGTTTAGATGCTCTGTCTGAAAGCAAGCTGACCTAGCTTCTTTGAAAAAGAGCCAGTACCCAGGTCTGAAGGGAAAATGGAGGCAGACAGCAGAGATGCTTATGAGCCATCTGATGATAAACACCCACCATATGGTCAAAATGATTCCCACTGCCTCCCAGTGAGGGAAGCAGACACTTTTGCGTATGAAATGCACTGTTTATTTTCTTGTGCAGTGGTTTCAGTTCAAATTAAATGTTTCACGTCAGACAAGGAACTAATAACAAATGATCTCCTTCCTCAGTGGTGCAGTAACAAATATGTAGTAATTTGAAAGCTGGGAAGAAAATTATTACTCCCAAAGACGCAATAAATACACGATATGTTTAGAGAGTCCTTTGATGAAATGAACACTGAAGGTGCTGCTAGCAGTACTTCTGCTTAAGAAAAAAAAGCATAGTCAAAAAAAAGAAGCATTTAAAAATGCTGTCTGATCTGTCAACATTTTGTTAACATGTAATACCTTAAGGACACAACTTAGAAGTAGAATCTTCAGTGAAGCAAAAACTCATTCTTTCTTCACATCACAGGAGATGAAACTAGCAAGTAGAACAGCCAGGCATAAAATTTTGCAGTTTAAAAGCAACTTAGTAAGATAGACTGCTTCTTCCCTCTTTCTTATTTTGATTGGTCTCTGAAAAGGGCAATGGCCCAACATTTTGTTTTTCTTCGGAGAAGTGCCCTGATGCCTGCCCTCCCCTCTCCCCAAGACCCATTTCCATTCTACTCTCTTAGTTCTCACACTATCCTGGGAGATCTGCTGTTTCTTCTTCTCACTGCCAGGCTTCTTGTTTCAAGGACTCCAAAGAAATCAGTTACAGCCCATGTATTTGATTGCATCTGGCCCTCATCTAAAGCATTAGCAGAGGCAAGAAAGAAGTCCAAGGCCAGGAGTACCTGCAGTTGCTAGTGTCCAGTCCTAGGGAAAGTCCAAGGTCAGGTCTCTGCAAGGGGACTTGCCTACTTAATGCTTTCCATAGCCAGCCTTCTTCCTGGATCCTAGCAGGCAGGATACCACACTAAAAGGCAACAGCGCACCCATGTTGAGATCGGGCTTTTTACCTCTACCTTTTTTTATTTTGAAATAAGTATAGATCCACAAGCATTTGCAGAAAAATGTACAGAGAAATCCCATGCACCATTCACCCCTCTGTCCCCAATGTTATCATCTTGCATAATTATAGTACATTATTAAGACCATGAACTTGACATTGGTATAATTTACAGAGTTTATTCAGATTTCACCAGTTATAGATGAACTCATTTGTGTGTATTAGTGTGTATGTGTAGTTCTATACAATTCTATCACTTACGTAGCTTCATGTAACTACCACCACAAACAATTTGTAGAACTGTTCCATTACATCAAGGCAACCTCATGCTACCGCTTTATAGTTACCCCTCCCTCCCAAATCTTAGTCTCTGGCAACTACTAATCTGTTTTCCATTTATATATTACATTATTTCAAGATTATTATATAAATGGAATCATAACATACATAAACTTTTTTCACTGAGCATAATTCCCTTGAGGTCCACCAAAGGTGTTGCATGTATTAATAATTCCTTCTGTTTTTGCAGAGTAGTATTCCACAATATGAACATACCATCATGGTCTGTTTAACCATTCACTTGTTGAAGAACATCTGGGTTGTTTCCAATTTTTGGCTATTACAAATAAAGCTGCTTTGAAAATTACTGTACAGGTCTTTGTGGGTCATATAGCAGTTGCACATTTAGTTTTACAAGAAACTGTCAAACTCTTTCCCAGAGTGGTTGTATCAATTTACATTCTCATCAGCAACATATAAGTGATTTGGTTTATTAACATCTTTGTCAGCATTTGGTGTTGTGACTATTTTTTATTGTAGCCATTCTGATAGCTATGTAGTAATATTTCACTGTGGTTTTAATTGTCCTTTCCATAATGGTTAATGATGTTGAACATTTTTTATGTGCTTATTTGACATCTCTATATTCTCTTTGGTGAAATGTCTATTCATATCTTTTGCCCATTTTCTAATTGAATTGTTGTATTTTTAGTATTGAGTTTTGAAATTTCCTTATATATTCCAGATAGAAGCCCTTTGTCACATAGGTGGTTGCAAATATTTCCTTCAAGTATGTAATTTGTCTTTTTATGTGAACATTATTTTTGCTTGTTTTTTTTCAGTACAAAAGGTTTTAATTTTGATGAGGTACAATTTATCAATTTTTCTTTTTATGGACCATACTTTTGGTGTCAGGTCTAATAACTCTTGTCTAGTCCTAAATCCCAAAGATGTTTTCTTTTCTTATTATTTTGCCAATAGGTGTATAGTTGTCCGATTACTACAACTCCATTCGTTGAGAAGTCTAGCACCCATTCTTCTTCCATTGAATTACTTTTGCATTTTGTCAAAATCAGTTGGGTATATTTGTGGGGTCTATTTCTTGCTTCTCTGTTTTTTTCTATTGACCTATGTGTTTATCCTTCTGCCAATACCACACTGTCTTGATTACTGTATCTATGTAGTAAGCCTTACTAGTAGGAGGAGTGATTTTTCCCTCATCTTTTTGTAAGAAAAAAATTCCTCTTTTTTCACCCTTTTTTTCCTCATTAAATTCCTATTCAAGAGTACATTCAAGAGTAAACTCGTCGGCAATTTTCCTATCCATAAATTAGCTATGGCTAAGAGTTCATTCTATCTAGTCTAAATAGAGTAAGTGCCTTTTGGGAGGAGACAAAGGAACCTGTTTACTGTGGGGGATTGCCAAGTGCACAACTTAGATTTTGTAGGGTAAGAGAATAAGGCAATTCAAGGATATATTTGGTTTACTTTACTACTAACTGTTTTTTTTTAAATTATATTTTAAGTTCTGGGATACATGTACAGAACGTGCAAGTTTGTTACATAGGTATTCACGTGCCATGGTGGTTTGCTGCACCCATCAACCCGTCATCTACATTAGGTATTTCTTCTAATGCTATCCCTCCCCTAGCCCCCCACCCCCCAACAGGGCCCGGTGTGTGATGTTCCCCTCCCTGTGTCCATGTGTTCTCATTGTTCAACTCCCACTTATGAATGAGAACATGTGGTGTTTGGTTTTCTGTTCCTGTGTTAGTTTTTTGAGAATGAGGGTTTCCAGCTTCATCCATGTCCCTGCAAAGGACATGAACTCATCCTTTTTTATGGCTGCATAGTATTCCATGGTGTATATGTGCCACATTTTCTTTATCCAGTCTATCGTTGATGGGCATTTGGGTTGGTTCTAAGTCTTTACTGTTGTGAACAGTGCTGCAGTAAACATACATGTGCATGTGTCTTTATAGTAGAATGATTTCTAATCCTTTGGGTATATACCCAGTAATGGGATTGCTGGGTCAAATGGTATTTCTGGTTCTAGATCACTGAGGAATCACCACACTGTCTTCCACAATGGTTGAACTAATTTGCACTCCCACCAACAGTGTAAAAGTGTTTCTATTTCTTCACATCCTCTCCAGCATCTGTTGTTTCCTGACTTTTTAATGATCGCCATTCTAACTGGCATGAGATGGTATCTCATTGTGGTTTTGATTTGCATTTCTCTAACGACTAGTGATGATGAGCTTTTTTTTTCATGTTTGTTGGCCTGATAAATGTCTTCTGTTGATATGTGTTTATTCATATCCTTCACCCACTTTTTGATGGGGTTGTTTGTTTTTTTCTTGTAAATGTGTTCAAGTTCCTTATAGATTCTGGATATTAGCCCTTTGTCAGATGAATAGATTACAAAATTTTCTCCCATTCTGTAGGTTGCCTATTCACTATGATGATAGTTTCTTTTGTTGTGCAGAGGGTCTTTAGTTTAATTAGATCCCATTTGTCAATTTTGGCTTTTGTTGCCATTGCTTTAGGTATTTTAGTCATGAAGTCTTTGCCCATGCCTATGTACTGAATGGTATCGCCTAGGTTTTCTTCTAGGGTTTTTATGCTCTTAGGTTTTACATTTAAGTATTTAATGCATTTTGAGTTGTTTTTTGTATAAAGTGTAAAAAAGTGGTCCAGTTTCAGTTTTCTGCATATGACTAGCCAGTTTTCCCAACATCATTTATTAAGTAGGGAATCCATTTGCTGTTGCTGTTTTTGTCAGGTTTGTCAAAGATCAGATGGTTGTAGATGTGTGGCATTATTTCTGAGGCCTCTGTTCTGTTCCATTGGTCTATATATCTGTTTTGGTACCAGTACCATGCTGTTTTGGTTACTGTAGCCTTGTAGTATAGTTTGAAGTCAGGTAGCATGATGCCTCCAGCTTTGTTCTTTTTGCTTAGGATTGTCTTGGCTATATGGCCTCTTTTTTGGTTCCATATGAAATTTAAAGTAGTATTTTCTAATTCTGTGATGAAAGTCAGTGGTATCTTGAGGGGGATAGCATTGAATCTATAAGTTACTTTGGGCAGTATGGCCATTTTGATGATATTGATTCTTCCTATCCATAAGCATGGAATGTTTTTCCATTTATTTGTGTCCTCTCTTATTTCCTTGAGCAGTGGTTTGTAGTTCTCCTTGAAGAGGTCCTCCACGTCCCTTGTAAGTTGGATTCCTAGGTATTTTATTTTCTTTGTAGCAATTGTGAATGGGAGTTCACTCATGATTTGGCTCTCTGTTTGTCTATTATTGGTCTATAGGAATGCTTTTGATTTTTTGCACATTGATTTTGTATCCTGGGACTTTGCTGAAGTTGCTTATCAGCTTAAGGAGATTTGGGGCTAAGACGATGGGGTTTTCTAAATATACCATCTTGTCATCTGCAAACAGAGACAATTTGACTTCCTCTTTCCCTAATTGAATACCCTTTATTTCTTTCCCTTGCCTGATTGCCCTGGCCAGAACTTCCAATAGTACGTTGAATAGGAGTGGTGAGAGAGGGCATCCTTGTCTTGTGCCAGTTTTCAAAGGGAATGCTTCCAGCTTTTGCCCATTCAGTATGATATTGGCTGTGGTTTTGTAATATGTAGCTCTTATTATTTTGAGATACATTCCATCAATACTTAGTTTATTGACAGTTTTTAGCATGAAGGGGTGTTGAATTTTATTGAAGGCCTTTTCTGCAACTGTTGAAATAATCATGTGGTTTTTGTCATTGGTGCTGTTTATGTGATTGATTATGTTTATTGATTTGCGTATGTTGAACCAGCCTTGCATCTGAGGGATGAAGCCGACTTGATCGTGGTAGGTAAACTTTTAGATGTGCTGCTGGATTTGGTTTGCCAGTATATTTTGGAGGATTTTTGCATCAGTGTTAATCAGGCGTATTGGCCTGAAATGTTCTTTTTTTAATTGTGTCTCTGCCAGGTTTTAGTATCAGGATGAGTCCCTCTTTTTCTATTGTTTGGAATAGTTTAAGAAGGAATGGTACCAGCTCCTTTTTGTATCTCTGGTAGAATTCAGCTATGAATCCTGGTCCTGGGCTTTTTTTGGTTGGTAGGCTATTAATTACTGCCTCAATTTCAGAACTTGTTATTGCTCTATTCAGCAATTCAACTTCTTCCTGGTTTAGTCTTGGGAGGGTGTATGTGTCCAGGAATATATCCATTTCTTCTAGAGTTTCTAGTTTATTTGCACAGAGGTGATTACAGTATTCTCTGATGGTAGTTTGTATTTCTGTGGGATCAGTGGTGATACTTCCAATTATGTGGTCAATTTTAGAATAATTGTGATGTGGTGCTGAGAAGAGTGTATATTCTGTTGATTTGGGGTGGAGAGTTCTGTAGATGTCTGTTAGGTCTGCTTGGTCCAGAGCTGAACTCAAGTCCTGAATATCCTTGTTAATTTTCCATCTCGTTGATCTGTCTAATATTGACAGTGGGATGTTAAAGTCTCCCACTATTATTGTGTGGGAGTCTAAGTGTCTTTGTAGGTCTCTAAGAACTTGCTTTATGAATCTGGGTGCTCCTGTTTTGGGTGCATATATATTTAGGATAGTTAGCTCTTCTTGTTGCGTTGATCCCTTTACCAGTATGTAATGCCTTTCTTTGTCTTTTTTGCTCTTTGTTGGTTTAAAGCCTGTTTTGTCAGAGACTAGGATTGCAACCCCTGCTTTTTTTGCTTTCCATTTTCTTGGGAATATTCTTCCATTCCTTTATTTTGAGGCTTGTGGGTCTTTACATGTGAGATGGGTCTCCTTGGTACAGCACACCGATGGGTCTTGACTCTTTATCCAATTTGCCAGTCTGTGTCTTTTAACTGGGGCATTTAGCCCATTTACATTTGAAGTTAATATTGTTATGTGTGAATTTGATCCTGTCATTATGATGTTAGCTGGTTATTTTGCCCGTTAGCTGATGCAGTTTCTTCATAGTGTGGGTGGTCTTACAATTTGGTATGTTTTTGCAGTGGCTGGTACTGGTTTTTCCTTTCCATATTTAGTGCTTCCTTCAGGAGCTCTTGTAAGGCAGGCCTGGTGGTGACAAAATCTCTCAGCATTTGCTTGTCTGTAAAGGATTTTATTTCTCATTCGCTTATGAAGCTTAGTTTGGCTGGATATGAAATTCTGGGTTGAAAATTCTTTTCTTTAAGACCATTGAATATTGGCCTCCCTCTCTTCTGGCTTGTAGGGTTTCTGCAGAGAGATCTGCTATTAGTCTGATGGGCTTTCCTTTGTAGGTAACCCGACCTTTCTCTCTGGCTGCCCTTAAGATTTTTTCCTTCATTTCAACCTTGGCGAATCTGACAATTATGTGTCTTTGGGTTGCTCTTCTTGAGGAGTATCTTTGTGGTGTTTTCTGTATTTCCTGAATTTGAATGTTGGCCTGCCTTGCTAGGTTGGGGAAGTTCTCCTGGATAATATCCTGAAGAATGTTTTCCAACTTGGTTCCATTCTCCCCATCACTTTCAGGTACAGCAATCAAACGTAGGTTTGATCTTTGCACATAGTCCCATATTTCTTGGAGGCTTTGTTCCTTTTCATTCTTTTTTCTCTGATCTTGTCTTTACCTTTTATTTCATTAAGTCGATCTTCAATCTCTGATATCCTTTCTTCTGCTTGATTGATTCCGCTATTGATACTTGTGTATGCTTCGCAAAGTTCTTGTGCTGTATTTTTCAGCTCCATCGGGTCATGTATGTTCTTATCTAAGCTGGTTATTCTAGTTACCAATTCCTCTAACCTTTTTTCAAGGTTCTTTGCTTCCTTGAATTGGGTTAGAACATGTTCCTTTAGCTTGAAGGGGTTCATTATTACCCACCTTCTGAAGCCTACTTTTGTCAATTTGTCAAACTCATTCTCTGTCTTGCTGACAAGGAGTTGTGATCCTTTGGAGGAGAAGAGGTATTCTGGTTTTTGGAATTTTTAGCCTTTTTGTGCTGGTTTTTCCTCATCTTCATGGATTCATTTACCTTTGGTCTTTGATGTTGGTGACGTTTGGATGGGGTTTTTGTGTGGACGTCCTTTTCATTGATGTTGATGCTCTTCCTCTCTGTTTGTTAGTTTTCTTTCTAACAGTCAGGCTCCTCTGCTGCAGTTCTGCTGGAGTTTGCTGGAGGTTCACTCCAGACCGTTTGCCTGGGTATCACCAGCGGAGGCTGCAGATCAGCAAAGATTGCTGCCTGTTTCTTCCTCTAGAAGCTTCATCCCAAAGGGGTACCCGCCAGATGCCAGCTGGAGCTCTCTTGTATGAGGTATCTCTTGATCCCTGCTGGGAGGTGTCTTCCTGTCAGGAGGCACAGGGATCAGGGACCCACGTGAGGAGGTAGTGTGTCCCTTAGCAGAGCTCAAACTCTGTGCTGGGAGATCTGCTGCTCTCTTCAGAGCCATCAGGCAGGGATGTTTAAGTCTGCTGAAGCTGCACCCACAGCCGCCCCTTTCTCCAGGTGCTCTGTCACAGGGAGATGGGAGTTTTATCTATAAGCCCCTGAAAGGGGCTGCTGCCTTTCTTTCAGAGATGCCCTGCCCAGAGAGGAGGAATCTAGAGAGGCAGTCTGGCTACAGCGGCTTTGCAGAGCTGTGGTGGGTTCCGCCCAGTTTGAACTTTCCAGGGGCTTGTTTGCACTGTGAGCGGAAAACCATCTACTCAAACCTTAGTAATGGCGTACACCCCTCCCCCCACCAAGCTCGAGCATCCCAGGTCGACTTCAGACTGCTTTGCTGGCAGCAAGAATTTCAAGCCAGTGGATCTTAGCTTGCTGGGCTCTGTGGGGGTGGGATCTGCTAAGCTAGACCACTTGGCTCCCTAGCTTCAGCCCCCTTTCCAGGGGAGTGAACGGTTCTGTCTCGCTGGCATTCCAGGCACCACTGGGGTGTGAAAAAAAACTCCTGCAGCTAGCTCGGTGTCTCCCCAAATGGCCATACAGTTTCGTGCTTGAAACCCAGGGCCCTGGTGGTGTTGGCACCCAAAGGAATCTCCTGGTCTGCGGGTTGCAAAGACCATGGGAAAAGTGTAGTATCTGGGCTGGAATGCACTGTTCCTCAAGGTACAGTCCCTCACAGCTTCCCTTGGCTAGGGGAGGGAGTTCCTTGACCCCTTGCGCTTCTGGGGTAAGACAACACCCCACCCTGCTTCGGCTTGCCCTCTGTGGGCTGCACCCACTGTCTAACCAGTCCCAATGACATGAGTTGGGTACCTCAGTTGGAAGTACAGAAATCACCTGCCTTCTGCATTGATCTCACTGGGAGCTGCAAACTGGAGCTGTTCCTATTAGGCTATCTTGCCAGCCACTGCAAACATCACTACTAATTAGAAATGCACTCTCAAACATCTCAGGCTAGACAGCATAAACAATTTAAGGAACCAAAGTGATATTCAGTCTGGGTGGCCTTCAGATAGTTAACTAGAAGAGCCTCTATGAGAAGTTGTCTGATTTTTGCCTCTGTGGTTTTAAAACTTTTTCCATCATGAGGAAGCTGAAAACCACGGGGTTAAGCCATTGGCCTAATTAAAAAACAAATCAGAGAAAAACAAACAAAACCCCCAAATTTCTAACTTTGTTTCTCCCCAACTGCTGACTGCTGATATCCACTTTACCCCTTTAAGATAAGCTTTTAAGTCCTTATAACATGTAAGCATCACTGGGAGGGCTGATGTTTTCAAGATTTCTTGATAACTTCCTTCTTAGCATGAGTCTGTGCATTTCATCCTTTATTGAGATTGAATTTTTTTGTGGGGAAAGGAGTAGAAGAGATCCTATAAAAGTACTCAGTATGGGACGATCGAGAGGGCCATAGGAGAGCCTAGGATGGAGAGGTCAGTGGTTCTGAGGACAAACTTTTTCCTGTTCATCATGCTTTCCAAAGCCAAGTTTGCCTTAGACTCTTAGCTTTCTGTGCCAATTATGCAATTATCCTTCTCTTTTACTTAGATGGTTATCATTACAAAAATAAAAATCTAGCTTTATCTTTCTTCTTCATATATACTACATTCTATTAATCATTTGGTTATTCTGAGGTTGTTTGAGGAAGGTTGAAATAGGATACTTGGAAGGCTGTCATATATGTGAAAGAAAAAGCCTCATTTAATACATCTAAACCAAATAAATTCTATTTAATTCCATTGAATTTTACGTGGTTCAGTTCAATTCAATTAAACATTTACCACATGTTAAGCAAATGCCAGACACTGAGTTCTGGTTCCAAATATGTGTGTTAAGCCAAAACAGAACCACTTCTGGGACATGTGTACTGGCACCCAAACCAGTCACTCCACTCTTACCAGGACAGAAAGTTGTATTTTTAACAATAAAGACAGAAGAAAGTTAAGGTTATCAACTGAGGACAAAAAATGGATTTCTGAATGGAAGTTACATCTCTTTGAGTCCAACTGTGACATGCTTCCTGGAGGGTGAGTTCATAATTTCCTGGCTTTTCCTTATCTGACATTCCAGCAGTGGATCAGAGGGCTGTTGAGAGAAAAAGTGGGCTGGGACATGATAGTTAGACCAAGATAGTATGATAAAGGGAATGCAGCCTCAGAGCAAGTATATATTATGGGGATTTATTCCTGAAAATGATTGTGGATTGATACCTCCATTATAAGTCTCACACTCTTGATTTCAGTGAGCTGCAGAAAAGAATGCTCATTATGTTTCGAAGAAGGTGCAAGCTTGTGCTGACTTTATGTCAAGCTGGATAAGTGCAAATGGGCTGGGATCTTAAAATACATTTGGTGGCTTCTCCTGTCATTGTGTTGCGTGCCTAACACAACAGTGTCTTTGCTTTGGAAAATGATGTTGCCTGGTTCTTGGATCCAGTTAAACTTTGGAAGCCAAGCAAAAGGAATCTGGATCAAGCAGAAGTGAATTTTTTAATCATAGACCAAATAGCTTCAACTTTCTTCTCAGGCTGATTCTCAGAAGTCAAACACCCTTAAACGCAGAAACATTTGAGGCACAGCCATCTTCTTCATGCAGGAAAGTCATATGGCTGGGTCAGGATGGCTGGCCACTGTGACAAACCTGGCTAGTAGGCACCTAAAACTTTGCAGGGAACTGCAAGGTATTTCTCATGCTATGCAGGCAGAATTGGTGGAGGGATTGTCCAGGTCTCTTTCCTAAATGTCAAAGCACAGGCGTTCACCCAAGAGAAGCACTCATTGAGTAGCTACACATCTTTTCCTTCCCTCCAAGTCTTCTGATATAGAGTGGTGAGCCAGTGAGATCAGCTTAAATCATACTTCAGGACATGCCACTGACTACTTCGTGGCTGTAAGGGAGGTGGGGTGAGAGGCAAGTGTGAGAAATACGTCAGGTCATAATACACAAAGGTTTACAGTATGTCCTACACTCCTTGTAAATTGTGAAGCCTCTTAGTGGTAAGGAAAGTCAAAAGCAAGCAAGATGACTGATTTAAGTACCTATTATGCAACATCTTCTAAGTTGAGGTTTTCAAAGTAGGCACTTCTTGCTTGTTCTTCAGCCATTTATAGGTTATGTTTATGAAACCCAGAGATAGTGGGAAAGTACCTCACTTTCTACCCACCTCAGATATAGCTGAGCCAGTAACTGGAATATTTATGAGGGACAGACCTGGAAGCAGGGAACCACTGTGAGAATGAGAACCTCTAGCCAATTATTTGTACAATCAAATCAAGTTATTTAGGTCCTAACTTGCACCTCTGAGGCTTTTACTGGTTATTGTTTTTGCTGCTTTCTTCTGGGGATTGCTTCTAGAACAGGAATAAGGGAAATATGAATCAGTAAGATGTGTATAACATGTCAGCATCTCTGATCAAAAGTTTCAGTGGTAACATGGAAAAAATGTTTAGCTTCAATGATAATCAAAGGAATGCAAATTAGAATATTGAGATTCCTCCCCCACATCAAAATAGTAAAGAAGGGAAAATGAAAATACCTAGAGCCGAAGAAATTATGATGCAATAGGCACACTCATATGTTGCTGGCCGGACTATAAATTGGTACAACTTTTTGGCAAACAATGTGGCAGTGTTTATATCCCTTGATGTGATTATTCAGCTTCTGGGAATCTGTGTATCCTCAGGGAGTTATATAAAGTAGGTAAGGTTTTAGGCACGGATATGCTCATTGTAACTTATTTATTGTAGCCAAATACTGGACACAACCAAAGTGTATGGGAGTGTGGGAATATGTTTAAGTTCATTATGGCATATCCACATGATGTGCTACCAGGCAGTCATTAAAAATGTGTTCACAAGGAGGTTTTAATAACATGGGGGAAATACTTATGTTTCAATATTAACTGGAGAAAAAAAGAGCACAAGCCTTTATACATAGAGTGAACACAATCATATTTAAAAATGTGTGTATAAACACACAGTGAAAAGGAGGGAAGGAAATGCAACTGAATGATAACAATGATTGAGTTTGAGTGGTGGTTCTATGACTGATTTTTTCCTGATTTTTACTTTTTTGGTATTTTTTTTTCAAATTTTTTACACTGACTATGTACTACTGCTGTAACTGAGAAAATTTTTATTCAAAAATATTCAGTGAACAGTGGGATTAGGAATTCAAAATATTGACAAATATGAATTTGGTAGATCATCGAGAGGTTTTATTTAGCTATCTTCTTCCTATTTCCTTTTAGGCCTGAGAGTTGTGAAGTAATTGTGTTTAAGTCACAGCCTATGTAACTCTGTATGACTCATTTTACAGATTCTTCCAACTCTATACATGGCTCTGTCCTAGGCCACATATAAGAGAACAGAAAAATATTAATAACTATCCTTTATTTAGTGTTTACTGTGTGCTGGGAGTTAGGATAAGTACTTGTCATTTATTTTTTCATTTAATTATCACAAAAAGTCTTTGATGTAGCTTATGTTATTACTATAATCATTTTACAGTCATGAAAACTGAGGCTTAGAGAAGTTAGATGACAATCTAAAACTACAGCTAGTCAATTGTAGACTAAGAATTCAAATCTATGTCTGTCTTAATGATTATAGTAGATGTACTTCTTGCTTTCAGTAAATGAATGAATAATAAGACCTATGAAAAATGTTTCAGGTTGGACACTTTTGCCTGCATGTACCAGAAAACTCAATGAAGAGTGGTTTAAGCCATGAGGCCATTATATTATTACTTACCAGCAAGCCTGGAATTAGGTAATTCCACGGACGTTTCAGCAGCTCTATAATCCCTGGGTATGGGGTAGAATCCTTGGGATTCTTTTTGCCTTTCTCCAGTTTGAAGATGGCTGCAGAAGAATTAAGTAAGCATCATGTTCTCACAGGCAAGTGTTCTAAACAGGGAGGAAAGGAAGGGGCTTTATTTTTGCAGCATTTTCTTTTTCTTTCTTTTGTTTTCTCCATAACATTGTTTTATTTATTTATTATTTTTATATTGTTTTATTTTTAAATTTAAATTTTAAGTTTGGGGGTACAAGTGCAGGTTTATTATATAGGTAAACTTGTCCTATATGGGGGATTTATTGTACAGGTTATTTTGTCACCCAGGTATTAAGTCGAGTACCCATTAGTTATTTTTCCTGATCCTCTCCCTCCTCCCACCCTACATCCTCTGATATGCCCAGTGTGTGTTGTTTCCCTCTATGTGTCCCTGTGTTCTCGTCATTTAGCTCCCACTTGTAAGTGAGAACATGCGGTATTTGGCTTTCTGTTCCTGTACAAGTTTGCTAAGGATAATGGCCTCCAGGTCCATCCATGTCCCTGAAAAGGACATGAGCTTTTTCTTTTTCATGGCTGCATTGTATTCTATGGTGTATATGTACCACATTTCCTTTATCCAGTTTATAATTGATGGGCATTTAGGTTGATTCCATGTCTTTATTTTTGTGAATAGTGCTGTGATGAACATACATGTGCATGTGTCTTCATGATAGAATGATTTATACTCCTCTTGGTATATACCCAGTAATGGGATTGCTGGGTCAAATACTATTTATGTTTTTAGGTCTTTGAGGAATCACCACACTGTCTTCCACAATGGTTGCACTAATTTACACTCCGAGCAACCGTGTACAAGCATTACTTTCTTTGCAACCTCTCCAGCACCTCTTGTTTCCTGACTTTTTAGTGATCACCATTCTGACTGGTGTGAGATGGTATCTCATTGTGGTTTTAATTTGCATTTCTCTAAGTATCAGTGATGTTGAACTTTTTATTTTATTTTTATTTATTTATTTATTTAATTATTATACTTTAAGTTTTAGGGTACATGTGCACAATGTGCAGGTTAGTTACATACGTATACATGTGCCATGCTGGTGTGCTGCACCCATTAACTCGTCATTTAGCATTAGGTATATCCCCTAAAGCTACCCCTCTCCCCTCCCCCCACCCCACAACAGTCCCCAGAGTGTGATGTTCCCCTTCCTGTGTCCATGTGTTCTCATTGTTCAATTCCCACCTATGAGTGAGAAGATGCGGTGTTTGGTTTTTTGTTCTTGCGATAGTTTACTGAGAATGATGATTTCCAATTTCATCCATGTCCCTACAAAGGACATGAACTCATCATTTTTTATGGCTGCATAGTATTCCATGGTGTATATGTGCCACATTTTCTTAATCCAGTCTATCATTGTTGGACATTTGGGTTGGTTCCAAGTCTTTGCTATTGTGAATAGTGCCACAATAAACATACATGTGCATGTGTCTTTATAGCAGCATGATTTATAGTCCTTTGGGTATATATCCAGTAACGGGATGGCTGGGTCAAATGGTATTTCTAGTTCTAGGTCCCTGAGGAATCGCCACACTGACTTCCACAATGGTTGAACTAGTTTACAGTCCTACCAACAGTGTAAAAGTGTTCCTATTTCTCCACATCCTCTCCAGCACCTGTTGTTTCCTGACTTTTTAATGATTGCCATTCTAACTGGTGTGAGATGGTATCTCATTGTGGTTTTGATTTGCATTTCTCTGATGGCCAGTGATGGTGAGCATTTTTTCATGTGTTTTTTGGCTGCATAAATGTCTTCTTTTGAGAAGTGTCTGTTTATGTCCTTTGCCCACTTTTTGAAGGGGTTGTTTGTTTTTTTCTTGTAAATTTGTTTGAGTTCATTGTAGATTCTGGATATTAGCCCTTTGTCAGATGAGTAGGTTGCGAAAATTTTCTGCCATTTTGTAGGTTGCCTGTTCACTCTGATGGTGGTTTCTTTTGCTGTGCAGAAGCTCTTTAGTTTAATTAGATCCCATTTGTCAATTTTGGCTTTTGTTGCCATTGCTTTTGGTGTTTTAGACATGAAGTCCTTGCCCATGCCTGTGTCCTGAATGGTAATGCCTAGGTTTTCTTCTAGGGTTTTTATGGTTTAAGGTCTAACATTTAAGTCTTTAATCCATCTTGAATTAATTTTTGTATAAGGTGTAAGGAAGGGATCCAGTTTCAGCTTTCTACATATGGCTAGCCAGTTTTCCCAGCACCATTTATTCAATAGGGAATCCTTTCCCCATTTCCTGTTTTTGTCAGGTTAGTTTGGTTGTAGATGTGTGGTATTATTTCTGAGGGTTCCGTTCTGTTCCATTGATCTATATCTCTGTTTTGGTACCAGTACCATGCTATTTTGGTTACTGTAGCCTTGTAGTATAGTTTGAAGTCAGGTAGTGTGATGCCTCCAGCTTTGTTCTTTTGGCTTAGGATTGACTTGGCGATTTGGGCTCTTTTTTGGTTCCATATGAACTTTAAAGTAGTTGTTTCCAATTCTGTGAAGAAAGTCATTGGTAGCTTGATGGGGATGGCATTGAATCTATAAATTACCTTGGGCAGTATGGCCATTTTCACGATATTGATTCTTCCTACCCATGAGCATGGAATGTTCTTCCATTTGTTTGTATCCTCTTTTATTTCCTTGAGCAGTGGTTTGTAGTTCTCCTTGAAGAGGTCCTTCACATCCCTTGTAAGTTGGATTCCTAGGTATTTTATTCTCTTTGAAGCAATTGTGAATGGGAGTTCACTCATGATTTGGCTCTCTGTTTGTCTGTTATTGGTGTATAAGAATGCTTGTGATTTTTGTACATTGATTTTGTATCCTGAGACTTTGCTGAAGTTGCTTATCAGCTTAAGGAGATTTTGGGCTGAGACAATGGGGTTTTCTAGATATACAATCATGTCATCTGCAAACAGGGCCAATTTGACTTCCTCTTTTCCTAATTGAATACCCTTTATTTCCTTCTCCTGCCTGATTGCCCTGGCCAGAACTTCCAACACTATGTTGAATAGGAGTGGTGAGAGACGGCATCCCTCTCTTGTGCCAGTTTTCAAAGGGAATGCTTCCAGTTTTTGCCCATTCATTATGATATTGGCTGTGGGTTTGTCATAGATAGCTCTTATTATTTTGAGATACATCCCATCAATACCTAATTTATTGACAGTTTTTGGCATGAAGGGTTGTTGAATTTTGTCAAAGGCCTTTTCTGCATCTATTGATATAGTCATGTGGTTTTTGTCTTTGGTTCTGTTTATATGCCGGATTACATTTATTGATTTGTGTATATTGAACCAGCCTTGCATCCCAGGGATGAAGCCCACTTGATCATGGTGGATAAGCTTTTTGATGTGCTGCTGGATTCGGTTTGCCAGTATTTTATTGAGGATTATGGCATCAATGTTCATCAAGGATATTGGTCTAAAATTCTCTTTTTTGGTTGTGTCTCTGCCCGGCTTTGGTATCAGGATGATGCTGGCCTCATAAAATGAGTTAGGGAGGATTCCCTCTTTTTCTATTGATTGGAATAGTTTCAGAAGGAATGGTACCAGTTGCTCCTTGTACCTCTGGTAGAATTCGGCTGTGAATCCATCTGGTCCTGGACTCTTTTTGGTTGGTAAGCTATTGATTATTGCCACAATTTCAGAGCCTGTTATTGGTCTATTCAGAGATTCAACTTCTTCCTGGTTTAGTCTTGGGAGGGTGTATGTGTCGAGGAATTTATCCATTTCTTCTAGATTTTCTAGTTTATTTGCGTAGAGGTGTTTGTAGTATTCTCTGATGGTAGTTTGTATTTCTGTGGGATCGGTGGTGATATCCCCTTTATCATTTTTTATTGCGTCTATTTGATTCTTCTCTCTTTTCTTCTTTATTAGTCTTGCTAGTGGTCTATCAATTTTGTTGATCCTTTCAAAAAACCAGCTCCTGGATTCATTAATTTTTTGAAGGGTTTTTTATGTCTCTATTTCCTTCAGTTCTGCTCTGATTTTAGTTATTTCTTGCCTTCTGCTAGCTTTTGAATATGTTTGCTGTTGCTTTTCTAGTTCTTTTAATTGTGATGTTAGGGTGTCAATTTTGGATCTTTCCTGCTTTCTCTTGTGGGCATTTAGTGCTATAAATTTCCCTCTACACACTGCTTTGAATGCGTCCCAGAGATTCTGGTATGTTGTGTCTTTGTTCTCGTTGGTTTCAAAGAACATCTTTATTTCTGCCTTCATTTCGTTATGTACCCAATAGTCATTCAGGAGCAGGTTGTTCAGTTTCCATGTAGTTGAGCGGTTTTGAGTGAGTTTCCTAATCCTGAGTTCTAGTTTGATTGCACTGTGGTCTGAGAGATAGTTTGTTATAATTTCTGTTCTTTTACATTTGCTGAGGAGAACTTTACTTCCAACTATGTGGTCAATTTTGGAATAGGTGTGGTGTGGTGCTGAAAAAAATGTATATTCTGTTGATTTGGGGTGGAGAGTTCTGTAGATGTCTATTAGGTCCACTTGGTGCAGGGCTGAGTTCAATTCCTGGGTATCCTTGTTGACTTTCTGTCTCGTTGATCTGTCTAATGTTGACAGTGGGGTGTTAAAGTCTCCCATTATTATTGTGTGGGAGTCTAAGTCTCTTTGTAGGTCACTCAGGACTTGCTTTATGAATCTGGTTGCTCCTGTATTGGGTGCATATATATTTAGGATAGTTAGTTCTTCTTGTGGAATTGATCCCTTTACCATTATGTAATGGCCTTCTTTGTCTCTTTTGATCTTAGTTGGTTTAAAGTCTGTTTTATCAGAGACTAGGATTGCAACCCCTGTCTTTTTTTGTTTTCCATTTGCTTGGTAGATCTTCCTCCATCCTTTTATTTTGAGCCTATATGTGTCTCTGCACATGAGATGGGTTTCCTGAATACAGCACACTGATGGGTCTTGACTCTTTATCCAATTTGCCAGTCTGTGTCTTTTAATTGGAGCATTTAGTCCATTTACATTTAAAGTTAATATTGTTATGTGTGAATTTGATCCTGTCATTATGATGTTAGCTGGTTATTTTGCTCGTTAGTTGATGCAGTTTCTTCCTAGCCTCGATGGTCTTTACAATTTGGCATGATTTTGCAGTGGCTGGTACCGGTTGTTCCTTTCCATGTTTAGTGCTTCCTTCAGGAGCTCTTTTAGGGCAGGCCTGGTGGTGACAAAATCTCTCAGCATTTACTTGTCTGTAAAGTATTTTATTTCTCCTTCACTTATGAAGCTTAGTTTGGCTGGATATGAAATTCTGGGTTGAAAATTCTTTTCTTTAAGAATGTTGAATATTGGCCTCCACTCTCTTCTGGCTTGTACAGTTTCTGTCGAGAGATCTGCTGTTAGTCTGATGGGCTTCCCTTTGTGGGTAACCCGACCTTTCTCTCTGGCTGCCCTTAACATTTTGTCCTTCATTTCAACTTTGGTGAATCTGACAATTATGTGTCTTGGAGTTGCTCTTCTCGAGGAGTATCTTTGTGGCGTTCTCTGTATTTCCTGAATCTGAATGTTGGCCTGCCTTGCTAGATTGGGGAAGTTCTCCTGGATAATATCTTGCAGAGTGTTTTTTAACTTGGTTCCATTCTCCCCGTCACGTTCAGGTACACCAGTCAGATGTAGATTTGGTCTTTTCACATAGTCCCATATTTCTTGGAGGCTTTGTTCATTTCTTTTTGTTGTTTTTTCTCCAAACTTCCCTTCTTGCTTCATTTCATTCATTTCATCTTCCATCACTGATACCCTTTCTTCCAGTTGATCGCATCGGCTCCTGAGGCTTCTGCATTCTTCACGTAGTTCTCAAGCCTTGGCTTTCAGCTCCATCAGCTCCTTTAAGCACTTCTCTGTATTGGTTATTCTAGTTATACATTTGTCTAAATTTTTTTCAAAGTTTTTAACTTCTTTGCCTTTGGTTTGAATTTCTTCCTCTAGCCCAGAGTAGTTTGATCGTCTGAAGCCTTCTTCTGTCAACTCGTCAAAATCATTCTCCGTACAGCTTTATTCCATTGCTAGTGAGGAGCTGCATTCCTTTGGAGGAGGAGAGGTGCTCTGCTTTTTAGAGTTTCCAGTTTTTCTGCTCTGTTTTTTCCCCATCTTTGTGGTTTTATCTACTTTTGGTCTTTGATGCAGGTGATGTACAGATGGGTTTTTGCTGTGGATGTCCTTTCTGTTTGTTAGTTTTCCTTCTAACAGACAGGACCCTCAGGTGCAGGTCTGTTGGAGTTTGCTAGAGGTCCACTCCAGACCCTGTTTGCCTGGGTACCAGCAGCGGTGGCTGCAGAACAGCGGATTTTCGTGAACCGCGAATGCTGCTGTCTGATCTTTCCTCTGGAAGTTTTGTCTCAGAGGAGTACCCGGCCGTGTGAGGTGTCAGTCTACCCCTACTGGGGGGTGCCTCCCAGTTAGGCTGCTCGGGGGTCAGGGGTCAGGGACCCACTTGAGGAGGCAGTCTGCCCGTTCTCAGATCTCCAGCTGCGTGCTGGGAGAACCACTGCTCTCTTCAAAGCTGTCAGACAGGGACATTTAAGTCTGCAGAGGTTACTGCTGTCTTTTTGTTTGTCTATGCCCTGCCCCTAGAGGTGGAGTCTACAGAGGCAGGCAGGCCTCCTTGAGCTGTGGTGGGCTCCACCCAGTTCGAGCTTCCCAGCTGCTTTATTTACCTAAGCGAGCCTGGGCAATGGCGGGCGCCCCTCCCCCAGCCTCGCTGCCGCCTTGCAGTTTGATCTCAGACTGCTGTGCTAGCCATCAGCGAGACTCCGTGGGCGTTGGACCCTCCGAGCCATGTGCGGGATATAATCTCCTGGTGTGCCATTTTTTAAGCCCATCGGAAAAGCGCAGTATTAGGGTGGGAGTGACCCGATTTTCCAGGTGCCGTCTGTCACCCCTTTCTTTGACTAGGAAAGGGAACTCCCTGACCCCTTGCACTTCCTGAGTGAGGCAATGCCTCACCCTGCTTTGGCTCACGCACGGTGTGCCTCACCCACTGTCCTGCATCCACTGTCTGGCACTCCCTAGTGAGATGAACCCGGTACCTCAGATGGAAATGCAGAAATCACCCGTCTTCTGCTTCACTCATGCTGGGAGCTGTAGACCGGAGCTGTTCCTATTCAACCATCTTGGCTCGATGTTGAGCTTTTTAAAATACGATTCTTGACTTCATATGTCTTCTTTTGAAAAGTGTCTGTTCATGTCCTTTGCCCACTTTTTAATGTTTTTTTTTCGTGTAAATCTGTTTAAGTACTTTATAGATGTGGGACATTAGACCTTTGTCAGATTAATAGATTGCAAAAATTTTCTCCCACTCTGTACATTGTCTGTTCACTCAGTTGATAGTTTCTTTTGTTGTGCAGAAGCTCTTTAGTTTAATTAGATCTCATGTGCCAATTTTTGCTTTTGTTGCAATTGCTTTTGGCGTCTTCATTAGGAAATCTTTGCTCATGCCTATGTTCAGAATGGTATTGCCTAGGTTGTCTTCCAGGGTTTTACATTTAAGTCTTTAAATTTAGTTTTCGGTTTAAATTGAGTTTTTACTTTTGGGTTTTACATTTAAGTCTTTACTCAATCTTGAGTTAACTTTTGTATATGGTGTAAGCAAGGGGTCCAGTTTCAATCTTCTGCATTTGGCTAGCCAGTTATCCCAGCACCATCTATTGCATAGGGAATTCTTTCCCCATTGCTTATTTTTTGTCAGGTTTTTCAAAGATCAGATAGTTGTAGGTGATTGGCCTTATTTCTGGATTTTCTATTCTGTTCCATTGGTCTTTCTGTCTGTTTTTCTACCAGTACCATGTTGTTTTGGCTACTGTAGCACTGTAATACAGTTTGAAGTTAGATAGCATGATGCCTTCAGCTTTGTTCTTTTTGCTTAGGATTGCCTTGGCCATTTGGGCTCTTTTTTGGTTACACATGAATTTCAAAATAGTTTTTTTTCTAGTTCTGTGAAGCATATCATTGGTAGTTTAATAGGAATAGTGTTGAACCTATAAATTGCTTTGGGCAGTATGGCCATTTTAAATGATATTGACTCTTCCTCTCCATGAGCATGGAATGCTTTTTCATTTGTTTTTGCCATCTCTGATTTCTTTGAGCAGTGTTTTGTAGTTCTCCTTGTAGAGATCTTCCACCTCCCTGGTTGGCTGTATTCCTAGGTATTATATATTTGTTGTGGCAATTGTGAATGAGATTGCATTCCTCATTTGGCTCTTGGTTTGGCTGTTCTTGGTGTATGGGAGTGCTAGTGATTTCCGTATGTTGATTCTGTATCCTGAGACTTTGTTGAAGTTCTTTATTAGCTGGAGGAGCTTTTGGGCCAAGACTAGATATGGGATCATGTCTTCTGTAAACAGGAATTGTTTGACTTCCTTTCTTCCTTTTTGGATGCCCTTTCTTTCTCTTTCTTGCCTGATTACTCTGGCCAGGACTTCCAATACTATGTGGAATGGGAGTGGTGAGAGATGGCATCCTTGTCTTATGCCAGTTTTCAAGGGGAATGCTTCCAGCTTTTGCATATTCAGTGGGTTTGTTGTAGATGGCTCTTATTATTTTGAGGTATGTTCCTTTAATACTTAGTTTATTGAGGGTTTTTAATATGAAGGGGTGTTGAATTCTATCAAAAGTCTTTTCTCTATCTATTAAGATAAATATGTAGTTCTGTCATTAGTTCTGTTTAGGATGAATCACATTTATTGATTTGTGTGTGTTGAACCAACCTTACATTTCAGGGATAAAGCCTACTTGATTGTAATGAATAAGCTTTTTGATGTACTGCTGGATTTGGTTTGCCAGTATTTTGTTGAGGATTTTTGCATCAATTTTCTTCAAGAATATTGGCTGAAGTTTTCTGTTTCTGTTGTTTCTCTGCCAGGTTTTGGTATCAGGATGATGCTGGCCTTATAGATTGAGTTAGGGAAGAGTCCCTCCTCCTCAATTTTTTGTAATAGTTTCAGCAGGAGTGGTGCCAGCTCTTCTTTGTACATCTGGTAAAACTCAGCTGTGAATCTGTCTGGTCCTGGGCTTTTTTTTGGTTGATATGCTATTTATTACTGATTCAATTTTAGAGCTCATTATCAGTCTGTTCAGGTGCTCGATTTCTTATTGGTTCAGTCTTGGGAGGGTGTATGTGTCCAGGAATTTATCCATTTTTTTCTAGATTTTCTAATATATGTGCATAGAGGTGTTCTTAATATTCTCTGATGGTTATTTGTATTTCTGTGGGGTCGGTATAAATATTTCCCTTGTTGTTTCTGATTTTGTTTATTTGAATCTTCTCTCTTTTCTTCTTTGTTAGTGTAGCTAAAGGTCTATATATTTTATTAATGTTTTTTCCAAAAACCAACTCTTAGATTCACTGATCTTTTGAATGGTTTTTCATGTCTCAATCTCCTTCAGTTCAGCTATGATTTTGGTTATTTTTTGTCTTTTGCTAGATTTGGGGTTTGTTTGTTCTTGATTCCCTAGATCTTTTAGTTGTGATGTTAGCTTCTTAAATTGAGATCATTGTAACTTTTAGATGTGGACATGTAGTGTTATAAATTTCCCTTTTAACACTGTCTTTGTGGTGTCCCAGAGATTCTGGTATGTTGTATCTTTGTTCCCATTAGTTTCAAAGAACTTCTTGGTTTCTGCCTTAATTTCATTATTTACCCAAAAGTCATTCAGAAGCAGGTTATTCAATTTAAGTGTAATTGTATGGTTTTGAGTGAATTATTTAGTCTTGATTTCTAATTTAATTGTCTTGTAGTCTGGGAGATTGTTATGATTTCAGTTCCTTTGTTTTTGCTGAAGAGTGTTTTACTTCTGATTATGTGATCAATCTGAGAGTACATGCCATGTGGCGATGAGAAGAATGTATATTCTGTTTTTGTGGGCGGGGGTGGACAGTTCTGTAGATATCTATCAGGTCCATATGATTCAGTGCTGAGTTCAGGTCCTGAATATCTTTGTTAACTTTCTTACTCAATGATCTGTCTAACATTGTCAGTAGGGTGTTAAAGTCTCTCACTATTATTGTGTGGGAGTCTAAGTCTATTTGAAGGTCTCTAAGAACTTGCTTTATTAATCTGGGTGCTCCAGTGTTGGGTGCATATATATTTAGGATAGTTAGATCTTCTTGTTGAATGGAACCCTTTACCATTATGTAATGTCCTTCTTTTTGTTTTTGATCTTTTTTGGTTTAAATCTGTTTTGTCAGAAACCAGGATTGCAACCCCTACCTGTTTCTGTTTTCCATTTGCTTGGTAAGATTTTCCTCCATCCCTTTACTTTGAGCCTATGTGTGTCATTGCATGTGAAATGGATCTCTTGAAGACAGCATACCAATGGGTCTTGGTTCTTTATCTGGCTTGCCATTCTGTGTCTTTTAATTGGGGCAATTAGCACATTTACATTTAAGGTTATTATTGAAATGTATAGATTTGATCCTGTCATGATGTTAGCTGGTCATCTTGAAGTCTTATTTATGAAGCTGCTTTATAGTGTCACTGTTTTGTGTAATTCAGTGTGTTTTTTAGAGGCTGGTGATGGTCTTTCCTTTCCATATTTAGTGCTTCCTTCAGGAGCTCTTGTAAGGCCAATCTGCTCATAACAAATTCCCTCAGCATTTGTTTGTCTGAAAAGGATCTTATTTCTCCTTGACATATGAAGCTTAGTTTAGCCAGATGTAAAATTCTGAGTTGGAATTTCTTTTCCTTAAGAATGTAGAATATTGGCCCCCAATCTCTTCTAGCTTGTAGAGTTTCTGCTGAGAGGTCCACTGTTAGTCTGATGGATTTCCCTTTGTAGGTGACCTGACCTTTCTCTCTAGCTGTCTTTAACATTTTTCTTTCATTTTGACCTTGCAGAGTCATGATTGTGTCTTAGGGATGATCTTCCTGTGACGTATCTTACTGGGGTTCTCTGCATATCCTGAATTTGAATGTTGGCCTATCTGATTTGGGAAAGTTCTCATGGATGATATCCTAAAATATGTTTTCCAAGTTGGTTCCATTCTCCCCATCTCTTTCAGGGACATCAATGAGTCATAGATTTTGTCTCTACATAATCCCATATTTTTCAGAGGTTTTGATCATTTTTATTGTTTTTTTTTCCTCTATTCTTGTCTGACTGTCTTACTTCAGAAGGACAGTCTTCAAGCTCTGAGATTCTTTCTTTCACTTGGTCTATTATGCTATTAATACTTATGACTGCATTATGAAATTCTTTTTTTTTTTTTTTTTTGAGACAGAGTCTTGCTCTGTCACCCAGGCTGGAGTGCAGTGGCGTGATCTTGGCTCACTGCAAACTCCGCTTCCTGGGTTCACGCCATTCTCCTGCCTCAGCCTCCCGAGTAGCTGGGACTACAGGCGCCCACCACCATGCATGGCTAATTTTTTGTATTTTTAGTAGAGACGGAGTTTCACTGTGTTAGCCAGGATGGTCTCGATCTCCTGACCTTGTGATCTGCCCGCCTTGGCCTCCCAAAGTGCTGGGATTACAGGCGTGAGCCACCGCGCCCGGTCATGAAATTCTTGTAGTGAGTTTTTCAGCTCTATCAGGTCAGTTACATTCTTTTCTATAGTGTCTATTTTATCTGTCAGCTCCTACATTGTTTCATCTTGATTCTTAGCTTCGTTGGATTGAGTTTCAATGTATTCCTTTAGCTCAATGATCTTCATTCCTATCCATATTCTGAATTTTATTTCTGTCATTTCAGCCATCTCAGCCCAATTCAGAATGCTTGCTGGACAGGTGATACAGTTATTTGGAGGAAAGAAGGTATTCTGGCTTTTTGAGTTGCCAGGGTTCTTGCTCTGGTTCTTTCTCATATTTGTGGACTTATGTACCTTCATTCTTTGAGGTGGCTGAACTTTGGATGGGTTCTTTTTCTTTTATCTTATTTGATGACCTTGAGGGTTTGGTTGTGTTATAAGGTGAATTCAGCTGACTGGCTTCATTTCTGGAAGATTTTAGGGGGACAACGCTCATCTCCCAACTCCTAGATTGCATGCTCTAACTCTGGGGGACTTGTATTGAAGGCCCCTGACTTTGTTTTCTGGCTCCTTGAGGTTGGGGATCCACCGCCCTTGAAGCGGTGGGGGTGGGGGGCATGCTGAGATGCTCCTGGACCACTGGTCACTACACTTTGGTGGGTGGCATCAGCCAAAGTGTTTTGTAGTGTGATGACAGTAGGTTTCATCCTTGTTGCATGGACCAGCAGTAGCCATCGTGGCAGCACAGTGGGGTGCATGCTCATTGGCTGCATCAGGGTGCTAGTGGGTGCTGGGGTATCTGCCTCTCTGTGGACGTTCACCACAGTGGCTTATGCAAGCCACTAGGAGGGGAGAATTGAGGGGCAGGCCCTGCTGGTGACTCTGTTTATGGTGATATTGGTTCTGGGCCATTTTCTTTTTATTATGGAGAAAAATCACACAAGTCTCTGCAGCATATTTCTGCTTATGTCTCTGTTAGGAGACATAGGAGACAATTATCACTTGTATTTCAGTACATCTTGTGAACAGAGACACTGATAGCTTTTGTTCTGGACTATTTTTTTCAAGGATGCCTATATAGTAAATAGCTGTGGAAGATAGAGATAATGCCTTCTTCCAGGGCAAAGGTCAAACATGTTTACTGCCCATCATAAAATATTTGGGTTTTCTATACTTAGGTTTCCTCTCCTGTAGCATAATCCACTGAGTATGCAGGTGTCCTGTGGCCCTGTTTGTATCAACCTGTGGGAATTGGGGACTGGAGAATGGGCTTAAGAAAATGCTGATACTCTGGTTACTGCTGTTGCTATGAATGGTGAAGTCCTTTGTCTCTGTCCCGGGAGTTGTGTGTTTTCTGCCAGTATCCATAATATTACATCACTATGGCAGGCTAACTTGTTAGCTTATAAGTAGGGTAAGATCTCTGACCTTTCACAGTTCTGAGTCTTACTGGTCAGAATTTTTTCATATGGTCACCCCTTACTGTGAGGGAGGTTGGAATAGAGATTGTACAGCAAAGGAAAATGGAATAATCATATTTGGCTTACATATATTATAATTCATTCTCTGGGGCTGAGCACATTACTCCTCTGACCAAGGTTTCTTTTAGCAAGAAAGTAGAAGAAACTGTTGTTGAGTATGTGACCAACAGTGTTTGCCACAGTGAATGGCCACCATAAAAGAGAGAATGTGACACACACTTCAGGATAGTTTAAACAGTGGACTCTGTAGCTTCAGTGAAGAAAGGCATTATTTTGTTTGAGAGCTTAGCATTAGAGACAACTCCATAAAAAGGTAATACTTAATATGTGCCATGAAAAACAGCCAGAATTTTGATATTAGCTTGGTGCAAAAGTAATTGCGGTTTTTGAAATCACTTTTAATGGCAAAAACCGCAACTATTTTGCACCAACCTGCAATAGATCATGATGGGGATGGGCTAGGATGGTAGGAAGATATTCCAGGCAAAGGACTAGCACGAGTCAAGGTATAATGTAAAGAAGACACACAGCATATTCAGGGAGGCAGTATAGATGGGTTAATTTTTACCCTAAAGTCAAATCTTATATATCACCTACAGAACAAAGGTCGAATACTGGAGTTTATAATGAGCTCTGTGAAACTGGAAAGATCATTTTGTCACTTCCTTTCAGTGTTTGCAAGATGGCAAGATGCAGCATGCCATCTTGCAATTTACATGGCAAAAATAATATGGATATTGGCTGTGGAGTTACTATGGAGGTAAAAATGATTAAAATATATCATTACTACAGTTCATGTGATTAAAAGGGCAAATCAGTTGAGAACTGTCCTATTAAATAGTGTGCTCTCTACAAGTTCCCTTCTTATAGAGAGCAGAAAGACACACATTAGAAATTAGAGGCCTGGGTTTGAGAACTAATATACTCTGCCTCTTGACTCATTTTCCTTAGTTATAAAATAGGGGTTTTGAATTTGATGTTCCTAAAGGTTTTCCAGCTGTGATATTTTACATATTTCCAGATCAGAATAATTACTCCCCCAATCATATACAATGAGTCTCCCCTTGATCACTCCCCCACTTCTCCTATTTAACACACATACATACCACACACTGGCAGCATGATGCATAGACACACTAAGACATGAGCTTTGATCCCATTAAATATTTTCATATCAAAGTCCTGTTGAAGCTGTGCCTTCCTTGTGGAGTTTATTTTTAATTTACTCTGCATATGCCAAATCATTCTGCGGTGGGCAAGGTCAATTTGGGACTAGGAACTGGAACTGGAAGGCTCATAGTTTTAGAGCTGGCATTTCAGGTAATATCTGCCAGGTTAGTCCTCTATTCTACGAATTCCCCTGGAGTAAAAGCTTATTTTCTACAATTTTTCCTATCTGCTATTTTTAATGCCCTATCAAATGCGTTATCAATTTGTGTGACCTGTGATTGCTCCATAACTCAGCTCACAGAGGAATTAAGGTAAGACCAACTTCATGCAGAGAAATCTCTGTCATCAGCTTTCATTATGGGGCTTCTCTTTGTCATCTCCTTCAAAAGCCTGTCACTGTGGAGTGTTCCTTCAGTGCAAAAGGGCTGGAAGAAGCTCAGTCTGTTTGGAGCCTGTCATTCTTTATGTGCTCCTTTGTGATGGATAGAAAATGGCAGTAGGTGAGGAATCTTGTTCTGAGAGCCTAATACAGAAGGACAGTAGAAATGCATCCAGTACAGAAGTCAGAGCCTCAGAGCAGATTCTTTTGTCTTGGAGGTTACTGCACTCCATTTCTCAAAGAAGACTGACAACCTCAACAATTAGCAATGCCAGTCATGGCACTGTCTGAGCTCCCACTGTGTGCTCCTCACTCTTCTAGGCACACAGCTGAGGGGGAATAGTAGGATGCATGATTACAAGGAGCTTGCTATCTAGCTGAGCAAATATGTATTGTTTTTAATTTTTTGTTTTTAAGACGGAGTCTTGCAGTGTTGCCCAGGCTGGAGTACAACAGCGTGATCTTGGCTCACTGCAACCTCTGCCTGCTGGGTTCATGTGATACTCCTGCCTCAGCCTCTCTAGCAGCTGGGATTACAGGCACACACCACCACACCTGGCTATTTTTTTTTTGTATTTTTAGTAGAGATGGGGTTTTACTATGTTGGCCAGACTGGTCTTGAACTCCTGACCTCGTGATCCACCACACGCCTTGGCCTCCCAAAGTGCTGGGATTACAGGCATGAGCAAAGATGTATTTTTAAGGGGATAAGAAATGACTTACAAGAACATTTGTGAAACAGCATACGAATAAGTGAAAATTAATGTGGTGCAACTAAAATAGGGAGAGGCTGTGGAAGCCCAGAATGAAGAGGTGACCTATTGAAGCAAGGTCAATAAGAAAAGGCTTCCCTAAGGAGGAAAATTTTAAGCTGAATTTTGAACAAAGGAGGCCCATAACACATACACACAGTGCTCCTGGCACCATTCCTTTATTCGGTATTTATTTGGCTTCTGTTGTAGCATGGCACTATGAAGGATACTTTGGAGATACACAGAGGTACAAAGTTCCAGCCCTGCCTTACCCCAGGAGCTTCAGGTCTGTTAAGGAGGTTCACATATTCCCGACTCCTGATGTTTCGTTGCGTATGGAGTGATATCTCATCAGTATAACACTCCTGGCCTCTCTCTGCCTTCTAACCTGATCCTTTCCTGGGGGTAATTGGTGACTACTTGATTGATGAGTTTGAGAGAAGGCACTAGGCAGGTGAGGCTCAGCTGTGCCCTTCTGCTTCCATGTGAGAGCCAGCAGCCTTGCAGGAAACACACATTCTAGTCTGCTCCTGCGTGCTTTAACTCGTATAGGTGCAGGTCCCCACAAGGGGAGGCCTGCTGGCTTCCAGTGTCATTTGTGACTGGGTGGTTAAGTCTATCAAATTCTGGGGTACACATTTAGGAAGCCCACCTAAGCTATGCCCTTGACTCTAAACTTCAGCAGTGAAAGAGGTGACATTCTAGTTTTTACCAGCCTGACCTCTTTGCCTACTATGCAATTGACTCAGAATTCAGAGGAGTGGAATTTATTTGGCCTCCTCTCCATCCCCAACCAAAGTCTAATAGAAGATTTGAGACAAGTCTAGTCCATATATAATGGTAAGAAAAGGTGAATATGATAAGCACCATAAGCGTGGCTTGGCTGTTTTTGAGATTCTGCTCCTGACCCTGCAAAGCCTGTCACCAATATAGAAAAAGTACCTTTTGAGACTCTCGACGTTTACAGAATTGGATGCAGTGGCCCCATTTCACTTGCTTTCAACTGTCTCTTGACTTTCTAGTTGTTGACTTTTACTGTTCCTTTTATTTCTACCCCTGACTTGTCTTCTGAGTCCCTGACTGTATATCCAATTGCCTACTTGACATCTCCACCTGGATGTTGCACAGGTTTCTCAAACTTTAAGTGACCAAAATTGAACTCTTTAGTTCCCAGAGTTCTACCCCAACTGACATCTCTCCCAGTTTTCCTCATCTCAGTAAATGGTACCACCATCCATCCAGATGCTCAAGCAAAAGATGTTTGTGTAGTCTATTTGTATGATTATTTGGTCAATGTCTTCTTGTTTCTCTTGGGTGTTATTGCTTCCTCCCCCGACTTTCTTTGTGCTGTAAGTACTGTATCTCTCAGGGTGCCTGGCACATAAGGAGTACTCAACAGATATTTGTTGAATAAATATATTCTGTTCATTAACTGTAATTCTAGCCTTGTCATTGTGATGTAGCAGTTTGTTTGGCTTTTGACCTTTAAAGTTTTCCCCCTTGAATTCTAGCATCATCTTGCCCCTCTCCCTCCAATACTAAAATGTGCTTTAGTCCTACACTACTATAGATAGATTACTGTGAGAACTCAGAAGTGGCTGGGATGAAAGAATGATGGACGGTTCATGGAGGAAGAAAAATTTGAGCTGGATCTTGAAAGAACCAGGAGTGTAGAGAGGTAGAAGCAAGAGAATGAGACTTTTCTGGTGGAAGAAGTCACTAGGGAAAGTTGTAGAGGTAAGAAAGCACTGAGCATTTTTGGAACATGGCCAATAGACCAATTTGTGAAGGAGTAGAATTAAAGCTACAGTTGGAAAGTTAGGATACAGCTAGTTTGTGGAGAGAAGCAGTACCTACAATCCATCTAGGAAATATGGATCTGCTTGGTAAATCATGCAATATGAACTCTTCACTAAAACTGTTAAACTATAAATGAAAGCTGCATAGAGAGAGTATAAAATTAAAATCTGTTTCATTAGGTTGTGACCAATTTCTTTGTAAAATGAGTATGGCTGAATTTTAGAGAATTTCGCAGAAATATGCTGCTTTTGACAATGTTCATATTTCTTGTAAAATTCTTCACATCCTCAACATTCTGTCAGATTTGCTGTGAAATTCTGTGAGTGCAATTATTCCCCTTGTCATCTCATGAAAACGCATGTTTTAGGTTCGTCTGTTCCACTCCAGTTTTCCTCTAGATTCCTAGGAGAAATAAACCCCGGCTCAAGACAGTGAAAATGCAGCTATGGGTGGGAGGGAGGGGCTTTTGCTTTCTTTAGAATTTTCAGTTAAGGAGCCTCCACTGGCCTCAGCATCAGGTAATAATTAGTGTATAATATAGAAGATTGTGAGAAAGTTTTCAATTTCATAAAGAATAATTGCTGAAGAGAAAATGGATCCATTTTCCCAGTTCCTCACTTGAACACATTTGTGCTGGCTGCTTGCTTTTTTGAATTGGAGGCCACCCAGCAAGTTGCTGTTTTTAGCAGTGATTATTTTACCAGGCCTACTTCTGTGTCTATTTTATTTTTTCAGAAATGCTTTCCCCTTTGGGTGGGCTGCACTGGGATAGGGATGTTCCTGAGTCTACTGGGCTTGGGCATATTGTACATGAATTTAAGAAAAGAATGTCTTCCTCACTTTTGCCTGACTCAGGAGGACTGAAGAACCGCCTTCTACAATGTGGAGGGTCGCCATGTGGGAAAGTGAGTAGACATTCTTTGGAGCTGCAGAGGGCAGATATAAGACTAATGGCAGAAGTTACGAAGAGGAAGACTTGGTTTGGCAAAGGAACCAATCAGAGCTGCTCAGAAAAAAAAATGGGCTGCCTAGTCAGGTGATGAATGACCTTTGTGTCCCTGAAAGTGTTTAAATAGAGGTGAGATGGCAAACTGTCATGGATGTAGTAGAGAGAATTCCTGCATAGCTCTGCTTATCTGAATCCTACTGCCTTTCTATTGAATTCTGCCAGTGTTTAAAGACCAAGCCCTAATACAGTTTTCTGCACAAGACCTTGCCTAGTTACCTTCTAAAGCAACTGTCTACTCTCCACACTTGACACCAACCATTTATGGCCCTATGTTGTTAGTTCAAGGTGTCAAAATAGCTGTCCCCAGATATATATAACACAAAACCACTGTATTTCTTATGGATGATATGTACAGCAACCTTTCCTTTTACCCCATTCCTGAAATTTACCCTAACCTTCCCCATCCCCATCCTTTTGAGAATCCAGGATGGCATGAGACTCAGAGAAGAGAGAGAATATCTACATCAAATATTCTTTATTTTGCACTTACCTTATTCAAGTCCCCATTCTAGGCATCAGTGGGCACAATACATCAGTGAACAAAGTAAACAAAGATCCCTGGCTTGTGAAGCTTACATGTATGTAAAGTACCAGCACATAGAGAGCACACTATATATACTATATTAACTTCCTTTTCTTTCAAATATACTCAGCTCGTATGGTGTTAAAGAAGTAACATTTATTGAACACCTAATATGTGTTGTGTGCTTTACACATGTGATCTTATTCAATTTGTGAAACAATCCCATGAAGTAGATCGTCTCATCTATACTTTTACAACTGAAAAACTGAGGGTTACGAGATTAAGTAACTTACCCAAGACCAAACCATAAGTATCCCAGGTACGATTTGGTTTTTTAAATAATAAATTTTATTGTGTATATTTAAGGTACACGATGTGCTGTTATGGGATACAAATAGACAGTAAAAAGGCTCCTATGGTTGATATGGTTTGGATCTGTGTCCCCACCCAAATTTCATGTTGAAGTGTAATCCTCAATATTGGAGGTTGGGCATGGTGGGAGGTGATTTGATCATGGGGGTGGATCCTTTATGAATGGTTTAGCACCATCCCCTTGGTGCTATTCTCGTAACAGTGAATGGGTTCTTGTGAGAGGTGGTCATTTAAGTGTATGGCACCTCCCCCTCCTCTCTTCCTTGCTTCCGCTTCTGCCATGTAAGATCTCTCACTTTGCCTTCCGCCATGAGTAAAAGCTCCCTGAGGCCTCCCTAGAAGCTGATGCCATCATGCTTCCTGTACAGCCTTCAGAACTGTGAGCCAATCAAACTTCTTTTCTTTATAAATTACCCAGTCTCAGGTATTTTTTTTTTTTTTTTTGAGACGGAGTCTCGCCTTGTCGCCCAGGCTGGAGTGCAGTGGCACGATCTCGGCTCACTGCAAGCTCTGCCTCCCGGGTTCACACCATTCTCCTGCCTCAGCCTCCCGAGTAGCTGGGACTACAGTTGCCCGCCACCACGCCTGGCTATTTTTTTGTATTTTTTTTAGTAGAGATGGGGTTTCACCGTGTTAGCCAGGATGGTCTTGATCTCCTGACCTCGTGATCCGCCTGCCTCGGCCTCCCAAAGTGCTGAGATTACAGGCGTGAGCCACTGCGCCCGGCCAGTCTCAGGTATTTCTTTACAACAATGCGATCATGGACTAATACAGTGGTGAAGCAAATTAACATATCCATTGTCTCACATAGTTACCTTTTTTGTTTTTGTTTTTGTGTCAAGAGCAGCTAAAGTCTAGTCATTTAGCAAGGATCCCAAATACAGTACAATTTGATTAACTATATAGTCTCCATGTTGTACATTAGATCTCTAGACTTATTCATCCTATATATCTGTTACTTTGCAACCTCTGATCTACATCAGAGAAGGAAATGAGGTTCCATTTCGTCCTCCAACCCTGCCCCTGGTAACCAGTTTTATTTTCTCTGTATATTTGAGTTTTATTTTAGATTCCACTATGAGATCAGGAAATATTTATCTTTCTATGTCTGGCTTATTTCACTTGGTATAATGCCCTTCAGTTTCATCCATATTGTGGCAAATGACAAGATCTCCTTTTTTAAAGCTGAATAATATTCCGTTGTGTATATATACCGCAGTTTCTTTATCCATTCATCTGGTAATGGACACTTAGGTTGTTTACAGAGATTGGCTATTGTAAATAATGCTACATTGAATTTGGGAGTGCAGATATCTTTATGAGATGATGATTTCATTTTCTTTGAATATATGCCCAGAAGAAGGAATGTTGGGACATATAGCAGTTCTATTTTTAATTTCTTTAGGAACATCCATACTGTTTTTCATAATGGCTACATCAATCTACATTCCCTCCAATAGTATACTAGAGTTCCCTTTCTCCACACTTCTCCAGCATTTGTTGTCTCCTGACTTTTTGATAATAGCCATCTTAATGGATGTGAGGTGGTGTATCATTGTAGTTTTGATTTGCATATCCCTGATAACTAACGATGTTGAGTACCTTTTCATATACCTGTTGGCCATTTTTATGTCTTCTTTGGAGAAGTGTCTATTCAGATCATTTGCCCATTTTGAAATTGGGTTTTATTCCCTACTATGGAATTGTATGAGTTCTTTATAAAGTTTGGTTATTAATCCCTTATGAGATATATGGTTTGCAAATATTTTTTTCCCAATCTGTAAGTTGCCATTTCATTTTATTGATTGTGTCATTTGCTGTGCTGAAGGTTTTTAGTTTTATGTAGTCCTCTTTGTTTTTGCTTTTGTAGCCTGAGCTTTTGGTGTGAGATGTGTGTGTGTGTGCGTGTGTGTGTATATATATATAACTTATTGCCAAGGCCAATGTCAAGGAGCTTTCCCCCTATGTTCTCTTCTAGGAGTTTTATGATTTCAGGTCTTATATTTAGGTCTTTTATCCATTTTGAGTTGATTTTTGTGTATGGTGTAAGACAAGGGTCTAATTTCATTCTTCTACATGTGGAAATCCAGTTTTTCCAGTACCATTTATTGAAGACATTATCCTCTCCCTGTTGTCTCTTCTTGGCGCCCTTGTTGAAAATTAATCGATCATATAAGTTTGGCTTTACTTAGCACAAGTGCAATTTGAACACAGATTTGTCTGATTTTACACGCATGCTCTTTTCTTATGCTGCTTTCAAGAAGCATGGTTTTTTTTGTTGTTGTTGTTATTCCATGGCTGGTTACTGTCTACCTAATTGAAGATTATGTTTTGAAAAATGAAATTATGGTCTTTAAAGGCATGGCTTTCATACTTTAGACATAAGAATCACCCAGAAAGCTTGATGAAAATGAATATATCTGAACTCAAGTGAGTTCAGGAATCTGCATTTTAACAGGTACCCACCCCCAAGTAATTCTGATATGTGTAAGCCACAGACCACACTTTAAGAGACCTAATGTCCTTTGACGCTCTAACACTTTGTGCTTCTATGAGATTTTTACTAGTCCCAATCTTGTTACAAGGACATTTTAAGAACACTCCTGGAATTCATTAGCAATTGATGTAGTCATTATCATCATCTCCACCACCACCTCCAGCACCATCAGAGGCAGTTGTTTTCTGTGTGTAAGCCACTTGATCGATGTATTGTTTTTTTCTGGGAAACACCTGTGGAAGTGGTGACCTTTTCTGTTCTGCAGGGATTACCTGGCTGGCTGGGTAGCCCATGCAAAATCAACAAAATCAAATAGTTGTAGGACTGGCTTTATAAAGCTGTAAAAGTGTAATTAGTGACTTGTTTTTATATCATATGCCATGAGAATAATCAGTGTTGTAGATTTGGACTATTCAGTCCTACTGAAGGGCTGATTTTTCTCACTCACTGAATTTCCTTTTCTTTCCATGCCCACAATGGACCCTCCCACCACCTTTTGAAAATGTTGCATTAGTGGACCCATTGTTGACAAGAGGAGCTTTGTGCTTTGGGGCTGCTGAACATTTTTGAGAGTGAGGTTGACTGGGTACTTACCAATCAGCAATATGTGGTTTCAACAGCTACTTGGAATTTGCGTGTGCTTCTACACAACAGCATTGTAAGAGATGAGAGTATCCCTTACATCATCGTAACATGGTTCTGGGCCCTTAATATACAATTGATTGGTCATTCACATTTATGGATTGTTTACCATTTGCCAAACACTGTACTAAGTGCTTTACAAGCTAGTTGTCTTGTTTAATTCTCCTAATACCCCTGTAGGTGCTTTCATAATCTCCATTTTACAAATGAGGAAACTGTACTTGGAACTCAGATAACTTAAGCAATTTGTTCAAGCTCTCACAGCTAGAAAGTTGGAGAGCCTGGATTTGAACCCAATTTGATGACAAAGCTTTTCCCTTTCTTCTCAACCTGTGTACTATATGCTTTATGAAAATGAAAGGCCAGTATCTTAGAGGAGCTTGAACATTTGTATTGAGATTAAGGGCTTACAGGTTGATCTGGAAGAGAAAGGGATTCAATCATGTTTGAATTTCTCAAAACATAATTCTTGCTAACAAATCTCTGTTTTCTTTTCTTCCTTTTTTATATTAACAAATCTTTTCAATATGTCTGTGCACTTGGTAAATAGCTAATGATAATGGCTGCCACCTGTACTCCTCAGAAAAGGATTGAAAGAACACAATTACAATTAATGTACACGAAAATGAAAATAGTCAAATTAACACAGAGCATTACAGTGCAGGATGAAATGTGGCAACAGTTTTGCCATAGAAATAAGCTTGGGCTAATTAGGCATTACTTTTCCCATTGAAGAGCCTGTAGCTTCATAGCCACTTTGCCTCTCATCTCTATTTGGGCGGTATCTCTAGAAGCAGCCAGAAAACACAGTAGTTCAGTGCTTGCTTAGATCTCAGCCTTCCCGCTTCATTTTCTCTTTGCTTCCATGTATGTATGCAGTGCAGCCCCATTCCTTTTGGCATTTATTATTGTTGTTATTATTTTTATTATCATTTCTGTTTTCATTCCAAAAGTAATTCCTATTATTGTTTAAATCTGAATTTTAAAGAGAAAGGTGAAAAGTAAAAATTCTCCTCCTTTCCCACCTATCCTTACTCAGTAGTAGTCAGTAGTCACTGTTAAGTTTCTTATATATTTTTCCAGAAACTTTCTATGCATATATAATATTTGTACACATACATATACCCATATATAGCTTTCAAGATATTTATATTTTCACAGTCTTTGACAACTTAATGGGTGGAAAAGTGAGATCATGTTGTTTTATTTTGCATTTATTTAATTACAAGTCATGTTGAATATGTATTTGTATATTTACTTGTGATTAGCATTTCTTATTCTGTGAACCACACATTTTCTATTTATATGTTTTTCTTAATGAATTTTAAGAGCTCTTTGAATATGAAAGAAATTAGCCATTTTTCTCTGTCAACTACATAGCAAACATTTGTTCTTAATTTTTCATTTGTTTTCTGCCTTTGTAATGGTAATTGTTCTTTGCCATACAGAAGGTTTTAATTTTTATGTAGCTAAATGTGTCAAATATTTTCTTCAGAGATTCTGTGTTTTATATCTTCGTTAGAAAAACCTTTCCTATTTCAGTATTATTTTAAAATTTCATTTATGTTTCTATCTGGCCCTTCTTTTAAACTGAATTTAAAATTTGTATTTAACAATATTGAAGGACTTAATGCAAATTAGATACTATGAGTGTGCTCTAGGAAGGTTCTAGAAATGTTAGATAAATCATAACAAACCACCTATTAAATATATAACATCGCTAAAGAAAACGAAGAATATTTCTAGGATCCAGAAATAAAGTGGGAGCTAAAAATTGAGGGGTAAACACATATTTTATGATGTGGATGCCCTCGGTGGGGGTTGCTATGGTTTGAGTTTGTCCCCACCAAAACTCATGCTGAAATTTAATCCCCAAACTGGTAGCATTGAGAGGTGTGGCCTCATGGGAGGTGTTTGGGTCATGGGGTCAGATCCCTTATGAATAGCTTGGTGCCATTCTCACTGTAGTGAGTTCTTGTGGTAGTGAGTTCTCGCTCTGGCAAGACTTGGTTAGTTCTTGTGGAATGGGTTAGTTCTCTCCAGAGTGAGTGGTTATAAAGCCAAGATGCCCCTCATTTAGCATGTGACTACTTTTCCTTTGACCTTCTCCACTATGTTTTGACCTAGCACGTGGCCTTCACCAGAAGTGCAGCAGCTGCTGGCACCACCATGCTTCTTGTACTTAGCCTGCAGAATTGTGAACTAAATAACATTCTTTTCGTTACAAATTACCCAGCCTCAAGTATTCTGTTATAGAAACACAAAATGGACTAAGAGGTAGAGGGTGTATCAGGCTCAGTCTAAAAGCTTATGTTTTAACATGTATTTGGGGAAAAGAGATAAAACCTTAAGTAAGGAAAAGTGCCTCTCACATGGAGCCATAACTTTGAAGGGTTACAACTTTAATGCATGGGTGAATGAGAAAAATAAAAAAAAAATACATGCCATAATACTAGGAAACAACAAAGAAGCTTATCTTTGTCTAGGATCTGGGTGAGAAAAAAGTTTCTCCTGAAAATTTCTATCAACAGGTCTGTGACTCTCATAGGTCCAGAGTTTTTATTTATATTACATGCAGAGTTTAGTTAGGCATCTGCAAGGCAAAAAATTCGACATAGAATTGTTTCCAGGGCGGTGATAAAATCAGGCTGCAAAAGAGTTCTATATATAAGGTCCTGCTGAAGAAGAACTTGCCACCCAACATCATATAAAACAAAACAAAATGAAGCAAAAACCACGTCACCATGAGATGTGGAAGTACGATAAGAAGCAGGATTAGAATCCCAAGAATATAATAAAATAGAACAATCCAATAGAGTCCATCAAGTTAGAATGTTTAGAACCATAACAGAAATAAGATAAAGGACTGAAAACATTAAAGAGAATAATAATAAACTATATAAACAGGTAGATTATAAATAATAGAATATCCAAAATAAAAATATAGACATTGAAATTTAAAAAGTCCTGAATAGATATAATAGCAAATTAGAGGCAGCTCTAAAGAGAAGTAATTAAACTGAAAGAGATTGGATGAAATTAGCCAGAATGAAACATAGATGGGAAACAAAACTAAGGTTAAGAGACATAGAGAAGGTGTGTGTGTGTGTGTGTGTGTGTCTGTGTATTTATAATAAAAACACATGAAATGCCAAATTTATACACACACATTCATGTTATATATATGATTGACATTATACAGAGAGAATAGAGAATAAGGGGAAAACAAAATTCAAGGAAACAATGACTAAGAAGTTTATAGCATTGAGGAAAGAATTGAATCCACATTGTGGAAGTATAATGGATCCCTAGCAGGAAAAGTAGAAATAAATTTTTACTTTGACTCATCATGGTGCAACTACAGAGCATCAAGGACAAAGAAGAGCTTAAAAGGTAGCAGAGAAACAGGACTGTTTAACAGCAAGGAATGACAATTAGTCTGACAGCAGAATTCTCAACAGCAACAATAGAAATCAGAAGAAAGTTGAATAATGGCTTCAAAGTCAGGTTGAAATAATGAACAACACTGAATTCAGAAAGAGGGAGTAAGATGTAAGAAGAGCTGGCAAATAGGCGGTGGCTGGCAAGATGGCCGAATAGTAACAGCTCCTGTCTGCTGCTCCCAGCGAGATCAACCCAGAAGGTGGGTGATTTCTGTATTTCCAATTGAGGTACCCGGCTCATCTCATTGGGAGTGGTTAGATAGTGGGTGCGGCCCACGGAGAATGAGCCGAAGCAGGGTGGGGCATTGCCTCACCCGGGAAGTGCAAGGGGTCGGGGAACTCCCTCCCCTAGCCAAGGGAAGCCCTGAGGGACTCTGCATTGAAGAACAGTGCACTCTGGCCGAGATACTATGCTCTTCCAACAATCTTCGCAACCCAACCCGCAGACCAGGAGATTCCCTCTGGTGCCTAAGCCACCAGGGCCCTGGGTTGCAAGCACAAAACTTGGCTGCCATCTGGGCAGACACCAAGCTAGCTGTAGGTGTTTTTGTTTTTGTTTTTTTAATACCCTAGTGGCACTTGAAACGCCAGCGAGACAGAACCATTCACTCCCCTGGAAAGGGGGCTGAAGCCAGGGAGCCAAGTGGTCTAGCTCAGCGGATCCCACCCCCATGGAGCCCAGCAAGCTAAGATCCACTGGCTTGAAATTCTCGCTGCCAGCACAGCAGTCTGAAATTGACCTGGGATGCTTGAGCTTAGTGGGGGGAGGGGCGTCCACCATTACTGAGGCTTGGGTAGGCGGTTTACCCCTCACAATGTAAACAAAGCCTCCTAGAAGTTCGAACTGACCGATGGGTTCTCATTCTAAAAAATTTCATTAGGTAAGCACAAGGATATCTGTGCAAGATTGTTCACTGAAGCATTGTTTTGCATGTGTGTGTGTTTATTAATTAATTCATTTTTTCTTAATCACATTTCTTTCTTTATTTTTCCTAAAAATAAAAACAGAATACATGTGCAGAATGTGACGGTTTGTTACATAGGTATACGTGTGCCATGGTGATTTGCTGCACCTATTGATCTGTCCTCTAAGTTTCCTCCCGTTACTCCCCACCCCACAACAGGCCCTGGTGTGTGTTGTTCCCCTCTCAGTGTCCATGTGTTCTCAATGTTCAACTCTCACTTATGAGTGAGAACATGCAATGTTTGATTTTCTGTTCCTGTGTTAGTTTGCTGAGGATGATGGCTTCCAGCTTCATCCATGTCCCTGGAAAGGACATGATCTCATTTCTTTTTATGGCTGCATAGTATTCCATGATGTGTATGTACCACATTTTCTTTATCCAGTCTATCATTGATGGGCATTTCGGTTGGTTCCATGTCTTTGCTATTGTAAATAGTTCTGCAATAAACACACATGTGCATGTGTCTTTATAGTGGAATGATTTATAATCCTTTGGGTATATACCTAGTAATGGGATTGCAGGGTCAAATGGTATTTCTGGTTCTAGATCCTTGAGGAATCTCCTTACTGCCTTCCACAATGGTTGAACTAATTTACATTCCCACCAACAGTGTAAAAGTGTTCCTATTTCTCCACAGCCTCTCCTGCATCTATTGTTTCTTGACTTTTTAATAATCGCCATTCTGACTGGCATGAGATGTTATCTCATTGTGGTTTTAATTTGCATTTCTCTGATGATCAGTGACGTTGAGCTTTTTTTCATATGTTTGTTGGCCACATAAATGTCTTCTTTTGAGACGCATCTGTTCATATCCTTTGCCTACTTTTTTGATGAGGTGGTTTGTCTTTTTTCTTGTAAATATGTTTAAGTTCATTATAGATTCTGGATATTAGCCCTTTGTCGGATGGATAGATTGCAAAAATTTTCTCCCATTCTGTAGGTTGCCTGTTCACTCTGATGATAGTTTCTTTTGTTGTGCAGAGCTCTTTAGTTTAATAAGACTGTCATTTGTCAATTTTGCAAGCATTGTTTTAGTAGTAAAATATTAGAAACATCCTAAATGTACATGGACAAGAGAATGATTAAATAAATCCCGATATAATTACACAATGGTGTGGTGTGGTCATGGCACCAAAAGTGAAATGTCACTGAAAGTGGATACTCCAGAACTATGTGTATGAAAACGAGTAAGCCTGACAAAACACTTTGAATAAAAAATGCAAGTGGTAAAATAATATGTAGACTGTTATGTCATTTATATAAAGTTAAACAAATGAAAATACTGAATATTGTTCCCGGATAATACTACATGTCCATTTAGTAGATATTTAAAAGCACACATGGAAATATTAGACACCAAAATAAAGATAATAAATAGCTAAGATTTGGAGGGGCAGGGAGGAAAGGAGCAATGGATTAAGAAAATGTATCCAAGGGGTGGTTGGTAAAACTTTGTGTGTGTGTGTGTGTGTGTATTTATATATATGCATACACATACAAATATATACTATCTATATATCTATACCTAAATCTATTTTGTACCTGAAATATTTTGTAATTGAAAAAAGAAAAATAAAGAGCAACATACACTTCTATAACCACACCAAACAGAGGTAACTGTTATTTCATTTTAGTGAGTATCCTTTCAGTATGTGTATATATATGTGTCTGAAATGGGTCTAGTTGGACTAAGATTGATGTGTCAGCAGGACTGTGTTTCTATCTAGAACCTCTAGCGGAGGATCCATTTCCTTGTTTTTTCCAGCTTCAAGAGGACGTCTGCATTCCTTGGCTTGTGGCCCCCTTTCTCCATCTTCAAAGTCAGCAAACCTCATTTCTTGGACCATTCTTCTGTAGTCGTATCTCCCTCTGTCCCTCCTCTTCTGCTGTCCTCTTCTGCTCTTAAGAACACACATGATTAGATTGAACCCACCTGATAATCCTGGATAATCTTCTCATATTAAATTCCTTAACCCAAATCACATTTACAAAGTTCCTTTTCCCAGATTCCAAAGTTTAGGAGGTGAATGTTTTTGGGGGGCCATTATTCTGCCTGCTGCCATATATATATATATATACACACACACACACATACACATACACACACACACATACACACACACACACACACAAAGTTTCTCTATATGTGTACATATATGCAGTATATATGTGTGTGTATATATACACACACATATGCATATATGCAGATTTAAAAATTCAAATTCTACTTTAGGTACAGTTTTGTGCCCTGATTTTTAAATACTTAATATTAGATGATGAACATTTTTTTTCATCTTCAACTTTTAAGTTGCAGGGTACCTGTGCAGGATGTGCAGGTTTGTTAAATAGGTAAATGTGTGCCATGTTGGTTTGCTGCACAGATCATCCCATCACCTAGGTATTAAGCCCAGCATGCATTAGCTATTGTTCCTGATTTTCTTCCTGCCCCCTGCCCGACAGGCCCCATTGTGTGTTGTTCTCCCCGCCATGTCCATGTGTGATGATGAACATTTTTAATAACTCTAAATATTATCTGAGAATATACTTTTAAATTACTATATAATGCTCAATTATATGCATTATTATATTTTATTCAATTAATTTCCTTATTTTGTCCTGGAGATACTTTAATAAATAATTTTGCAAGGATATTCTTGTACATATGTATTTTGGTTTGTCACTGTTTCTTCAGAAATTACTTAATCAAATGTATCAAATGTCTTACTCATTTTGAATGCTAATACTTATTTTCAATTCACTTTCCTAAAAGGGTTTACCAATAGCGTATGTTACTCTTACCAATCATTAGCAAGAGTTTATCCATTCCCCACCTTTTTACCAACACATTTTCCTACTTACACAAACAAGTAAGCAAGCAAACAAACAAATGAAAATTTCAATAAGTTTTGTATGTGAGGTCTCTAGTTTTTCTATTATCAGCGACTGCTTTTAAAAGTTTGCTCAGGGGTTACGTAGCTGTAGGTTGTCATTGGCCTGGTGCATAGATACACAAAAGCAGCACTGCAACTCCCAAAGATAAAGGAAAGAGATTTTTTGGCCTCAGAGGAGTCAACCAATTCATACCAAGAGTTTCCTGTTAAATCTAGTAGACAGGTTTCCCACTTCTCTCTTCCTTAAATGAATTGCAAACATTTGCAAACATGAGGCTAAAACTTTATGGGGTTTGTTATATTTGATAATTCTTCAATGAAGGATCATTCAGGTTTGGGCAGAGAAAGAGCTTTCTGCTTAGATGATTGATTTGGACCTGCAGTGTATCTTGAGATAATTATTTCTAGATTAGAGAAAAAGTGAAAAGCAGCATATTGAGAAATGTGTATTTAGAAAGTTGGGGTCAAAAATATTTACTTAGAAGGTATGTGTTAGGGTTCTAGTAGGAAGCATATGGCATGCTCAAAGGGCAATGGAAGAGAGACTGATGAAAGGAGTATTTACAGAGATATGAACAGGGTTAAGGGATGGTGAAGTGCCGTGAGACTAACAATAGTAGGAACGGCATGAAGAGACAAGAGGAGAAAATTGTGCTACTGAAATCTGGAGAGAGGATCCTTAATGAGAGGGCCACCTGATAGGAACTGCCAAATCACAGCCTGGCAGAGAGTGGGCGGAACAGATAATTTGAACTTTATCTCCTCTCACCTTCTTATTTCTTGCCAGTGTCTCCCATTGGTTGGAATCACCTGAAAGCCTAAGGGCAAAGGGGCCCAACTGATGCAGTCCATATCTTCTTGAGGCCTGGAGCAGAGTAGAGAAGGTGGAGAATGGATATAGAGGCATAAATAGAGAATATCCACTAAAGCCTATATGAGAGGTAGTTTATAAATGTTATCAGATTTAAGCTTCACAATAGCCTTATAAGACATATTTTATTCTACTCCCTACCCCCAGTTTACAGATGAGGAATTCGATGAACAAAAAGGTTAACTGACTTGTTCAAGGTTACACAATTAATAAATGGCAAAACTAGGATTCAAACCTGGGTCTGCCTAACACAAAATTCCATCCTCTTAATCTATAAGACATTGTCTCCTACAACTTTATTTAGGACCCTTTTATGTGTCAAGAATAGTGCTAGGTGCTGCAGGGAATACAAGGATTAAAAAGTCCCTGCCCTCAAAAAGGTTAAATCACTATTTTTTTACATGTACTGTCTTGCTTAATCCTCACAGCAATGCTATGAAATAGGAACATATCATCACCATTAAACAATTATTTAATAAATACAATTACTATAAGTTATGATTTGGCACCTTTTAAAAACCATTTAATAGTCTTCTTTGAAGATAGTTTCTTAGCCTCTAATACAGATCTACCTCATTCTTTTAATGATTACATAGCAGGTGATCACACAGAGATTTCATTATTTAATCAGTCCCCTATTGAGGGACATTTGGGTTGTTTCCTGTTTTGTACTAGTGTAAATAATACTTCAGTGAACAATCTTGTACATTTATCTCCCATACCTTTGCAAATATATCCTTGGGTTAAACTCCTAGCAGTGGAACTGCCTAGTGAAAGAGTAGGTGTAGTTATACTTTTCATGGATTTTGCCAAATTGCTCTCCAAATAATTTGTACTACATTCCCTCTAGCAGAATGTAAAAGACCTTTATTTCTACATGACAGATGGGGGAATTAAGGATCAGAGAGGTTAAATAAATTGTTTGGGTCACAAAACTGGTGAATAGCAGACCTGGCTGTGAACTCGTGTCTGTTTGACTCCAGTGCTTTCATTTTTCAGACTATGTTGTAGATAACGTAAGGGAGAGATCAGTTTAGCTGTAAGTAAATATTTTTCTTAAGCTTATTTACTGATTGTGGCCTTTAATGATGTGGTTATTTCTGATTTTCTTTTTAATGCCATGTGGGTACAGATGGTTTAGAATAGGAGTCAGAACACTATTGCTCATGGGCCAAATCAGGCCCGCCACCTGTTTTTATATAACCTGTAAACTAAGAATGGTTTTATGTTTTAAAATGGTTGGAAAAAAAATCAAAAGAAGAGTACTATTTTATGACACATGAAAATTTCATAAAGTTCAAATTTCACGGTCTATAAATAAAGTTTTATTGGAACGCAGCCACCCGTGCTAATTTGGTTATGTATTGTCCAAGGAGGCTGCTTCCACACTACAATGGCAGAGTTGAGCAGTAGTGACAGGGACCTTATGGCACACAAAGCCTAAAATATTTACTATCTGTAACTTGTCCAGAAAAAGTTTGCTAACTCCTGGTTTAGAACTATAGAATCATTCATTTAGCAAATACTAAGTGCTTACTCGTTGTAAAACAAAACTCAGGGAGCAAATTGTCCTATGGATTTTAATTTTTTTTCACATGGTGAACCCCCTTTTCAAATGAAATTTTACCCAGACAAAAAATATAATATAGATAAAAGCAGAGCTGCTCTGTCATGACAGGGACAGATGTTCAAGAGTCTCACACAATTGGCTTTCCTCTTGTTTTTCCTCTTGGCTTCTCTAGTAGCAGATCTTGAGGCATTTGTAGCTATAGGGATGTGCAATCCAAGGCCACCACGGAATATCATTTGAAAATTACTGCTACATTTTATTCCTTTATTTTACAGAGAAAGAGAAAGACCCAGAGACGTTAAGTGAGTTACCCAAGATGACCCAGTGGCACGGCTGAAACTATCATCCAAGTATCTGGATTTTAGTGTGTATGCAGTGGGAGTGGTCCTGGGTGTCTACACAAATAAAACTTGTGAACAGGGTCAGCCTTCTCTGTAGATGAATATTCTTTCTGACTAATATTAACTTAGATTGTCAATATTGGAAGTGCAGTTTTAGGTCATCTACTTCAAAACTTCCATTGCACAGAAGAGAATATAAGGAGATAAAATAACTTTCTTAACAGAAATTAGTGAGTTGCTGAAAAAGGTAGAATTTTGGCTGCCATTCTGGTGACATTTACCTTAAAATCAGACTGTACCATACCTAACCCTACTCTAGTTAATCTTACCTTTGAAGGCAAGTTGGCTATTAGCAAAGACAAAAAAATAACAAATGCTGGCAAGGGTGTGGAGAAAAGGGAACTATTATATACTGCTGGTTGAAATGTAAATTAGTACAACCACTATGGAGAACAGTATTGAAGTTTCTCAGAAAAACTAAAAATAGAGCTACCATATGATCCAGTAATTCCACTGCTGTGTATAATACATCCATAATAAAGGAAATCAGTATATTGAAGAGATACCTGCACTCATATTTTATCATATCTGCACTCACTTTATTGTAGCACTATTCACAATAGCCAAGATATGGTATCAACCGAAATGTTCATCAGCAGGTGAATAAAGAAAATATGGTACATATACACAATGGAATTACTATTCTGCCATAAATCAGGTGAAATCTGTCATTTGTAGCAACATGGGTGGAATTGGAGGTCATTATGTTATGTGAAATAAGCCAGGCATAGGAAGACAAATATCACATATTCTCACTCACAGGGGAAAGCTGAAAAACTGGATCTCATGGAGTTAGAAAGTAGAATAGTGGTTACTAGAGGCTGGGAAGGCAAGGGGGGAGGGAGGAATGAAGGGAAGTTGTTTAATGGGTACTAAAATACAGTTATGTAGAAGGAATAAGTTCTAGTATTGGATAGTACAGTAGGGAAATTACAGCTAACAATTTATTGTATGTTTCAAAATAGCCAGAAGAGAAGGTTGGAATGTTCCTAAAACAAAGAAAGATAAATGTTTGAGGTGATAAGTATCCCAATTACCTTGATTTGATCATTATACATTGTATACAGGTATCAAAATATCACATATACCCCTAAAATATGTACAACTATTATACATCAATAAAACTTGTTAAAAAGGAAAATATAAATCAACAGAGAAGTAATATTATTAGTATTTAGTTTATCAGAAATAAGCAAGTCTTATCAGCTTTGGTATAGCACCACATAACTTGAAGAGGGAGTGGCTAGGAGGGGAGAATTGGCAAACTATGTAGTTAGGAGCTGGCCTTACATGTAAGGCCATGAACTATGAATGTTTAAGCCCGCTCTTAAATACTTAGCAATAACTGCCAAGACTTTTGACCAGTCAGACCACATTTCCTTCTGCTACTCACCTTCTGGGTATTTTTCTGGCATGTTGATAGCTGCTTGATGTATGGTAAAAGCATTGGTGGGAGAAAGGATTATAATGATTAGCTCAATACAGGTCTTGTTGCCATCTGTGGATGTATCTTTTCCTCATTAGTTTGGCTACTGAAGAAAGGCACATTTGGTGCTTTGCTGAGGAGACACATGCTGTGAGGGTAATTTAAAGATTTTCTTTGCCAATATCCACTTTGCAGTACAGAACTGAGGGTGTTTACTGGGCTTACATATCTAGGTGCATTTTTGTATATCCTCAAGTTGTGTTGGCTTTGAGCAACATAAATCCTGATGTTAACAAACAGGGACGCTGTCTTCTCCCTGAGGGATCTGGAAAAACCATTCCCAATTTTGTTCAAACTGTTGGGATTCCTTGATTCTAAAATCAAGGAATTGAATTGCTTCCAGCTCTTCTGGACCCAGCCTTGAAATGTTGCCAAGTGGCTGCTGGTTGGTCAAGCGGTCTTTGCCATTGCTTGCAGAGTAGATTCTCTGATCAACTTGATTGTCAAGCTTTTTTTTCTGAGGATGCTGAAAAGATTGCTAGGAAAATGGCTAGTGCATGACTAGGTGGTAGGCTGTCTCTTGATTCAGAAAGATTTCTGTTGGACATATTCTGAGAGAGGGTCAGATGCTATGGAGGTTTCATTATGAATCCATTGCACCTTTCAGTTTCTTATAAAGAAAGGTTGGAAGGCCTAGCCTTTAACTCTACTAATCATGGGGGTCCTGAATACTTGTTTCAAGGGCATTCAGTAGGAGCTATTTGCATCTTGGTGTAAGTTAACTTATTGACAGTAGAGTGAGCTGTTTTGGAGGGTTCCTGGGGGAGAAACAATTCTCATGTCCTCTTGAGATCAACTCTCCAATGAAAAGTTTTTTCCTGTTATATACTTTTGGCAGTATGATAATACAGTTTAATTGTTTACATACTTTAAATTCTGTGCTGTGACAGTTGTCTATCTTAATCATTAGTTTTATATAATTAAAAACATCATAAACCTAAAGTTAGAGACATGCTCAGACATTCTTGAGTTCTCTTTGGAGAACATCTGGCCATCCTTAAGCAATCACCTGACTTCTCTGGAGTCAAGCAGTAGCCTCTTTTTAGTCAGCACTGTTTGAAATTAAATCCACCATCTGAATCCTATTCTTCATGACTAGAGGGATCACATATGCTGGTTTGCCTGGGGACAGTTGTAGTTTAAGCTTGCTGTCCGCATGTAGTAGTAACTAATAGCTGACACTTTCCCCTTCAAAACATGTTCCAGTTTGAATAGTAAATATATGGTTATCCTCTGTCCATGACTAGGCAACCAAACTTTGAATGTCCCCCATATATCAGGCAAAGTGCTGGCTGCTGTTCTGTGGGGCTACCATGCAACAAAATACTCTGTTGATTCTGATGATTCTTTTCTTCATGGTATGGCAGAAAGAAGCAAAGAATGGCAAGTTGAGACAGGTCACAAAGTTACTGGCAAGAAACTTTCCTAGTTACTAGCTTTTCACTTAATCTATACTCTCATGGAACAGGGTAATTAGTGGAAGCTCTTTTTTTTTTTTTCCTAATATTGCTTCCATCCTAAATTGCAGTTTTGGTTTCAAAGGCTCTGCATTGAGAAGGAGATTCCTGATCATTTCAAATGTCTTTGAAACAGGACATCAAAGAGCCCCTTTCTTGCCCATTTCACTCCCAGTGCTTCCTCATTCGAGGTTTCTGATGTTCTTTTTCATCTTGAAAACTCCTTGGCCAGCCATGCGGCTAATGTGTTACAACTTTCTAGAAATTCTTTCTGGGAGAAGTGTTCTCAAAAACAGCAAAACCAGACTTGATTCATCACTAAGCCAGGAAAAACTTGACTTGGAGCTGTGTTTTTAAAAATGTACTTTAAACAAACAAAAACAATAAAAGTTTATTTCTCTTTTGAGTCTCTGAGAGTAAACTGGGACATTTTCGAAGGACTACTTTAAATCAGGATAATGTAGACTCTTTTGGGGATAGTGGTAACTATTCTTTGATTTTATGTAATATATCTCATGTCAGTGACCTGTCTTGCTCATCTGATAAGCTCAGTTTATACGGGATAACCCCCACAAGATAAAATATAGAAAAGGTTTATAAAAAGCATAAACCTTTGCACTTATGTGAGGTAGTGTATCATTGTGGATTAAAAGGTATATGTGGTTACTGTGGTGAGGGCAAGCTGGGTAAACCTGGTAAGCTGAGTAGTGTGTAGCATTGAGAAAGGCAAGACTTTTTGGGGCCAGAAATATTTAAGGCATAACCACTGGGATCCCCAAATCTTTTGGGTACAGGGAATGTGGAATCCTCTCTCTCTTTCTCTCTCTCTCTCTCTTTGTCTCTCTCTCTCTCTCTGTCTGGAGCAACTTATGTAAGTTTAGAGCTGTCCCTGTCTGTATAAGGAGATGAATGTGATTTGAGATACACAGCTGGTTGCATGATTTGTGTGTGTCTGTGTCTGTGTAATATGAGCTATAGTTGAGACCTTCAATATGGGACATGGCCAACATTTGGAGGTTGCAGATTGTAGATTATTGGGATTTGCAATGAGGGGATAAAGGAGACCCACCAGTTATTTATTTATTTATTTATTTTGACAGATTCCTTCAATATCTCTTGGAGTTGTTTTTGAAGTAAGTGCTCAAAAACACTTACTTTTTGAAGTAAGTGCTCAAAAACCATACAGTGGTTCTGAAGATAAAACTTTTGAATGTGGCCCTAAAAGAATGGCAAAGCCTGGGCAAGAAAGGGCTACATGATGCATAATCCTAGGAATTTTAAAGCTAGAAGGGCTCTTAGATACCATCCAATTGATGTTTGATTGTAATGTACCAAAACCATTTTAAAAATCAAAACATAAGAGCTGATGTAGGCTTGACAACTTTCAATTTTCCCAAGTAGAGACATTTTTAAAAAAAATTACCATTTTTCCGCACCACTATATCATAAAATAATGGACTTTTTTTGGTCCAATACCAATAAAGCCACACATTCAGAATTTTTAAAATTGAGTAAATTTAGCTTAATGAAAACCTTATTACATTGTATTAGTGCATTTTTTGCTCAGAAAGGACTGATAAATGTTTTATCACAAACTGGTACCTATTTATGGACTATTATTTGGGAACAATTGATTTAGTCCAACTACATTCATTCTACAGTTGAAGAAAGTAAGGCATAGGGAGAAAAAATAATTTCCTAGGATCCCACAACTGGTAATGACAGAGATGAGGCTAGAATGTGGACCTTATGTGTCTGGTAGATGATTCTCTGCAGTCCTGGAATAGACCATAAAGTGAAGAGGAATTTTTCGACATGAGAGTTCATATATTATGAACATTTTTAAAAACATAAGTTTTTTTTTTTTTTTACAGCAGATGCTGCCACAAACTCTATATTAATACATCTGTCTGGAGCAACTTATGTAAGTTTAGAGCTGTCCCTGTCTGTATAAGGAGATGAATGTGATTTGAGATACACAGCTGGTTGCATGATTTAATTTATTCTTCCATTATTCAGTTGACTTTACAAGAGTAAGCAGGGGGAGAAGTTAAATACAAAGAATGATTTCTTAAGTCAAAAGGTTGTGAAAATTGTTAAAATTGTATTAGTGTCTAAATATGAATCTTTGCCAAGGGCTTTGGTACAATTTTTTAAATCTGCAATTGTTGGTGAGACTTCCTCTTCACATCACTTTAAATATTTGTGTTTCTTTAGAGTCGTTCACTGAATCCTATTGCTATGTGGAGCCGCATATTCACAAATTTACATTGCATAACAAGTGACATTACATGTGCCATGTTCATCTCAGAACATCACAGAGAGGAAGAATTGAAGGGGCACATGCCCTTACTTTATTATCAGTATTCAAACTACAACCTACAGATCACTGGGATCTCGGTGCTCTCAGTTACCAAAGTTTTCAAACCCAAGACTAGCTTATGTGGCCAACCATGTATACTTATATACAACCAAAAGGTGACTGAGCTCAGAGAGTAGAGGTGGACTGGGGGAGGATTTCTTTTCAGAGTAGTTTATCCCTAAGTAACCACCCAAGGGGTTCACCTTGCCGGCTGCGTAGACAGAGCTGATTCGTCAAGACAGGGGAATTGCAATAGAGAAAGAGTAATTCATGCAGTGCTGGCTGTGCAGGAGACTGGAGTTTTACTATTACTCATATAGCCTCCCTGAACATTTGGGGAGCAGAGTTTTTAAGGATAACTTGGTGGGTTGGGGGAAGCCAGCGAGCCAGGAGTGCTGATTGGTCAGAGATGAAATCATAGGGAGTCGGAGCTGTCTTCTTGCTCTCAGTCAGTTCCTGGGTGGGGGCTACAAGATCAAATGAGCCAGTTCATTGATCTGGGTGGTGCCAGCTGATCCATCAAGTGCAGGGTCTGCAAAATATCTCAAGCACTGATCTCAGGAGTAGTTTAGGGACGGTCAGAATCTTGTAGCCTCCAGCTGCAGGACTTCTAAACCATCATTTCTAATCTTGTGGCTAATGTTAGTCCTACAAAGGCAACCTAGTCCCCAGGCAGGAAGGAGGTCGGCTTTGGGAAAGGGCTGTTGCCATCTTTGTTTAAACTATAAATGATAAACTAAGTTTTTCCCAAAGTTAGTTCAGCTGACGCCCAGGAATGAAGAAGGACAGCTTGGAGGTTAGAAGCAAGATGGAGTCAGTTAAGTTAGATCTCTTTCACTGTCTCAGTCATAATTTTGCAAAGGCGGTTTCACCTATGTTGCCTATGTAAAAAATTCCATGAAAAGCTCTGTGTAATCAAATAATGACATTCCTGTCCCCTAGTGGCTCATTCCTTTGGGATAAGAAGGCATTTGATCTCTATCAATGGACAGCTCCCAGAAAAGGAGGAGAAAAAGGACATGCTATCAGTGTTTAGTACTTCAGCCTGGAAGATTTTTTCACAGCATTTCCAAGAAACAGTTTTCAGAAGAGAGCCAGAGTCAGTCAGCTACTAAAGTGAAGAGGAAAGGAAAGGAGGCCCAAGGGGCTGTCTGAGGAGGGGAAGACTGGGGGATGCAGTAATGGCCATCCTAATTAGCATAGGAATAGGAGGAGGAAGTTGGGAGCCTGGCTAATGGTTTTGATGGTGGTGAAGAAGGTTCTTAAAAGACAGGCTGCAGAGGCTGTAGGAGGACCACCCATTTTCCATTACCAAATGGTTTTTTCTTTCAACACATTGTTAAGAAGTTCCTATTCTTTGCCCACTTTTTATTGAGGTTGTTTGTTTTTCTTTCATAAATTTTTTTAAGTTCCTTATAGTCGTTGGTTATTAGACCTTTGAAGACATATATGGGGCCAAGAAGTATATGAATAAAAAAAGCGCAATATCACTGAGCACTAGAGAAATGCAAATCAAAACCACAATGAGATACCATCTCACACCAATCAGAATGCCTATTACTAAAAAGTCAAAATATATCAGATGCTGGCTAGGTTGTGGAGAAAAGGGAATACTTATACACTGTTCGTAGGAGTGTAAATTAGTTCAACCATTGTGGAAAGCAGTATGGCGATTACTCAAAAAGTTATTCAGTTGGTGCAAAAGTAATTATACCTATACCTTCACCTGTACCCCCTGAACCTAAAATAAAAGTTTAAAAGACCACCTTTAGATGTAATAACATAAAGAAGTTCTTTGTACTTGTATTTAGAAGGAGGGAAAGGAATAGAGCCTCATAGGAAATATCAAATGGCTTGAGCCACTGGAAGGTTTACATGTTCTTGGAGTGAGGCTGGAGGTGGGTGAGGCGAGGAGTAATATTGATATTGATAGCAATAGAAATTTGCCAGAGAAGTAGTTAGCCGTTTATTCATACACCAGTGGGTTGAATGATGCCTGGTGCTTTACAGGTTATGAAACACTTTTAAATCTTATATGATACACTGTCTCAGTTAATTATTACTCCATGTGATGGCCAAGGAAAGCATTTTTATTCTTACCTTGCAGATGAAAAATAGAGATTAATCAATTTTAAATGATTTGACAAAGGTCAAAAGCATAATATGTTACTGAACGGGGTCTAGAACCCAGGTATTCTGAATCCAAACCCAGTGTCTTTCCAGCAAATGTTAACACTCAGTTTTCTGAAATCTCTTAATTTTTTTTTTTTTTTTTTTGAGACAGAGTCTTGCTCTGTCGCCCAGGTGTGAATGCAGTGGCATGGTCTCGGCGCTCACTGCAACCTCCACCTCCCAGGTTCAGGCAGTTTTCCTGCTTCAGCCTCCAGAGTAGCTGGGTTTACAGGTGCCCGCCACCATGCCTGGCTAATTTTTGTATTTTTAGTAGAGATGTGGTTTCACCATGTTGGCCAGACTGGTCTTGAACTCCTGATCTCAGGTGATCTGCCCACCTCGGCCTCCCAAAGCGCTGGGATTACAGATGTGAGCCACTGCACCCGGCCCTCTTATTTATTTTTTTTTCTTATTTTTATTTTTAATTGACAAGTAATAGTTTTACATATTTAGGGGTGCAAACTGATAGTTTGATTTGTGTATACCATGTATAATGATCAAATCTGGGTAATTGGGATATCCGTAACCTCAAACACTTATTATTTGTGTTGGGAACATTCAAAATCCTCTCTTCTAGGTGTTTGAAAAAATACAATGAATTAGTGTTAACTATAGTCACCCTGTAGAGCTATAGAATACTAGAACTTATTCCTCCTATCTAGCTATAACATTGTATCCATTAGCTAACTTCTCCCTGTCCTTCCCTCCCCCAATTTCTAGCTTCTTATAATCATAATTCTACTGTTTATGAACTTGACTTCTTTTAGCTCCCACATATAAGTGAGAACATGTGGTATTTGTCTTTCTGTGCCAGACTTATTTCACTTAACATAATGTCTTCCAGGCTCATCCATGTTGCCAAGAATGACAGAATTTCATTATTTTTTATGGCTGAATAGTATTCCATTGTGTAAATATAGCACATTTTATTTTATTTTATTTTATTTATTTATTTTTTTGAGACGGAGTTTCCCTCTGTCGCCCAGGCTTGAGTGCAGTGGTGCGATCTTGGCTCACTGCAACCTCCGCCTCCTGGGTTCAAGTGATTCTCCTGCCTCAGCCTCCCAAGTAGCTGGGACTACAGGTGCCCACCACCACACCTGACTCATTTTTTTAATTTTTAGTAGAGATGGGGTTTCACCATTTTGGCCAGGCTGGTCTTGAACTCCTGACCTTGTGATCTGCCCGCCTCGGCCTCCCAAAGTGCTGTAATTACAGGTGTGAGCCACTGCGCCCGTCCAGCATATTTTCTTTATTCATTCATCCACTGATGGACATATCTTGGCTATTGTGGATAATGCTGCATTAAACATGGAAGTGAGATATCTCTTTGATATATTGATTTCCATTTTTTTTTTTTGGATAAGTACCCCATAGCGGGTTGCTGGATCATATGGTAGTTCTAGCTTTAGTTTTTTCAGTTTTTTGAGGAACTGCCATGCTGTTTTCCATAATGGCTGCACTAATTTACATTTCCCCCAACAGTGTATAAGAGTTCCCTCTTCTCTGAATCATTGGCAGTATTTGTTATTTTTTGTCTTTTTGATAATAGCCATTCTAACTTGGTTGAGATGATATCTCATTGTGGTTTTGATTTGCATTTTCCTTATGATTAGTGATGCTGAGCATTTTTCTTATATACTTGGCCATTTGTATATGTTCGTTTGAGAAATGTCTATTCAGATTTTTTGCCCATTTTTGATGAAATTATTATTTATTTATGTATTTGCTTTTGAGTTGTTTGAGCTACTTGTATATTTTAAATAGGAATCCCTTGTTAGATGAATAGTGCAAATACTTTCTCCCATTCAAGAGGTTGTCTCTTCACTCTGTTGATTGTTTCCTTTGCTGTGCAGAAGATAAATTAAAGGATTCATTTATTCACTATACATTTGGAGGCCTACTCTGCAAGTGGCCATAGAATCTACCCTCTAGACTAGCATAGATTTCACCCTCACAAAGGTCTTATATAATACAATCCAAAGAAATGGATGTTAATTGCCAGAGGAATAGAATTAATTGGAAGATTTAAAGCAAGCTTGTCCACTCAGGACAGCTTTGGGTGCAGCCCAACACAAATTCGTAAACTTGCTTAAAACATTATGAGTTTTTTTTGTGATATTTTTAGCTCATCAGCTATTGTTAGTGTTAGTGTATTTTATGTATGGCCCAAGACAATTCTTCTTCTTCCAATGTGGCTCAGAGAAGGCAAAAGTTTGGAGACTCCTGATTTAGGGATTCAGAGAAGTAGGAGGACATAGAATCATTATTATCTTTGCAACATGGAGGGGTTATTCAAGGCATCTTCTCCAACATCTGACTCCAAAACAATTTGCTTTTTAATATCTTTGAGAGTGGGCATTCAATTTCTGTTTAAGTATTTCCAGTGATACTGGGCCTCTGCCTCATAAGAAGCTGTTGCATTTTTAGATTGCTTCAGCTATAATAACATTATAACATTATTTTTAGAATTGCCCTCCTATAATATTCAGCTGGCTGGTTTATTTCCTCAGGGACAGTAGTCCTCAGCCATGTATGTGGCATGGGTATGGTGGATTCTGTGTGTATTTGACGCATTGATGGGACTTTCTCAAATCACACATGCCCCTCACCACTCTTTACCACCTGTTTCTTTCCTCTTTCCTAGAGATGCTGCTACATTCCTTGACCCCAGATTTTCTGTTCTCAGTGTATATGTCCCCTGGTCCTTTAGCTATCTGTCATATACTATATTTTCTACATTCTCTCATCATTCTAGTTTATCTACTCTGAACTTAATCAGTTTGTAAATGTTTTTCTTAAAATGTTGAAAACAATATCACACATATGGTTGGACTGTAACAGGGTACAGTGGGACAATTGCTTTTTGTGAAGCAGACAAAATACTTCTCCTAGTTTAGCTTTAGATTGTACCAGCATCTTTAGCAGTCAGATCTCACTGCTGGCTCGTATTGATCTTGAGGCCAACTAAAATCTCTAGGTCTATTTCACACAAACTGCTGTCAAGACTGGTCTCTCCCTGTGCTGTACTTGTGAAATTGATATTTTGAACTTGAATGCTGGACTTAGCTCATATTTCAGTTAAATTGAATCTTTTTCATTTAGGCATTTTATTCTGGTTTATTGAGATCATTCTGAATTTTGATTTGGTCATCCATCCTATTGACTATTTCTTCTAAGCTTTGTGTACCGTTCACATTTTATAAGTTTGCCTTCTGACTTCATTCAGGGTGGTATAAAGATTCCTGTTAGGTCAGGGGTAGTGGAGGTAAGAGCTCCATGGAGGAGGTAGATTTTGTGTTAGGGTCTGGTGGGGATCCCCTTATGCTCCAAGGCAATGAACTTTTCCTGATTGGGAGAAACTATCTAAAATGAGAGCTATCCACCTATTTATTCATTCATTCAGTGAATATTTACTGAACTCTCATCATATCCTCAACACTGTTCAATGGGCTAGGGATGTAGTAGAGAATATGACAGTTATGGTAACTGCCCTTGTGAAGCTTATAGTCTGGTTGGCTGACTCTAAAATCTATTTCATAACTTTTACACTGTATTGCCAGAGAAGGTTAAATTTCCCAATCATAAATTTACTATTTTGGCAGCTTTCTTACCTATGGAAGTTCAAGTACAGTTATATTCAATTGAATAAATATTTATTTCCTAGGCACTGTGCTAGGCACTGAGATATAATAGTGAAAAAGGAACACATTGTCTCTGCTTTACTGAACTCACAGCTTAAAATGGATGATTAGGCAAGCAAATTAGCAATGATAATACAGTGTGATATAAAATGTGCTCTGACAGGGATAGTATATAGCATTCTGGTTACATAAAGCAGTATTAACAAACCCAAAGTTGTGGGGAGGGGGTGGTCAGGGAAAGCTTTTGGTCAAAGTGACATTTTAAATGAGATCAGAAAGGTGAGTAAGAGTAAAACAGGTGATGGTGCAGAGCAAGAATATTTTAGGCAGAGGGAACAGTTCATGTGAAGGCTGGAGGAGAGAGAAAGCATGGTACATTGGAAGAACTGGAGGATGTTCCTCAGGCTGAAGCAGAGTGAGGGCTTGGAGATTGCCTGTTGAGTCCATTTGGTCTTCCCACCGAGTTTGGGGTACTAGTCATTTGACACACCCTCTTTTTTCCTAGGGAGTGGCTACAGAAGACAGATTGCTAGTTATATACTGTGCTACAGCTTTTAGGGGTGGCATTATTAAATGACTTTTTTTGTCCTAAAGGCTTAATGTATATGGTTGCAGCTGTAATAAAATTAGAGCGGTCTCTCACTTTCCCAGCACTTTACTTTTCTTCTAATGTTTCCCTTAACATTTTTTAAATGGAGTTTTATAAATTGGCCATTTGACTCAACCTTGCTAAGCTGTTTGATCCTGGGGATGAAGCTCATTCTTTATAAGCAGTGCTTCTGCTTACCTTGTTGAAATAAAAACTGGACAATTGCTTTATAGCAAAAATAATCCCATGGCAATTAAAAATAAATGATAGGTATGACTGTGCTGTACATGCACACTAAATATTTCAGTATCAGGGCTAGGAACTCAGGTTTTTATACAGAATGAAGTAAGTTAACCTAAGAATTTGATTCTTGGCAATGTGTTTGAAAAGGAGCAGCTCTTTGTAACAGCAACCTAAAAGAGTATTGTGGAGGAGACTTAAATATCTGTTTGGATTATGACCCAATGAAGAGGTTCTCAGGGATCATGGCTACAAGAAAGAATTCTGAAATTTGGGTGGATGCCTAAGGTAGGTGAATTGAAGGGCTGATTCAGTGAATTTGGTTATTTTGGGAGAAAATCTTATATTCAGTTTAAAAATCTGACACCCTTGTTTCTCTAAGGATTTTCCCCTGATGTGGCACTTTCAAAGATCTTTGAGGGTCTGAGGCCATATTACAACTGCGGTGCTTTATAGGTGAAACATAGCTTCCAGGAGTGCTAGGGGGTAAATACCAGCCACAGTTGAATTTGTGCTAGAGTGCTAAGACAGGCATAGCTTCAAGTTGAGGAGAGAGAGAGAAATCCTTTACTTTATACATGAAGATATTATATAATACACTAATAATGATAGCTAAGATTTACTGAGCACTTAGTATATGCCAGGTACTATGTCAGATAGTTTACATGCATGACGTCACTTAATCTGTATTGCAATTTCTGTGAGATATGCCATAGTATTATTATCTTCATTTTTCAGGTGAGTAAATCAAGTCCCAGGGATAGGTATGTTATCTAAGATCCCACAACTAGCAAGTGGTAGAACTGGAGAATTTCCAGGTTTATCTGATGTTAAAACCCATATTGCAACCATAATGCTGTCTTTTTACCACCAAATCCCAGCAGAAGGAGTTCTTGAGATGATGTGGAACCTTCTTTCAGTCAGTAGGTCAAGGGTACTGCTGAAAGTGATTATTCCCTTTCTCTGCCCCAATAGAGCCAAGGCAGCATGTCACACTAGCAAGGGCACAGGCTTTGCATTCAAACAGATCTGGTCCAATCTTTGCGGTATAACTTAGAAGCTGTGTGAGCTTGGGTAAGTTACTTAACCTTTCTGACTGTCAGTTGCCAAATCTACAAAATTAAGATCATAATGTCTACTTTGCATGGTTGTTGTAAGGATTAAATGCAGCAAGATAAGCGAAATGTCTAATGAAGAGCTTGGTGGATCACAGGTACCCAATAATGGTGACTGTTTCAGTAATTAGAAGTGGTACAATTAGATTATTGAGTTGACATTTTCTGGTAATGGGTACTTAACATCTCAATCCAGAGCCAAGGGGATAAAAACAGCAACTGCACGTGACTCTTTAAGCAGATCTTGCTCAATGTGTGGCTTCCAACGCCTCCTACCTATAACTGCTACATTCAATAGCTTAGCCTTAATGTAAGTAATAGAAATTGATATTTCTAAGTTGTGGTATTAACCTGAACTCAATTAAAGCACCACATTCCATTACTGCACTCCTCGGCCCATTGTGATCGCACACCACTTGAACAGATGCTGGTTTCCACGATTTTGTTTCAAAGCAACACATTCCACACATGGAAAGAGAACTGTGGTACAGAGGGAAACATGATGGGGAGTTATTTACTTGTAGGTTTAGAAGAAAAATAGTATCCTTAATTTATATCCTACTCACAATACACAACCATTTGTTCAGCAAAAACCCCTGCTGCATTTACACTGTAAATTATTTGCTGGAAACTTGAACTACAGAGAGAAGCTGAGTTCAATTTCTTTGAATTCAATAGCAGCAAACCCACTTATTTTCACCCCTTTGTCTGAGAAAGTAAATCCTTTAATATAGTGCATTTCCTTCACAGTCAGGGTTTGTTGGTTATTTATGTTTCAATGTTGAATTTTCATTTCCTTGCCTTTCATCAGAAGCAATTATGAAGCCACAATCATGAAAATAATAAGCACATATACATGGTTCAACATGTCTGCATTATGACTCCTCAGTCCATTCAAATAATGCTCCAGGGTTAATTTCTTTACACACAATTTGCAATTTTTTCTTTTGGGTCCCACATATGCTAAGAATTAGTATTGTCACACAGCCTTGCCTTGCGTGTCCTCTGAGGTTTCAGTATGATGAATAAAACAAAAGGGGGAGAAAAAGAGCTGAGGGTAAATGTCCAGTGAAAAGAATCTCAAGGTGATTCATACAGCCGAGCCCCAGAAAAAGAACCTGGCTCCCACCTGCACAAACACCGACGATTGTTTAGAAAATGTCAGTAAGTCAAGGGTATCTAGAGGGGAGGGCAAAAGTTTTACTTCTACCAGCCAACAAAGGAGTTTGGAAGACTCTGAAATTATCCTCACCCATTGAAATTAGTCTGAAAGAAAAGGACATGTCTCTTTTCTCAGTGGAGATTTTATGCCTGAAAACATAAAATTCATCAACAAACACAGATAATAGTTGTGAGACTTGAAGGAGATAATGCATTTGAGAACATAGCATAGTGCCTGCCTGAGTACATGCCCAGTGGAGGTTAAGAATTCAATTAATGAGGACTTTTAATGGGCATAGCATTATGCTAAAGGGTTATCAAGAGGCTTAGAGTATGGTCTTAGTCCTTAAGGGCTTATCATAGACCCGGAGAGATAGGACCCACAAACCAAGAGAGAAGCAGCAATATGAGGCAGCATAGGTGTCAAATGATGGATGCAAACAATGAGGAAGTAAACAGGCATTTGCTGAGCATCTACAGAGGCCATTAGTTCCTTACAGCAATCATATGAAGTTGGTGCTATGATCAGCCCCATTTTGCAGATGAGTAAACTGGAGTTCAGAGAGGAAGAGTGACTTTGTTTTAGTAACACAGGTAGTAACAGATCTGGAATTTTGCCTCCTACTCCAAAGTCTGTATTCTTTCTATAGTATATACCATGGTTTCCTGTGGACAAACAGGTAAGGGGCTTCTTTATCCCTCCTGATCATCCATTATGTACGGGGCTCCTTGTTAAATCCTTCACATATATAGCATATCATTATATATCATTATAATGTAGAGGTTAAAGGTCATGAGCTGGGGTTACTAGACTCCCTAGGTTCAACTTCTCTCTCTACGCACCAGCTGTGTGACCCAGGGAAGTTACTTAATCTCTCTGTGCCTCCAAAATAAATGAATTAGGGAGGCTGGAAAGATGGCCAAATAGGAACAGCTCTGGTCTGCAGCTCCGAGCGAGATCAATGCAGAAGGTGGGTGATTTCTGCATTTCCAACTGAGGTACCCAGCTCATCTCATTGAGACTGGTTAGACAATGGGAGCAGCCCACGGAGGGTGAGCTGAAGCAGGGTGGGGCGATCTCTCACCTGGGAAGCACAAGCGGTAAGGGAGAACTCCCTCTCCTAGCCAAGGGAAGCGATGAGGGACTGTGCTGTGAGAAATGGTGCACTCCAGCCCAGATACTACACTTTTTCCATGGTCATCACAATCCACAGACCAGGAAATTCCCTCAGGTGCCTATGCCACCAGGGCCCTGGGTTTCAAGCACAAAACTGGGTGGCCATTTGAGGCAGACACTGAGCTAGCTGCAGGAGGTTTTTGTTTTTTTTTTCATACCCCAGTGGCTCCTGGAATGCCAGTGTGACAGAATCATTCACACCCCTGGAAAGGGGGCTGAAGCCAGGGAGCCAAGTGTTCTAGCTCAGCGGATCCCACCCTGACGGAGCCCAGCAAGCTAAGATCCACTGGCTTGAAATTTTTGCTGCCAGCACAGCAGTCTGAAGTTGACCTGGGACACTCGAGTTTGGTGGGGGGACAGGCGTCAGCCATTACTGAAGCTTCAGTAGGCGGTTTTCCCCTCACAGTGTAAACAAAGCCATGGGGAAGTTCCAACTGGGAGGAGCCCTCCACAGCTCAGCAAAGCCGCTGTAGCCAGACTGCCTCTATAGATTCCTCCTCTCTGAGCAGAGCATCTCTGAAAAAAAGGCAGCAGCCCCAGTCAGGGGCTTATAGATACAATCACCATCTCCCTGGGTCAGAGTACTTGGGGGAAGGGGAAGTGGTGGGCACAGCTTTAACAGACTTAAAGGTCCCTGCCTGATGGCTCTGAAGAGAGCAGCGGATCTCCCAGCACAGTGCTCAAGCTTTGCTAAGGGTCAGACTGCCTCCTCAAGTGGGTCCCTGAACCCCTGCCTCCTGACTGGGAGACATCTCCCAGCAGGGCTCGACAGACACCTCATACCGGAGAGCTCCAGCTGAGATCTGGTGGGTGCCCTTCTGGGATGAAGCTTCCAGAGGAAGGAAAAGGCAGCAATCTTTGCTGTTCTGCAGCCTCCGCTGGTGATACCCAGGCAAACAGGGTCCGGAGTGGACCTCCAGCAAACTCCAGCAGAACTGCAGCAGAGGGGCCTATTAGAAGGAAAACTCACAAACAGAAAGGAATAACATCAACATCAAAAAAAGGACATGTACTCAGAAACCCCATCCGAAGGTCACCAACATCAAAGAACAAAGGTAGATAAATCCACAAAGATGGGGAGAAACCAGAGCAAAAAGGCTGAAAATTCCAAAAACCAGAACAACTCTTCTCCTCCAAAGGATCACAACTCCTCACCAGCAAGGGAACAAAACTGGGCGGAGAATGAGTTTGACAAATTGACAGAAGTAGGCTTCAGAAGGTGGGTAATAACAAACTCCTCTGAGCTAAAGGAGCATGTTCTAACACAACGCAAGGAAGCTAAGAACCTTGAGAAAAGGTTAGAGGAATTGATAACTAGAATAGCCAGTTTAGAGAAGAACATAAATGACCTGATGGAGCTGAAAAACACAGCACGAGAACTTTGTGAAGCATACATGAGTATCAATAACTGAATTGATCAAGTGGAAGAAAGGATATCAGAGATTGAAGATCAACTTAATGAAATAAAGCGTGAAGACAAGATCAGAGAAAAAAGAAAAAAGGAAAGAAGAAAGCCTCCAAGAAATATGGGACTATGTGAAAAGGCCAAACCTGCATTTGGTTGGTGTACCTGAAAGTGACAGGGAGAATGGAACCAAGTTGAAAAGCACCCTTCACGATATTTTCCAGGAGAACTTCCCCAACCTAGCAAGACAGGCCAACATTCAAATTCAGGAAATACAGAGAACACTACAAAGATACTCCTCAAGAAGAGCAACCCCAAGACACATAATCATCAGAGTCATCAAGGTTGAAATGTAGGAAAAAATGTTAAGGGCAGCCAGAGAGGAAGGACAGGTTACCCACAAAGGGAAGCCTATCATACTAACAGCAGATCTCTCTGCAGAAATCCTACAAGCCAGAATACAGTGGGGGCCAATAAGAAAAGTATTTTCAACCCAGAATTTGATATCTAGCCAAACTAAGCTTCATAAGCGAAGGAGAAATAAAATCTTTTACAGACAAGCAAATGCTGAGAGATTTTGTCACCACCAGGCCTGCCTTACAAGAAGAGCTCCTGAAGGAAGCACTAAACGTGGAAAGGAACAACCAGTAACAGCCACTGCAAATACGTACCAAATTGGTAAGATCATCGACACTGTGAAGAAACTGCATCAACTAATGGGCAAAATAACCAGCTAACATCATAATGACAGGATCAAATTCACACATAACAATATTAACCTAAATGTAAATGGGCTAAATGCCCCGATTAAAAGACACAGACTGGCAAATTGGATAAAGAATCAAGACCCATCAGTGTGCTGTATTTAGGAGACCCATCTCACATTCAAAGACACGCATAGGCTCAAAACAAAAAGATGGAGGAATCTTTACCAAGCAAATAGAAAGCAAAAAAAGCAGGGGTTGCAATCCTAGTCTCTGATAAAACAGACTTTAAACCAAAAAAGATCAAAAGAGACAAAGAAGGGCATTACATAATGGTAAGGGGATCAATGCAACAAGAAGAGCTGACTATCCTAAATATATATGCACCCAATACAGGAGCAGCCAAATTCATAAAGCAAGTCCTTAGAGACCTACAAAGAGACTTAGACTCCCACACAATAATAGTGGGAGACTTTAACAGCCCACTGTCAATATTAGATCAACAAGATAGAAAATTAACAAGGATATTCAGGACTTGAAGTCAGCTATGGACCAAGTGGACCTATTAGACATCTACAGAACTCTCCATCCCAAATCGACAGAATGCACATTCTTCTCAGCACCACATCACACTTTTTCTAAAATTGACCACATAATTGGAAGTAAAACACTCCTCAGCAAATAAAAAAACGGAAATCACAACAGTCTCAGACCACAGTGCAATCAAAGTAGAACTCAGGATTAAGAAACTCACTCAAAACTGCACAACTACATGGAAACTGAACAACCTGATCCTGAATGACTACTGGGTAAATAACAAAATTAAGGCAGAAATAAATCAGTTCTTTGAAACCAATGAGAACAAAGACACAGAGTACCAGAATGTCTGGGACATAGCTAAAGCAATGTTTAGAGGGAAATTTATAGCACTTAATGCTCACAGGAGAAAGCAGGAAAGATCTAAAATTGACACCCTAACATCACAATTAAAAGAACTAGAGAAGCAAGAGCAAACAAATTCAAAAGCAAGCAGAAGACAAGAAATAACTAAGATCAGAGCAGAACTGAAGGAGATAGAGAAATGAAAAACCCTTCAAAAAATCAGTGGATCCAGGAGGTGGTTTTTTGAAAAGATCAACAAAATAGATAGACCACTAGCAAGACTAATAAAGAAGAAAAGAGAGAAGAATCAAATAGATGCAATAAAAATGATAAAGGGGATATCACCACTGATCCCACAGAAATACAAACTACCATCAGAGAATACTATAAACACCTCTATACAAATAAACTAGAAAATCTAGAAGAAATGGATCAATTCCTGGACACATACACCCTTTGAACACTAAATCAAGAAGAAGTCAAATCCCTGAATAGATCGTAACAAGTTCAGATATTGAGGCAGTAATTAATAGCCTACCAACCAAAAAAAGCCCAGGACCAGACGGATTCACAGCCATGTTCTACCAGAGCTAAAAAAGGAAGCTGGTACCAGTCCTCCTGAAACTATTCCAAACAGTAGAAAAAGAGAGACTCCTCCCTAACTCATTTTATGAGGCCAGCATTATCTTGATACCAAAACCTGGCGGAGACACAACAACAACAACAAAATTTCAGGCCAATATCTCTGATGAACGTTGACGCTAAAATCCTCAATAAAATACTGGCAAACTGAATCCAGCAGCACATCAAAAAGCTTATCGACCATGATCAAGTCAGCTTCATCTCTAGGATGCAAGGCTGTTTCAACATACGCAAATCAATAAACGTAATCCTTCATGTAAACAGAACCAATGACAAAAACAACATGATTATCTCAATAGATGCAGAAAAGGCCTTCAACAAATTCAACACCCCTTCATGCTAAAAGCTCTCAATATAGTAGCTATTTATGGAACATATCTCGAAATAATAAGAGCTATTTATTACAAAACCACAGCCAATATCATACTAAATGGACAAAAACTGGAAGCATTCCCTTTGAAAACCCGCACAAGACAAGGACGCCCTCTCTCATCACTCCTATTCAAAATAGTATTGGAAGTTCTGGCCAGGGCAATCAGGCAAGAGAATGAAATAAAGGTATTCAAATAGGAAGAGAGGAAGTCAAATTGTCTCTGTTTGCAGATGACAGGATTGTATATTTAGAAAATCCCATCGTCTCAGCCCAAAATCTCCTTAAGCTGATGAGCAACTTCAGCAAAGTCTCAGGATACAAAATCAATGTGCAAAAATCACAAGCATTCTTATACACCAATAGTAGACAAGCAGAGAGCCAAATCATGAGTAAACTCCCATTCACAATTGCTAGAAAGAAAATAAAATACCTAGGAATCCAACTTACAAGGGATGTGGAGGACCTCTTCAAGGAGAACTACAAACCACTGCTCAAGGAAATAAGAGAGGACACATTCAAATGGAAAAACATTCCATGCCCATGGATAGGAAGAGTCAATTTCGTGAAGATGGCCATACTGCCCAAAGTAATTTATAGACTGAATACTATTCCCATCAAGTTACCATTGACTTTCTTCACAGAATTAGAAAAAAACTACTTTAAATTTCATATGGAACCAAAAAAGAGCCCGCATGGCCAAGACAATTCTAAGCAAAAAGAACAAAGCTGGAGGCATCACACTACCTGACTTCAAACTATACAAGGCTACAGTAACCAAAACAGCATGGTACTGGTACCAAAACAGATATATAGACTAATGGAACAGAACAGAGGCCTCAGAAATCACACCACACGTCTACAAGCATCCAATCTTTGACAAACCTGACAAAAACAAGCAATGGGGAAAGGATTCCCTATATAATAAATGGTGTTGGGAAAACTGGCTAGCTATATGTAGAAAACTGAAACTAGTCCTCTTCCTTACACCTTATACAAAAATTAAGGTGGATTAAAGACTTAAACGTAAGACCTAAAAACATAAAAACCCTAGAAGAAAACCTAGGCAATACGATTCAGGACATAGGCGTAGGCAAAGACTTGATGACTAAATCACCAAAAGCAATGGCAACAAAAGTCAAAATTGACAAATGGAATCTAATTAAACTAAAGACCTTCTGCACAGCAAAAGCAACTATCATCATAGTGAACAGGCAACCTATAGAATGGGAGAAAATTTTTGCAATCTATTCATCTGACAAAGGGCTAATATCCAGAATCTACAAAGAACTTAAACAAATTTACAAAAAAAGCACAAACAACCCCATCAAAATATGGGCAAAGGATATGAACAGACACTTCTCAAAAGAAGATATGTATGCAGCCAACAAACATATGAAAAAAAGCTCACCACTGGTCATTAGAGAAATGCAAATGAAAACCACAATGAGATACCATCTCATGCCAGTTAGAATGGTGATCATTAAAAAGTCAGGAAACAACAGATGCTGGAGAGGGTGTGGAGAAATAGGAACGTTTTTACACTGTTGGTGGGAGTGTAAATTAGTTCAACCATCGTGAAAGACAGTGTGGCGATTCCTCCATGATCTAGAACCAGAAATACCATTTGACCCAGCAATCCCATTACTGGGTATATAGCCAAAGGATTATAAATCATTCTACTATAAAGACACATGCACACATATGTTTACTGCAGCACTATTTACAATAGCAATAACTTGGAACCAACCCAAAAGCCCATCAATGATAGACTGGATAAAGAACATGTGGCACATATATACCATGGAATACTATGCAGCCATAAAAAAGGATGAGTTCATGTCTTTTGCAGGGACATGGATGAAGCTGGAAACCATCATTCTCATCAAACTAACACAAGAAAAGAAAACCAAACACCACATGTTCTCACTCATAAGTGGGAGCTGAACAGTGAGAACACATGGGCACAGGGAGGGGAACATCACACACTGGGGCCTGTTGGGAGGTGGGAGGCTAGGGGAGGGATACCATTAGGAGAAATACCTAATGTACATGATGGATTGATGAGTGCAGCAAACCACCATGGCACGTGTATAAGTATGTAACAAACCTGCACGTTCTGCACATGCACCCTAGAACTTAAAGTACAATAAAAAAGCAATAAATGAATTAATATATGCAATGTACTTACAAAAGAGTTTAACACATTGTCGATATAAGCGATGGTTGCTGTGATTTTTATTTAGTCTTCGTAAATCCCTATGAAGTAGGGACTGTGGTTATGTTCACTTTACATATAAGAGAGCTGAGCTTTAGTGAGATGAAACAACTTTTCCAAAGTTACATGGGTAGGAATTGCTGGAACTGGCATTCAAGTTCAGGCTTGTTTGACTCCAAAGTTTGCTTTTATTCTCACTGTGCCACATTGCTTCCCTAAGTGCCATAGCTGTTTAGAAGGGGAAGAATTCTGTGTGAGCTGAGGTAGTTGGAGAAGGTTTCATTGAGGATATTAGAAAAGGATAGTGAGAAAAACAGTCTGTGTAGGAAGCCTGGATAAAGAAGGAAGGACTTTCAAGGGAGGAGGAGGGAGGCCCAAACATCTCTCCTCCCAAAAGACTCTTAGGACATGAGGAAATCCAATCCTCCATTAGTGACACAAAGGCAAGTGCAGACCTGCTCAAAGGAGCTGTCTTTTAGGAGTTACAACACAGTGCATAAGGGCAGGAGGTAGCCCTAGGTTTCCCAAGAGGAATTAGTCCAGGGAAAGCTGTATATGAATCAGAAAGTAATCTCCTAGAGGGCTGTGCCTGGAATCCTAAACCTGAGTTTACAGCTGGCCTATCTGCCTCCAGGTGGCTCCTCTGGTCATGCCCCCTGTAGACAGTCACAGGGCAGAGGAATTTCCAGAGGAGAAACTAACACTTGAAGTACCAAATTAGGAAGAACATAATCCAATGGCTTAATTGAAAATTTATAAAAATATGTACAATTCTAAGTCTGTTAAATCGTGAGGCACAAACCCCCACTGAAGAATGATTTAACTGCTGCTTGCCTCCTGCTCTGCATAGCTGAATCTCCAGGGGACCATTGCTTTTGCAGTTTGGCTATCTCAGCTGCTACCGTGCTTCCTCATTTTACACCATTTCTGACTCTCAAGTGGTGTGGCTTGGGAACCCAACCATGTCTTTTGTAAAGCCTGCCAATTTGCCTATGTAGCTGGTAAGCAATGGTGATTTATGTCTGGGAGTCTGTTTAACTGGGGTTTCTGCCTGCCCAAAGCTTCCCGTGGTAATAGCCCTCCTAATTAACTCTGTTATTTTTTACTTTTCGCCCTTTGAGCTTCCTTTGAAACTCTCCTAACTTTGGATGACTCAGAGTTTTAGAGAAGCACTTTCCTGGGGAGAAATTTCACTGAGGCTTGGTCCAGTCATTCAAGTCTCACATCAGCACCTGCAACTAAATGCACTTTGTACTGAACCCCAGTGTTCAGTAGAGAATTGTCTCAATGTATCACAATTACACAGAATCTTGAGCTAAATGACTCTGGAGCAACCTACTGTGAAAATTCATTGGTTCAAGAGCTTATAGACTTAATTTACCTTGCCTAAAGAAAAGTGTACCTGTGCCCGTTGACCCTTAAGTGAATGGTGTGCTGAGCTAAAGCAATGGAATGCTAAATGAAAAATTATCCAAGAGCAAAAGAGAAAGTTCTCACATGGCTTTGCAAAGAAAAAGCCTTTTGGTACCTCTAAGATGCAGTGAGAAGCTCATTTGACATAGATTTAGAGAGGAAATTTATGCCATCTCATTCCCAGGCATGATTCTCTGACTATGGGGGTTTGTATCATTTACATAAAGGAAAGGGTGCAGTTATAACTTTAGGGTGCTCCAGGCTGGCATGGCATAATGTCAGTGTGCATCACTGGCATTTCACTGAGTAAGGAATGGAGACCAAAAGAGGAGAGGTGACTTTATCAGAATGTGTGAACATTCCATGTGCTTAAGCATACATATCAATGCTTGACAACAGATTAATGTAAAGATGGTAAAATAAGGAGAATGAAACATTGAAAAGAACCTTATACTTCATAGTTTGTGCTCTTGACACCTGCTGAAAGTGTAAGCTATTTCGGGATACTCTTCCATGATTCTTGATCAATGAGTGGATGGAGTGGAATAATTTTATAGTAATAAAAGGATTAAGGGAAGCCCGAAAGTAGAGTGGATTATTTGGATCCTGGTCACATGGATCAGTGAAGCAATATGAATTTTCAACTGGGTAAGACCCACACAGATTCATTAGGACTCAGTATCCATGCCATGCTTGTATTCTTTAAATCTGGCTCTGGTCACTCTCACCAGGTGTTGAGAGCACAAACTATGAAGTATAAGACTCTTTTTAATGTTTCATTCGCCTTATTTTACCACCTTTACATTAATCTGTTGTCAAACATTGACATATATACCTAAACACATGGAATCATCACACATTCTGGAAAAGTCACCTCTCTTCTTTTGGTCTCCATTCCTTATTCAGTAAAATGCCAGTGATGCACGCTGACATTATGCTATTTTTGATATTATCATGCTTTATCTCTGAGAGACAAAGAAACCTTCATTCTTGCCCTCAAGGATGATGAGTAGGCCTGGCATGGTGGCTCACACCTATAATCCCAGCACTTTGGGAGTCTGAGGTGGGCAGATCACTTGAGGTCAGGAGTTCAAGACCAGCCTGGCCAACATGGCGAAAACCCGTCTATACTGAAAATAAAAAATTAGCTGGACATGGTGGCATGCACCTGTAGTCTCAGCTACTTGGGAGGCTGAGGCGGGAGAATCACTCGAACTGGGGAGACAGAGGTTGCAGTGAGCTGAGATACTGCCACTGCACTCCAGCCTGGCCAACAGAGTGAGACTCCATCTCAAAGACAAAAAGAAAAAAAAAAAGAATAATGAGTAAAATAAGCTAAAGCTGTTTCTAGGGGCAGAGTAAGATTGTATCAGACTGAAGGGTGAAATAAGAGGTGAAAATGTAGAGACAATAACCATTGTCTCCTTTTTTAGTAAGTGGAATTTTGGACCAAAGATATTTAGAAGAATTGTTGGGCACCTATGGAGTAATTAACTAATGCCTTAGTTTGGAGACAATCATTTTTCAGAACACCAACACATTTGTATGATTTTTAAATCTAGTCATGGTCAGATGCCTCAATATAGGAATAGAAAAAGTAGGTGGTTGGATTGAATAAAGGCTAGAGATTTACAAGACAGTCTTGGTAGAATCGCCTAAGAAGGCAGTATATTTGAAGGTATTGGCAAAAGAATGCTTACAGATTGGATTGTAAACTTGAGACTGGGGAAGGAAGAAAGTGAAGCCAGAAATGGACCAATATACTGACCAAAACAGAAGGGTCATAGGACTGTGGAACTCAAAGAAGATGAGGAACATGTGAAGTAAGAATCATGGAGTGAGATTAATAAACAAGAGCTAGTCCTCAAGGAAAGGTCAACTGGTATTTAAGATTTCTGAAGTGGAGCAGTTCTGGTCAGAGATGAAGTCCAGAGTGTGGCCCTGGGAGTAGGTTTCTAAAATGAAATGGAGGAGAAAGTCCTTAGAGTAAAAGAGCTCAAGGAACTGTGGGCTATATGGTTGGGCTTATAGCATGGCTAAGACATACAGGCCAATGACTGGAGTTAAGGTACAGTGACTGACAGAGAGTGTGGTACCAAAGACCTTGAAGAATGTGGATACGTGGTCTAGGGGCAAATAGAAGGTAGTCATAAAGGTAGAAGAACATGTATCCTGATCCCCAAGAGAAGAGAGTCTTCTATAAGAGTGGGAGGCAGCACTGTGAGGTTAGGGTAATTAATTGTTAAAATGCTCTAGCCACTCAAATGCCCAGAACAAAAACTTCTAAATTAAGCGAGTGCGAGGTAGGGAAATGATTTAGTGGTTTGTGAGAGCCTCCTTAGAAAAACACTAGGTTCAATATTCATGCTATAAACCAACACAATCATTATTATTGCAACTATTGATGTAGAATGTAAGAGCAGAGTGATTTGCAATGATTCCTCATGCTTGTCCTGTGGGAAAAGGGAGTTCAATCATTCCTATTTCCAAAGAAAGGAACAGACAATGGTTCTGTGGTCAGATTTAAAGCAAAGTTATTGATTGAACTCTCTTTAATTGGCTATCACTTTGTAATTGGCTGATGATGTACAGGCCCCTTGAAACTCCCAAGAGAATTCCTAGGAATCCAGGCTGCACAGAAGTGATGAATGATAACTCGAGTAACCTTGTTTCTTTGCTAAGAACAGCCATTGGTCAACTATAGGACTGCTAAGTGGGCATTTTCCCATTAATTCCAGTATGGATTTTGAGATATTTGTACCATCAGTGATTTTGATCATTATAACAAAACTGACTTATTATTTATATTGTTTTTTACTTATTTATAGACAAGGATAGTGTGAATTTAGATGCTTGGATGATATGCATTTATACTTGGTATATATAAAATATTGTTATCCCTGCTGTATTTTATCATCTTCAAAAATATTATGTTCCATGATTTGTTGAATTTTTCAAAATTTCCCTATGCTGTCAAGGTAAATTTTTCCATTTCCAGAGTTCAATATGGATTTTACAGCCAATCATGGATTTGGGCACTGGTAGAATCAAACTATTTTGAACCAATAGTTCCCTGGACAGCTAGCAAGAGTAGTTGTGATACTGATATGTGTGTACAAGGTACTGGGATGCAGTGTCTACTCTAGAGGCTACTCTGTAGCCAGCTACAGCTAAAGGTTTTTTTTTTTTTTCTTCTCTAAGAGGGGACATTGTTTGGTCCCTTTCTCAGAATTCCTTTTTGTTTTTTTGTTTTCTTTCTTCTGATATCCTTTAAACCAGAAAAACAAAATATCTAAAACATTTAACCATTTTACCTGTGGGCAAATTACTCTGACTCAAAGCTGTCATGAGAGAATATACATTTTTAAAAAGACCATAAGCTTGCTTTAAGATGGAGGATTTTGGTTTTGGTAAAGACTCTTCATAGAGCAAATGCTGTTTTGTGTTGGCGATCTTCATAGTGCCTGGCCAAATGAGAATTTGGCTGCTCTTCACTGTAGTGTTTTCTACCTAGAGTTCAGGCTTGGCCTGCAATCAGGCGCTATGTAGTTCCATTTGGCAGATGCATCTGAAGCCTTCAACATTTCAGAGAACTTTGGAGTTTACGGGAAGCAACAAATTTCATTAAATCACCTCTTATTTGGTTTCTCTTTCCACTTCGTCTCAATTAATGTCCTGGGAGTTTGTGGGATTGTCCCCGATTCGATTCTCTGATTTTTTTTTCCCAGTAAGCAGCAGGACTCCCTCAGGTGCCCTCTGAGGGTTCTACTCCCAAGTTTCCTCAGTGAATTCTCAGATGAGACTGTGACAGATGCCCACAGAAGCCCTTACATAGGGGAAGACGAGGTGCCTCTTCACACCTCTCTGCAGTTTCACACTTGCACACGGATGCTTCCTTGAACACCCGCGCCCCATCTGTTCTTACATCAGTCCCATAAAACTAGATATCATTATTAATAGCACGTTTCCCCTGAATTTTTTATTGGAAAGTTACTTACAAGTTGCTGAAACTTACAAGTTCCCTTTCTCAGGTAGATTGGGTGAGAACTAGAGAAAATAATGCAGATATTGGTTTCTCTGGACTTTGATATCAGAGATGCATTCATGTATAATAATACACTCTCAATTATACTAGCCTTCTAAGAGGGTGATAAATGTGAGGAATGGAGAATAGTACTTGAGGATCTTGTGCTGTTTGTACTCAGAGAGGTGCCTGCTGGGTTTCTTCGGGGTGTATTCGATGGGCCTGAGCCATTGTTACCAAGTTCCCCTCAGGGAAAGTCAAGGCATTCTGGGATGTCTAGGTGTGGTTGGGGCCTTGGAGGCCAATGGACTGAGCCAGTGTATGCTTCTTGCATTCAGTCCTGCAGTGATCATGAGGCTTAATAGATTGTGAGGCTTTTGGATTTGTAACTTGGATCCTTTACCAGCATGAAAATAAATACAGGCAATGCTACATGCAGTATGCTGAATGTGGCCATTAATCCACCTGCACTTCTAAGTCAAGTTTCTATAGTATTGTTTCTGTGCCTTTTGAGTCTTCAGAAACAGCCACTAACTTGTTTTCTCTGTCTTGACTCTGTTCTGAACTCTGTCCCCATCCCCACACATAGCCCCATTTCATCAGGTTTCCCGGGAGTTTCACTTTTCTCCTGAAACACCTTCAAACACTTTTCTCCTTAATGTACTCTTCTTGATTTTAAAAAAATACAGAATACCTTATATATAATAATAATTCTATAAAAAGTACTTACTTTGATAAGTTGATGTTTTGCTTAACCATACATTGCTGGACTTAAATGTTGGACAACTTCATTAAAAACTACTAAATTGAGTATATTCTTCCTCCTGCCCCAACTATTCCAGTTACTTATTCCTCTTTTCCCCTTTGCTCTTTCTCCACCTGATTCTCTGGCTCCCTTCCCTATCTTATAGTCTTTAGCTAACTCTTTTCCACACTTTTTTCTCATTCTCTTTATTTCAAAAAATCAAACTTGTTTGACCAAGTTCTGGGTCAGCAAGTTTGTAAAGCAAAAGATAATTTTATCTCTTTTACCTGAATTCTTTTGCTAATGTTCCCCTATTTAGAAATCTTTCAAACTCTTTCTTAACGTCTGTTATTTTACATTTGTACTTTTTAGGGTATCAGTGTATTTTGACACATTTTCCATGGTGGGATTTTCATTGAACTACTGGTCTCTCCTCAGGGCCCTTATGTTGCCTCTCTGCATTTCTTTCTTTCTTTTTTTTCCCTGCAGTTTAACAGGAAACCTGAACAGGAAACCAAACCTAAGAATTCAGAGTGCTTTGTGCTCTCTTCATGCCTTCAATCTTTTCCTTTGTTTGACTATGAAAGTTTAGGCCCTTTTCAACTAAATACAGGGCCAGATTTCAAATGACATGTTGAAGCCTGAAGGGAATGAGCAGCCCCTAAAAGGTAGTAGAACCAACTAATCTCCCACATTTTGTATGAGTAATGTTGCTATAGATAATGTTTTGTATATCCAAAGGTGAAGGTGCACTGAAGAGAAATCATCTGCTTTTGACATTGAAACAAACTCAGCAGAAAAGAAACTCCTCTTCTAATTTCAATGGTAGTCCAGTGATTTTTAAACCTGTTTTGACTTGTGATGGGCTGGTTTTTTCAAATATGACTGGTTCACTAATAAAGGGTAGAGTATCTTATAATGAGATAGAAGCGTCTTGGGCATAAGTGTGTGGGTTTCAGAGTCACCATAGGTTTGGTGTTCAAATCCTAACTGGGCAATTTGATAGTTGTATAACATTGGGAAAGTGAGTTACCTATCTTCTCTCAGTCTCAGTTTCCTCATCTATAACACAGGAATTAATTATAGCACCTCACCTCATCAGGTTGAGAATTACATGTAAGTGGAAGCATGCAAGTGCATATGTTTGGCATATAAAAATACATGTTATATGTCATGTTGATGATAATTTTATAGTTTCCTCATAGAGGTAACAATGTGTCATAATGCAATTAAAACGTGCTGAAAAATGTGCTGAAATTTGTAACCGAAGTTACAATTCAGATTTCAGTATGATGTGTCCTCCTTGTGGGTGGCTGGTTGCCTATGTAACAGATATCTTCCATCTGAAGCTTCTTACCCCATGATCTTGGGCTTGTTAACTCAGTATGCTTTCCAGATGCTAATTCCCAGACTGTAATCCCTGTTAGATTTTATTCACTTTCTATGGGTTAGCAGAGCCTTCTCTCTCATCCCCAGCTTCCTTGTATATATATGGAAGACCTAGCATTGACAATTATTTCTAGGTGATCTGCAGCATTCTTCTTGCTTTGAGGAATTATTTAGGGAGCCTGAAGAGCCTAACAATGTCAACTGCTGCTTTTAAGTTTGTACTCAAGCCAACATTTTCTCATTATGATGCATTTCTAATATACTTCGTAAGAAAATGAATCAGATTTGGATCAGAATAACCATCATTATGGAAATAGTTTATTAAGAAATACATACTATGATGGTCTTGACTAGTTTTCAGCTTGGAGATAAGGTGCTAAAACCCTAGGCAGCCTCTTGGCAATAGCCCCACACCCTTCAGGTATTGAAACTATAGAAATTTCTGCATCTTCAGGGGCACTTTCTTGCCGTTTTGATGTTTGTCTATGGGACTTTAGATTAATTGGCTCTGACAAAGCATGTTAGTGGGCAACCAAAAAGGGATTCCTTTATTAGAATTCCAGATTGCTCTTTTGCTTCTTTTGGCTCAAAACAGCATCTAGATGTACTTGGTTCTATTTGAGATGGGTTGTTTCTATCTATCTGTCTGTCTATCTATCTATCTAACTATATATCTATCTATCTAATCTATCTAATCTATGTATCTCATACCATAGCACCTCTCAAATTTTAACGTGCATGGAGATGAAGCGGTGCCTGAGATTTTTGCATTTCGAACAAGATCCCAGGTTATTCTGATGTTGCTGCTTGAGTGTAACAGACAACTGTGATGCCCCATCCATATTTCTTGAAACTCATCTCAATACATACATACTGGAGACTGCTTATACCCTTGACTATCTGTCTAAGGATTTTTTTTTTTTTTTTTTTTTTTTGCCTGTGGGAGCACTTGTCCTAGATGCAAAGCAAGCCTGAAGTGCCAGAGAATTAATGGCCCTGGAAACATCCTTAAACCAATGTCTGAGGGGAATTTTGTGGGTAAATATTGTAGTTCCTTAGTCCTCAGTTGGAATAAATTTCTCCAGAGTCCCACACCAAGATTGAGCTCTTGTTGCCCTTTTGTATTGGCTTCTTTCCCTTCCTTGCCTCATTTCCCCACTTTTCTGTGGGTATTTCCTGGATCAGCTCCCCAAAAACATTGCTCTTGAGTTTTATCTCAGGATCTGTTCTTGGGGGAACCCAAACCAAGAGCTTTGCTAAATATATTTTTCTTATTTGGTTAGCCTGTTTACTTGAGAGATACACCCTTTACCTCAAACACTACTGTATTTGTCTTGATAAGTCAGATTATGTTAATTGATGATTCATAGGTTTGACCTTCAAATGTCCAAAGATAAGGCTTCATATTAAGAAACATTATAAGGAATCTCTGAGTTGGCATTCACTAGTTCTAGAAATTCCATAGAAACATACTAATATTGGCTTTCAGTATTTGGTACAAGTCCAATCAGCTTCATGACATCAGCTTAGGAAGAATTGTTTGGAAAGAATGTTTAAATGCAAATGAATGATTAATTTTGTATACCCAAACTCAGTGTGTTTCATGTCAACAGGGATACTCACGAATTGAGTAAATTGCACACATTGGAAAAATAAAATCATAAATGAGTCTTTAAGGGTAACCCTTGGCCAGCTGGACTGTGACTCACAAAGGTGACTTTTGTACTAAAAATCCCATTTGAGTTCCAATTTAGTACTCAATTTCACTAAAATCACTAACAGTGCAATTGCATAGCATCTTCCCCAAACCGCTTCTTTAGTCTAATAGGAGTTTGATAATTAAACATTAACATTTTGCAGAGGCAGTCTCCCACTTTGCCCATATTTGAAGTTTGCTGAGGTTTTCTACAGCAGTGAGAGTTGAAGGTGGTAGATTACCAAGCTTTGGATGCACAACCAGACTTATTTTATCAAAGGTTACCTAAAGAGGTAAGTGCTCAGTTGTCTGTTTTGACCATCAATGCTAACATGTGGTGAAATGGTGTGGACCCCTTTAAACACTGTTTATGGCAAAACTATAGCTAAAGTTGTCATGAGAAGTCTTTAGCTTTGTGTAACACTTTCTCCTTTTTCAAAGTGCTTTCTTTCTTTTATATCATCTGACGTAAAATACCTTTATATTTTAAATATTCAATTAAAAATTCATTCTATTTTGAAGTTAACAAAATAGATTTGTCTTAGTCTGGGCAGCTATTGCTATTACAAAATATCTTAGACTGGGTAGCTTATTAACAACAGAAATTTATTCTCACAGTTCTAGTGGTTGTGAAGTACAAGATCAAGTTTCCAGCAGATTCAGTATCTGGTGAAGGCCTGCTTTCTGGCTTTTAGACAGTGTCTTTTTGCTGTGTGTTCACATGGTGGAAGTGGTGAGAGGTGTTTCTCTTGGGCCTCTTTTATAAGGGCACTAATCCTATTCATGAGGGTTCTGCCTTTATGAGCAAATCACCTCCCAAAGGCCCAACCTCCTAATGTCATCACCTTGGGGATTAGGATGTCAACACATGAATTTTGGGAGGACACAAACATTCAGACCATAGCATTTTTCCCCTGAGCCCCCCAAATTCATATCTGTCTCACATGCAAAATACATTTATTTCATTCCAATAGCACATGCAAAATACATTTATTTCATTACAATAGCACCCAAAGTCTTAACTCATTCTGACATCAACTCAAAAGTCTAAAGTTCAAAGTCTCATCTAAATATAATTTAAATCAGGTATGAATGAGACTCAGGGTATCCTGAGGCAAATTATTCTCCAGCTGTGAACCTGTGAAATCAAATGTATTATGTGCTTCCAAAATGCAATGATAGGACAAACACAGGATAGACATTCTTATTCCAAAAGGAAGAAATAGGGAGGAAAGGAGTGGCAAATCCCAAACAAATCCAAAATCTTAAGGCTCATGAATAATCTTTGGCTCAGTATTCTGCCCTCCAGGCCCATTGCAGTGGAGGTCCTGCCTTCCAGACCCACTGAGTCAGCTATCCTGCCTTTGCAACATTGCAAGGCAGAGATTGGGTTCCCAAGGCTCTAGGCAACCTTGACCCTATGGCACTGCTGGGCAAAGCCCATGCCATAGCTCTCACATGTTGGAGTTGCTGGCATGTAGCTCTAGCAGTCTGGAATTGCAGGTGTGACTCTGCCTTCATGGATCTATTGGGCATTGCCCTAGTGAGGGATCTCTGTGGTGGCTTTGCCCCTGTGTTTGTTCTCTACTTGGGTCCCGTGGCTATCTGGAGGCAGCCCTGCCCATACGGTTTTGCTGGGTACAAGTACACATTGACCCAGGCCTACTAGAGTCATATCTAGGGCAGCCAAGGAATAAGGCAACTGAGTAAGAAGGGTGGAATTTACAATCTGAAGCAGCTTAAACCCTTCCTTTGATGTAATTTTGCCCCCTAAACCCTGGCACTCTGGGCCTATGGTGGAGAAGAAGCCCTGATGATCTCTGATATGTCTTTTGGGTCCTTCTTCTATTGTCTTATACAATAGGTCCTGGCTTTTGTTTAGATGGCTGACTAATAATCCCATTGTCTTGATGAATAGTACTTGACTTCCGTTGAGATGTTCAATTCATATGAATCTCCTTATCAAATAGTCTCTTGGCTGCACCTTTGTTCTTTCCTGAACAGGTTTTCTCATTTTTTCCAATATGAATCAGCTGCAAAATCTCCAGATTTTTAAATTTTGCTCTCCTTTTGATGAACAATTATATCTTTAAGTCATTTCTCTCTTCTCTAATTTTACTACAAGCAGTCAAGAAGAGCCAAACCATGCTTTCAACACTTTGCTTAGAAATCTCTTCAGCCAAATATCTGCTTTCATCATTCACAAATTCTATCTTCCACAAAACACTAGGACACTAACACAATTCAGCCAAGTACTTTTCTACTTAATAACAAGGGTGGCCTTTCCTCCTTTGTCCAATAACATGTTCCTTTTTTCTGTCTGAGACCTCATCAGAATGGCCTCATCAGAAATTGTCCATATTTCTTCCAGTAATTTTGCTCACAACCAGTTACACGTTCTCTAAGAGGTTGAGGCTTTCTCTACAGCTGTCCCCTTTTCCTTCTGAGCCCTCACCAGAATTATTCTTAATAACAATGTAGACTTTTTCTAGCATGAATCTCAAAACTCTTCCAGCTCCTACCCATTACCTGGATTCAAATCCTCTTCCACATTTTTAGGTATTTGTTACATACAATATCACTCTTACTTCCTGGTACCAATTTCCTATCTTAGTCCTTTAGGCTACTTTAACAAAATACTATACATTGGATGGCTTACAAACAACAGACATTTATTTCTCACAGTTTCAGAGGCTAAGAAGTCCAGCAGATTTTATGTATGGTGAGTACCTAAATCTGCCAGCAGATTTAGTGTATGGTGAGTACCTGCTTCCTCACAGGTAGCACCTTCTGTGTTTTTACATGATGGAAGGAATAAGGTGGGGGAGATGTCTCTCTAAGGCTTCTTTCATAAGGGCACTAATCCCATTCATGAGGGCTCCTCCATTATTATCTAATCATTTCTCTAAAAACCATACCTCCTCATACCATTACTTTGGGCATTATGGTTTCAACATGTGAATTCTGGGGAGACACAAACATTCAGATCATAGCAGAATGAATGGTTAGTTTGAAACAGTCCCTTCTCCCCATACTACAACAGTAAGTTGAGGCCTCAGGATAGGAAGATTAATGAGGCATCAGGGACAAAACCAAGGACCATGCTTAAACTTTGATTTAGGCTTCTCTCCTGGCTGTCATTCATCTAATTTCATGCAAACCTGGTTGAAAAAAACCCTAGTAACTTTGATGAGAGCCTATTCCTAACCCCACCCCCACCCTCTAACTCTCAACCACTGTAGTGGCTCCAATATTTCTATCCAGGAAATAAAAAGCAAGTATGTATTTGGTATGTTTCTAGAAAATTTGCCTTGAAAATGTAACAGTATATTCTTTTTACTTAGATTGTATGTTACATCAAATTAAATTTTTCCAAGTATTCCAAAGACATTTTATTCAAATGATATGAAATATTCTTCCTCCTCTTCTTCTTCTTATCTATTTTTATTTGAAATGTCTTGGGGAAAGGCTTGTTCCAGCCAACTCTATGGTGACCTTATGATCAACCTCAAGCCTTAATTAGTTTGCTAGAAGCTGTTTTGCATTATAGATCCATGTATGGATGGACAAGGTTGTTAATCCCTTGATTTCTGCTTCCTGTAAAGTTGGATGCTGCTGTTTTTGAGTGATTGTGTTAACACCCTACCAAGTATGCATCCCTCCATTCCCATTTTTCATCAATTTTTTTTTGTTAAAAGGAGCAGCTTTTAAAAGATTATTCTGAGCCTCCCTGTTTCTTGTGTTCTTAGGCTGACCTACTGTTAAGCTTTTTATAAAAGAACACACATTTTCAGAAAGCCCATAAAGGAGCCTCTTCCAGGTCCATGTGCAGGTCTTCCTTACACCACCAACTACAGAATTTGATGAATATTGTGTGAATTGAAATGAGAGGTGTGTCTTTCTTTCATTGATTCTTAGGACATATTCAACAGGGTCCGATTACATAAGGAGAGTGGCTGCTTAATTAATTGCCCTGTTACCTACAGCAGATGCTTATATTTATTTGGAGTACTAATACAGATAATACAATTTACCAGTATATTGCAGAGAGGGCTATAACCAGTAATACTGTTAAAGAAGAGTGGTGGAATCTTTACTCTACATATCTTTATGATATCCATAAATCCCAATGAATGATTTATGTGAGAATTTTGATTTCAACTTGCCTTCAGTACCAACCAACAATATAGAAATTTAGTATACTGAGAGACAATGGTGCAAGGGATTTCCCCCTACTCTCTTATGTAGATGAAAGAACAAACACTAAGGAAGAACACATTATTAAAAGACCAACTTATTTATCACACAGCTAGAGCTTAATACTCCTTGCCAAAATGCCAGAACATTTCCTGTAGTTTAGAAATCCTATTGAATAAATAGTTTTCTTTCATACCTGTCTTATCATTTAGAGATCCAGGTCTGTTGCCAGACACATTTTGAAGACTATCTCTGTGTTTAAAATTAGTTTTTAAATCCCCACAACAACCAAAAGAAAAACCACATGAGTTATCAGCTTAGAACTTCATCTATGTGGAAACTAGGCATTATTCTGGCTACACTTTTCCAATCATTTTGAAAAGAGAAAGAGAAGAGTGTGCACTGACAACCACATTTTTTGTTTTCCCCCAAGGAAGATCTGTCATTTTCTGTACCTAAGAGTCAGTGGAGGAACCATTCATTTGCTTTTTCTTATATAGTATCATGATTCCTTTCATCCTCCCTATAGGTGACTGCAACTTCCTGCAATAAGAAGCTATTAATTAGATATGGTTTAAAGGATAAAAACAACAAATTAGTTTGAAATAGGATTGGGAGGGGGAGACGGAGGGAAAGCTGTACCTTCCTGGAATGATGGTAATAAACAATATAGTCCTTGTTTTTGACAGAGTTCAGAGGAGATCAGTGCAGGGCTTGATCAAGGGCAGTGACCTTGTGTGAGTGCCAGGAAATGTGCTCCAAGTTGATGAATTACCATGGTTTTATATAACATCACAGATTTGTCAGAATTTGATCATTTACCACTCCAAGAATCAAACAAACCACCACCACAACAAACAGCCCCTTTGAAAGCAAGGATGTTGTTGACAGTATGAACAGGTGCAAGAAGGGCAAAGTCTTTCAGCAGCTCCATTCCTTATAGCAACCAAACAGATGCATTTTCTATTCAAGACCTCCTCTATTCCTTTGTGCTCTTCTGGCCAGTTCTGGGACTGGTTAATAAGATGAATGATTACACTCTAACATTTTAATGGAATCCTGTCAGCAATGTAATAAAGACTCCTCTGTTACAGAAAGTGAGGTAACAGCTTGGGATGCTTTATTTCATGATCAATGTTCCTTCAAAAAAATCAGGAGAATAAATTAAAAACAAAACCCAACAATCGAAATACCTGAGAAATACCTGGAAGAAGAAACATTTAAATACTCTAGACTGTTTCTGTTTTGAAAGAAGGGGAGGGAATGGGGGAGTCATGAACAAATATGATTAACAATTGAGGGAGGGCACAGTGATACCTTTATGCTTTTTCCTGTGATGTGGGAATAAAAGAATGTTTTGTAAAATTAAACAGCAACCATCCTGAAAAAAAGCTCAAACCTGATCCTTTTCCATAAGTCACACGAAATAAATGAGGGCATTTATGTTACCAGGCATGTCAACACATTTTATTTTCTTTTGGTAAGTTTTCCTTAGGTAAATTAAATGCTATGAGCAGGTAGAGTAACTGGGCTAAACTTACCAGGGTCATTAATCTTCGTGCTTCAAGATGGTCAATTCATCCTTGAAGTGGTCAAACTGGACAATTTCCCCAGTGAATGCTATGCTGTCTAGAAATATTTCTTTCCCATTAGGCACTTTAACAATGCTGTATTTTCTACATTGCATTATTCACAGCTTGAAATTATTATATGTTTTTGTTTACTCTCTTGTTGTCCATGTCTACTAGACTGTAAGCTCTATGAAATTGTGGATCACATCACTGGGATTTACTCTTGATTCCTCAACACATAGTAGGCTCTCGATAAGTATTCACTGAAAGCTTGAATGAATGATTCAGTGACCACTACACATGGTGACACAAGACTACCATTACATTATGTTTCAGTAAAATATAGCTAGTTTCTTTATCACCTCTTAGCCACATCTGCTCAAAATATCCTGAAATCTTTTAGTAAGAGGCAGAAAAAAGTACTTAACACCTATACAAGCGCATCTTGGAATTAATAAAGTATGGTGAGGGAGCCGTTATCACACCTCTTACAATCATATTTTCACCTGTCTTGTGTGTCGGCAACTGGAGGCTGGTAGGCAGTATTTACCAATGAAGAAAACTCATCAGCACCAAACTTGCTTTGGGAAATCTGTTTTGCACCTTTAAAATATTTTAAAAAGAGACACACATCTGCATTGGTTCATTCAGCTATAATTCTCCTTCACTGGGCCAGGTTCAACAAAAGGGTAACGGGGAGATTTTTTTTGTTCTTTGAATTTCAGTGATTAAACAATCATTTCTATTGTCTGCTTTTGAGTTTTAACAAACATTGTAGCTACAGCCATAATTACTAGATTTTGTTTTTGTTCTGCTGAACCATTTTTTATTGAAGAATGCCAACCACAGGCAAGATTACATACAAACACTGAATTTAAATAAAATAGCTCTAGAATTCAGTAGACAAAAGAAAAACATTAATATTGAAAAAAATGAGGCAACTGGGTTTCCCCTTGGCATTTGCATTTTGACACTCACATTCTCATTCTAAAATCAGGCAAAGTTATCATTGTCTCACATGTGTTAATATGAGAGCTACTTGATTTCTCAATGAACATTATTTTATTTTATTTTGAGACTGTTGCCCAGGCTGGAGTGCAATGGCGCCGTCTCGGCTCACTGCAACCTCTGCCTCTGGGGTTCAAGCGATTCTCCTGCCTCAGCCTCCTGAGTAGCTGGGATTACAGGCACCCCACCACGCCTGGCTAATTTTTGTATTTTTAGTAGAGATGGGGTTTTGCCAGGCTGGTCTCGATCTCCCGACCTCAGGTGATCCACTTGCCTCGGCTTCCCAACGTGCTGGAGTTACAGGTGTCAGCCACCGTGCCCGGCCTCAATGAACAGTTATAATGATCCACTTTGATTCTGTTTCATTACAGGAAAAATTAAGAGCATTTTGTTGTGCATGCTCACTCTTGTAATTTCCTCCTCCTGCTTTTATTTCAAATGCCAAAAATGTGTGCCTATCTATTCTGACATCAACTAGAATAGGACTGGATTACATATGCAAACACAGTGGCCTCAGTTTTTCTCTTTACCTTAGGGGAGCCCTAAGATTTTCTGTGAAGCTGCTGATGGGCTGCAACTTGCTCTCTGCCCCATCTATGCCCCTTTTACTGAATGTACAAGGTAGAATAATTTGACAGAATTGGGAGACTGTATGATAACTGATAACTACTGTTTATTAGTTGCTTACTGTGTGCCAAACAGCCAAACATTGGATGATTAGTTTGCATAAAACATCTCATTTAAAGTGCAGGTGAATTTATGAGGTAGATACTATTACTATCTGTATTTATAGATGAGGAAACTGAGGTTAGCAAGGTAAAATGAGTTGACCAAGGTCACAGTCAACAAATGGTGGAGCCAGGATTAAAATTCAAACTTATTGCCAAAGCTTGGGCCTCTAACCACTACGATATACTGCAAGTATGGCTTTTATATGTGCTGGGAAGTAATACCTAGAAGTATATCTTAGTAGCAGTTCCATAAGTGGACCTTACAAATACAGATTTTAAACAGAAGGCCCTTTCATCATCACCTCTAGCTGACTGCCCAGATGCAGGTTATTCAGCTGTATAAACATATGGGTTCAACTTTTGACTTGATACTCCTTAAGTAATTCAGCCTAGAAACTCCCTCCATAGCTCTATAATAGTGTATTCACCAACCATCAAGGGAAGAATCAGGCACAATATGCTCTTATTGATTAAGTATTCTATACAAACTGAGATGTGGTACAGAATGTGGAGTGCTAATGTTTACATTTAGATAGCTAAAACAGGTGCTTACGTACACAAATGCCTATTTCAGAGGCCTGTGAGAGACTGTCATTGGACCTGCATGCCTAAAATTGGAAAAGATTATGGATAATATGTTCATGGGTTCATCTGTAATAAAAGTTGTATGGTGCCAGGTAGCAAAAAAGGCATGTCAGGCAATGATGGGAGCTAACTTTAAAAAACACATAAGAAGCATTGCTCAATTTTTATAAAGCACGTTGATACAATCAGAGCATTAAATTGTCAAGAAGCATGACTACAAGGGTTCAAGTTCAGGAAAGGCCTTTTTTTTTGTTTTTGTTTTTTGTTTTTGTTTTTGTCAGAAGATGAGGAGTCCCAATGACAGGAGACTGAAAAGGGACTAGTATTCTTGGTGTTCTTTGGGAAGAGAAAAGTAGAAAAGATAGGAGTGAAGTATTAGATCAGTTTTCCTCCATTTAAGTGGGAAAAATGCTATAAGTTTACTGTGCTCCACTGTTCTTGACGTCTCTGTTACCAGGAAGTGCAGGAATCCTCAGTTCTTAGTCTTGGAGAAAGAATTCTACCAAGCGGCTGATTTAGCCAAAGAAAAGAACTTATTGAAGGAAAACAGAGAGCAGAGAGCTTATTTAGAGAGACAGTACACTCTCAAAAGATAAAGCAGAGTGGACCCCTGAAAGGGAGTGAGCCAGCAGCACCCTGAGAGTTCTGCCTTGAGTTTTTAAGATGTTGGGTTTGTCTTGGAGTTCCCGCCTCTGTCTTAAGTCTCTGCCTTTTTTCTTTGTCTAGTTTTCCATCTCCTGCCTTAAGTCTCTGCCTTTTCCTGGCCTAGTTCCCACCCCAGGGTTGTGGGACCCTCTTTTACTATTAGTTGTTGCACATGCGTGGGCCTGGTGTTGGCTATGAATTGCACCTATGTATTTCTTAGAAATTTCCTCCTTTGCCCTCTTTCTTTTATCATCATGCATCTAGCTACATTCTGACAGGTTAACTGAAGACTGAATGATTACTGGGCATCTTAATGGGCATTCCTTCCTGCATAGGTATTTCCCTTCCGCTGTGCTTATAACTAGCATGCATGTTTTGGGTGATCTCTGGGGTGTGAGATTTTCTAGGCTTTCCTCCCCAAAGGGGCTCTCTTCTCTTGCTCACGACTGGCTATCTGCCTACTCTAATATCTGTGGGTGAATAGAGAGGCACTATACCCTAGTGAATAAGAATGTCTGGGTGGGATTGGGGAAAAAATGTGGGATCTGGAAGCAGAGTGCCTCAGATTAAATCCTAGTTCTGTCATTTACTAGCTGTGTGACCTTGGGCAAATTACTTTACATTTCTATACTTAAATTTCCTAATCTGTAAAATGCTAACATCAATAGTATCTATCTTGTAGGGCTGTTATAATAATTATATTATTAATCATGGCAAAGTCTAGCACACAATAAAAGCTTAATAAGGGCCAGCCATTTCTATTTTATGTGTTTGGCGTGATGCTGTCCATGTGTTTGTATCATTGTTAGCCCTAGTAATGTGTTTTGATGAGAATTCCTTGAGGGCTGGGCCTGGATGACTTGTCTATTATAGCAAAATGCACTTTTCGTGAACTTTCTTTGAGCTTTGGTGAATGGGTTTTATTTGCCAGGAGGGTGAGGACAGAGTTGACTGAGCTTCAAAAAAAGTTTGACTATTAACATAGAGATTTTCAAGTCAGAAAGCCTTGGGGTTCTTTTGTGGTTGTTTACTTTTTTAAGTACCTCAAAAAAAAATCCCTACTTCCCTTCTTCCCTCCACACTCTGATACCCCCTCCACCTCAGCCCAGGGTGTATTTTCCTTATACATCTACAAACATTGCATGGGGTTTGGGAAGTGGCAACAGGGAGGCAGAGCAGCAGGCCAAGCCGAGCCCACGATGTTGGATGTTGGCAGGGAGCCAGGATGGCATTGATGACTTTTGCACTAGAGGAAAGCTCCAGTTTCTCTCACTGTTTGATGGCTTTTTGGATGGTTGAAAAATAAAACTCAATCTGTCATGTAACTAACTGCATTTGTTTTAACTGCTTAATTCCACACTCTGTGCTAACCAAATTCTTTATAGTAAGTTTACTGTTCATTCCAGATGTTAGTCCTGAAAACAAATAATTTCCTTTGCAGTGGAAGTCCAATCCAGAAAATGGAAATAAAATATTGGTCTGATATGATGCTAATAAGTCAGCCTAGGGGCCTGATATACCTGATATCTAGCAATTGTAATGATAAAAATGTGTAGCAAGTAGTGTCTAGAGTTGTTTAAAGTAGTTGAATGAGAGGCTGAGAGCTCAGCATTAATTGTTTGATTTTATTATTTATTTATTTATTTATTTTGTTTTGGAGACAGAGTCTTGCTCTGTCACCCAGGCTAAAGTGCAGTGGTGCAATCTCGGCTCACCGCAACCTCCATCTCCCAAGTTCAAGGAATTCTTCATGCCTCTGTCTCCCAAGTAGCTGGGATTATAGGTGCTTGCCACCACACCTGGCTAATTTTTGTATTTTAATAGAGACAGGGTTTCGCTATGTTGCCCAGGCTGGTCTCGAACTTCTGAGATCAAGCAATCCATCTGCCTTGGCCTCCCAAAGTGCTGGGATTACAGGTATGTATGAGCAATCATGCATGGCCAGTTGTTTGATTTTATAGATAGAGATGCTGACATTTAAAGATTGTAGTTCCAAAGGTGACTTAGCCTGATAAATGCATGTTGCTTTACTTGTATTCAAAGCTAACATGTTAGGTTAGTTTGGAGGCTCCTGTCCAGGGTTGAGGGAGAGTTGCAGATATGGTCAGGCCTTTTGATTGAGACTGTTTTCCAAGATTCAAATGCTCCTGTCTGCATCCCAGCTCACTAAAAATGGAATTAATCCATGGATTCCCAAGTTATTATTGACTGGATACTGAATAGCTATCAGCAACAAACTAGCCGGGTTATATTAGATCAAAGAAAAAGAAACACTTTTATGTAGCTATATTGTGCTTTACAAAAAAGCCCAATCATCTTTTTTATAAAGCATAACATCAGGAAACCATACTTACCTTAATGTTTAACAGAGGTTCCCAATGAACAGTTTAAAAAATTACATTCATGATTTGTTTCTTCAGTAAAATGTTGATATTTTCGTATCTTTCAAACCCAACATGCTTTATTTTTCTAAAATATTTAGAAGGCTTATGAAGCAATTTGTGTGCGTGGTTAAAAAGCACCAGAAATAACCATAAAAATCCACCCTCAGATTGATAAAAGCCCCATTCCTATACCAGATTTTGGGAAATAAGATTGCTATGTGCCCATGATTCAAATTTTGGGGCTAGTATTCCACCCATGTGGGTGTAACTAGAGGCCAGAGGCACTAGGTATATTGTTGGGCCTGTCTGGTCCTTTTGGAATGCTGGTTGATTCAAGAACCACCTGGTTTCACAATTGCTTTAATCCCAAAAACCAAATGCTTTTGAGAATTAGCCTAAATATAGTCTATCCTGGAGAAATTATTATTTTCTTAGTATCCTGTATACCCAGGATGCTGGTTCTTTATGCAGTGGCAGGGAAGTATTTTGGAGCATATGAAGATAGTGGTGTGTCAGGAGCAAATTGGTAACATTCCAATCTAATGTAGGTTTCATACATGGCTATCAGATAAATCTGTTTTCTTATAGCACTTAACATTATCTAATACTGTATATTTGTTTATTGATTTATTATCTTTCTTACTCTCTAGTTTTTAAGTCCCATGAGGGTAAGGGACACTGTATGTTTTGTGCTCCATTGCTATTTTTTTTTTAACCATCCAACCGTGTTTAGAACATAGTAGGTATTCATTAAATATTTATAAAATAAATAATGAACTGCTTTATAGCAAAGTTTCCCTAAGGAGCTGCCTTCCTAAACATCTTTGGACAAGACTCTATACTCAAATCAATATTTACCTAAACTATCTCAATTGTAGCTCATTTACAATTTAGTTTCTGATTATTTCAGCCCCTGTCACATTGGGGTGACTCCTATATGATGGACTAGTATGCCTATTTGTTGAACAACAATCTCTAAGCAACAATCATATGAGTTGAGAATCTCCTTTTGAACATTGCCTTCAATGAATCAAATAGCAAAGGGAATATTATTTCTTCAGGTCCTCACCATAACTTTAGCGTTAGCTATATTCTGCAGCTTAATCACAGATGTGATTCAAAAGTCATGGTTCTGAGTACTTGTGACTGTCCTTATAGGACAAAAGTTTTCTATCAATGAGATTACTAAGTTATTTGTTCAATTAATTAATTATCAGCGTTAGTCTCGGTGTATTTTTAAAATAATTTTCCCATGTCCTTCTGACAGTTTTAGACAGAGTAATCTGTCTAAAACAGAAATCAGATAGTCACTTCTCTTAAAAAAGCCATCATTTTGGCTTTCCACCATCTACAAAATAAAGCTTCGAATTCTTCGCATGGCATATGTGCTAGAAAATTTCCATTTGCTTCTGCAGATTTACTTTCTCTCCTGTTCTGTGCCTAGGGAGGCTGACCCCATATGGACTGCACAAATAGACTCTCTTGCCCTCTGGCTTCCAGTAGGGTTTGGCCAATGGGAGGTGTCAGCAGGAGACTGGAGAGGGTGCCGAGAATGTAGCTGGGATATTTATTCTTCAGGTTCCTCTCTGACAGGTTGCTGTAAGTTGGCTGCATCCTTTTATGAATCTTGCAACACCTATAGGCCCTTTTCTTCAATGTTTAAGGGTAGTAACCACTTAATATTATTTGCCCCAGAGTACTGTGACCATATTACCTTACATGACAAAAGAAACTTTACAGAAGTGATTAAGTTAAAGATCTTGAAATGGGGAGATTATACTGGATTATTATTTTCCTAGATTATTTGAGTGGGTACAAGGTAATCACAAGGGTGATTATGAGAGGGACTCAGGCGATCAGAGTGAGTAGTAGGAAAAGTGATTACAGAAGCAAGAGGTTGGAATGCAGATGGCCTCTAGAAACTAGAAAAGACAAGGAAACTGATTCTCTTCTAGGTTCTCCAGAAGGAATCCAGGTCTATCAGTACCTTGATTTTAGCCCAGTGAAACCCAGACTCATGACTTTCAGAACTACAGGTTAATAAATTTGCATTGTTTTAAACCACTAAGTTTGTGATAAATTGTTACAGCAGCAATAGGTAACAAATTATGTATGGTTGTCCTCATTATGCATCCAGCACAGTGAAACATGGTATGGGATAGAAATGCTCTTTCTCCTTATGTCTAGATATGCACTACCTACTCATCATTCCAGTTCTAATTCAAATACCACCTCCTTTAGGAAGCCTTTGTTATCCTACCTATAGTTACCACTTCTCAATTTGGCTAGTACTTTACTAAAAGATTTTTTTGGTTCTGATGGCTTCTTACCTTGTTATAGTTTGTTTTAGTGTGTTTAGTGTGTTTAGTGTGTTTGTTTTAGTGTGTTTAGTGTGTTTGTTTTAGTGTTTAGTTTGTTTAACTATACTTTGTTATAGTGTGTTTCCTGAGAGTGAGAGTTACATTTTATAAATCCTGTACTCCATACATCCCCTGCCACTAATCCAGGCATTGTGCCTTGCACATAAGAAATGCCTAGTAAATATTAGCTGAATGAGTGTGTGGTTAGAAGTAAAATTAACCAAGAATGTAATAAGAGTAAACATCCTGAATTGGGCTATGAAGTTGTCATTTCATCTTAATTATGGATATTATATTTGCATCTGTTTTATGAGTTTTTTATAGACAGATTTGAATTCCCACTTGGAGGAATTGTGTACTTCACAAGAGGTGTCATCTTGTTCTTTTATACAGACAGCGTACATGAACACCAGGGGGAGTTTCATTAGTGCACTAGAAAGGTAGGGTGGACCCTCTCTTACCAGCTCTATTTGACTGCAGCCCTTCTGATTTCCTCCTAGGAAGTCCAGTTCTGCACCACAATTAAGTGATTGCCAAAGGAGGGATGTACAAATAAGTTAATGAATATTGGTTAAGTGCTTAGTGTATGCGAGGCAAAATATTATAAACATTTTTATAGATTGGTTAATGCAGAGATGTGTAAAGCACAAAAGTTGCCCTTAAAAAGCTTACAGTCCAAGTGAGGGCACAAAGTTTGGTTAACTTTACCTCAACATTTATCTCTTGATTAATGTGCTTCTCTACCATAGGGTCATTTAGAAATTCTTTCTCCTCTTGCTTTCTGTGGTAGCAAGCAAATTAAAATTTTATGTTTCCAAAAATTCTTACCGTCAATATAGCTAGCATAATGAGTACTGAGATGTTTTAATAAAAACCTGTTTCCTTAAAAATAGATGAAGGCTCTAGACCTACATAATAAATCTTTACTTGCTAAATCTGGTTTCTGTTGTGTTTTTGGTGGTTTGGGGACTTCAAGTGAAACAAAGCCAGGGAAGGGGACATTTATTCTAATTTACACCCTGCAACAGCTGTTCTAAAAAGAAGATGGCAGTGAAGTATATAAGACCTTTGGTAAAGAGTTTTCATCGACTAGCTTCGATTTTACACTGACCATTCCTATTTGGGACTTTAAGTTCTTCTGAAGGTTAATTACAACATTGCAAGGCAACGGAACTTAGTTCACAGAGTCAAGAGAAAGCCCCCCATCCCATGAAATGGGTCTCTACACAAAGGCGATTGGTTACTATGTTTCGGGTATCAATGAGATGTCTATCCTGTCACATTGATAGAATAGTCAACTTTAAGTAATGTTCCAAGTGCAGGGGTAAAAAAATAAGGAAGGTGAAGCCTGGAGAAAATGCTCAAGTTTTGTGAAAGATGACGAAGAAGATGATGATGATGACGATGATGTTTTTTGTGTGCTGTTATGTATAAGGCACTAGGCAAGGCATAATAAGCAAGGCAAAGGTGAATGGAACCTAGCCTGCAAGAAAGGCCTTGCAATATAGCTGAATCCAAAAATAATAAAACAATAAATGACAGTATAGAAAATCATATGCAGGATGCCAAATGAGAATTGTTCCTCTATATTGTAAGCTTAAGTATATATAGCTATATGCCTGATCTTGGGTCTTGAATCTACCCAAGGCTTTCCTTCTTCACTTTCAACATCACTATACTTCTCTTTTGAAGTCATCTTGATTTGGATTTTCTGGATATGGAAAAACTACCAAGGCAGCTTCCCAGGATGAAAGTGAGAAAAACAAGAAGTAGCTAAATGTGCCCCCTGAAAACCATATTTTAGGGAAGAGCTTAGGCTTTTAGGGATAAATACACAGTATAGAATAGTCCAGTACGGATCTATGGATAATCCACTTTCCCCTGCCACCTCAGAATATCTGCATGGGTATTCTCTTTTGTGTCCTTGCCTTTTCCACTTATTTTTTCACTATGGTTGCTCAATAAAAAGGTACTGGGTTTGAAATCTTGTCTAATTCATGATCCTTTTTTACTGTCAGTGATTTAATAATTTGTATTGTAGAATTTCAGAATGTGTCAGTGGCTAATCATTTGTTTGTTCTTCAACTTATATTTATCCATGTCTAATGTATACTAGGCAATGTGCTAGGAACTGCATGTAAACTGAATAGAACAGGTACTATTCCTGCCATGAAGGAGCTTACATTCTAATAACCAATAGATATATTTTAAAAATAGATTCAAAAATAAATGCATGATTACAAATTGTGATAAGTTCTATGAAAGACAAGTTATGCTTTGAAGGAGAGTAATGATGGGGATTGTGGTGCCACTTTAGATAGGTTTATTAGGAAAGGTCAATCTGGGGAAGTGATATTTCAACTGAGACCTGTTAGAAAGGAATTTGCTATAAAGAAAGCATAACTGGGCTAGGAGTATTTCAGGCAGAGAAAACAGCCTATGTTGAACCTCTGAGGTGGGAACAGATGGTCATAGTCTAGGACCTGAAGCAAGGGCACTGTGACTGGACCAAGAGAGTGAGGTTTTATAGAAGGGCTAATCAAATAGGCAAGGGCCAGATCACATAGGCTCTGATAAACATAAAAATGTTAATTTTGTCCTAAATACAAAGAGAAGCCATTGAAGTATCTTAGGCAGAGGCATGACATGATTTATGTTTTAAAAGCATCAGTTTATTTGTTGTACAAAGAGTTTAGTGTGAGGAGGAAAAAAAGAGAAAACAGATAATTTAAGAGTACTGTAAGATAACGGGTACTTGAACTAGAATGGTGGCAGGGAAGGAGTGGCCAATTTGAGAGAAGCAGTTACAACATCTTTGTGAGAAAATTATACACTATATTCTCACTTATTTGGGAAGCTCAGAAAGAGAACATTTGAGGATAGATTAGCTTGATATATCATTTCATAGCATGCTATATGAATACTCCTATATATTAAGAACTGTGGCAAAGTTGAGTGAAACTCCAGGACACTCAACTCAGTGTTTGCTTTGATTTACTGGGTAGGTGTACTGATATGCACGTGTATATCTTCTGAGAATCCACTGATGTTGGAGGATTTTGAATCTATTTACTGAATAGTGATAAATAGTGGTAATAAGAATTATTTTCAACTTGGATGGTTTTCTTTTAAAGGTTTCTTGATTAAGTAATTTAAAAAATTTTTTTTAATTTTTTATTTTTCCATAAGTCACTGGGGTACAGGTGGTATTTGGTTGCATAAGTTCTTTAGTGGTGATTTGTGAGACTTTGGTGCACCCATCACCCGAGCAGTATACACTGCACTCTATTTATAGTCTTTTATCCCTCACCCCCATTCTACCCTTCCCCCCATGTCCCCAAAGTCCATCGTATCATTCTTATGCCTTTGCGTTCTCATAGCTTAGCTCCCACATATCAGTGAGAACATACAATGTTTGGTTTTCCATTCCGGAGTTACTTCACTTAGCATAATAGTCTCCAATCTCATCCAGATAGCTGCAAAGGCCATTAATTCATTCCTTTTTATGACTGAGTAGTATTCCATCAAATAAATATACCACAGTTTCTTTACCCACTCGTTGATTGATGGGCATTTGGGTTGGTTCCACGATCTTGCAATTGCAAACTGTGCTGCTATAAACATGCATGTGCAAGTATCTTTTTCAAATAATGACTTCTTTTCCTCTGGGTAGATACCCAGTAGCAGGATTGCTGGATCAAATGGTAGTTCTACTTTTCGTTCTCTAAGGAATCTCCACACTGTCTTCCATAGTGGTTGTACTAGTTTACATCCTCACCAGCAGTGTAGAAGTGTTCCCTGTTCACTGCATACATGCCAACATCTACTGTTTTTTGATTTTTTGATTTTGGCCATTCTTGCAGGAGTAAGGTGTTATTGCATTGTGGTTTTGATTTGCATTTCCCTGATCATTAGTGATGTTGAGCATTTTTTCATATGTTTGTTGGCCATTTGTATATCTTCTTTTGAGAATTGCCTATTTATGTCCTTAGCCCACATTTTGATGGGATTGTTTTTTTTTTTTTTTCCTACTGATTTGTTTGAGTTCATTGTAAATTCTGGATGTTAGTCCTTTGTCAGATGTGTAGATTGTAAAGGTTTTCTCCCACTCTGGGTTGTCTGTTTACTCTGCTGATTTTTCTTTTTGCTGTGCAAAAGCTCTTTAGTTTAATTAAGTCGCAACTATTTATCTTTGTTTTCATAGCACTTGCCTTTGGGTTCTTGGTCATGAAATCCTTGTCTAAGCCAATTTCTAGAAGGGGTTTTCCAACATTATCTTCTCGAACTTTTATAGTTTCAGGTCTTAGATTTAAGTCCTTAATCTATCTTGAGTTGATTTTTGTATAAGCTGAGAGATGAGGATCCAGCTTCATTCTCCTACATGTGGCTAGCCAATTATCCCAGCACCATTTGTTGAAAAGGGTGTCCTTTCTCCACTTTAGGTTTTTGTTTGTTTTGTGGAAGGTAAGTTGGCTGTAAAGTATTTGGGTTTATTTCCGGCTTCTCTATTCTGTTCCATTGGTCTATGTGCATATTTTTTTATACCAATACCATGCTGTTTTGGTGACTATGGCCTTATAGCATAGTTTGAAATCAGGTAGTGTGATGCCTCTAGGTTTGTTCTGTTTGCTTAGTCCTGCTTTGGGTGTACGGGCTCTTTTTTGGTTCCATATAAATTGTATAATTCTTTTTTCTAATTCTGTGAAGAATGATGGTGGTATTTTGGTGGGGATTGCATTCAATTTTTAGATTGCTTTTGGCAGTATGGTCAATTTCACAATATTGATTCTACTTATCCATGAGCATGGGACATGTGTATCACAATATTGATTCTACTTATCCATGAGCATGGGATGTGTGTATTAGTCAGGGTTCTCTAGAGGGACAGAACTATTAGGAGATACATATATATATATATATATATATATATATGGCCTTCCTTTTTTCTATATATATAGACTTCTATATATTATATGTATAATATATTTTATATATATAAGTTTATTAAGTATTAACTTATATGAGCACAAGGTCCCACAATAGGCTGTCTGCAAGCTAAGGAGCAAGGAGAGCCAGTCCAAATCCCAAAACTGAAGAACTTGGAGTTCAATGTTCAAGGGCAGGAAGCATCCAGCATGGGAGAAAGATGTAGGCTGGGAGGCTAGGCCAGTCCTTTTCATGGGTTTCTGCTTGCTTTATATTTGCTGGTAGCTGATTAGATTGTGCCTACCAGATTAAGGGTGGGTCTGCCTTCCCCAGCTCACTGACTCAAATGTTAATCTCTTTTGGGTACACCTTCACAGACACAACCAGGACCAATACTTTGTATCCTTTAATCCAATCAAGTTGACACTCAGTATTAACCATCACAATGTGTTTCCATTTGTTTGTGTCATCTATGATTTCTTTCAGCAGTGTTTTGTAGTTTTCCATGTAGAGGTCTTTTGCTTCCTTGGTTATTTATATTCCTAAGTATTTTATTTTTTTGTGGCTATTGTAAAAAGGGGTTGAGTTCTTGATTTGATTCTCTGTTTGGTTGCTGTTGGTGTATAGAAGAGCTACCAATTTGTGTACATTAATCTTGTATCTGGAAACTTTGCTGAATTCTTTTATCAGTTCTGGGAGCTTTCTGGAGGAGCCTTTAGGGTTTTTAAGGTAAATGATCATATCATCAGCAAACAGTGACAGTTTGACTTCCTCTTTACCGATTTGGATGTCCTTTATTTTTTTCTCTTGTCTGATTGCTTTGGCTAGGACTTCCAGTACTATGTTGAAGAGGAGTAGTGAGAGTGGACGTCCTTGTCTTGTTCCAGTTCTCAGAGGGAATGCTTTTAACTTCTCCCCATTCAGTATAACATTGGCTGTGGGTTTGTCATAGACAGCTCTTATTACCTTGAGGTATGTCCCTTCTGTGCCGATTTTGCTGAGGCTTTTAATTCTAAAGGATGGTGGATTTTGTCAAATGTTTTTTTTTTCCTGCATTTATTGAGATGATCATGTGATTTTTGTTTTTAATTCTGTTTATGTGGTGTATCGCATTTATTGACTTGTGTACATTAAACCATCCCTGCATCCCTGGTATGAAACCTACTTGATCATGGTGGATTATCTTTTTGATATTAAGTTGTTGGATTTGGTTAGCTAGCATTTTGTTAAGGATTTTAGCGTCTATGTTCATCAAGGATATCAATCTGTAGTTTTCTTTTTTGGTTATGCCCTTTCTTGGTTTTGGTATTAGGGTGATGCTGGCTTCATAGAATGAATTAGGGAGAGTTCCTTCTTTCTCTGTTTTGTGGAATAGTGTCAAAGGGATTGGTATCAACTCTTCTTCGAATGTCTGGTAGAATTCTTCTGTGAATCCTTCTGGTCCTGGACTTTTTTTTGTCGGTAATTAAAAGATTACCATTTCAATCTTGCTGCTTGTTATTGGTCTCTTCAGGGTATTGTTATTGGTCTCTTCAGGGTATCTAATTCTTCCTGATTTAAGCTAGGAGGGTTGTATTTTTCCAGGAATTTATCCATCTCTTCTAGGTTTTCTAGTTTATGTGCATAAAGGTGTTCATAGTAGCCTTAAATGATCTTTTTGTATTTCAGTGGTGTCCGTTGTATTATCTCCTGTTTTGTTTTTTAATGAAGTTCTTTAGATTTTCTCTCTTCTTTTCTTGGTTAATCTTGCTAATGGTCTATCAATTTTATTTATATTTTCAAAGAACCAGTATTTTGTTTCATTTATCTTTTGTATTGTTTTTTATTGTATCAATTTCATTTAGTTCTGATCTGATCTTGGTTATTTCTTTTTTTCTGTTATGTTTGGGTTTGGTTTGTTATTGTTCCTCTAGTTCCTTGAGGTGTGACCTTAGAATGTCAGTTTGTGCTCTTTCAGTCTTTTTGATGTAGGCAGTTTAGGTCTATGAACTTTGCTATTAGCACCGCCTTTGCTGTATACCAGAGGTTTTGGTCGGTTGTGTCATTATTGTTGTTCAGTTTGAACAATTTTTTAATCTCCATCTTGATTTTGTTTTTGTCCCAATGCTCATTCAGGAGCAGGTTATTTAATTTCCATGTATTTGCATGGTTTTGAAGGTTCATTTGCGAGTTAATTTCCAGTTTTATTCCAGTGTGGTCTGAGAGAGTGCTTGATATAATTTCAATTTTCTTAAATTTATTGAGGCTCATTTCATGGCCTATTATATTGTCTATCTTGGAGAAAGTTCCATGGGATATTTAATAGAATGTGTATTCTGCAGTTGTTGGATGAAATGTTCTGTATATATCTGTTAAGTCAATTTGTTCCAAGGTATAGTTTAAATTTATTGTTTCTTTGTTGACTTTCTGCCTTGATAACCTGTCTTGTGCTGTCAGTGGAATATCGAAGTGACCCACTATTATTGTGTTGTTGTCTGTCTAATTTCTTAGGTCTATTAGTAATTGTTTTATAAATTTGTGAGCTCCAGTGTTAGGTGCATATATGTTTAGAATTGTGATATTTTCCTGTTGGATAAGGCCTTTTACCATTATATAATATCCCTCTCTGTCTCTTTTAACTGCCGTTGTTTTAAAGTTTGTTTTGTCTGATATAAGAATAGCTAAGTTATTTTTAATGTTTGATAATCACCCAATTAACTGCCTACAAATACTCAAATTTTACTAAGCACCACTGGAAGCATAGAAAAAGGTGTAACATATTGTTCTGGCTGCGTAACAAACTATCCTCAAAATAGTGGCTTACAAAAATAACAGTCATTCATTTTGTTTATAAATATAAGAATTGCTTGGATTCAGCTGGGGAGTTTTTGCTCAGTTCTCTGGTTTTATCAGATATGTGGCCATAGTCAGATGATGAATGGAGTTGGGGTATCTCAAAGATAACTCTATGCCATGGGCTATTCTGGGAAGATTCAAACAGCTGGTCATAGGAGCAGTCAGGGCACCCCAGGCATGTCCCTCTATTTCTGTGTAGCTTTTCCATGTGGTCTTTCCACATGGTGGTATAAGGGTGGCTAGACTTCTTACATGGTAGCTAAAGACTCCTGGTGTAATGTCCCATGAGAAAGCTGCAGAAACCTAGTTTCAGAAGTCACCTCTGTGGCATTATATTTATTGAGGCAGTCACAAGGTTCTACTTAGGTTCAAGGGGAGGGACCTCAGACTCTATCTCTTAATGAGAAGAATGAGAAAGAATTTGGGAATATGGATTGTTATCACCAAAGACCTGATCCGTTATTTAAAAAGCAAAACAAAACCAAAAACTTACATTTAATTGGGCATTACCAAAGAGAGAACTGTGCATATTTATAAACATATGTATACTTGATAGCACTTTATTTTTAGAAGGTTCATGCTATCCATTTTCTTTTTCTTTTTTTTTTCATGCTATCCATTTTCAAGCAGGGATTTATGTCATACTTTCTCTGACTAAATTTGTAGCACATAAGAAAATTGCAGATTATCTAATTATTTTATTTGCCAAGCTAATTGAAACCAAATACAACAGGCATTTACATTGTTTTATTTAATTAAAGTAAGAAGGTGTAGAGCTATAAATATTTTTCTTTAGTGACAAATGCAAATCATTATTTAAAAAAATAAGCACAAACACTTTAAATTTTGAATTGCTTTAATTCTTGAAATGAATTTTAATAAACAAAGTCAACAATGTCAGCCAGGTACATAAAATATACTATGTTATTTAACCCAAAATTCTTCCTCTTCATATTAATTTTTAGTCAGAAAAAGAGCAATGAGGTTTTCTTCTCTTTTAATTCATAAATGATTTAACAATTAAGAATGAATTAAGCTGAGGGGCATTATTTCTATACTTTCTGTACTGGCAATTATTGTTTAATGCAAAAAAAAAAATAAACAACAAAGACTTGGACTCTTTTTGTAGTTTCTGATAACTCTAGGCACAGAGGGACATCTGCTACTAGATGACTGTTTTAAAAGCCTCAAAGAAAAAAATACTTTTGAAAGATTTTGAGACATTATGATATTATGGAGGGATGGTAGCTTAATGTTGTATTAGCATAAACTCCTGTTCATCAAGCAAGAATTGACCTTAGTGAAGAAGACTGAGAACGTTGTCAAGAAAATGATCTAGGTATGACATTTCATCTGTTGTGATCTCTAAAATGTTTCTCTAAAAAGTTATGTCAATTTCTTATTTAAATTGCCATCTAATTTGAAGTTTTACTCCCTATTCCAGAAGAGCATTTTGAGTCAAACATGCCTTAAAATAAAGCTCTCCTTAAATATTTTACAAAAACAATTTGAAATGACTACAATTTTCATTTTTAAGTCATCTTAAAAAATACCGTTTTGAATGTCCAAAAAGTAGGAGAGATGTGGTTACTGCATTAATAATGAAAATGCATAACATAAGCTCATCTGTGCAAAACTGTGCTTGTTGCAATTTAATTTTTATTGCGCTTTCCTCAAGAAGGAGGAGAAAGTTAATGCTTAAGAGACGTCGACAATTTCATGAGAGGGCTTCATTGGTGGTCATTATGAGATGGCAGAGTGTGTTGAAATTTGTGTAAAATGCTCTGTGGGCAGGCTAAATATATTTAATACTGCCCAGTGATGATTGGACTTCATTTCTCAGAATGCACTCTATTGCTGATGGAAATAAGATGATTGCGGGCCACTGCATTTTGGAGAATGCAAGCTTATGCCTCTTTCTTCTTATATTGAACCTTCCAATGCAATTTTTTGAAAACTAAGAAACAAATTCACATTAACATATTAAATACAAAATAGAACATGGAAAAGTTGATTCATTTTGCTGGCTTTTAGGATCTGGAGAAAGCTATTTGTTTTTTTGGCATTCAGACTAAAACAAATGAAAATTCTGTCAGTCATTTTATCTTCTGAATATTCAATCTGATTCAAAATTTGGCCTATTTGTAGAAAATTTCCAGGTGTAAGGCACAACTTTAACCTTAAACAGTAGTATAAACAACGTTGTAAATCAAAATGATAGAGCCTGAGAAGAATAAAATCCATAAATAGCTATACATTACCTTTTGTTAGTCTCAACAAATATGAATTTTATACATAAGACTTCCTTAATTTCAGCCACCAAAGAAATCCAATTATCACTGTTACAGAGCCATTGCAACAGGAACTAAGACAATTGTAGAGTGAGGCATCTCAAGTCAATAGAAGTTACACACTTAAAGGAACATAGAGTCCAGCTTCTGCCCTGTTCTTCAGCCTGGAACTTAAGCCAGGACATTATCCCTTTGTTTCTCTTCCTGAAAAGCTTTCTGGAGATCTTAAATGACCCATAAAGCTAAGCTCCTTTTGTTCTGTGTCTTCCTGAAAACCAGTATCGTGGCCCCCAGTGGGTTGAGGTTTCCTAGTCTGTATGCTGAGATGAGCACTATCATCTTGATCTTGGCTGAGTGAAGAGCTAATCTGCATTGGAGATGGGGACAGTTGGAAACTGGCTCCCTGGGGCCTTGCATGTAAGGTGGTAGAGAGTGTATCACTACATTTTACTTCTGAGCTGTGATTTATTCAATATGTCCAGAGACTTTTAAAAATGAACTGGAGGTTTCAATAAATGCCTTGCCTTTAAGATATGTAACCTGTGATTAAAAATAACCCATGCTGAAAGCAGGAGAGTGACCTTTGCAAAAGCAGTAATGGGATATTTTGGTTCTTTTTACCATGCTGAAATAGGTCTATTTAATCTTGCAAATGGAGTAGAGGAAAAAAAAAATGTGTGACAATTAAGTAGAACTCAATCAGTATTGGATGTGGCTCACAGTGAGGAGTCACTACATGTTTAAAATAAATATACATGCAGAACATCTGAACCGTTTATGTGAATTGCAGAGGTATGGCATATAATGGTCATGTGTGTATATGTGAATGTACACCGTGTGCAGATGGAAAAAATACGCATTATGTTGCTAGATTTTCCCATTGTATATTCTCTTTAAGAATTGCCTGAAAACATTAATGTTACTTTCTCAAATGATTGTATTTCTATTGGAAGTAGTTTTAGCATTAGAAACTCTTGGTTCTTTGACTTTCAACAAGACAGGCTTTAGGCTTGAGATTCCCTTAAAAAAAAAGTATTAGTTTCTTTTATTCATTCAGGATTCTGGGGCAGTTTGGAGCTTTAACATATAGCTGCAGGTATGAACTGAAAGAGTTAAGGGACTGACTGCCATGTTATAAGATCTGCTAACTTATTGCAAAAGGGAATATGGTCAATTCAATAGCTAATTGTTATTTGAATTTTCTTCCTTCCACCACAATTGATGATTGGAAAAGAGAGGTAAGGTGTATATACTTTATATAGTATTTATTTTATTTTCTAAAAATGCTTGTCTCTTCATACTTTCAGATCCCCAGATAAAGTGTTGTGACCAACGGTAGACTGAAGTGAAGCAGTGGCTCTCATTACCTGCTTGACATAAATTATGTCTCGAACTATTTCAAGAGGGAAAAAAAATGGAAAAGGCTGTGAAGGGCCCTGGGTGGCAGGTAAGTGCACTTGAGACAGATGTGTTAGAGAAGTTGCTTCTAATATACAAATCCATCCCTAAAAATTGCCTAGCAGTAGTGTGGGGTTGGAGGGGCTTGTTTCTCTCACTGTAGTGAGGTGTCAGGGACAAGCTGCCAGGCAGTAAACTCACTTGTGCACTGAGTTTAGAATGGCGTGCTATGTTTGTTAATGCTACCACTTTCTTTTCAACTGCCTGCCCACCTTTGTTGGGCAGGAGCTTCTGACGGCTGCTGGAATGCCAAGTGACACGACAAATGATCTGCCAGTGTTTTCCTGTTAGCCCTGTGCAGTAAGGATTTTGCTGATGGATTAGGCCCCGGGAAAGTATTAGGAAAGCAGCATTTTTTCTTTCCTTTCGAATGCTCATAGCACTTTGTGCTTCTCTCTAGTAGAGCAGTTATTGTGCTGTATTGTAATTATCTGTGTCTGCCTTTCCCAGTAGACTGAGTATCTTGATGGCAGGGTCTTTGCCTTATTTATCTTTGTACCCAGGGTCTAGCCCAGTTTCTGGCACACAGTAAAAATTCAATAAATGCTTGTGGATTGAATGAAGAAATGAATGAGAAAAGCATTAATCAAGGCTCTGAGGCCAAACAGAGACCACAATTCTATCACTTATAAGACTGCTAGCTGTTTCTTAACACTTGATTTATTAGAAACTAAGTGAAAGTGTCTGGGACTGGATATCCGTGTTTTGTTCTACAGGACGGGGAGGTATGTGTTCTCTTTCTTTGGAGAAGATGGAAGTTTCTGGGCAGTCATTGTCTCCAAACCTATCAGAGTGTAAGCATAGCACCATGAACCTCTCATTCACTTGAACCATCACAATATTTTCTGTATTTGTGTGATTCCTGGATTACAGTCTGCATCCTCTACTAGACTGTGAGTCCAATGATGGAGGGCAGATACATCTGATTTTGTTTACCATCACAGTCCCAGGATCTAGCATAGTACTTGGTAGAGAGTAAGCACTTTATAAATGAATGAAGGAATGTTTGGAAACACTAAGATGGCTTCTCTTATTCATATAGGTCTTTTCCCCCATTTTCTGGAATAGGCAACTATATGTCCATCAGCGCTCTCAGTATTAAGCTGAAAACTCTTCGGTTTCTACTGTAGCATTTGAGTATACAGTCTCTTTTAGAGAGCTTTAATAAAATTTCTTCGAATTATTTGGCCAAATTATTAATTTTTTTAAAAAAGAGAGTCCATCACCAGAGGTAACATGTTGACTTTTAAAGTGCCCAAGTTTGGAAAACTCTGCAGTTTTGATTTTAATGGAGCCTCTCTGTGAACTTTTAAAGGAGTGAGTGTTTGGCTGCTGCACAGGCTTCTCTCAAGGGGAAAGACCTTTAGAGTGACATTGGGTAATTTAGCCATTAAGGTTAATGTTCGTCTTCTCTCTGTCTATTGAAACTTCTAGGGTAGGCAGTGCAAATAGCTTATCAGGTAGTTTTAAAGGTCATGTGCAAAGGACAAAAAATCCTACACCGCGCATGGAAATGTCCTTAGTAATCAGTGCCTGCTTATGGGAGGAGGGGGCTGAGGGACTCTCTCAGCTCATCTATCTTTTCTTTTCCTCCAGGTCACTTTGTGACAGATTTTGACTTGGTAGCAGCCCAACCTGGAAGGTAGCTAGTTATGCACATCTCTGCTTTCTACATTAGCAGAGTCAGTAAGTTTTTTAAAAAATATTTTAACTTTCTCTCTTCCTCTTCAGCCTCTGCACTCTACCTCTGGGGTGAGCCTGACAGAGACAGGAGCAAAGAATAAACTTCTTTGTTGATGGCCTGCAGCACTGGTCAAACCCTCCTTTCAGAGAAGGAGTCAGAATAAGGATAATGGAATAGCTTAGTCTTTTCCCTTGCTATTACTTTTCCCTTCAGCCTGGGACAAAGCCATGACTCTGTCATCTCTCTGGCCTGCTTCAGTCCTCTATAGAATATATGAATCAAGCACTGCCCTGTCAGATCTGACCGTATTGTGAATTCCTCATAAGTGGATCCCAAGTTCCTCAAAGAAAATGAAAATTTAATCCACCACTCCGGATCCCAGTTGAGATCACCAACCTAGCTTCCTTTGAGATTTCATTGAGTTATTGGTCTTTTTCTTTCTTCTTTCTCTAAGCAGTAAAAAGCATGGGTTGCAGCTGCTTGGGAGATGAAGGAAAACCAAGTTTTAAAAAATGGTAGCTTTGAGGCAGGCATTTAGGAGTGACTCTAATAGCTCTTTCAGAAGAGTGAACTGTACCTTCAGGCTTATTGCAGTCACCCATTGAGAGAGAAATCACAGAATGAGCCTGCAATAATGATAAAATGAAGAATTCATTCCGCTGCAGTGCATCCAATAGCTGCTTTGCATGTGGATTCAGTATTAAGATAAGAGTCTGCTTTTCATTCTGTTTTATTATCTGCTTCTGAGAATATAGCAGCAGGTTTGAAGGATTATATTTTAAAGAAAAAGTTATATTTTCAAAATCCTATTGATGACTACAACCACTCCCTCTATCGCTGCCTTGTCCCTCGCTTCTTCCCTGAGTCTTTGCTGGGAATTCTTTTAAATGAAGAAGAGTTTTATTGCTGCTGCCGTTCCTATATTCAACTTATTTTTGTTTTCTAGAACTCTGGTCTTCCATTTATACTTTTGAGTGGGAACTTGTTGGCAGGCATTTATGAGAGACATCAGAGAAGTACTAGGGATAGCTAAGCAGACTAATTTCCAAATATTCAGCTCTGAGAAGAATGTAGTTTGTTTGAATTTTATTTCATCTTGCAAAGATGAATTCCACATCTCATGGCTATAGATTTGTTTTTGAGGGGATGACCAAAAGGTACATCAGGGCCTCTTTCATGACATTTAATTTTGAACATCAAACAAGGTAGGAAGGCCTGAAGATTGAAACTAGCAAAGGAATAAAGAATTGAATTTTGATTAGGCTTTTGAGTCCAAAGTTAGTTTTTATTAACAACACGAGTTTCATCTTTGAAAAAAAGAAGAGTCAGTCCTTTATCCTCACAGTTCCTTGCAAATGTCATTCTCAAGTATGGCAGCCATAACAATAATAATAACTAGTATATTTTAGGCATCTGCAATATGATAGACATTAGCTATACATAGAAATATATACATATTCCAGTTTTAATAGTCACAATAGCTCTGCAAGACATATATATATATATGTATACATATATGTAAATTATGTATATATAATCTCCCTTTTACAGATGAGGAGACTGAGGCTTAACAAGGTTAAGTTACTAGGCCAATGTTATATAGTTAGTAAGTGGTTGAATTGTTGCTCTCCAAGCCTATGATTTTTTTACTATACATGACCAACTTTCACGTCATTGAGTGAGAGGATTCAAAAGGCCACTTTGTCCTTCAGTTATCAGTGTCCCTTGTCCTTCAGTTATCAGTGTCCTTTCCCCATATGCCTTATACGGTTGGCTTCAGGGAAACTAGAAATAGTTACAGGAATATGGGATTGTTCCAGGAATTCTGTATTTTTGGATAATTTCCTAGGATTTGTCATCTTCTGGAGTCAAAATTTAATATCAAATTTGGATCCCATACTACAAAGATACTCCTGAGATTCCATGGAACAAGCATAACTACAAGGTGGTGAAGATTTACGGTTCAGCTCTCTCAGGATCCTTACTATAAGAAGAGTCTCCTAACTTGCCCCAAAATATAGACTGTGGGTCCCTACATCTCTATTCAAAAAGTAAAATACCATTAGTCCTTCAGAATAAGTTACAGAAAAAAGCTAAAGACCATAAAACCAAAATTTTCCCTCTGCGATTACTAATATGACTAGTCTTCTCAGTATGAACATTGTTATGAAATTTGTACAGCAATGTTAACTTTAAATGTCATTTTAAATATCAAATTTGTGTGTGTGTGTGTGTATGTGTCAGTGTGTGTGTGTATTTTAAGAAATTGTGACATGGAAGGCATATAGTTTAATTTCAAATTAAGAAGTGGTGACCAGTTGATTGAATTTACCTCTAAATATTCAGGGATGATGTAGATACTGAAATATATAGTTAAGAAAAACAAATTAGGTAATATAACACGTACTTCAAACCCCTGGTAGAGGCTCCAATAAGCTGAAATAATCATACCCGCTTTTTACCTAGCTAGGTCCTTAAAATATCATAACTTCATGATAGGTGGTGCCCCTTCTGTGGCTAGAAAGAATAAAGGATTAGTTAAGGTAAATTGCATCAATTTTAATTAATTAACTTTATTGAGTAATAATTTACAGTAGTAAAATTTACTGACATTAAGTGTATAATTTGGTGAGTTTTGATAATGTATACAGTCGTGTAACTACCATCATGATCAAAATGTAGACAATCCTATCAACTCAAAAATTTCCATCAATCCACTTTCCTTACTCTCACCATGGGCCACTGCTTTCTGTCACTATAAATTTATGACAATACTTTTCTAGAATTGCACATAAATAGAATCATATCAGATATGAACCATTCATTCATATCTGTTTTTACATGTATCAGTAGTTCATTCCTTTTATTGCTGAATAGTAATCCACTGTAGGAGTATAACGATTTATCTGTTCACCAGTTGATGGGCACTTGGGTACTTTGCACTTTTTGACTACTGTGACTAATGCTGCTAGAAACATTTGTCCACAATTTTTGGTGTGTATGTACATTTTCATTTCATTTGGTTATGCATTTCATTTGGTTATGCAACTGGGATTAGAATGGCTGGATCAAAGGATAGCTGTATATTTAACATTATAAGAAATCATCAATTTATTTCCTAAAGTTGTATGATTTTACAACACAGCAATTTGAGACTTCCAGTTGCTCTGCATCCAAACCAACACTTGGTATAATCAGTATTTTTAATATTAGCTATTTTAATGGGTGTGTAGTGGTATGTCACAGTGATTTTAATTTGTACATCTTTAATAACTAATGATGTTGAGCAAAATTTCATGTGCTTCTTTTACCATTTTAATTTTTTTGTGACATGTTTATTTCAAATCTTTTGTCCATTTTCTTATTGCGTTGTCTTTTTCTTATCAAATTGTAAGAGTTACATATAAACTTTGCATACATGTCCTTTAAAAGATATATGTTTTGCAAATATTTTCCTACAGTCTGTGTCATGCCTTTTAATTTTCTTGATAGTGACTGTTGAAGAGTACTTTTAATATAGGTGAAGTCCAATTTATCATTCTTCTTTTATGATTTGTGGTTTTTTTTTTTGTACTTTTTTTTTATTATACTTTAAGTTTTAGGGTACATGTGCACATTGTGCAGGTTAGTTACATATGTATACATGTGCCATGCTGGTGCGCTGCACCCACTAACTCGTCATCTAGCATTACGTATATCTCCCAATGCTATCCCTCCCCCCTCCCCCCACCCCACCACAGTCCCCAGAGTGTGATATTCCCCTTCCTGTGTCCATGTGATCTCATTGTTCAATTCCCACCTATGAGTGAGAATATGCGGTGTTTGGTTTTTTGTTCTTGCGATAGTTTACTGAGAATGATGATTTCCAATTTCATCCATGTCCCTACAAAGGACATGAACTCATCATTTTTTATGGCTGCATAGTATTCCATGGTGTATATGTGCCACATTTTCTTAATCCAGTCTATCATTGTTGGACATTTGGGTTGGTTCCAAGTCTTTGCTATTGTGAATAATGCCGCAATAAACATACGTGTGCATGTGTCTTTATAGCAGCATGATTTATAGTCCTTTGGGTATATACCCAGTAATGGGATGGCTGGGTCAAATGGTATTTCTAGTTCTAGATCCCTGAGGAATCGCCACACCGACTTCCACAATGGTTGAACTAGTTTCCAGTCCCACCAACAGTGTAAAAGTGTTCCTATTTCTCCACATCCTCTCCAGCACCTGTTGTTTCCTGACTTTTTAATGATTGCCATTCTAACTGGTGTGAGATGATATCTCATAGTGGTTTTGATTTGCATTTCTCTGATGGCCAGTGATGGTGAGCATTTTTTCATGTGTTTTTTGGCTGCATAAATGTCTTCTTTTGAGAAGTGTCTGTTCATGTCCTTTGCCCACTTTTTGAAGGGGTTGTTTGTTTTTTTCTTGTAAATTTGTTTGAGTTCATTGTAGATTCTGGATATTAGCCCTTTGTCAGATGAGTAGGTTGCGAAAATTTTCTCCCATTTTGTAGGTTGCCTGTTCACTCTGATGGTAGTTTCTTTTGCTGTGCAGAAGCTCTTTAGTTTAATTAGATCCCATTTGTCAATTTTGGCTTTTGTTGCCATTGCTTTTGGTGTTTTGGACATGAAGTCCTTGCCCATGCCTATGTCCTGAATGGTAATGCCTAGGTTTTCTTCTAGGGTTTTTATGGTTTTAGGTCTAACGTTTAAATCTTTAATCCATCTTGAATCGATTTTTGTATAAGGTGTAAGGAAGGGATCCAGTTTCAGCTTTCTACATATGGCTAGCCAGTTTTCCCAGCACCATTTATTAAATAGGGAATCCTTTCCCCATTGCTTGTTTTTGTCAGGTTTGTCAAAGATCAGATAGTTGTAGGTATGTGGCGTTATTTCTGAGGGCTCTGTTCTGTTCCATTGATCTATATCTCTGTTTTGGTACCAGTACCATGCTGTTTTGGTTACTGTAGCCTTGTAGTATAGTTTGAAGTCAGGTAGCATGATGCCTCCAGCTTTGTTCTTTTGGCTTAGGATTGACTTGGCGATGCGGGCTCTTTTTTGGTTCCATATGAACTTTAAAGTAGTTTTTTTCCAATTATGTGAAGAAAGTCATTGGTGGCTTGATGGGGATGGCATTGAATCTGTAAATTACCTTGGGCAGTATGGCCATTTTCACGATATTGATTCTTCCTACCCATGAGCATGGAATGTTCTTCCATTTGTTTGTATCCTCTTTTATTTGCTTGAGCAGTGGTTTGTAGTTCTCCTTGAAGAGGTCCTTCACATTACTTGTAAGTTGGATTCCTAGGTATTTTATTCTCTTTGAAGCAATTGTGAATGGGAGTTCACTCATGATTTGGCTCTCTGTCTGTTGTTGGTGTATAAGAATGCTTGTGATTTTTGTACATTGATTTTGTATCCTGAGACTTTGCTGAAATTGCTTATCAGCTTAAGGAGATTTTGGGCTGAGACAATGGGGTTTTCTAGATATACAATCATGTCGTCTGCAAACAGGAACAATTTGACTTCCTCTTTTCCTAATTGAATACCCTTTATTTCCTTCTCCTGCCTAATTGCCCTGGCCAGAACTTCCAACACTATGTTGAATAGGAGCGGTGAGAGAGGGCATCCCTGTCTTGTGCCAGTTTTCAAAGGGAATGCTTCCAGTTTTTGATTTGTGGTTTTTATATTACATTCAAGAAATCTTTGCCAAATTTAAAGTCTCAAAAATTCTCTCCTATGGTTTCTTTAGGAAGTTGTATACTCTTAGGTTTTACATATAAATACATGATGCAAGAGGGAGGTGAAGCAAGATGGCAGAATAGAAAGCTCCACTGATGGTGCCTACTGTCCCAAAAGAACACCAAGTTAACAACTATCTACACAGAAAAAAACACCTTTATGAGAACCAAAAATTAGTTGAGCACTCACAGTACCTGGTTTTAACTCCTTATCGCTGAAAGATGCACTGAAGAGACAGAAAACACAGTCCTGAATCACTGACGCCACCCCACCTTCGCCGCAGCAACAGCTGTGTGGTGCAGGGAGCCTCTCTGGGCACTGGGAGAGGGAGAACACAGCAACTCTGAGGCATTAAACTCAGTGTTGTCCTGTTAGACCAGAAAGGAAAACAAGACTGAACTCAGCAAACACCCACCCACAGAGGGAGCATTTATTTTTTTTTTTTAATTTTTTTTAATATACTTTAAGTTTTAGGGTACATGTGCACATTGTGCAGGTTAGTTACATATCTATACATGTGCCGTGCTGGTGTGCTGCACCCACTAACTCGTCATCTAGCGTTAGGTATATCTCCCAATGCTATCCCTCCCCCCTCCCCCCACCCCACCACAGTCCCCAGAGTGTGATATTCCCCTTCCTGTGTCCATGTGATCTCATTGTTCAATTCCCACCTATGAGTGAGAATATGCGGTGCTTGGTTTTTTGTTCTTGCGATAGTTTACTGAGAATGATGATTTCCAATTTCATCCATGTCCCTACAAAGGACATGAACTCATCATTTTTATGGCTGCATAGTATTCCATGGTGTATATGTGCCACATTTTCTTAATCCAGTCTATCATTGTTGGACATTTGGGTTGGTTCCAAGTCTTTGCTATTGTGAATAATGCCGCAATAAACATACGTGTGCATGTGTCTTTATAGCAGCATGATTTATAGTCCTTTGGGTATATACCCAGTAATGGGATGGCTGGGTCAAATGGTATTTCCAGTTCTAGATCCCTGAGGAATCGCCACACCGACTTCCACAATGGTTGAACTAGTTTCCAGTCCCACCAACAGTGTAAAAGTGTTCCTATTTCTCCACATCCTCTCCAGCACCTGTTGTTTCCTGACTTTTTAATGATTGCCATTCTAACTGGTGTGAGATGGTATCTCATTGTGGTTTTGATTTGCATTTCTCTGATAGCCAGTGATGGTGAGCATTTTTTCATGTGTTTTTTGGCTGCATAAATGTCTTCTTTTGAGAAGTGTCTGTTCATGTCCTTCACCCACTTTTTGATGGGGTTGTTTTTTTCTTGTAAATTTGTTTGAGTTCATTGTAGATTCTGGATATTAGCCCTTTGTCAGATGAGTAGGTTGCGAAAATTTTCTCCCATTTTGTAGGTTGCCTGTTCACTCTGATGGTAGTTTCTTTTGCCATGCAGAAGCTCTTTAGTTTAATTAGATCCCATTTGTCAATTTTGGCTTTTGTTGCCATTGCTTTTGGTGTTTTGGACATGAAGTCCTTGCCCATGCCTATGTCCTGAATGGTAATGCCTAGGTTTTCTTCTAGGGTTTTTATGGTTTTAGGTCTAACGTTTAAGTCTTTAACCCATCTTAAATTGATTTTTGTATAAGGTGTAAGGAAGGGATCCAGTTTCAGCTTTCTACATATGGCTAGCCAGTTTTCCCAGCACCATTTATTAAATAGGGAATCCTTTCCCCATTGCTTGTTTTTGTCAGGTTTGTCAAAGATCAGATAGTTGTAGGTATGTGGCGTTATTTCTGAGGGCTCTGTTCTGTTCCATTGATCTATATCTCTGTTTTGGTACCAGTACCATGCTGTTTTGGTTACTGTAGCCTTGTAGTATAGTTTGAAGTCAGGTAGTGTGATGCCTCCAGCGTGCCCCCCAGTCCACTATCTCTGGGCCTAGTTCAGCCCTAGGACTGGCCTACAAGTTGCAGTCCTTATGGCCTAGGCTGCCTTTCAAGTTTGCTTGGAAACTGGGAGCACTTTGGCCCTTGGTGGCAAGGTTTGCAGGCACTTATGTTTGGACTGCTGGGATCAGCGACTGCCCTCTTGGTAGAGCTGGATTAGAGGGAGCATTACAAGGTGATAATAACAGAGAACTTCCGAAGCCTAGAGAAAGCTATCAATATTTAACCCAAAGAAGACTACCTCAAGGAATTTAATAAACTCCCAATGGTCAAGGATAAAGAGAGGATCCTAAAAGCAGCCAGAGAAAAGAAACGAATAACATACAATAGAGCTCTAATACATCTGGCTGCAGACTTTTTAGTGGAAACCTTATAGGCCAGGAGAGAGAGGCATGACATATTTAAAGTGCTGAAGGAAAAAAAAAACTTTTACCCTAGAATAGTATATCCAGTTAAAATATAATTCAAATATCAAGGAGAAATAAAGACTTTCCCAGACAAACAAAAGCTAAGGGATTGGGATTTCATCAATACTAGACCTGTCCTATAGGAAATGCTAAAGGGACTACCTTAATCAGAAAGAATAGGACATTAATAAGCAATAAATAATCACCTGAAGGTACAAAACTTACTGGTAATAGTAAGCACACAGAAAAACACAGAATATTATAACATTGTAATTGTGGTGTATAAACTACTGTTATCATAAGTACAAAGGCTAAATGATGAACCAATCAAAAATAATAGCTACAACAAGTTTTCAAGACATAGGTAGTACAATAAAATATAAATAAAAACAACAAAAAGTTAAAAAGTGGAGGGACAGATTTAAGGTGTAGACTTTTATTAGTTTTCTTTTTGCTTGTTTGTTCATACAAAGATTGTTATGTTGCTATCAGGTTAAAATACTGGGTCATAATATAGTATTTGCAAGCCTCATGATAACCTCAAAGCAAAAAACATACAATGCATACACAAAAATGAAAAGCAATAACTTAAATCATATCACCAGAGAAAATTATCTTTACTAGAGCAAGACAAAAATGAAAGAAAGAAGAAAGAGAAGACCACAAAACAACAACAAAAATAGCAAAATGGCAGTAGTAAGTCCTTACTTATCAGTGATAATGTTGAATGTAAATGGACTAAACACTTCAGTCAAAAGACATAGACTGGCTGACTAGATGAAAAACCAAGACCCATTGATCTATTACCTACAAGAAACACACTTTACCTATGAAGAAACATATAGATTGAAAATATAGGGATGTACAAAGATATTCCATGCCCATGCAAACCAAAAAAGAGCAGTCACTATACTTGTATCAGACAAAATAGGTTTCAAGACAAAAACTATAAGAAGAAACAAACAAGGTCACTATATAATGATAAAGGGGTCAATTCAGCAAGATGATATAACAATTTTAAATATATATGCACCAAACACTGGAGCACAAAGGTGTATTAAGGAAATACTATCAGAGCTAAAGAAAGAGATAGGCCCCAAGACAATAATAACTGGAGACTTCAACACCCTACTTTCAACATTGGGCAGAACATCTAGAGAGAAAATCAACAAAGAAACATCAGACTTAATCTGCACTATTTACCACGTGGATCTAATAGATATTTACAGAACATTTCATCCAAGAGCTACAGAATATACATTCTTTTCCTCAACACATGGATTATTCTCAAGGATAGACCATACGCTATGTCACAAAACAAGTTCTGAAACATTCAAAAAATTGAAATAATATCAAACATGTCCTCTGACCACAATAGAATAAAACCAGAAATTAATAACAAGAAGAATTTTGGAAACTGTGAAAATACATGGAAATTAAACAATATGCTCCTGAATGATCAGTGGGTCAATGAAGAAATTAAGAAAAACAGAAAAATTTTTTGAAACAAATGATAATGGAAACACAACATACCAAAACCTGTGGGATACAGCAAAAGCAGTAGGAAGAAGGAAGGTTATAGCTATAAATGCCTACATCAAAAATGAGAAAAAACTTCAAATGAACAAAAATGATGCACGTTAAAGAACTAGAAAAGCAAGAGCAAACCAAACACAAAATTAGTAGAAAAGAAATAATAAAGATCAGAGCAGGGGAGTCTAGCAAGATGGCCAAATAGGAACAGCTCCGATCTGCAGCTCCCAGTGAGACTAATGCAGAAGGTGGGTAATTTCTGCATTTCCAAATGAGGTACCCAGCTCATCTCATTCAGACTGGTTAGACAGTGGGTGCAGCCCACGGAGGGCAAGCAGAAGCGGGGTGGGGCATCACCTCACCCTAGAAGTGCAAAGGGCCAGGGAACTCCCTCCCCTAGCCAAGGGGAGCCATGATGGACTGTGCTGTCTGGCCCAGGTACTATGCTTTTCCCATGGTTTTTGCAACCCACAGACCAGGAGACTCCCTTGTGTGCCTACACCACCAGGGCTCTGGGTTTCAAGCACAAAACGAGGTAGCTGTTCAGGCAGACACTGAGATAGCTGGAGGAGTTTCTTTTTCATACCCCAGTGGCACCTGGAACCCCAGTGAGACAGAACCGTTTACTCCCCTGGAAAGGGGGCTGAAGCCAGGGAGCCAAGTGGTCTAACTCAGTGGGTTCCACTCCCATGGAGCCCAGCTAGCTAAGAACCACTGGCTTTAAATTCTCTCTGCCAGTACGGCAGTCTGAAGTCAGCCTGGGATGATCAAGTTTGGTAGGGGGAGGGGGTTCTGCCATTACTGAGGCTTGAGTAGGTGGTTTTCCCCTCACAGTGTTAAGGAAGCTGAACGTACCACAGCATGGCAAAGAGGCTGTGGCCAGACTGCCTCTCTAGATTCCTCCTCACTGGGAATAATATCTCTGAAAGAAAGGCAGCAGCCCCAGTCAAGGACCTATAGAGAAAATTCCCATTTCCCTGGGACAGAGCACCTGGGGGAAGGGGAGGCTGTGGGTGCAGCTTCAGCAGACTTAAAACATTCTTACCTGCTGGTTCTGAAGACCATCAGATCTCCCAGCCCAGTGCTCAAGCTCTGCTAAGGGACAGACTGCCTCCTTAAGTGGGTCCCTGACCCCTGTGCCTCCTGACTGGGAGACACCTCCCAGGAGAGGTCAACAGACACCTCACACAGGAGAGCTCCATCTGCCATCAGACAGGTACCCCTCTGGGATGACGCTTCCAGAGGAAGGAGCAGGCAGCAATCTTTGCTGTTCTATAGCCTCTGCTGGTGATACCCAGACAAACAGGGTCTGGAGTGGACTTCCAGCAAAATCCAGCAGACGTGCAGAAGAGGGGCCTGACTGTTAGAAGGAAAACTAACAAACAAAGCAATGACATCAACAGCAACAAAAAGGATGCCCTCTCACAAACCCCATCCAAAGGCCATCAGTATCAAAGATCAAAGGTAGGTAAATCCACGAAGATGAGGAAAAACCAGTGCAAAAAATGCTGAAAATTAAAAAAAAAAAAACCCAGAATGCCTCTTGTCCTCCAAATGACTGCAACTTCTCTCCAACAAGGGCACAAAACTGGACGCAGAATGAGTTTGACAAATTGACAGAAGTCGGCTTCAGAAGGTGGGTAATAACAAACTCTTCTGAGCTAAAGGAGCATGCTCTAACCCAATGCAAGGAAGCTAAGAACCTTGATAAAAGGTTACAGGAACTGATAACTAAAATAACCAGTTTAGAGAAGAACATAAATGACCTGATGGAACTGAAAAAACACAGCATGAGAACTTCGTGAAGCATACACAAGTATCAATAGCCAAATCGATCAAGTGGAAGAAAGAATATCAGAGGTTGAAGATCAACTTACTGAAATAAAGCATGAAAACAAGATTAGGGAAAAAAAGAATGAAAAGGAATGAAGTAAGCCTCCAAGAAATATGGTACTATGTGAAAAGACCAAACCTATGATTGATGATGTACCTGAAAGTGACAAGGAGAATGGAACCAAGTTGGAAAACACACTTCAGGATATTATCCAGGAGAACTTCCCCAACCTAGCAAGACAGGCCAACATTCAAATTCAGGAAATACAGAGAACACCACTAAGATACTCTTCGAGAAGAGCAACCCCAAGACACATAATTGTCAGATTCTCCAAGGTTGAAACACAGGAAAAAATGTTAAGGGCAGCCAGACAGAAAGGTCAGGTTACCTACAAAGGGAAGCTTATCAGACTAACAGGGGATCTCTCTGAAGAAACCCTAAATGCCAAAAGAGTGTGGAAGCCAATATTCAATATGCTTAAAGAAAAGAATTTTCAACCCACAATTTCATATCCAGCCAAACTAAGCTTCATAAGCAAAGAAGAAATAAAATCCTTTCCAGACTAGCAAATGTTGATGGAGTTTGTCACCACCAGGACTGCCTTACAAGAGCTCCTGAAGGAAGCACGAAACATGGAAAGGAAAACCCGATATCAGCCACTGCAAAAACACACCAAAATATAAAGACCTATCACACTATGAAGAAACTACATCAACTAATGTGCAAAATAACCAGCTAGCATCATGAGGACAGAATCAAATTCACACATAACAATATTAACCTTAAATGTAAATGGGCTAAATGCCCCAATTAGAAGATACAGACTGGCAAATTGGATAAAGAGTCAAGACCCATCAGTTTGCTGTGTTCAGGAGACCCATTTCACATGCAAAGACACACATAGGCTCAAAATAAAGGAATGGAGGACTATTTTCCAAGCAATGGGAAAGCAGAAAAGGGCAGGGGTTGCAATTCTAGTCTCTGATAAAATAGACTTTAAACCAACAAAAATCAGAAAAGACAAAGCAAGGAATTACATAATGGTAGAGGAATCAATGCAACAAAAAGAAGTAACTATCCTAAATATATATGTGCCCAATTCAGGAGCACCCAGGTTCAAAAAGCAAGTTCTCAGAGACCTACAAAGAGACTTAAACTCATACATAATAATAGTGGGAGACTTTAACACCCCACTGTCAGTATTAGACAGATCAATAAGACAGAAAATTAACAAGGATATTCAAGAATTGAACTCAGCTCTGGAACAAGCAGCCCTAATAGACATCTACAGAACTCTCTAACCCAAATCAAGGGAATGCACATTCTTTTCAGTGCCACATAGTACTTATTCTAAAATCAACCACGTAGTTGGAAGTAAAACACTCCTCAGCAAATGCAAAACAATGGAAATCATAACAAACAGTCTCTCAGAACACAGTGCAATCAAATTAGAACTCAGGATTAAGAAGCTCACTCAAAACTGCACAACTATATAGAAACTGAACAACGTACTCCTTAATGACTACTGGGTAAATAATGAAAATAAGGCCGAAGTAAACAAGTTCTTTGGAACCAATGAGAACAAAGAGACAATGTACCAGAATGTGTGGGAAACAGCTAAAGGAGTGTTAAGAGGGAAATTTATAGCACTAAATGCCCACATCAAGAAGCAGGAAAGATCTAAAGTTGACACCCTGACATCCCAGTTAAAAGATCTAGAGAAGCAAGAGCAAACAAATTCAAAAGCTAGCAGAAGACAAGAAATAACTAAGATCAGGGCAGAGCTAAGGGTGATAGAGACAAGAAAATCCCTTCAAAAAATTCACAAATCCAGGAGCTGGTTTTTTGAAAAGATTAACAAAATAGATAGACCACTAGCCAGACTAATAAAGAAGAAAAGAGAGAAGAATCAAGTAGACACAATAAAAAATGATAAGATATCACCACTGATCACACAGAAATACAAACTACCATCAGAGAATACTATAAACAACTCTATACAAATAAACTAGAAAATCTAGAAGAAATGGATCAATTCCTGGACACATACACCCTTTCAAGACTGAATCAGGAAGAAATTGAATCCCTGAATAGACCAAAAACAAGTTCTGAAATTCAGGCAGTAATTAATAGCCTACCAACCGAAAAAAGTCCAGGACCAGACAGATTCACAGATGAATTCTACCAGAGGTACATTCCTTCTGAAACTATTCAAAACAATAGAAAAAGAGGGACTTCTTCCTAACTCATTTTATGAGTCCAGCATCATCCTGATACCAAAACCTGGTAGAGACACAACAACAACAACAACAAAATTTCAGAACAATATGCCTGATGAACATCAACGTGGAAAACCTCAATAAAATACTGGCAAACTGAATCCAGCAGCACATCAAAAAGCTTATCCACCATGATCAAGTCAGCATAATCCCTGGGATGCAAAGCTAGTTCAACATATAGAAATCAATAAACATAAACCACAACATAAACAGAACCAATGATCAAAACCACCTGATTATCTCAATAGATGCAGAAAAAGCCTTTGATAAAATTCAACATGGCTTCATGCTAAAAACTCTCAATAAACTAGGTATTGATGGAACATATCTCAAAATAGTAAAAGCTATTTATGACAAACCCATAGCCAATATCATGCTGAATGGGCAAAAGCTGAAAGCATTCCCTTTGAAAACCAGCACAAGACAAGGATGTCCTCTCTCTCACCACTCCTATTCAACACAGTATTGGAAGTTCTGGCCAGGGCAATAAGGCAAGAGAAAGAAATAAAGCATATTCAAATAGGAAGAGAGGAAGTCAAATTGTCTCTGTTTGCAGATGACATGATTGTATATTTAGAAAACCCCATTGTCTCAGCCCAAAATCTCCTTAAGCTGATAAGCAACTTCAGCTAATAAGCAACTTCAGGATACAAAATCAATGTGCAAAAATCACAAGCATTCCTATACACCAATAATAGAGAGCCAAATCATGAGTGAACTCCCATTCACAATTACTACAAAGAGAATAAAATACCTAGGAATACAACTTAAAAGGGAGGTGAAGAACCTCTTCAAGGAGAACTACAAATCACTGTTCAAGGAAATAAAGGAGGACACAAACAAATGGAAAAACATTCCATGCTCATGGATAGGAAGAATCAATATTGTGAAAATGGCCATACTGCCCAAAGTAATTTATAGATTCAGTGCTATTCCCATCAAGCTACCATTGAGTTTCTCAACAGAACTAGAAAAAGCTACTCTAAATTTCAAATGGAAGCAAAAAAGAACCTGTACAGCCAAGACAATCCTAAGCAAAAAGAACAAAGCTGGAGGCCTCATGCTACCTGACTTCAAACTATACTACAAGGCTACAGTAACCAAAACAGCATGGTACTGGTATTGAAACAGATATATATACCAATGGTACATAACAGAGGCCTCAGAAATAATGCCACACATCTACAACCATCTGATCTTCAAGAAATCTGACAAAAACAAGCAATTGGGAAAGGAATTTCTATTTAATAAATGGTGCTGGGAAAACTGGCTAGCCACATGCAGAAAACAGAAACTGGACCCCTTCCTTACACCTTATACAAAAATTAAGTCAAGGTGGATTAAAGACTTAAATGTATAACCTAAAATCACAAACACCCTGGAAGAAAACCTATGCAATACCATTCAGTACATAGGCATGGTCAAATACTTCATGACTAAAACACCAAAAGCAACTGCAACAAAAGGAAAATTGACAACAGGGATCTAATTAAACTAAAGAGCTTCTGCACAGCAAAAGAAAGTATCATCAGAGTGAACAGGCAACCTACAGAATGGGAGAAAAATTTTGCAATCTACCCGTCTGACAAAGGTCTAATATCCAGAATCTACAAGGAACTTAAACGAATATACTAGAAAAAAGACCATCAAAATGTGGGTGAAGGACATGAACAGACACTTCTCAAAATAAGACATTTATGCAGCCAGCAAACATATAAAAAAAGCTCATCATCACTGGTCATTAAAGAAATGCAAATCAAAACCACAATGAGATACCATCTCATGCCAGTTAGAATGGCGATCATTAAAAAGTCAGGAAACAGCAGATGCTGGAGAGGATGTGGAGAAATAGAAATGCTTTTACACTGTTGGTGGGAGTGTAAATTAGTTCAACTATTGTGGAAGACAGTGTGGTGATTCCTCAAGGATCTAGAACCAGAAATATCATTTGACCCAGCAATCCCATTACTGGGTATATACCCAAAGAATTATAAAACTTTCTTCTATAAAGACACATGCACACATATGCTTATTGCAGCACTATTCACAATAGCAAAGACTTGGAACCAACCCAAATGCCCATCAATGATAGACTGGATAAAGAAAATGTGGCATATATATACCATGGAATCCTATGCAGCCATAAAAAAGAATGAGTTCATGTCCTTTACAGGGACATGGATGAAGCTGGAAACCCTCATTCTCAACAAACTAACACAGGAACAGAAAACCAAACACCGCTTTCTGCGCTACCTACAGAGGGGTCCATATGGCGTTGTTCTGGATTCCCATCGTAACTTAAAGGGAAACTTTCGCAATGTCCGGAGCGCTTGATATCCTGCAAATGAAGGAGGAGGATGTCCTTAAGTTCCTTGCAGCAGGAACCTATTTAGGTGGCACCAATCTTGACTTCCAGATGGAACAGTACATCTATAAAAGGAAAAGTGATGGCATCTACATCATAAATCTGAAGCGGACCTGGGAGAAGCTTCTGCTGGCAGCTCGTGCCATTGTTGCCATTGAAAACCCTGCTGATGTCAGTGTTATATCTTCCAGGAATACTGGCCAGAGGGCCGTGCTGAAGTTTGCTGCTGCCACTGGAGCCACTCCAATTGCTGGCTGCTTCACTCCTGGAACTGTCCGTCGCTAACCAGATCCAGGCAGCCTTCTGGGACCCACGGCTTCTTGTGGTTACTGACCCCAGGGCTGACCACCAGCCTCTCATGGAGGCATCTTCTGTTAACCTACCTACCATTGCTCTGTGTAACACAGATTCTCCTCTGTGCTATGTGGACATTGCCATCCCATGCAACAACAAGGGAGCTCACTCAGTGGGTTTGATGTGGTGGATGCTGGCTCGGGAAGTTCTGCGCATGCGTGGCACCATTTCCCATGAACACCCATGGGAGGTCATGCCTGATCTCTACTTCTACAGGGATCCTGAAGAGATTGAAAAAGAAGAGCAGGCTGCTGCTGAAAAGGTAATGACCAAGGAGGAATTTCAGGGTGAATGGACTGCTCCAGCTCCTGAGTTCACTGCTACTCAGCTTGAGGTTGCAGACTGGTCTGAAGGTGTGCGGGTGCCCTCTGTGCCTATTCAGCAGTTCCCTGTTGAAGACTGGAGCGCTCAGCCTGCCACGGAAGACTGGTCTGCAGCTCCCACTGCTCAGGCCACTGAACGGGTAGGAGCAACCACTGAATGGTCTTAAGCTGTTCTTGCATGGGCTCTTAAGCAACATGGAAAAATGGTTGATGGAAAATAAACATCAGTTTCTTAAAAAAAAACCCAAACACCTCATGTTCTCACTCGTAAGTGGGAGCTAAACAATTAGAACACATGGACACAGGGAAGGGAACATCACACACCAGGGCCTGTCGGGGGGTGGGGGGCAAGGGGAAGGAGAGCATTAGGAGAAATATCTAATGCATGCGGGGCTTAAAACCTAGATGACGGATTGATGGATGCAGCAAACCGCCATGGCACATGTATACCTATGTAACAAACCAGCACATTCTGTGCATGTATTCCAGAACTTAAAGTATAATAACAATAAAAAAAAAGATCAGAGCAGAAATAAATAAAACTGAAACGAAGAAAACAATACAAAAGATTAATAAAACAAAAAGTTGCTTTCTTGAAAAATAAAACTGATAGACCTTTAACCATACTAAGGAATAAAAAGAGAAGATCCAAATAAATAAATTCAGAAATGAAAAAGGTGATATTAAACTGATACTGCAGAAATTCTAAGGATCATTACTGGCTACTATGAGGAACTGTATATGCCAATAAATGGGAAAATCTGGAGGAAATTGACAAATTGCTGGATACACACAACCTACTGAGATTGAAACAGGAAGAACTCCAAGACCTGAACAGGCCAGTAACGAGTAATGAGTTTGAAGCCATAATAAAGTCTTCCATCCAAGGAAATCCTGGGACCTAATGGCTTAGCTGCTGTATTCTACCAAACATTTAAAAAACTAATATCAATCCTACTCAAACTATGCCAAAAATAGAAAAGGAGGGGGACACTTCCAAACTCCCTCTATGAGGTCAGTATTACCCTTATACCAAAACCAGACACAGACACATGATAAAAAGAAAACTATAGGCCAATATCCCTAATGAAAATTCATGCAAAAATCCTTAACAAAATACTAGTGAACCAAATTCCACAATACCAATTCAACAATGAAAGATCATTCCTCATGACCAAGTTGGGTTTATCCTAGGGTTGCAAGTTTGGTTCAACATACTCCAATCAATGTAATACATCATATTAACAGAATGAAGGATAGAAACCGTATGATCATTTCAATTGATGCTGGAAAAGCATTGATAAAATTCAACATCTCTTAATGACAAAAACACTAAAAACCTGGGGATAGAAGGAACATACCTCAACATAATAAAAGCCATATATGACAGACCCACAGCTAGTAGCATACTGAATAGGGAAAAACTGAAAAACTTTCCTCTAAGATTGAGAACAGGACAAGGATGCCCGCTGTCACCACTGTTCTTCAACATAGTACTAGAAGCCCTAGATAGAGCAATCAGACAAGAGAAAGATATAAAGGGCATTCACATTGGAAAGAAAGAAGTCAAATTATTCTTGTTTGTAGATCATATGATTTTATACTTGGAAAAACCTAAAGACTCCACAAGAAAACTCAGAACTAATAAGCAAATTCAGTAAAGTTGCAGGATACAAAATCAACACACAAAAATTACTAGCGCTGGTTGGTTAAGATGGCCAAGTAGAAGCATCTGCGGTGCATGGCATTCACGGAGAACTAAAAGGGAGAGTGAATATAGCACCTTCAACTGAAATATCCAGTTATTCCCATTGGGACTGATCAGGAAAACAACTTTACCCAAGGAGAATAAAGAAAAGCAGGGTGTGGTGATGGCCCACCTGGAAGTGACATGGAGCCAAGGGAAGCAGTGAGTGAATGTATGACCCTGGGAAACCAAGCTTCTCCTACAGATCTTTGCAACCCTTGGACCAGGAGATCCCCTTGTGAGCCCACACAACCAGAGCCTTGGGTTCAACACAAAGAGCTGTGTGGAGTCTCAGCAGAGCATCTGCTCAGACATGCACAGAGACCCAGGAGCATTACATACTGCAGACCCAGGATCCCCAGGAAGGTGAGAGGTTCATACATACCCCTAGGAAGAAGGCTGAATCCAGAGGCTGAGCAGCATTGGTCTATGGGCCCCACTTCCATGGCACTTCACAAGATAAGACCCACTGGCTTGGAATTATATCCATTCACCAGCAACAGGGTGGAGTCTGCCTGAGACAAGATGAAGCCCCTGTGGGGATGGGCAGGCCACCATCTTTGCTGTTTGGTCAACTCAACTGTTCCTGCCTGTGGGCTTTGGACAGTCCAAATGGTTTGGACAGTCCAAATGGTTTGGACAAGGAAGGTTCCCTGCTCCCAGTGCAGAACACCTGCTTTTCCAGAATGTGGCCAGACTGCTTCTTTAAGTGGGACCATGATCCATTCCTCCTCACTAACTTGGACCTCCCAGCTGGGGCCTCCAGCCATCTCCACCCACCCATATTCTATGGACGAGCTCTGATCTCTCCCTGGAATGGAGTTTCCAGAGGGAGGGGTGAGCCACCACCTTGGTTGTTTGGGTGACTCAGCAGTCCCAGCCTGTAGGCTTTGAAGAGTCCAAGCTGACCAGGGAAGAGGTGGTTCCCTAGCATGGCATGGCTGTTTTGTTGAGGCATGGCCAGACTGCTTCTTTAGGTGGGACCTCAATCCATTCCTCCTCATTGGGCAGGACCTCCCAGCTGGGGCTTCCGGCCACCGCTGCCCACCCATATTCTATGAACAGAGCTCTGATTTCTCCGTGGGAAGGAGTGCCCAGAGGGAGTGGCAGGCTGCCATCTTGGTTGTTTAGATGACTCAACTGTTCAATCTTGTGGGGTTTTGAGAGTCCATGCGGATGGGGCAGATGTGGCTTCCCAGCATGGCATGGATGTTTTGACGAGGTGTGGCCAGACTGTTTCTTCAAATGGGACCCCAATCCACTCCTCGTGGGGTGGGTCCTCCCAGTCTGGGCCTCTGTCCACCCCCACCTGTGTTCTGTGGCTGACAGAGTTCTAATTTTTCCCTGGGACAGGGTGCCTGGGGGTGGGGCAGCCTGCCACCTTTGCTGATGGGCTTCTCAGCCAGTCCAGCATGAGGCCCTTGGAGAGTCCAAACTGATAGGGAGCTGAAGGGATCCTCAACACGGCACAGCTGCTCTACCAATATGCAGCCAGATTGCTCCTTTAAGTGGGTCCCTGATCTCATTCCTCCTGAACTGGGTGAGACCTCCCAACTGGAGTCTTCAGCTACCTCCTACAGGCATGTTCAGGCCGGAAACAAGTAAGTACCCCCGTGGGACAGAGCTTCCAGAAAAAGGGACTGGCTGTAATCCTTGCTGTTCTGCAGCCTTCACTGGTGATACCTTCAGGTACTGGAAAAACCGAGGTGACTAGGGTCTGGAATGGACCCCCAGCAAACTGCAGCAGCTCTACGGAAGTATGGCTTAACTGTTAAAAGAAAAACAAACAAACAACAACAATAACAACAATAAAAAATACAAAAACCCCATCCAAAGGTCAGCAATCTCAAAGATCTAAGGTAGATAAACCTACAAAGATGAGAAAGAGTCAGCACAGAAATGCTGAAAACTCAAAAAGCCAGAGTGCCCTCTGCTCCAAATGACCACAACACCTCTCTAGCAAGGGTTCAGAAATGGGCTGAGGCTGAGATGACTGAAGTCACATAATTAGTCTTCAGAATGTGGATAAAAATGATGTTCACTGAGCTAAAGGAGCACGTTTTAACCCAATGCAAAGAACCTAAGAATCATGATAAAACAATGCAGGAGCTGACAGCCCAAATTGCCAGTATAGAGAGGAATGTAACTGGCCTGATAGAGCTGAAAAGCACATTACAAGAACTTCACAATGCAATCACAAGTATTAATAACAGAATAGACCAAGCGGAGGAAAGAATCTCAAGAGCTTGAAAGCTGTCTTTCTAAAATAAGACAGACAAGAATAGAGAAAAAAAGAATAAAAGGAATGAAAAAAAATCCAAGAAATATGGAATTATGTAAAGAGACCAAATCTGTGACTCACTGGGGCACCTGAAAAAAACAAGGAGAGTCGAACCATTGGAAAACACATTTTAAAATATCATCCAGGAGAACTTCCCCAACCTAGACAGGCCAACGTCAAAACTCAGAAAATGAAGAGAACCCCAGTAAGATACCCCATAAGAATATTATTCCCAAAAGGCATAGCCATCAGATTCTCCAAGGTCAAAATGAAAGAAAAATGTTAAGGGCAGCCAGAGAGAAAGGCTATGTCACCTACAAAGGGAAGCCCATCAGACTAACAGCAGACCTCTCAGCAGAAATCTTGCAGGCCAGAAGAGATTGGGGGCCAATATTCAACATTCTTAAAGAAAAGAATTTCCAGCCCAGAATTTCATATCCACCCAAACTAAGCTTCATAAGCAAAGGAGAAATAAGATCATTTTCAGGTAGGCAGGAAATGGCAACTGGCTGGAGGAGCTGGTTCTGTTGCTGCTGCAGAGCAAGTGGGAAAGACACCATGTATTGTCCAGTCGAGACCGTTACAGGAGCCTGAGGACACTTCTCTGTCATCACAGTCAGTTTTATATGTGGCACCCATAAAAGATGAGGCTGAGAACATGGAAAGCTTCTCAGCAGTAAACACAACTCACTGCCAGAGCAAAGAGGAAATATTCATAGGTTGATGATAGCCTGCCTTCAGGAGGAGAAAAACCACCAAAGAATGAAACTGGCTGGTCTTCAATTAAAAAATTCATTAAAGGAAGCACACCTAAGGAAGAGAGAGAAAATCCTTCAAAATGGAGTATAATTGAACGTGATATAGATAATAATTTGATCACGTCAACACCAAGAGCAGGAGAGAAACCTAACAAATAGATATCTTGAGTAAGACAGAAAAGTCAAGTAAATTGAGAAACTGGTAGTTATGAAATGACAAATCAACATGTAAAATAAAATGGAAAATTAGAAAATAATCCTTCCTCTGGCAGTCCTCCAAGGACTACTCTGTTGGAGCTGAAGAAATAGTAAAACAACTTAATATGGAACGGGTGGATGAGATCACTACCCGTTCTACTACATCAACTAATGGAGCAGCTTACTCAAATCAAGCAGTTCGGGTGAGACCATCAATAAATACTGGTTTAGCAAACACCACATGTTCTCACTCATAAGTGGAAGTTGAACAATGAGAACACAAGGACACAGGGAGGGAAACATCACACACCAGGGCCTGTCACGGGATGGGGGGCTAGGGGAGGGCTAGCATTAGGAGGAATACCCAGTGCAGATGGCAGGTTGATGGGTGCAGCAAACCACCATGGCACATGTATACCTATGTAACAAACCTGCACATTCTGCACATGTATTCCAGAACTTAAAGTATAATTTAAAAATACAAAACAACAACAACAGCAACAACAACAACAAACCACAATGGTTTAGAAGAAGCAGAAGAAACAGTTAATTGTGATATCCCACCCCTTACAGGACCAGTCATTCCAGATAGTGGTTATTCATCATCCCACGCAGAGGCCACCTATGAAGAAGGCTTGGAAGTATTTGACCCCTATTATTTCATCAAACATGTCCCACCACTGACAGAAGAACAACTAAATAGGAAATCTGTTCTTCCGTTGAAAACAAGAAGCACACCGAAATTCTCCCTAGATTTACACTTGGATGAAACAGTAGTGCACTGTAGTCTAAATGAGGTAGAAGAGGCAGCACTTACTTTTCCAGTCCTTTTCCAAGATGTCATTTATCAGGTTTAGGTGATATTAAGACCATTTTGTCAGGGAATTCCTGGAATGAATTTCTTAGATGTATGAGATTATTCTTTTTACTGCTTCTAAGAAGGTGTATGCGGGCACATTACTGAACATAGTAGACCCTAAAAAGCAACTGGTCAGGCACCGTTTTTTCCATGAACATTGTGTTTGTGTACAAGGAAATCATATAAAGAACTTGAATATTCTTGCAAGAGATCTTTCAAAAACTGTAATAATTGACAACTCACCACAAACCTTTGCATATCACCTTTCTAATGGAACCCCTATAGAAAGTGGGTTTATGGATAAAAATGACAATGAACTCCTAAAATTGATTTCATTCCCGGAGAAGCTTGTAGAACTGAATGAAGATATTCATTCACATATCAGAGACAGATTTCACTTGCATGATTTGCTGACCCAAGATTAAGTACAAAGACTTGTCAAATCACTGAAAGGGGAGAGATTGCAGGACCCTTTTGGACTAAGACAAAAAGATTGTCATTACTGTGGAAATTTTGCATTTTTGTACCCCGTCTTGCTTTTCTTACCTTTGATGCCTAATAATAATCAAAGGTTACAGAAAGAGGCTTTATCTATCTTAGACTGAATACATACAGTAGGTAAGCTAAAACAGACGAGTCTTTAGAACTAGTGCAACTCCCGTGAATTTTTTTTTTATGAACAGGACATCTGCAGTTTATAAAGAACTCTGTTTCTGCCACCAGAAGTTTGGCCTATAGTCACACAGGATTTTATAATAATAACAGAGATGAAAATGAACTTTTATTTTCTCCCTGTTTGGTGTTCTTGGTGGGTTTGTAGCCACTTTTCTGTTACTTTATGGTTCTCATTTCAACAGGAATGGCCAGCAAAAGTTGTTTTATTTTTCCTGTTAAGGGTCATAAACTTTTTACATTTTTGACCTGTATTAGATTAGAATTTCATTATGCATTCTTTTTAGTTGAGGTATTTTATAGTTTTCTGGAAATAGTCAATTTTGAGTTAAAAAAAATTTTTTTATGTTACTTTAAGTGCCTGGGGTACATGTGAAGAAAGCACAGGTTTGTTACGTAGGTATACATGTGCCATGGTGGTTTGCTGCACCTTTCAACCTGTCATCTAGGTTTTAAGCTGCACATGCATTAGGTATTTGTCCTAATATTCTCCCTTCCCTTGCCCCTTACCCCCTGACAGGTCCCAGTGTGTGATTTTCCCCTCCCTGTGGGGATATAAGTTGTGGGGATATAAGTTTGGCTTATATCCAAAAGACAGGCAATGACAAATGCTGGCGAGGATGTGGAGAAAAAGGAACCCTTGTACACTGTTAGTGGGAATGAAAGTCAGTATAACCACTATGGAGAACAGTTTGGAGCCCCTTCAAGAAACTAAAAATTGAGCTACTATAAATCCAGCAATCCTACTGCTGGGTATATACCCCAAAGAAAGGAAATCACTATTTTGAAGAGAGAGCTGCACTCCCATATTTGTTGCATCACTGTTTACAATACCCAAGATTTGTAAGTAACCTAAGTGTCCATCAACAGATTAATGGATAAAGAAAATGTGGTGCATATACACAATGGGTTAATATTCAGCCATAAAAAGAATTAGATCCAGTCATTTGCAACAACATGGATGGAACTGGAGTTCGTCATGTTAAGTGAAATAAGCCAGGCACAGAAAGGCAAAACACTGCATGTTCTCACTTATTTGTAGGATCTAAAACTTAAATCAATTGAACTCATGAACACAGAGAGTACAAAGATAATTAACGGAGTTTGGGTAGGCATTGAGGGGGAGATGGGATGGCTAATGGGTACAAAAACAGTAGAAAGAATGAATAAGACCTACTATTTGATAGCACAATAGGGTGAATATAGTCAATAATAATTGTATATTTTTAAATAACTTAAATAATGTAATTAAATTGTTTGTAACTCAAAGAATAAATGCTTGAGGGGATGGATACCCATTCTCCATGATGTGCTTATTTCACATGACATGCTTGGATCAAAGCGGCTCATATACACCATAAATATATGTATGTCTCTACTATACACACATTTTTTTAAAAAGTAGTTAAAAAATTAAAAAAATAGATACATGACACATTTCAAGTGAATTTTTATATGGTGTAAGGTAAGGATCAAGAGTATTTTTTAAATATAGATATCCATTTTTTCAGTATAATTTATTTAAAAGAAAATTTTTTCCTCAATGAATTAACTTGGCACTTTGTTGAAAATTAATACTATATATGTGTGGGACTATGTGTGCACTCTACATTCTGTTACATTGATCTTTTTTTAATCTTTAATACTAAATTTTCTTTAAAACTTACTATAAAGATGCAATAATCAAATAGTTTAAACCTTTAGTTTTGTTCTTTTCCAAAATTTCTTTGACTATCTTAATTCCTTTGAATTTCTATAACATTGTGTAATCAGATTGTCACTTTCTATTTTTAAAAAACTTGCTGGGATTTTCATTGTGATTACATTGAATCTACAGATTTATTTCAGTAGGACTTACGTCTTAACAAAATTGTGCCATCCTCTCATGGACTCAGTATTTATAGTATCTCCATTTATTGAGGCTTTCTTTATATCAGCGGGATTTTGTAGTTTTCAGTGTTTCCAAACTTAGGGGGAAACATTCAATTTTCCACTATCTAATATGATATTAGCTGTAGGAGTTTATAAATGCCCTTTATCAAGTTGAGGAGAGTCTCCTTTGTTTCTTATTTGCTAAGAGTTTCTATTATCAATGGATATTTTATTAAATAGGTTCTTTTTGGCACCAGTTAACATTATCATGTGATTTTTCTTTTTTAAACTGCTAATATGTTTGATTACATTGGTTAATTTTTCAAATATTGAGCCAGCTTGTATTCCTTGGATAAAATCCACATTGTTGTGATGTATTGTACTTTTTATGTAGTGCTGGATTCAGTCTGCTAATATTTTGTTGAAAATTTTTGTGTCTGTGTTCAGGAGGGATATTGTTCTGTAGTTTTATTTTTTGTGTGTGTCTCTGTCTAGTTTTGGTATCAAGATAATGCAGGCCTTGTAAAATGAGTTGGGACGTGTTTCCTGTAACCATATTTTGTGGAAGATACTGTACTGTACTGGTATTAGTTCTCCTTTAAATGCTTATTAGAATTCACCAGAAGTGGGTAGCTAGACCTAGAGATTTCTTCCTTTTTGTTTTCTTTACTACAAATTCCATTTCTTTAATAGTTATAGTGCTGTTCAAGCTATCTATTTTATCATGGGTGAGTTTTGGTCATTTTCAGTTTTCTAAGAGATGGTCTTTCTGATCAAAGTTGTTAAATTTTTGTATGTTGAGTTGTTTGTAATATTTTCTTACTGTCCTAATATCTGCGCATTCTGTGGTGATATTTTCTATTCCTCATATTGGTAATTTGTGGCCCCCCTCTTTTTTTCTTTATAAGTCTTGCTATGGGTTTATAAATTGTATCAGTCTTTTCAAAGAAGCAGCTTATGAGATAATTTGTTCTATTGTTTATGCAATTTTTGGATTTCATTGATTTTAGCTTTTATCTTCATTACTCCTTTCTTTGTTCTTGCTTAGGGTTTATTTTATTTTTTCCTTTTTTAGTTTTCTTAGGTGGAAACTTGGATGATTCGCTTGTGATCTTCCTTCTTTTCTAATATAAGTACTTAATGCTATAAATTTTCTTTTAAGAACTGCTTTAGCTGCATCTCACAAATTTTGATATGTTATGCTTCGTTTATATTAAGTTCAAATATTTTAAAATTTATCTTGATATTTCCTCCTCGACCTGTGTATTATTTAGCAGTGTATTAATTTTGAATTGATTGGAGATTTTAGTCTATTTGTTATTGATATCTAGATTAATTGCATTGTGGTAAAATAGTATACTTTATATGATTCCAGTTATTTTAAATTTGTTAACGTTTGTTTTATGACCTAGAACAGGGTCTATTTTGGTGTATTAGTCCATTCTTACACTGCTGTGAAGAAATACCCAAGACTGGGTAATTTATGAAGGAAAGTGGTTTGATTGACTCACAGTTCCACAGGGCTGGGGAGGCCTCAGGAAACTTACAATCATGGCGGAAGGGCAAACAAACATGTCCTTCTTCACATGGCAGCAGCAAGGAGAAGTGCTGAGTGAGGGACGGGAAAAGCCCCTTGTAAAATCATCAGATCTCATGAGAACTCACTCACTATCACAAGAACTCTATGGAAGTGAATCATGCCCCCATGATTCAATAACTTCCTACCAGGTCCCTCCCATGACACAGGGGGATTATGGGAACTATAGTTCAAGATGAGATTTGGCTGGGGACACAGCCAAACCATATTATTCCACTGCTAGTCCCTCCCAAATCTCATGTCTTCATAATTCAAAACACAATTATGCCTTCCCAACAGTCCTTTAAAGTTTTAATTCATTCCAGAATTAACTCAAAAGTCCAAGTCCAAAATCTCATCTAAGACAAGGCAAGTCCCTTTCACCTATGAGCCTGTAAAATCAAAAGCAAGTTAGTTACTTCCTACATGCAATGGGGGTACAGGCATTTGGTAAATACAGCCATTCCAAATGGGAGAAACTGGCCCTATACAAAGGAGCTACAGGCCCCATGCAAGTCAGAAATCCAATAGGGCAGTAATTAAAGCTTAAAGCCCCAAAATGATGTCCTTTGACTCCATGTCTCACATCCAGGTCATGCTGATGCAAGAGGTGGGCCCCACACACTTTGGAAGCTCCACCCCTGTGGCTTTGCTGGGTACAGTCCCCCTCCTGACTGCTTTCATAGGCTGGCATTGAACGTCTGTGGCATTTCCAGGTGCACGGTGCAAGCTGTCGGTGGATCTACCATTCTGGGGTCTGGAGGATGGTGGCCCTCTTCCTACTGCTCCACTAGGCAGTGCCCCAGTGAAGATGCTATAGGGGGCTGCATTCCATACATCTTCTGAAATCTAGGCATATGTCCCCAAACCTCAATTCTTTACTTCTGTGCACCCTCAGGCCCAACACCACATGGAAGCTGCCAAGGCTTGGGGATTGCACCCTCTGAAGCAATGGCCTGAGCTATAGTTGGCCCTTTTTAGCTACAGCCGGAGTAGCTGGGACTCAGGGCACCAAGTCCCAAGGCTGCACACAGCAAGGGGACCCTGGACCCAGCCCAGGAAATAATTTTTTCCTCCTAGGCCCCTGGGCCTGTGATTGGAGGGGCTGCTCTGAGGGTCTCTGACATGCCTTGGAGACATTTTTTTTTCATTGTCTTGGTGATTAACATTTGGCTTCTTGTGACTTATGCAAATTTCTGCTGCTGGCTTGACTTTCCCCCTGGAAAAAAGGAGTTTTCTTTTCTATCACATCATTAGGCTGCAAATTTTCCAAACTTTTATGCTCTGCTTTCTCTTGAATGCTTTGCTGCTTAGATACTTCTGCCAGATTCCCTAAATAATCTCTCTCAATTTTAAAGTTCCGCAGATCTCTAGGGCATGTGCAAAATGCCACCAGTCTCTTTGAATAGCAAGAGTGACCTTTACTCTAGTTCCAGGCAAGTTCCCCATCTCCATCTGAGACCACCTCAGCCTGGACTTCATTGTCCATATCACTATGAAGCATTTAGGTCAAAGTCATTCAACAAGTCTCTAGGAAGTTCCAAACTTTCCCACATTTTCCTTTTTTAATTCTGAGTCCTCCAAACAGTTCCAACCTCTGCCTGTTACTCATTTCCAACGTTGCTTCCACATTTTCGGGTATCTTTACAGCAGTGCCCCACTCTCTGCAGTACCAATTTACTACATTATTCCGTTCTCATGCTGCTAATAAAGACATACCCAAGACTGGGTAATTTATAAAGGAAAGAGGTTTAATTGACTCACAGTTCTGCAGGGCTGGGGAGGCCTCAGGAAACTTACCATCACGGCAGAAGAGGAAGCAAACACGTCTTTCTTTACATGGTGGTAGCAAGGAGAAGTGCCAAGCGAAGTGGGAAAGCCACTTATAAAACCATCAGATCTCATGAGAACTCACTCGCTATCATGAGAACAGCATGGAGGTAATTGCCCCCATGATTCCATTACCTCCTACTGGGTCCCTCCCATGACATGTGGGGATTATGGGAATTACAATTAAAGATGAGATTTGGGTGGAGCCAAACCATATCATTTGGTTAATGTCCCATGTGCCTTTTGAATAAATGTATATTCTGTTGTTGTAGGTTGACTGTTGTATAAATGTTAATTAGATTCAGTTGTTTGATTATGTTATTCAGTTCTTTTCTATTATTGCTGGTTTTATGTCTACCACTTCTGTCACTGAAAAAAGGAGCGAATACTTCAGCTATAATTTTGTATTTGTCTATTTCTCTTTTTGGTTCTGTTTTTGCTTCATGTTCTTTGAATGTTTGTAATTAGGTGAATATGTACTTAGAATTTTTATGTCTTCTTGGTTAATTGACTCATTTGTCAATATGTAATGTCTGTTTTTAATCCTCTGATTTTGTTTTCTCTGAAGTCTACTTTTATATTAACACATCACTTCAGCTTTATTTTGCTTTGTGCTTGTATGGCGTCTTGTTATTTTCCTTTTAATATATTTATATTACATTTGAAGTAAATTGCTTCAGACAGCATATAATTGAATCATGTCTTTTTCATCCTTTCAGGCAATTTCTACCTTTTATTTGGTGTGTTTAGATCATTTACACTTGATATAATTTTTGATATGTCTACCATTTTATGTTTTCTCTGTTCCTTCTGTCTTGTAGTCCCGTTTCTCATTTTCATCCCTCTTTTGAATTATTTATATAATTTTTAGTATTCCATTTTAATTTATCTATTAAAATTCTGACTATGTCTTTGTATAATAATTTTAGTGGTTTATCTAGGGATTACAAAATACACACTTAACTTTTAAGTCTATTTAATATCAATATTTTACTACTTTTATTGGAATGTAGAAACCACCATATAAGTACATTTTCCCTTCCTCCTCTACACTGTAGGCATCTTTTCTACATAACATCTATATACATCTTCAGATCTCTTCAGAGAATGCTATATATTTTGGTTTGAACTATCAAACATGTTTTAAAGAACTGAAAAGGAGAAAAGTAGTATTTTACTCATAAAACTTGTATCTTGTATCTCGCTGCTAAAAAATCGTATCTTAATGGTGAAAATAGTTATTTACCATTTCTATTACTCTCCTTCATTCCTTATGTTCCAATTTTCTTTCTGGTATTATTTCCCTTTGCTTTAATAACTTACTTTAATAAGTCTTTAGACCATACCTGATAGTAATGAATTATCATATTTTTTTCATCTAAAAATATCTTGACTTCCCCTTTATTTCTGAAGAGTAATTTTGATGGACACAAAATTCTGGGTTGACAATTCTTTGCTTTTAGCATTTGAATATTATGGTGAAACTTACCTTTTGTCTCTTGTCCCTTCGTTTTTAATGAGTGATCATTATCTATATGAATTGTTATCCTTGTTTATGCGAGGTATCATTTCTCTGTCTACTTTCAATATTCTTTGTATTTAGTTTTTAGCAGTTTGATTATGATGTACCTGAGGAGTGTAGATTTTTGGGGGTTTCTTATGTTTGTGATGTGCTCAGCTTCTTAAATATGCAGGTTTATGTGGAAGGCAGAATAATTTTTCTCCAAAGATGCCCATAACTCTTATCTCCAGAACCTGTGAAAAATATATATATACACATATATATAGAGTTATCTGGCATATGTAACTAAGGTTACCAATCAGCTTATTTAAGATAGGCCAGATAAGTTCAGTATAGTTATGTGAATCCTTAAAAGTAGAAGCGGAAGAGAGAAAAGTCGTAGAGATATGGCAGAAGACGTGTTATTGAGATGAGGCAGAAGGACAGGAGTCAGAGAGATTTGAAGCATGAGATAAACTAGATTTGCATTGCTGGCTTTGACAAGAGCCATGAGCCAGGGAATGCAGCCAACTGAGGACAAGCCATGGCTGGCAACCAGCAAGAAAGTGGTGACCTCGGTAGTTCTACATGAAACTTTATTTTACTAGAGCTAGGAAGTGGATTCTAACCCACAGCCTCTAGATAAGAGACCAGGATGGCTGACGCATTCATTTTGGCCTGTGAGACTCAGCAGATAAAACAGCTGAACCACAGTGTACGTGACTTCTGACCTACACAACAGTGAGATAATAAATTTGTGTTGCTTTAAGCTGCTAAACTTGTGGTAATTTTCTACAGCAGCAATAGAAAATTAATACAGTGTATACCTTTCATCAAACTTGGTTAGTTTTTGGCCATTATTTCTTCAAAAATTTTTAGCAGCACATTTTTTCTCCTTTTTTTCTGGGACTTTAATGACACAGATTTATACTTTGTGTTGTTTTTCACAGGTATTTGAAGCTCTGTTTGTTTCCAAAACATTTTTTCTCTGTTGTTTATATTGGATAATTTTCATTGATCTGTCTTCAAGTTCATTCACTCTTTTATCTTCTCCATTCTGTTATTGAATCCATCCAGTGAGTTTCTTTATTTCAGTTTTTATAGTTTTCAGTTTAAAATTTTCTATTTGATTTTTCTTCATAAGTTCTTGTCTTTGGCTGATTATTTTCTGTTTTAATAGTTCTTTCAAGAGTGTGATTACTCATTTGAGCATTGTAAATGGATGCTTTCAAGCATCTGTATTTGTTTAATGTTACTGTTGTATGCTGATTGTATTTTTCCATGCAGTTAAAATTTTCATAGCTATACATATGCCAAATATTTTGGTTTATATTCTGGACATTTTAGATATTAGTTTGAGACTCTATGTATTGTTTCAGTATTATAGAGGATATTGATTTTTTTTTGTTTTAGCAGACAATTGACTTCCTTAGGTTCAGATTGCAAGGTCCAACTTGCTTTCTAAGTGCTGAGATTCCAATGTCAGTTCAATTTTTGATGCTGTTTGAAACTTTTCCATGTGTGACACTCAATGGCCAGTCTGAAACATGGGCAGAAGTCTATTTATTAACTGAGTTCTCAAAGTCTTCTTCTTCTTTTTTTTTTTAAAGTGTACTATCATTTTTAATATGTTATCAGAGTCGTGCAACTGCCACCACAGTCAATTTTAGAACATTTTAATCATCCTCCAAAAAACCTCTTTATCCATTGGCAATCTCTCCCTATTCTTCCCCTTCCCCAGGCCCTAGTAACTACTAATCTATTTTCTGTTTCTATGGATTTGCCTATTCTTTTTTTTTTTTTTATTATACTTTAAGTTTTAGGGTACATGTGCACATTGTGCAGGTTAGTTACATATGTATACATGTGCCATGCTGGTGCGCTGCACCCACTAACTCGTCATCTAGCATTACGTATATCTCCCAATGCTATCCCTCCCCCCCTACCCCACAACAGTCCCCAGAGTGTGATGTTCCCCTTCCTGTGTCCATGTGATCTCATTGTTCAATTACCACCTATGAGTGAGAATATGCGGTGTTTGGTTTTTTGTTCTTGCGATAGTTTACTGAGAATGATGATTTCCAATTTCATCCATGTCCCTACAAAGGACATGAACTCATCATTTTTTATGGCTGCATAGTATTCCATGGTGTATATGTGCCACATTTTCTTAATCCAGTCTATCATTGTTGCACATTTGGGTTGGTTCCAAGTCTCTGCTATTGTGAATAATGCCGCAATAAACATACGTGTGCATGTGTCTTTATAGCAGCATGATTTATAGTCCTTTGGGTATATACCCAGTAATGGGATGGCTGGGTCAAATGGTATTTCCAGTTCTAGATCCCTGAGGAATCGCCACACTGACTTCCACAATGGTTGAACTAGTTTCCAGTCCCACCAACAGTGTAAAAGTGTTCCTATTTCTCCACATCCTCTCCAGCACCTGTTGTTTCCTGACTTTTTAATGATCGCCATTCTAACTGGTGTGAGATGGTATCTCATTGTGCTTTTGATTTGCATTTCTCTGATGGCCGGTGATGATGAGCATTTTTTCATGTGTTTTTTGGCTGCATAAATGTCTTCTTTTGAGAAGTGTCTGTTCATGTCCTTCGCCCTCTTTTTGATGGGGTTGTTTGTTTTTTCTTGTAAATTTGTTTGAGTTCATTGTAGATTCTGGATATTAGCCCTTTGTCAGATGAGTAGGTTGCGAAAATTTTCTCCCATTTTGTAGGTTGCCTGTTCACTCTGATGGTAGTTTCTTTTGCTGTGCAGAAGCTCTTTAGTTTAATTAGATCCCATTTGTCAATTTTGTCTTTTGTTGCCATTGCTTTTGGTGTTTTAGACATGAAGTCCTTGCCCATGCCTATGTCCTGAATGGTAATGCCTAGGTTTTCTTCTAGGGTTTTTATGGTTTTAGGTCTAACGTTTAAGTCTTTGATCCATCTTGAATTGATTTTTGTATAAGGTGTAAGGAAGGGATCCAGTTTCAGCTTTCTACATATGGCTAGCCAGTTTTCCCAGCACCATTTATTAAATAGGGAATCCTTTCCCCATTGCTTGTTTTTGTCAGGTTTGTCAAAGATCAGACAGTTGTAGATATGCGGCGTTATTTCTGAGGGCTCTGTTCTGTTCCATTGATCTATATCTCTGTTTTGGTACCAGTACCATGCTGTTTTGGTTACTGTAGCCTTGTAGTATAGTTTGAAGTCAGGTAGCATGATGCCTCCAGCTTTGTTCTTTTGGCTTAGGATTGACTTGGCGATGCGGGCTCTTTTTTGGTTCCATATGAACTTTAAAGTAGTTTTTTCCAATTCTGTGAAGAAAGTCATTGGTAGCTTGATGGGGATGGCATTGAATCTGTAAATTACCTTGGGCAGTATGGCCATTTTCACGATATTGATTCTTCCTACCCATGAGCATGGAATGTTCTTCCATTTGTTTGTATCCTCTTTTATTTCCTTGAGCAGTGGTTTGTAGTTCTCCTTGTAGAGGTCCTTCACATCCCTTGTAAGTTGGATTCCTAGGTATTTTATTCTCTTTGAAGCAATTGTGAATGGGAGTTCACTCATGATTTGGCTCTCTGTTTGTCTGTTGTTGGTGTATAAGAAGACTTGTGGTTTTTGTACATTGATTTTGTATCCTGAGACTTTGCTGAAGTTGCTTATCAGCTTAAGGAGATTTTGGGCTGAGACAATGGGGTTTTCTAGATATACAATCATGTCGTCTGCAAACAGGGACAATTTGACTTCCTCTTTTCCTAATTGAATACCCTTTATTTCCTTCTCCTGCCTAATTGCCCTGGCCAGAACTTCCAACACTATGTTGAATAGGAGCGGTGAGAGAGGGCATCCCTGTCTTGTGCCAGTTTTCAAAGGGAATGCTTCCAGTTTTTGCCCATTCATTATGATATTGGCTGTGGGTTTGTCATAGATAGCTCTTATTATTTTGAAATACGTCCCATCAGTACCTAATTTATTGAGAGTTTTTAGCATGAAGGGTTGTTGAATTTTGTCAAAGGCTTTTTCTGCATCTATTGAGATACTCATGTGGTTTTTGTCTTTGGCTCTGTTTATATGCTGGATTACATTTATCGATTTGTGTATATTGAACCAGCCTTGCATCCCAGGGATGAAGCCCACTTGATCATGGTGGATAAGCTTTTTGATGTGCTGCTGGATTCGTTTTGCCAGTATTTTATTGAGGATTTTTGCATCAATGTTCATCAAGGATATTGGTCTAAAATTCTCTTTTTTTGTTGTGTCTCTGCCAGGCTTTGGTATCAGGATGATGCTGGCCTCATAAAATGAGTTAGGGAGGATTCCCTCTTTTTCTATTGATTGGAATAGTTTCAGAAGGAATGGTACCAGTTGCTCCTTGTACCTCTGGTAAAATTCGGCTGTGAATCCATCTGGTCCTGGACTCTTTTTGGTTGGTAAGCTATTGATTATTGCCACAATTTCAGCTCCTGTTATTGGTCTATTCAGAGATTCAACTTCTTCCTGGTTTAGTCTTGGGAGACTGTATGTGTCCAGGAATTTATCCATTTCTTCTAGATTTTCTAGTTTATTTGCGTAGAGGTGTTTGTAGTATTCTCTGATGGTAGTTTGTATTTCTTTGGGATTGGTGGTGATATCCCCTTTATCATTTTTTATTGCGTCTATTTGATTCTTCTCTCTTTTTTTCTTCATTAGTCTTGCTAGCGGTCTATCAATTTTGTTGATCCTTTCAGAAAACCAGCTCCTGGATTCCTTAATTTTTTGAATGGTTTTTTGTGTCTCTATTTCCTTCAGTTCTGCTCTGATTTTAGTTATTTCTTGCCTTCTGCTAGCTTTTGAATGTGTTTGCTCTTGCTTTTCTAGTTCTTTTAATTGTGATGTTAGGGTGTCAATTTTGGATCTTTCCTGCTTTCTCTTGTGGGCATTTAGTGCTATAAATTTCCCTCTACACGCTGCTTTGAATGTGTCCCAGAGATTCTGGTATGTTGTGTCTTTGTTCTCGTTGGTTTCAAAGAACATCTTTATTTCTGCCTTCATTTCGTTATATACCCAGTAGTCATTCAGGAGCAGGTTGTTCGTTTTCCATGTAGTTGAGCGGTTTTGAGTGAGATTCTTAATCCTGAGTTCTAGTTTGATTGCACTGTGGTCTGAGAGATAGTTTGTTATAATTTCTGTTCTTTTACATTTGCTGAGGAGAGCTTTACTTCCCAGTATGTGGTCAATTTTGGAATAGGTGTGGTGTGGTGCTGAAAAGAATGTATATTCTGTTGATTTGGGGTGGAGAGTTCTGTAGATGTCTATTAGGTCCGCTTGGTGTAGAGCTGAGTTCAATTCCTGGGTATCCTTGTTGACTTTCTGTCTCATTGATCTGTCTAATGTTGACAGTGGGGTGTTAAAGTCTTCCATTATTAATGTGTGGGAGTCTAAGTCTCTTTGTAGGTCACTCAGGACTTGCTTTATGAATCTTGGTGCTCCTGTATTTGGTGCATATATATTTAGGATAGTTAGCTCTTCTTGCTGAATTGATCCCTTTACCATTATGTAATGGCCTTCTTTGTCTCTTTTGATCTTTGTTGGTTTAAAGTCTGTTTTATCAGAGACTAAGATTGCAACCCCTGCCTTTTTTTGTTTTCCATTTGCTTGGTAGATCTTCCTCCATCCTTTTATTTTGAGCCTATGTGTGTCTCTGCACGTGAGATGGATTTCCTGAATACAGCACACTGATGGGTCTTGACTGTTTATCCAATTTGCCAGTCTGTGTCTTTTAATTGGAGCATTTAGTCCATTTACATTTAAAGTTAATATTGTTATGTGTGAATTCGATCCTGTCATTACGATGTTAGCTGGTTATTTTGCTCGTTAGTTGATGCACTTTCTTCCTAGCCTCGATGGTCCTTACAATTTGGCATGATTTTGCAGTGGCTGGTACCGGTTGTTCCTTTCCATGTTTAGTGCTTCCTTCAGGAGCTCTTTTAGGGCAGGCCTGGTGGTGACAAAATCTCTCAGCATTTACTTGTCTGTAAAGTATTTTATTTCTCCTTCACTTATGAAGCTTAGTTTGGCTGGATATGAAATTCTGGGTTGAAAATTCTTTTCTTTAAGAATGTTGAATATTGGCCCCCACTCTCTTCTGGCTTGTAGGGTTTCTGCCGAGAGATCCGCTGTTAGTCTGATGGGCTTCCCTTTGAGGGTAACCCGACCTTTCTCTCTGGCTGCCCTTAACATTTTTTCTTTCATTTCAACTTTGGTGAATCTGACAATTATGTGTCTTGGAGTTGCTCTTCTCGAGGAGTATCTTTGTGGCGTTCTCTGTATTTCCTGAATCTGAATGTTGGCCTGCCTTGCTAGATTGGGGAAGTTCTCCTGGGTAATATCCTGCAGAGTGTTTTCCAACTTGGTTCCATTCTCCCCATCACTTTCAGGTACACCAATCAGACGTAGATTTGGTCTTTTCACATAGTCCCATATTTCTTGGAGGCTTTGCTCATTTCTTTTTATTCTTTTTTCTCTAAACTTCCCTTCTCACTTCATTTCATTCATTTCATCTTCCATTGCTGATACCCTTTCTTCCAGTTGATCGCATCGGCTCCTGAGGCTTCTACATTCTTCACGTAGTTCTCGAGCCTTGGTTTTCAGCTCCATCAACTCCTTTAAGCACTTCTCTGTATTGGTTATTCTAGTTATACATTCTTCTAAATTTCTTTCGAAGTTTTCAACTTCTTTGCCTTTGGTTTGAATGTCCTCCCGTAGCTCAGAGTAGTTTGATCGTCTGAAGCCTTCTTCTCTCAGCTCGTCCAAGTCATTCTCCATCCAGCTTTGTTCCGTTGCTGGTGAGGAACTGCGTTCCTTTGGAGGAGGAGAGGCGCTCTGCTTTTTAGAGTTTCCAGTTTTTCTGTTCTGTTTTTTCCCCACCTTTGTGGTTTTATCTACTTTTGGTCTTTGATGATGGTGATGTACAGATGGGTTTTTGGTGTGGATGTCCTTTCTGTTTGCTATTTTTCCTGCTAACAGAGAGGACCCTCAGCTGCAGGTCTGTTGGAGTACCTTGCCGTGTGAGGTGTCAGTGTGCCCCTGCTGGGGGGTGCCTCCCAGTTAGGCTGCTGGGGGGTCAGGGGTCAGGGACCCACTTGAAGAGGCAGTCTGCCCGTTCTCAGATCTCCAGCTGCATGCTGGGAGAACCACTGCTCTCTTCAAAGCTGTCAGACAGGGACATTTAAGTCTGCAGAGGTTACTGCTGTCTTTTTGTTTGTCTGTGCCCTGCCCCCAGAGGTGGAGCCTACAGAGGCAGGCAGGCCTCCTTGAGCTGTGGTGGGCTCCACCCAGTTCGAGCTTCCTGGCTGCTTTGTTTACCTAATCAAGCCTGGGCAATGGCGGGCATCCCTCCCCCAGCCTCGCTGCCACCTTGCAGTTTGATCTCAGACTGCTGTGCTAGCAATCAGCGAGACTCCGTGGGCGTAGGACCCTCCGAGCTAGGTGCGGGATATAATCTCGTGGTGCGCCGTTTTTTAAGCCCATCGGAAAAGCGCAGTATTCGGGTGGGAGTGACCCGATTTTCCAGGTGCCATCCGTCACCCCTTTCTTTGACTCAGAAAGGGAACTCTGTGACCCCTTGCGCTTCCCAAGTGAGGCAATGCCTGGCCCTGCTTCGGCTGGCGCACAGTGCGCGCACCCACTGACCTGCGCCCACTGTCTGGCACTCCCTAGTGAGATGAACCCGGTACCTCAGATGGAAATGCAGAAATCACCCATCTTCTGCGTCCCTCACGCTGGGAGCTGTAGACCGGAGCTGTTCCTGTTCGGCCATCTTGGCTACTCCTCCTCCAGGTCTTCTTATGCTAATTAGGATAATATCCATCTGTGTGCAGGTCAGGGCTGTGCCCAGGTGTTCTTAACAACTTTATGGGTTCTCTTTCCTACGCTCCTCATGCTCTATTTTTCGGTACTTGCTGGTTCCCTGGTGCTTCTTTATAAATTCTTCCAGTCAGAAACCACCAATATTGTGCTGCTTCTGGGGATAAGGTGTGGGAGGACAGGAGAGAGAGAGAGAAGAAAAAACAGCAATGGAGTTTGGTCTCATCCTGTTGATTTCTTAGCTTCCCACCTAATGGAGAGGATGTTTTTCTTGCCATTGTCACTACAGGACTACTTGAAAGCTTGGATGGGAGAGAACAGAAAAAATGAAGAGAAAAAAAATCCTAGTGGTTTTCTCCACTTTCTTTGAGGTTTACCAGTTCTCTTTCCTATTCCTTGAGTCAGGTTTCTCCTGGATGTCTCTCTGTTTGCACCATAGTACTCACTATTGTGTTTCAGACTTCATTGAGTTGAGGATCGAAATACTAGAACAGAACAATTGGTAAAATCACCACTGGTTTTGTTTTGCTTAAAATTCTGGTATCCTCCAATCTGTTGTAATTTAATTTTCTCTCTTCAAATGGCTGGTCCATGAATTCTGTCTGGGTTTATATTTGTAATCAGCTGGACAGAAAGAGTGGCATGTATTTATTTAACGTTACTTGGAATGAGTTACTTATTATCCCTTTAAATATCTGTGGAATATGTTGTGATGTTCCCTTCTCAATTCCTGATATTGGTAATTTGTGCCTTCCCACTCTTTTTTCTTGCTGAAGCTAGTAGAAGTATATCAATTTTATTGCTTCTTTCAAAGAACCAGATTTTGGTATAATTGATTTTTCTCTACTTTTTTCTGTGTCCTCTTTCATTAATTTCCTATCTTTATTATTTCTTTAGTTTGTATATTTTGGTTTAATTGACTCTTCTATTTGTCCTTTTCTTCTTTATTTCCTTTTACCTTCTCTTGACTTTTTTTTGGATTGTGCATTTTTAAAACATTTTATTCCATGCACTCTTCTTCTCTTATTAGCTAATGTCTTTGATATATTTTTCAGTAATTTCCCAAGTCTTTAAAATATGCATTTTATGATCTCACAGTATACCTTTTCAAATAATCTTATATTATTATATGTATAGCATAATAACCTACAAGGGTATACTTCTATTTTCCTCCAATATTTTATGCTCTTGTTTTATACATTTTACTTTTATATATGTTACAACCTTCACAATATTATTATCATTACTTTTTTGCTTTTACAGTTAATTAATAAAGAGATTTAAAATGATAAAATATATTTTATGTTTATCCATATTACCATTTCTGGCACTCTTCAGTGTTTGAGTGGCTACACATTACTATTTAATATAATTTTCCTCTGGCTGAAGAATTTCCTTTAATATGTCTTTTACTGCAAGTTTTTTTTCAACTTTTGCTATTCTGAAAAAAAAATCATTTGGCTTTTTTTTTGAAACCTATCATTTCTGAGGTTAGAATTCTAGGTTGACACTTTTTTTTTTTGTTTTCTTTCAGTGTTTTGGGAATGTGTCTCTATTATTTTATGGCTTCCATGGTTTCTGAATAGAAGTGTGATGTAATTGTTATCTCTGCTATGCTATATGTAATGTGTTCCTTTCCTCTGCCTTCATTTTGGATTTTTTAAATTATCACTGGTTTTCAGCAATTTGATTATGTTGTGCCTTGGGGTTTTCTTTATGTTTCTTCTGCTTGGGATTTTTTGAGTTTCTTGGTTTATTACACTTATAACTGTCATCAAATTGGAAAATATTTTTGCCACTACTTTCTCAAATTTTTTTTTGCCCCTTCTCTCATTTTCCTGGGACTCCAGTTACACTTATGTTAGTCTGGTTGACATTGTCACACAAGACTCTGATGATCTGTGTATCTTTTTAGACTTTTTTCTTTGTTCTTTATTTTCTATAGTTTCTATTGCCATGTCTTCAAGTTCACTGATCATTTCTTCTGCTATATCTTATTTTCTGTACAATCAAGTCTATTGTCTTTTTAGTTTCCATTTGGCATTTTAATACTTTCTATTTTTCTCCTTCTTATATTCACAATTTCCTTGACCTTTTTGAAAATATGAAAAATATTTATATTATCATTTAAAAAATCTTGTATGCTAATTTCACAATGTCTGTCAGTTCTGGATATTATTCTATCAATAGATATTTTTCTCTTGGTCATGGGTCATATTTCCGTGCTTTTTTGTAAGCTTGGCAATTTTTGATTGTATGCCAGACCTTGTGAACTTTATATTGCTGAGTGCTACACTTTGTTTTATTTTTTTTTTAAAAGTGTTTTGGAATTTGTTCTGCCATGCATTCATGTTACTTCTGAACTTTGCTTTTAAGCTTTAGTAGTGTGCTTAATGGACTAATTTACAATACTAAGGCAATAGCTTTCTAAAGACTTTAACCTGTAATCTGTATATTACAAGATCTCTCTATTCTTGCTGGTGGAAATATGAATTATTACCTTTTCTGTGAGGACTCCAACAATTTTTTAGTCTGTTGATTTCCAGTGGTTCTTGGTAGTGAATTGGGACATAGCTTCTTGTATTCCTATTCAAATGTTATGTGCTAGATAGCATTCATCAATTAGCTATTACATATTTTCCTTATCATTAGTATTCTCACAATGTGTCGCTATAGTAGCATTCTCACTTGGTTGACCAATAAAGAATGAGTGATGATGAGTGATGGTGAATTCCTAACTTTTACAGCCACTCCCCTCCCTATGGCATTTCTTGGATAGGATGAGAACATGGGAAAATGCAGTCAATTTTCATTTATGATAGTTATGTTTTCTAATGTTATTGCAAATACAGAGTTAGTGAATACTGAGTCATTGCCTCTAGGAGGAATACAGGGTTAGGTCCTTATAGCCTTTGACCACAGAATTTTTGTCAGTGGATCAAAATTTAACTGGTTATATGTATTTGTGTTTAGAGACACTTTATTTAATATATATTGTTGATTCACCAACATTGAACTCGTGGCCAATAGTACTATAATGCATGCCTGAATAAAGCTTATCTGATATATGTATTTCCTCCGTAAGGCACATCACAGCCTTCTTGAGGTTAGAAACACTAGGCAGCATTTTAGTACTACACTTGGGGCTCATTTAAAACAGTAAAATCACCAAGAAAAAGCAAAAAGGAAAAAAAAAAGGAAATGTGACATTAAGTATACCATGAACTGGATACTTGTTTATAATATGAGCACCAAAACAAGAAGGCAGGTGCCATTTTGTTTAAACACCATAGGGAACATGACTGGGTGTGTTGCAAATTTTTCAGTGTTTTATGCATGCATGTGTCTGTGAATAACTGCAAAATCTCCATGAATATTGATTTTGGGGTTACAAATAAATTTTAGCAAGTAGGCAAATTCACAAATGTGGAATCCATGAATAATGACTGTCAATGGTACTGATGTGTGACTTGTTTCTTTCCACTTATCTATTCTCACTTGGTAAAACTTAAGGACCATGCTTTCTGAAGGTTGGCACACTCCCAACCCCAGGGCCTTCTTTACAAGGCCTAACTAAACTCAAGAACTATATTCACCATAGAAAACTGAAACGATCAGGGTCCATCCTAATGAAATAGGGCTTGGGGGCTCTTACTTTAGAATTTCATAGTACCCTACCCATTTTGTAACACAGGCAGCTGCTTTTGGTATTGACTTGGTGGATCTACCCTTCCCAAGTCTGTTTGTTTTTGACTGAAGAAATATCCCACATGGTACCTAAATATACTTCACATCCGTTTGACCCAATTATACATTTTATTGTCTGTAATCAACCATTTTTCGTGTCTAAATAAAGTGATTTTGTTTGTATGTTCTATTAGGAAGTGTATGCACTCATCAAGCTACTATTTTTTTTCAATTAACTAGTTAATTTTACCCTACAAAGGCTGCTAGACCCTCATCTTGTGAGATGCTTTAGGTTTAAGAAAATAGTTGTGTGTTTACAGTCTGTGTTTTAAGAAGATCACTTTAAAATTTTCTTTTTGGCTTTTTGTGGCTGTGTTATCTGTCATGTCACATTAGATTTTTTCAAGGATTATGTCAAGCATGACACTGTGAAGAGACTCAGTCCATCATGAAAATAAAGCCCTTGCATGTGGAAATGGGGGAATAAAAGGTGCACCTTGTTTTTTTAAAAAAAGCAGGTCAAAAAAGTAAAAACCATTATTGGAAGATAAATTCTGAACCCAAGAAGCAAAGGCCAGGGAGGGCAGCCTTGACATTGTTTTCAGCTGGTTTTGAGCAGACTCGTCCAGAGAGGCCAAGGGGGAGATTATTTCTATAAAAAAGATACATTTGAGCTTATCTTCTTTTATCCGTTTGCACATGGAAGGGAAAACTTGGACTGCTTCATTTAAACAGAGCTTGCTCCCTTCTGAGTGTAAGAATTCCTGGCACCTGAAGCCAAAGCCCCTCAGTGGGCCAGATTTCAGGGTCCTGCATAGGAGCTGACTTCAAAGTGCCCTGAGGAAAGTAAAAGCAGCACAGTGTGATAATGTCCAAAGGCCTGAAGAAAACTTTGTGGAAAGTTATTTCTTGTGTGCATGTTTCCCCCTGACATGTATAAACAATAATAATAATAAATATATTTTGGAATTCAACTTGATGTGCCACTGTTTCTCTTCTCCCTGTCTTGTGTCCTCTGAATGCAATATAATTTATATATACACATGCATTTCTCTCCCTTCTCCTTTACCTGCAATATCAGTGAAATACTTTTGAGTTTCTGTACCTGGATGTCCTTTTCTCTGGTTCTCTCCTTGATCCCTTAGAGTTCACTTTTGACTTTCCTTCCTCATGAAACTTCTTCCATAGGCTTAAAAAAAAGTCTTTCTTTTGTCCATGTTAAGAGAGTGCTTTTCTGTGCTAATCCTATTTGATAGTCTGCTGCCCCAGACATCAACTGTCCCTGCTCTGGGTTCTCTGAGTTCATGCTCTCTCAAGGGAGAGCCTATCAGTGTCTTCTTCTTTCAGCTGCTCCCTTGAAATGCTTCAGGTCATCCCTCCCTCACCTTGGCTTTATTCTGAACGTTTTAAGGCTCTCTCCTTTAATATCATTAACATCTCTCTCTCTTTCACTGACTTCTTCCCTTTTTCCTATAAACAAGCTCAGTTCTACAAGCCTTTAAAACTGTAATCATAAAAACTCTGACCTAAAAGAACCCTTAATTTATCTTATGTTTTTCTTACTAGCAACTGTCTAGTTTTTTCCTTCTTTTACCACCAAATTTTTCAAAAGAATAACTTATTCTTGTTACTATGATTTCCTTTACCCACAGTCTATCTTTTGTCCCCACCACTCTAAATAAAGTATTCTATTCAAGGCTCCTAGTGACTTTAAAATCATCACATATAGTGGCCTGTCCAAGTCTTTCTCTTCTTCCTCACTTCTTATCCAACTTTGCCGTGGGCAAATCAACCTTCCTTGGGGAATGATTTAGAGAGGTGTAAAATAAAAAGTGAAAGTTACCCAACCTTGTGCTGGATCCCTCATTTCTATCCCAAGAAGCAATAACTGAAAACAATTTATTGTATATCCTTCCTGAAATGTTCTGTGCATAATCAAACATCTGTTTATACAAACAGGGTCACATTATGTATAATATATTCCATAGATTTCTTTTTCCACTTAAAAATAAGTCCTGTAGAGTATTCCATATTGATATACAGATTTATCTCTTTAAAAAATGACTGAGCGGTGATCTCTTGTAAGGATGAATCATAGCTCATTGAACTGATTTCCCATCAATGGATATTCGGGTTGTATCCAAATTATTGCTATCACAGTGTTGCAGTGAACATGCTTATACAAGCCAATGCATTTGGATTTGATTGCTTGTGTGAATATATCCGTAGTATAAGTTTCTAGATTTGGAAGTGCTATTAAGTTCTCTCTCTCTTTTTAAACATGGACAGTTTAATAATATAGCAAATACCCATGTAATCTCCATCAGATTATGAAATAGAATATTTGCCTATCTTCTATTTCTTTTCCCTACATCCTCCTCCCTGCCCATACTCCAAGTAATTGCTAATTTGAAATTTGTATTAATAATCCTCTTGCTTTTTTAAAAAAACATTTTCACACAAGTCCTCCATTTTAGAAGTATTTTCTGTGTTGGTTTTCTATCATCCTGGATCTCTTTTTACCTTGCTTATCCTTCTTCTTTTGTTTTCCTTCCTGATTTCTTCCCATATTATCTTCAGTGTGCTTGTTCTCTGAGCTTTAGTCCTCTGCTTTTTGTTCATCTCAATTTCCACTCAGTGGTCTTATGCCTTTGTTATATTTTTTATTTCCTTATTCGCGTGGATGACTCCTAGACCTGTATTTCTGTCTCTAACCTCTTTCCTGAGCTCCAGTTTACCACCTTCAACGTTTTTACTTGAATATTTTGCTATAGCACCTTAAATTATACTGGAGTCAAATAGCATTTAGTGGGTATGTTTTTTATTCCAGACCCTATGCTAGGTACTTAAGATTCAGTGAAGAATAAGACATGGTCCTGCATTTTAATAGGACAAGCAGATATAAAAACCTGCATAACAGTTGACATGAACTTATTGTATTTGCTTAGACTATCTCTGACTCCAAAGTTTCCTACATCCTTAATAACACCATCATTTTCTTCCTCACCAAGGTTCATCTAGTTATCTTGGCATCTTTTCCCTGAGCTGTCTTCTTCCTTTGTTCTTTTCCTTCTTGCTCCACATAAGAGTTCAGTCACCACACTGTGCAAATTCTTTACTCTTGTATATAACCCTTTCTCTTTTTTATCTTTTAATACCACTCTTCAGGGTCTTATCTCTTCATACTGGGGCTGTTACAAAATTTTTTTTTCTACCTCAAATTCATTCTGTAAGATGTACACTGCTTAAGGTTTCTCATGTCCAGCTCTCGATATTGTTGTTCGTCATCCACTCAAATACCTTTAATAGCAGTAAGCTACCTGTTAAATAAGGTCCAAATTTCACATTCTCACATTTAGAGCCACCTATAATCTGACCCCCAAGCACTCTCTTGAACTCCCTCTCCTCTCGCTGATTTCTTTTGTGAGAGTTTGGAAACTCAAGTGCCCATAAACATCAGGCAGGTAACGCAAATTGGTGAGTCTGGTTTGGTGAGGACTGTGGCAACCTGGGAAGCAAATTTTCCATTTGAAGTATATAGCTTGTGGCTAAACTTAAGCTGATTGTTGCCATGTGGGGACTGCAAGCCCAGTGTTGCCAGAGTTTTTCATTTTTAAAAGAGAAATTAGAAATCCAGATTTTTATATAAAATCTTATCATTTTTAGATGGTACTAACCCCTTTAAAAAGCTGTATGGTTAAAAGAACACATGGTTGAGGGTTGCCAGTTTATGCCTACTTCCCTATGTAAACTCTAGCTAGGCTGATATGCCATTTGAATTCTCACCTCTGTTTTTCCTTCCTAGGATGCCTTTAACCATTATTTAAGCTTATCAGAATTGGCTAAATCCTAGATATTTTGGGAACTTTTCTCTGGCCATATTACCTTTTTTTTCATATTCCTTCTTTGTATATTTTTATGAATTTGGATACTTAATGAATAATCTATTCATGAATAATAGATTCATGAATCTATTGGGGTTTTGTGATTGTTGTTATTTATTCAAATGAGCTCTTTATATATTATTCTAAATTCTTGAACATATTTCAAAAATTTTCAGTTTGTTTAAATATTTTTTATGTAATCCTTCTCACTGGAGAAGTTTAAACATTTTAAATGTTGTACCTATCAATCTTTTCCATTGTCTTTTCTTCTATTGCTATTAAGCTCAGTAAGTTGTTTCTCACTCCAAGAGCAGGTTAATATTGACATATTTTCTTCTTTAAAAATTGTTAAAACACTTAACTCTTTAGTCCATTATGTCGATGTAGGATGCAAAGCTTCAAATGGATTATTTCCTGACATAACTTACATTCTGTCTTTATAGAATAGACCTTGCTTTTACTCATTTATGATGGTACTTTATTTATTTATTTGATTCATATGGTGTCTTAGCTCTAGAGTCTGTTTGCACTTTTCTTCCATTGATATATCTGTTTGCTTTTGCACCAGTTCCGAATTATTTTAATTAATGTAGCTTTTTAATTATTTAATTAATGTAGCTTTGGAGTGTTTCAGTATACAGTAGAGTCAATCTTCCATCATTATTTGTGTTTTAGTATACATCATTATTCTTTTCTCTCCCCAAAATCAAATGTTTTTATATACATATCCCAAAGAGATGGTTAGCTATTTAAGGACAAAGGCTGTGCTTTATTAATCTATTTATTACTCCCACCCACCACTATTTTGGCCAATTTAGTGTCTTGCACAATTAATTTTGGCTCAATTTTTAGATTGTCTTTAATGGTTGCCAAATTTATTTTTGTGTATTCGTGTTATAAATATTCAAATCTCCCTCTGCACCTTAGGATCTTTGGAATTCAAGCTCCTGTAAGAGTGTTCTTTGGCCACTTCTTATTTTTAAGTCTGAGTGCCCTTTTGGACTCTGGCAGTTATGATTTTTCCAGAGTACGTTTGTCTTCCAATGTCATGTCATACATTTAACAAGTTTTAATTCTATGCAGACTCTTCTAGGGAGAAGTAGAGGCAACATCCTGACAAAACTGAACCCATTATGTATTAAGTGGGACTTGACATTTTTTTTCCTTTTTCCTCGCCATGATCTGTAGCTTTATCTCAAGATATTTGGACTCTTTTTAAAATGCCTCTTTTTTTCCTTCCTCTCTAATCCAAGTCGTAGTGCTTACTAAATCTAGACATTTATTTAAAACTAGGCTTACCCAGTCATTTCACTTTAATCCCACTGCTAAAATCCTGGGCTATTATTATAACTGCGCCTGACCATAATCCTCAAAACTATTGTTTTTAGCCTTCTTGCAAAGCACTGCTCATTCTATAAAATATGCAAATGGCAGCACTTCAGATCATTACCATCCAATAAGTAGTTTATTTTGCTTCTGTCTTAAAATATTCCAGGCTTTGGTGTGCCCTCCACTTGTAAGCCCTTTCAGTATCTGCCTATGAAGCCAAATAAAAGCTCATTTATCAAAAGGCTCACTTATAGAAAGATGTCTGAATGCTGTTTTGGCCTCTCTGTATGTATGTGGGAAGGTTGTGCTATGTTTGCTAGCGGAGAGAGATGTTTTCCTCTTCCATCTGCAATAGATATTCTCAAATACTGTTTCAAATACACTTGCTTCTTGTGTCTTTGTTCCCACTATAGAGACAACCCCATAGTCACATTCATCCTGTATGCAGGAAGAACATGCAGATTGTTGGCTGATCTATACATTTCTAGGGTGTCTGTCACTAAGTATTTTGACAGATGTTAGAGAGAAAAACTCAAAGTGACCTTGATAAATTAGGAAAAAGTATCTTACTGGAAAAAGGATGAAAGGATGGGCTATCACAGGAGATGAAAACCCAAATTCACAACAACAGAGTTGAAAAAGACTGGTTCATCCCAAGCATCACAGACAAAGATCTGAGAGTCACAGCTGATCTCAAGCTAAATATGAACAGGCAATGCAGTACCATGGAGAAAAAAACAACTTGTGCTAAATGCATGAAGTGATTCTCCTGGTAGGTTGAGGAATCCAGTTTTAAGAAAACATCCTGTTACATTATTATTATTACTTAGAATAATCACTAGTATTTGTTTTACATTGAGCAAAGTCTTCTTACATGCATTATTAGTTTATTTGGTCCTGACAACAATCCTGTGAGTTATTCATTAGTATATCCCCATTTAACAGAAGAGAAAAACTCAGAAAAGCCAAGTGAAATGTCTGAGGGCATACAGGAAGTTTTGGGTTTAAATTCAGGTCTTCTGCCTTCAAATCTGATGTGGTTCCTACTATATCATATTGCCTCTTAATAAAAAATTAGAGAAATATCACTCATGTTAAAAACACTTTTTAAAATTTTGAAATTATTTGGCTATTCTCCAAATAATAAGCTGTCCTGGAGAATTTAATATAGAAATGGATTTGTATTATTTCATTTCACAACCAACTTTTTGTAAGGAAGCTAATTGTGTAAGTACATTTAAACATAGTTATCAATATATATGGCACAATGACTCGGATCTTGATTGTCTTGCTGAAATAGATATGAAGATATCACTAGTCAAGGAAACTGTGGCCTACAGATTAGAAAAATAGGTCTTATGGACAGGAAAAAAATTGGGAGCTGTTTAATTAGTAAGGGACAAAACGAGAGAACTAAAGTTGGTATTTGCAAGAAAGGTTTTATGAGTAGAAAGCTGCTCTTCTTATATATGAAGCAGTATACAATTTGCTTCATTCACTAATTCATTAAAATATTTCCTTCAACTAGGCTGGGCATGGTGGCTCACACCTGTAATTCCAGTGCTTTGGGAGGCTGAGGTGGGTGGATCACCTGAGGTCAGGAGTTTGAGACCAGCCTGGCCATCGTGGCAAAACCCCATCTCTACTAAAAATTCAAAAATTAGCCAGGCACGGTGCTGGGTGCCTGTAATCCCAGCTACTCAGGAGGCTGAGGCAGGAGAATCGCTTGAACCCGGGAGGCAGAGGTTGCAGTGAGCCGAGATTGCTCCATTACGCTCCAGCCTGGTGACAGAGCGAAACTCCATCTCAAAAAAAAAAAAAGAAAAAGAAAAAAAAAAATGTTTCCTTCAATTTTCTAATATGTGTCAGTCACTCTGCCAGGTGTAATGGACACAAAGATAAATTGTGTCCTACCTCTGTTGGTGTGATGGCAAATATATTAAAAAAAAATATAAATAGGGTAATAAAAGTATGTGTGCCTAGAATGCTGAAGGGTTAAGGAGTTAACTTAATCTAGGGGTGTCAGAGAAAGTGGTTTTTTAAAAGCTGATTCTGAAGTTTGAATAGAATCTTGCCTGCTTAAATTGAAGCAGGGGAGGTTTCGGTTGGACTTCAGGAGGAACTTTTAGATACTAGCTTAAGCATTATAATGGCCCATTAAAAAAGGTAAGAATTTTTTTAACCTCAGGAAGATTTAAAGGTAAAAGATAAACTTTCCAAAGCCAGGGGGGAATGTGCCATATAATCCTTTAAGCAAGGCATCTTCTTCTAGCTCTGGTGTTTTTTTTTTTTTTTTTTTTTCTGATAAATTGAGAGCTGATTCTGCATGCCCAGTGATTTGCAAAATCAGACAGTAGACATAATGGAAATCATGCAGTGTACCTAAAAGCAATTCAATGAAAATGCTCCTATTCTCTTTATGTTTGGTTTTTATGTGAATCTGTATTTGAGGAGAAATTAAGTGTGTTTGTTGTAAGCAGATGTTCATGTGCTCTCAGGTAAGTAATAATGGGTAACAGTAGAAGGAGGTGGTGCTGGGTATGAGGCAGTGGGACTGAGCCCTGTGGATGATGCCAATACACTTTATAGAAGAAAAAGAGGATTATTGCCTCCTGGCGAATTTCTTTTGAATAGTGTGTGGTTGTGTGTATCAGAAAAACTGAGATAAATCTGGAAGAATACATCAAAGTAAGGGCTTATAAGGATCATGCGCATCAGAAGATCGTGAATCTTTTTCAGAACACCTTGGTATCCCAGTTCAGCTTGCTCCAGAGGGAGTGGATTTCCTAGACTTATTAAAGATTTAAGAGGCAGCACAGTGTAATGTTTAAGAGTACAGAATGTAGAATGAGACTGCCTGGGTTTAAATGTTCTTACTTATTAATAATTGTGCCATCTCAGACAAGATTTTTACCTCCCTGATTCTCATTTCTCTCATCTGTAAAATGAAGATAATGATTGTGAAAAAGTATCTACTTTAAAGGGTTGTTTGAAAATTAAATGAGTTAATACATATAGGAAAACTAGAATACTACCTGGAGCATGGTAAGTGTCATGAGTTCAGCATTTTACAGTTTTCAGAGTCTTCCCTCAGAACCGTGTGAGAAAGTCTAGGCAGATTAAATTAACCCCATTGACAGATAAGGTTATAGGCTTAAAGGGGTAAAGTATCTTGCTCCAGGTCATGGAAAATCAGGACTTGAACCATGCCTTCATGCCTCATCTAACATTCTTCCCACTTACTCACACTTGTCATTGCGTCCACATTTCTTAGGAAGTCCTTAGAAAACTGAGGAAAATAAATGTGCTTGTTTGTATTTGTTTTCTACTGCTGCATTAAAATTTCTCAATTTAGTGGCTTAAAACATTACACATTTATAATCTTACAGTTTGCATGCATCAAAAGTCTGGGCACAGCTTAGCTGGATCCTTGTTCACGGTCTCATAAGGCTGCAGTCAAGTTGTCAGCCAGGCTGCCTTCTCATTTGGAGACTCGACTAGGGAAGGATCTGCTTCCAAGCTCAGTCAAGCTGTTGGCACAATCTAGTACCTTGTGAATTTACAATCCATAGCTGCTTGCTTCTTGAAAGGCTGCAATGGAGAGCCTCTGATGCTTGGACTCTCTCATTTGAAGGCAGCCCTCATCCCTCTTTTAAAGGGCTTACCTGATTAGGTCAGGTCCAACTAAAATAATCTCCCTTTGATTAATTAAAAATAAACTAGGTACCTTAATTGCATCTGAAAAACCCTTTTGCTATTGCTTTATTAAATAACAGAAACAGGGGAGCTACATCCCATCACATTTGTCATATTTTATTGGTTAGAAGTTTACAGGTTTTACCTTCCCTCCAGGGGAGGAGATTACACAAGGGATTGCACATTGTAGGTTACCCTAGGGCATGCCCATCACAGGGCTCATTTTTCTTGAGCTGTGGATGATAATCTACTTTGAGTGTGGTCAAGTGATTTTAAAAGTCAAAGTCTGGACTTGAATCAGAGTAGACATGAACAAATAGCCATGTATTTGGGAGGATACATAAAGGACTGCCTCCATTTTACCAGCTTATCCTTCTCAATGGTTTTTCTTTTCCATCTAGGTATACTCCTGCTTAAAATAACTCAGTCCTGGCTGGGTGAGGTGGCTCATGCCTGTAATCCCAGCACTTTGGGAGGCCGAGGTGGGCAGATTACCTGAATTCAGGAGTTCAAGACCACCCTGGCCAACATGGTGAAACCCCATATCTACTAAAAATACAAAAATTAGCCGGGTGTGGTGGCATGCAACTGTAATCCCAGCTACTCTGGAGGCTGAGGCAGGAGAATCACTTGAACCCTGGAGGTGGATGTTGCAGTGAGCCGAGATCATGCCACTGCACTCCAGCCTGGGCGACAGAGGGAGACTCCATCTCAGAACATACACACACACACACACACACACACAAATCAGTCCCTGGGCTGCCATTAGATGCATACATACTTTCTTTTCACTTGATAGTCAGGGCTGTAACAGTTACACATATGAGCAACAGTCTTGTCTTTGTCTATCTGTCTCTATCTCACTCTCTTCAAGCAACTTCAAAGGGGCTGCATACAATCTTTTCTCTCCTTTTGGTGGCTAAAGTATCTTTCTCCCCAGACATTCATGCTGGGAAAGACATAATAACAGTTCTAATAGAAATAACAATTTCTCCTTAAATAACCCCCTTTTATCTGATGCTCTCTAAATGCTATATTGAGGGATCACACTGTCATTGGGAAGAGAAAGTCACAGCAAAGACATGCTGCAGCTGGGAGTGGAATTCAGGCAGGCTGGTTCTACAAACGTATGTTTTTCCCTACTGAAGCCTGCCTGTGTATTTCTGACTTAACTCTGCAGCTCTAGGGAAAGGCTGGCAGCAGGGTCTTTAGCCAGTGGGCTGATTGCCAGGCAGCCACATATTCTTGTATTTAGAGATTGAAGTATATTCTCCTGGACCCAGCATGGCTGAGGAAATAGAAGGTTATCAGTGAGCTTATGAAATTCCATGCTTCATTCTTCAGTATATTAGAATATGATAAAATACAACAAGTAAATTAGGCTGAAGAAAATTCCTTTCTGTGAAGATTTAGAAGGCATTTTCAAACTGGCACAGAGCCATGAAATCAGCATTATGAATGCCAGCGAACACCATGTTGCCAGTGATTGGCTGTGCTGAGGCACTTAGGTAAAGAAAGCACAAGATAATGGAGCTGAGAGTAGATGGCAAGTTTTGTGTATCTATATTTTGGGGCTTTTGAGCCCAGGGTCATCCTTAGATGGATATGGGGCTTGGAGTAAAATCGCAATATGCGTCTTCCCCCTTCATCATTTGTATGTAGACAAAATTAGATTGAAATGAACATTTATGTTGTCTTCAGGGATGGAGGTAGTGGGAAGGCAATCAAACAGGGGTCATTAGAAGCAGTATTGAGAGAGGCCAAAGCCATTTTTATGTTTTGAGTGCCTTGGCACATGAAAAAAGCCCAAGAGGAGGATTAAACAAATAAGTACAGGTTGTCAACAACTTGTATAAAAGTATCTAATTTATTAGAATAGTGCCCCCTCATATACATATCATTCAAAAAAGGCCAAGCACTTTCTCCACTGTGTTATTCCAATCTCTATCAGAATTGGAATTAGATCTACTAAAGGTCAAGGAGCAAAAATCTGTTGAATTTAAATAGATGTTGAACCATTTAGGTCATGAATGTAACACTTAAAGTAATTTGGTCCAGACAGAAAACAACTGTCCATGCTGTGACTCCAGATGGAGGAAGTTGGCAGTCTCAGGAGAACTACAGCAGTGCCGCACAATAAGGATAAAGAAGACCAATTATCTAGCAAGCTAAATCTTCTGAAATAAATTGTCTGAGGAATCAACTTTTGAAAGGCTCAGGATCTACCATGGTTTGCTTAAAAATGTTTCACCCCAGATATTTCAGAATCTCATTTCCACTTGTATTATTCTCTTGTTCCTCTCTTGCTTTAATGGTAATAGAGAAGACATATTTATCACACCAAGCATATTACATTTTCAACCCCAGAAAGTAAATCCATTTCAAGTGTGTTTTCCCAAATGACTATAGCAGCTTAAAAGGCAAACAAAGAGGAGGTTAGGCCATTGGCAGGGAAACTGGGGAAGAAAATGAAAGTTGTCCAAGCCAGAAGCAAAGTCTGACCTTTCTAGGCAGCCAGATTTTCCAGGGGTGACCTTTGTAGTCCAGAGAATTGTCTGGGGTTTATATGGAAATCCCAGGGGTCATCAGAAACCAGGTGCCTGTCAAACTGAGGAAAGGAAGGGGAAGTGGAAGAGTCAGGAGGGAGGTTCTTGTTTATTTTTACTGATTTTATCAGTGCACAATATTATAAAAACAATAAGAATACAGGAATAAAAAGCACAATATCACTACATATTAATTGTTTTTTTTCCATGTGCCCTTTACATATACACAACTGTATGAAGTTGTAAACATAATGGAGATGCTTTTGTGTGTTCTTTTTTATGTGGTGTTATACCATAAAGGGTTTCTCATGTAGTACATATTCCTCATAATTTCTAGTGGCTGTACAATATTCCCTTAGGGCAATTCAGCATGATTTAGCTAGTCTGTCATGGGTCATTCTGGTTGTTTCTTATTTTTTGCTATTATAAGCAATGTGATGAACATCTTGCTGCATAAAACTTTTGTAACCCCTTGAATTATTTCCTCAGCATAAACTTTTAGCAGTTTAGTCGCTGGGTGAAAGGGTATAAATATTTGGATTTTTCTTGAAAAATACTGCCAAATTGATTTCCAAAAACACTGCAATAATTGACTAATTTCACCTCAACCTTGTCAGAAAACTAGAAAAAAAATTAAATTAAGTCACTAAAAATATTACCTCATTATAGTTTTAAGTTAAACTCTTCTGACTGCTTCCAAGATTCAACATATTCTTATATCTTTGTTTGTTAGTTATATTTTCTCTTGTGAGAACTGCCTTATCAGTTTTTTTATTGGCCATTTATCTACTGGGGGCTTGTAATTTTTCTTTATTTTTTGTTTGTTTGTTTTGGAGACAAAGTCTCACTTTGTCACCCAGGCTGGAGTGCAGTGGCTCAATCATGGCTCACTGCAGCCTTGACCTACTGAGCTCAAGAGATCCTCCCAACTCAGCTTTCCAAATAGCTGGGACCACAGGCTTGCACCACTACACCTGGCTAATTTTTGCATTTTTTTATGGAGATAGTATTTTACCATATTGCCCAGGCTGGTCTGGAACTCATGGGCTCCAGCGATCTGCCCACCTTGGCCTCCCAAAGTACTGGGATTACAGGAGTGAGCCACCATTTGTGGCCAGGGGCTTGTAATTTTTCTAATTAAAATGTTGAGTAATTATATAATGTAGGAACTATTTCCCTGTCATACTTTCACTAGGTTGTATTCTTGTTTTTGAGGTACTTTCTTAAACAGAAAAGAATAAAACATGAAGCATACATGATTTTGTATTCGCTTTGTTCAGGGTGACTCTTCATTGTAGCTTTTGTATTTTAGTGTATAGACTGCTGCAGTCAACACCAAAAAGAATATCCTGAAAAGAAAAGAACACAAGATTCTAGTTTGGAAATCAGAGAGAAAATATAATTCAAATCTGGGGCAACATGGATGATTTTATTAAATTTAAAATCTTTTAAATTTTAATCAGTCCTTTTAGTGCCATAATAATGTTAATTTCGTGGGGCCTTGATTTGGTGAACAATAAAGCTGAATTGCAGGAATAAGGAGTGTTAAAACCATGGCATCTTCCACATCATGTGAAAAACTACAGTTGCCCTATAGCCAATCTTTAATGCCCTGAGCCTGTGACCTTGAATCTGACTTATTGTGTAAAGAGAATCATCATGCAAGACGATTCTCAAGTCTATTTCTCTTTCAGGCAAATCCTGAAAAGAGACCCTGTCTTTGCAATTTTTTTTATTGCATTTCCAATGCTTTCATGTTCGTATCAGAACTTGGACAATTTCCAAAAAAAAAAAAAAAAAGTGAGAGAGAGGGAAGAAAAGAAAAAATCCTAGCTGAAACATACTGGATAGGCCCTTGCCATCTTTAGGAGTATGTAGTTGCTGAGGGAGTTTGTCAAAATTCATTTCCATTTTTGGGCTGTCACTCATTCCGATAGCTCTTAGCAGCTATGCTCTGCCTTCTCTCATTTGTTCTGCAATTTTTGAGCATAAGAAAAATAAACTAACAAAGAGTTTTTTTGTTTTTTTTTTTTTAAAGAGAGGGACTGCTGCTGGCAGATGGTGAAAATAACTGTGTCTGGACAGGGGATAAGTAGATTTAAGAGCAGTTCATTAGAAAAATCTTAGTACTTGATATTTAACATTGCAAAAATACTCTGGCATGTTTAATTTAATTTTATTGTCAAAGCTTTCTAAAAATAATAATTACTCATATAGCATACATATTTACTCTTCCTTTCATATCTTACAGAACACTAGAATTTCTAACAACATAGGCTATTCATGTTCCATAAATTCTATATACTAAATTTTTATTGTTTTCTTGACACATTTCTTTTACTGTCCTCTTTCCCATAAATCACAGATTTTGTTTCCTTTATCACTTAAAGTGCTCAAATCCACTCAATTTCTTTTTTTGTACTTGTAGACCTAAATTTCTTTCTCTAGCTCAGGCCCTTCTACTGAGCTCCGAGCATATATATCCAAGACTTTCTTCATGTCCACTGAATGTTTCAAAGGCCCTTTAAACTCAATCCCAAACCAAGCTCACAATCTTCTACAAGCATGAACCTTTTCCAGTGTTTCCAATATCATCCATCTAGTGCAATCTAGACACCTTAGCAGCATCTCTGCATCTTCCGAATGATCTCTCACATTCTATAGCCAGTCTATTACTGAGCTTTGCTAATTTTCCTTTTTGATATGTCTCAAATCTAATCATTTCTATCTATTTCTGCTGTCATTTTTCTAATCTATGCCTTCATAATCTTTTTTTCTGTTTTTCTTTTAAACTTTTAAGTTCAGGCGTATAAGTGCAGGTTTGTTACATAGGTAAATGTGTGTCATGGGGGTTCGTTGTACAGATTATTTCATCACCCAGTTATTAAGCCTAGCACCTATTAGTTTTTTGCCCTGATCCTCTCCCTCCTCTCACCCTCCACCTTCCCCTCTATGTGTCCATGTGTTCTCATCATTTAGTTCCCACTTATAAGTGAGAACATGTGGTGTTTGGTTTTCTGTTCCTGCGTTGGTTTGCTAATGATAGTGGCCTCCAGCTCCATTCATATTCCTGCAAAGGACATGATCTCATTCTTTTTTATGGCTGCATAGTATTCCATGGTGTATTTGTACTATTGTGAAAGCTTCTAATTCCTTACCTCTAGTCCTTCCTTCTTCCGATTAAAACTAGCTTGGCTTTTCTAATGGGCAAATCTGATCGTTTCACTCTCTTGCTTAAAGATCTTTGAAGGCTTCCCATTGTCTTTGGCATAGTTGAAAGACCTATTTTCTGTCTCTTTCTGGCGTCATTTTCTACTAAAGTCTCCTACATATTCTATGATCCAGTCACAATTAATTGCTTTCTGTACTCCAAGTACACCGTCCATCCTCATACCTTCATACCTTGTTTCTTTCCTGGACTAGTTGGCCAACTTCTAAGAAACCTTTAAGATTCAGCTCAACGTTCACTTTCTTTCCTTACCTCATCCCCCACAAAGTTAGGTAGTCTATCATTCCTCTTATTTCTATAACAGAGTGTACATAATTGATTATAGCATGTATCCCACAGTATTGGAATGTCGTATTTATTATTTTGTTTTCTACACTAGATAGGACATCTTTGAGAGCAGAGGCTAGCATTCATCTTTCATACCCCCACACTGCTTAATGTGGTGGCCCCCATACATATTTGTTTAATTGATGAGGAATGAACAAGTTATATGCTTTATCCTTTCAGCTGCTTTTTCTTCTGGCTCTCTAGTTCATAGGCATTGGAATTTCCTTTGTTTTTTTCTCTCCAGAGGGTCTTAATACCCAAGATCATAATTATTTTACCTTTTTCATTCCCTTTCCTTTAAAAAAAGACTCTATGAAACATTTTAAAGCTATAGTTTGACTACTTTTTAATTAATTAATTTATTTAATTGTATTGGGTTTATTGCAATTCTAGAATCAGGAAACACTTCATTCCATAAAATAGAATAAATATTCTGATGAGTTGAGCAGAAGAGGTTGGCTTTGTAGGCAGAGAAGAGCTGCAGAAAGCAGAAGCAAAGAACAAATAGTGTATTCGTTGTTTCAAAGCTACTTTTCCTGTAAGACAGGGACAGGGAGACAGATCAGAGAAAATAGCTGATTAGTTAACATCAGGTTACTTCAGGCTGCTTCTTTTGCATAAAGATTGAAGCAGAGGGAATTTCATTATCATGCCGATTGAAGATTTAGCTGGTCTGTTTGCGAAGGTCAGATAACAACGAGTTTGGGTTTGGTGACTCAATTTTTATTTTTTTGGTTTGGTGACTTCATTTTGATTGATTTTTAGTCTGTCCTGTTGGGGCCTAGTGCAGAGCTTAGTCAAAAACAATTACTTCCTGCCGGGTGTGATGGCTAATTCCTGTAATGCCAGTACTTTGGGAGGTAGAGGCAGGTGGATCACTTGAGATCAGGAGTTCGAGACCAGCTTGAACAACATAGTGAAACCCCGTCTCTACTAAAAATACAAAAATTAGCCAGGTGTGGTGGTGCATCCCTGTAATCCCAGCTACTCGGGAGACTGAAGCAGGAGAATCACTTGAACCCGGGTGGCAGAATTTGCAGTGAACCAAGATCATGCCACTGCCCTCCAGCCTGGGTGACAGAGTAAGGCTTCATTTAAAAAGAAATTACCTCATATAACTTTGATTTAATACTACCTTATAATTATTCAAAGTATATTAAATTATACTTTATTTATTTATTATACTTTAAGTTCTAGGGTACATGTGCACCACCTGCAGGTTTGTTACATATTTATATATGTGCCATGTTGGTTTGCTGCACCCATTAATTCGTCATTTACATTAGGTATTTCTCCTAATGCTATCCCTCCCCCATCCCCCTACCTCACAGGCCCCAGTGTGTGATGTTCCCTGCCCTGTGTCCAAGTGTTCTCTAAATATGCTAAATTGTCATGATGTAACATTTTTAGAGTCTATTGGCTAAGGCTTATATGTAAAAAGTAACTACTTACATATAAGCCTTAGCCAATAGACTAAAAATGTTACATCATGACAGTTTAGCATATTTAAAGATCAGGTATTGCTGTGTTTCCTCCTCCACATGCTATTCTTTTGGGTAGAGATCTTTCCTGCTGCCCTCACATTTTAACTTCCTGTTTGTTATTAGAATGTTCTACGAGACTCATCCTCACCCTGGTCGTATTCTATTTCTTTCTGCTTCTTAGACATTTTTTAATGTCCTCAGGAGTCCATCAATTTTTACTTTATGAGCCTGGTTCCTCTTTGATGATTCTTTGTGTAAAACTTTCCTGATACTACTTTCTTTCTTTCTTTTTTTTTTTGGATCTTGACCTTTAGCTTCTGTCATTTTCTTTACCACATCTTTTTTGTCTTTATGCTTTTCTTTCTGTGTCTTTTGACATGCTTCAAATTCTGTGTTACTTCCCTCCTTCTGAGAGCTCTTCCTCCTCCCGCCTATTTTTTTTACAGATAGTCAGCTTTCATATGGAGTAAGGTCTATTATTCTCTTTCCCTTTGGTCTTTCTTTGTGCTCCTCCCCACCCTCACCACACATACATTTACTCAAGTACTTTCGTCCGTTTTCTCGTCTGTGTAACTTTATACAGTCTCTTATAAGCAATGGAAACTCATCACATTCCCTCAACTGTCCTGCTTGCTCATCTCTGATTACTGTGTCTTCTTTCCCTTGCTGCCTCTGTTGTCTTTACTCCTCTCTACTTTTTGCAGAAGTACTCTTCTTTATCCTGCATTGTCTGGATATTCCGTGTCAGTTTATCTTTCATGAAATCCCTAAAACACATCCAATTAATTAACACACTTGGTATAAGATAAAGGATCATAACAAATCAGTGAGGTAAGAATTAGATTATTTTGCAATGTTGAGAAAACTGGTTAACTATTTGAAAAAGAAAGCCTCACATCATGCACTAAAATAAATTCCAAATTAATTCATGAGCTAAATATAAAAAATGAAACCATAAATACTAGAATAAAGTATAAGTGAATAACTGATGATGGGTTGGAAAAGAACTTTCAAAGCATAAAAGCAAAGAGGAAATCATGAAGCAAAAATTCAATGTGTTTATGTATGTAACTATTACATTCTCTATGCACTAAAAAGCATAAAAATATATTATAATCAGAAAGCAAGTTAGGAAAATGTTTCTGATGGATATGGTCAAAGACTAATGCTCTTAATATGTAAATAACTAACAAGACTTTAACTAAAATGACATTGACTAGACAAAATACATAAATAAGAGAGTTCACAGAAATTTTAAAAATCAAATATAGTGACTTAAAAAATACAACTTAAACAAAACTATTGCTCATGTAATACTGGCATGCATAAAGTGAAATGAATATTTTCATATAGTGCTGGGAAGAGTGCAAGCAACCTTTCTGGAAAACAATTTTTTTTTTCTCTCTCTTTCCAAATGTATGTTTATATACACATATGCACATATAACACACAACAGATATGAAACTATAAAATGTTCACATTTTATGTTTGCGTTCTTAGAATGTATGCTAAGAAAATATTAAACTATGTAGCATTATTTATAATGATGTAAAGTTAATGATTAAATATCCAACCATAGAAAGATGATTTCAACATTTATAAATGGAATACAATGCAGCTATTAATAGTTATGTTTTCAAAAAATATTCACTTCTTGGGAAGATATTAATAATATAAACAATAAAAATGCAGATATACAATCGCATATACAAAATGATACAAATTAAAAATATATATTGAGTGAGTCAAGTAAATACATTAGTGTTAATGATGTTGAGACCATAGATAATTTTAACTACAAAAATATTTACCAATAATTTTCAAAATTTCTTATGGCCACATTTTACTTCTGAAATTAAATAAATAACAAATGTTGCTTTATAAGGAAAATGTATGGCTCTGTTTGCTTTCTTTTTGTTGACATGCTTATGGTTAATTTGCATTGCTTTGAAACTCATGAAGCTTTTAAATAAAAAAAAAAATTAAAAGTACTTCCTTCTACTCTTTTAAGTGTGATTTTGCCCCCAAATCTCTAATAAGCCTCTGGCCATTTTTTATAATTGCTGATCTGAAGATCATATTCAATGAAGGATCTAAATTACTGCAAGTGTATTCTTTGGAAACATTCCAATTAAAATATTAATTGGGAAGCCCACCACCAATTCTTGGGGTAACACGTTTGTGCTTTCACACAAATAAAACTTCTTTTGAAGGGATTCTCCCCTTGTCCTTCTTCACCCCTTTAAAAAGTCCAGCTTCCAGCGGATAAATTCCTGGACACATACACCCTCCCAAGTCTAAACCAGGAAGAAGTCAAATCCCTGAATAGACCAATAACAAGTTCTGAAATTGAGGCAATAATTAATAGCCTACCAACCAAATAAAGTCTAGGACCAGACAGATTCACAGCCGAATTCTACCAGAGGTACAAAGAGAAGCTGCTAACATTCCTTCTGGAACTATTCCAAACAATAGAAAAAGAGGGACTCCTCCGTAACTCATTTTATGAAACCAGCATCATCCTGATAGCAAAACCTGGCAGAAACACAACAAAGAAAGAAAATTTCAGGCCAATATCCCTGACGAACATCGATGTGAAAATCCTCGATAAAATACTGGCAAACCAAATCCAGCAGCACATCAAAAAGCTTATCCACCACGATTAAGTTGGTTTCATCCCTGGGGTGCAAGGCTGGTTCAACATATGCAAATCAATAAACGTGATCCATCACATAAACAGAACCAATGACAAAAGCCAAATAATTATCTCAATGGATGCAGAAAAGGCCTTCAATAAAATTCAACACCCCTTCGTGCTAAAAACTCTCAATACACTAGGTGTTGATGGAATGTATCTCAAAATAGTAAGAGCTATTTATGACAAACCCACAGCCAATATTTTACTGAATGGGCAAAAACTGGAAGCATTCCCTTTGAAAACCAGCACAAGACAAGGATGCCCTCTCTCACCACTCCTGTTCAACATATTATTGGAAGTTCTAGCCAGGGCAATCAGGCAAGAGAAAGAAATAAAGGGTATTCAAATAGGAAGAGAGGAAGTCAAATTATCTCTGTTTGCATATGACTGATTGTATATTTAGAAAACCCCATCGTCTCAGCCCCAAATCTCCTTAAGCTGATAAGCAACATCAGCAAAGTCTCAGGATAGAGAATTATTGTGCAAAAATCACAAGCATTCCTATACACCAATAATAGAAAAACAGAGAGCCAAATCGTGAGTGAACTCCCATTCGCAATTACTACAAAGAGGGCTGAGCACAGTGGCTCACGCCTGTAATCCCAGCACTTTGGGAGGCCGAGGCAGGCGGATCACAAGGTCAGGAGATCGAGACCATCCTGGCTAACATAGTGAAACCCTGTCTCTAGTAAAAATACAAAAAAATTAGCCAGGCGAGGTGGTGGGCACCTGTAGTCCCAGCTACTTGGGAGGCTGAGGCAGGAGAATGGCATGAAACCGGGAGGTGGAGCTTGCAGTGAGCCAAGATCATGCCACTGCACTCCAGCCTGGGCCTGGGCAACAGAGTGAGACTCCGTCTCAAAAAAAAAAAAAATTACTACAAAGAGAATAAAATACCTAGGAATCCAACTTACAAGGGATGTGAAGGACCTCTTCAAGGAGAACTACAAACCACTGCTCAAGGAAATAAGAGAGGACACAAACAAATGGAAAACATTCCATGCTCATGTATAGGAAGAATCAATATTGTGAAAATGGCCATACTGCCCAAAGTAATTTATAGATTCAATGCTATCCCCATCAAGCTATCATTGACTTTCTTCACATAATTAAAAAAAAACTACATTAAATTTTATGTGGAACCTAAAAAGACCCCACATAGCCAAGACAATCCTAAGCAAAAACAACAAAGCTGGAGGCATCATGCTACCTGCCTTCAAACTATACTACAAGGCTACAGTAACCAAAATAGCATGGTATTGGTACCAAAACAGATATATAGACCAATAGAACAGAACAGAGGCCTCAGAAATAATGCCACACATCTACAACCATCCGATCTTCAACAAATCTGACAAAAACAAGCAATGGGGAAAAGATTCCCTATTTAATAAATGGTGTTGGGAAAACTGGCTAGCCATATGTAGAAAACAGAAACTGGACCCCTTCCTTACACCTTATACAAAAATTAACTCAAGATTGATTAAAGACTTAAACGTAAGACCTAAAACCATAAAAACCCTAGAAGAAAACCTAGGCAACACCATTCAGGACATAGGCATGAGCAAAGACTTGATGAGTAAAACACCAAAAGCAATGGCAAAAAAAGCCAAAATTGACAAATGGGATCTAATTAAACTAAAGAGCTTCTGCACAGCAAAAGAAACTATCATCAGAGTAAACAGGAAACCTACAGAATGGGAGAAAAATTTTGCAATCCATTGGTCTGACAAAGGACTAATATCCAGAATCTACAAAGAATTTAAATTTACAAGAAAAAAACAACCCCATCAAAAAGTGGGCGTAGGATATGAACAGACACTTCACAAAAGAAGACATTTATATAGCCAACGAACATATGAATAAAAGCTCATCATTACTGTTCATTAGAGAAATGCAAATCAAAACCACAATGAGATACCATCTCACACCACTTAGAATGGCGACGATTAAAAAGTCAGGAAACAACAATAGCTGTGGAGAGGATGTGGAGAAATAGGGACACTTTTTCACTGTTGTTGGGAGTGTAAATTAGTTCAACCATTGTGGAAGACAGTGTGGTGATTCCTAAAGGATCTAGAACCAGAAATACCATTTGACCAGTCCCATTACTGGGTATATACCCCAAAGATTATAAATGATTCTGCTCTAAAGACACATACACACATGTGCTTATTGCGGCACTGTTCACAATAGCAAAGACTTGGAACTAGCCCAAATGCCCATCAGTGATAGACTGGATAAAGAAAATGTGGCATGTATATACCGTGGAATACTATGCAGCCATAAAAGGGACGAGTTCATGCCCTTTGCAGGGACATGAATGAAGCTGGAAACCATGATTCTCAGCAAACTAACACAAGAACAGAAAACCAAACACTGCATGTTCTCACTCATAAATGGGAGTTGAACAGTGAGAACACATGAATACAGGGAGGGGAACATCACACACTGGGGCCTGTAGAGGGGTGGGGGGCTAGGGAAGGGATAGCATTAGGCGAAATAACTAATGTAGATGATGACTTGATGGATGCAGCAAAACATCATGGCACGTGTATACCTATGTAACAAACCTGCACGTTCTGCACATGTACCCCAGAACTTAAAGTATAATTTTAAAAAAACCCTACAAAAAATCTTGCTTCCTTTTCTTTCCTCCTTCTCTCCCTTCCCTTCCCTTCTCCATTGCCTTTCTCTGCTTTCCACTTTCCTCTCTTCCACTCCTTTACCCTCTCCCTGTGCCTTTATCTGGCTTCTGCTCTCATCAACTCTATGTACTTTTACTTCCTTCACTTATGCTTCTACATTTATCTTTGTTTTATACTTGTTTTATTTTTTCCTATGTGAATTCTTCTGATTTTGCACTTCTCTGTACCCCACTTCTCTATTATCTTTTAGGTTGACACCCTGGACAGACATGCTAAAGTGCTTATAGACTAGCATAACCTTTCCCCTTTTTCTTCTATTAGGAAACAAATTCATTTTTGTAATTTGATCAGCACTTGCCTTTGGGGTTTGACAGTCCTGTTGCTGATACATGTTCATTTTACTTTCTACTATAACCCTTAGACTCTCTTGTAATTCCATTTTACATTGGTGCATTTGATTATTCTTTGTGAATCACATTACATTTATGAATGCTTTATTGAATCTTATTTTATTGATTTCTGTCCATTTAAAAAGTTTATCTTGCTCACATTCTGTTTTATGCCTATCCTGCATTGTGCAGGAACACCTGCAAATTTTATTAGTATCCTCTATCTTCTATTCTCAAAGTAGTAAATGAAAATATTGAATTGTATTGAACTCAGAGAGGACCCCTAAGGGACCTACTTGACACCTCCACCCAATCCAATATTGACTGTTAGTAACAACTCTTTTTACTCAATTTGTTTGAAATAGTTTTACATCTAACATATCCATCTATGGAACTTTCACCTAATTTGCCTCTTTAAAAAATTATTTGCTTGCCCAAGTTTCCACCAAGTTTTTATATATATATATATATACTAAACTTATCCTGTTGAAGGAAGGATGAAATTGTGGTTTCACATGGTTTGTTTTTGACAAACTCATGCTAGCTTTCATGTGCCTCCTCATTTCTTTAAGGTCTAAATTGATCATTATTAACAGCTTCACATATTGTGTTAGTTGTTCATTGAGCTGATTCCGTAGAGAATTTACTGAATTGTTGCTCTCTAGAGTCATGTTTTTCTCTATATACAGCACTTCTACACTATCTGGAGGCCCTGGTTCTTCAACAGGCAACCAAAATTGTTGCTTCTTGATCTGTGCAATTCATCTGTTAGCTCTTCTAGGTTCAAAGGATCATCCCCTGGCCCATAATATATGCTAAAAACATAAAGTATCTTCTGGTTATCCTAGTGAGAGTTCAGCTTCAAAACATTTCATTTGCTCTTTTATTTAATAGGGTTGGTCCTTTTGTTTTTATTTTATATTTGTTTCTTAAGACCAGATCTTTATTTTGAAGTCATCTTTATAATTCCTATTTCACTCCCCTCCACACACCAACATAAAGCCCCCCCAAATCTTTATACTGTAGAGAGGGGATGTTTTTCGATCTGGGTGTGGCAAAAGCATTTCTAACTATGACATAAAATGAAAACAATCAAATATTAATAATATTATTTCTTAAAAATAAAAAATCTTTTATGGCAAACCACCAAGCCAAAATTTAAAGATAATTGACAAACTGGCAAAAATTTATTTGCAGTTTATATCCATGATGGGCTATTATCTCTAATATATAAAGGTTTCCTATAAATCAATAAGAAAACACTAACAATCAGTTGAAAACTGAACAAAGAATACAAATTGATATTTTATAGAAAAGGCTCTTAGTCATATGAAAAGATGCTCACCTCACTCATAATTAGAGAATGGCAATGAGATACCATTTTCACCTTTTTGGCAGACATGAAAACAATTTGATAATATTCTGTTGGTATGGCTGTGAGGGATATGAAGCTGTTTTGCATTACTACAAAGACATACCCAAGACTGGGCAATTCACCAAAAAAAAAAAAAAAAAAAAAAAAAAGAAGAGGTTTAATTGGCTCACAGTTCTGCAGCCTGTATAGGAAACATAGCAGCATCTACTTCTGGGGAGGCCTCAGGAAGCTTCCAATCATGGCAGAAAGCAAACGGAGAGCAGGCACATCACATGGCAAAAGCAGGAGCAAGAGTGAGGGTGGGAGGTGCCATGCACTTTTAAATGACCAGATCTTTTGAGAGCTCACTGTTGTGAAGACCATACCAAGCCATGAGGGATCTACTCCCATGACCAAACACCTCCCACCAGCCCCTACCTCCAGCATTGGGGATTATGATTCAACATGAGATTTGGGCAAGGACAAATATCCAAGCTATATCATAGAGAAATAGACATTCTTATTTATCATTATTGGTGGAATGTAATTGATACAATCCCTATGGAGGACAATCCACCAAAACCATAGTGTATTTGCCTTTTAACCTAGCAATATATTTTCTATGAACATATTCTACAAATATATTCTCATGTATAAAATGACATATGTTCCATATTACTGACTGTGGCAGTGTTTGTAGTAGGAAATGATTGGACAAATTCTAAATTTATATTGGTAGGGAACTGGCTAATAAAGTATGGTACATTGAGGCAATAGAATACCATGGAACTGTAACTTTTTTTTTTAGAGGATGAGGATACTCTTTAGGCACTGATAAGAAAATATTTCTAAGACATATTACTAAGTAAAATATTTAAAATTCAAAGTGGTAATCTATGATTGGGGTAGGAGACAGAGAAGAAAATATATTTCTATTGGTCTATAAATGCAATAACAAAAATAACAAATAAAAATAACAAACTCTTGAAAGACAATAAAAATTATTAATAGTGGTTACCATTTAGGGGCATGTGAACTAGAGATGGAAGAGCTAGGGTTAGGAAGAAGATGTTTTTGCTTTTCATTATTTGAAAAACATGTATTATCTAATGCAAGTACAGCCTAATAAATCCCACAGCCATACAAACGGGATATTATCAAATTGTTTCCATATCTGCCAAAAAGGTGAGAAGATGTTCTAAGTTGGTGTGATGAGAATCCAGCAGTATACATCAAGGCATGTGGGGTTCTGGCAGAGGGGTACAAAATAGTATTAACATTTCCTTCTGCCTCTTTGTGAAATTAGATTTTTCAACTTATCATACAAAACATAAAACAATAGAACTGAACACTCCCTTGTAAATTTATGTTTTATACTTGATTTACTTGTTGTTTCCACAAGGTATCTCCCAGTTACATTGATTATATTGCCAGATTATCTGATGATTAAGGCCATTAACAATCCACTCTTGAGTAGTCAGCATAACAATGTTTAGTTGCCTTGCAGTAATAATTAGGGAATGAAGCAATTTACCATAATTAGGTACTATCTGAAAAAAAGTATCCACATTAAGGGAAGTTAAAAAGACTTCCTTTTTTATGGTTAGGGATGACTGTTAAAAAAGTGTTGTTTTCTGAATTACAAAGAAAATTATTGCACTTTTAATTTGCTCATTATTGCAAACACAGAAACAACAAATGGTTCTTGTTCAGAGTTTGCCCCATGTGGCTTTGGGCAAGTTTCTTAACCTTTCTCTGTTCTTGTTTCATCATCTAGTAGGCAATGATAATAGTCATACCACAGGCAGATACTGATAGGTAATTAATGTTTGCAAAGTGCTTTGAGATCCTGGGAAGGAAAATATTCTACAAATACAAATGGAAGATTTACATAACATATTTTAATTTATTGTAATAGGTTTATTCAGACTTAAGACTCAGCAGGGAAAGCCCTTTGTTTCCTGTTCTTAATTTCCCTTCATCAAATAAGAACATTTAATGTATTTTTCGTATTTGTAATATCTTTTCTAGTTTTTGAATGGTGTTCTCTATTCTTGTAGTCTGTCTGGAATAAGATCAGCATTTGCCTTTTGGTGTTGTTCAATCATCCAGGAACTCTACCCAAATAAGATGGGATTACTCATTTGCGAAACAGAATTTTTGCCTGTTTGTTTCAGAAATACTGCCCTAGGGAGGACAGGACATCTTATTTAGACATTGCTTTGCATCACTAGATTTTTTTTTTTTTTTTTTTTTTGAGACGGAGTCTCGCTCTGTCGCCCAGTCTGGAGTGCAGTGGCGGGATCTCGGCTCACTGCAAGCTCCGCCTCCCGGGTTCACGCCATTCTCCTGCCTCAGCCTCCCAAGTAGCTGGGACTACAGGCGCCCGCCACTACGCCCGGCTAATTTTTTGTATTTTTAGTAGAGACGGGGTTTCACCGTTTTAGCCGGGATGGTCTCGATCTCCTGACCTCGTGATCCGCCCGCCTCGGCCTCCCAAAGTGCTGGGATTACAGGCGTGAGCCACCGCGCCCGGCCACATCACTAGATTTTACACCTTGTCTGTTCCTGGCATCCTGGGTCAACGAGAGGAGGAAAAGTTAGAGGACCAGCAACTAGAAGAGGAAAAGGTAGAGGACCACAGAGCTTCAGTTAGGTGGGTTGGACATGATATTCCAGAGACAGACATTCTATCTTAGTCACAATTTGGAAAACTTGTAGGTATTGGGAAACCTGGTTAGACTGGTGGAACATAGATATGGAACGTCAGATGTTAAGTCAGTCAGTTGGTACTCAGCTCGTCATCTCATATTTCTCTTCAAGTCTGCCCAAACCTAGAAGAGGATTGAGGTATTAGGTTGTGAAATCTAGTAGAGATTCAGAATAGTGACCAAGTCAGAAGCTTAGTGAACAATGTCAACATGGGAGTGGGTGTTGAAGGAGAGGGTGGAAAGAAGAGCTACCAATTAGAAAGGGAGAGGGGAAACATTTCCCTGAGAAAATGGATCTCAGACTTTTAAAATTCATTACCATGAGCATGAAGTGCTTATTATGTGCCAGGCATTAAGCACTTTACAAGCCTTCTCATCTTTAATCCTCTCAAGAAGTTTATGAGCTAGATACTATCATTGCCCCATTTTATAGATGATGAAACTGAGGAATATCGATGTAAAATGATTTGCCCAAAGCCACACAGCAAATAGTTGACAGAGCTAGAATTTAACTCAGGCAGTCTAGCTTCAGAATCCATGCAAATAATTACTGTTCACCACTGACTTTTATTGTTGGTCGGTAGGTAGCAAAGGGGATGTGGGAGAAAAGGCAAAAGCCTTGGAGATGTTAACTGAGCCATCAGATCTCAGGGAGGCTGATCTAAATCCAAACTAAAATGGATGGTGCATCTGGATCTGCTGATATCTCCTTCAATTTGAATTGGATCAGGAGCTGGGAACAATTTAGATTTGCAATTTAGGGCACCATTGTACTCAGCTATGAGGAACCAAGGAAGGAAATAGGCAGAGAAGCATAAGTGGGAGCAATAGCCACCTCATAGTACAATACTGTAATTAGAATTTTTTATTCTGCAGCTTTTCAGTGTCATCTACATAACCTTCATTGAGTCAAGTTGGTTATGACTTGTGGGTGAGCTTTAGAATTTAGTAAAACCCACAGAACTATGCTAGAATATTAGCTTAGCCCTGACTCAAAAAGAAAGTTGCTGCCTTCCAGCTCAATAAATCTTGATTGTTTACTATGATCCTCAATACAACCATTGACTAATCTTAATCTTTTTTAGTTAATGAGACCAGGTAAAAATCACAACCTAAGTTTGCCTGGGAGAATCATATATATAGAAACTTACCTTTTCACCTCCAACATTCTTGATGCTTGAACTAGATTTGCATGATCTTCCTGAAATGTAATTTACCAATTTGAACCTTCCAAAAATAGTCAACCCTTTTGAAATGAAGAATATACACATATATATAAAACTTACATATATAATATATATAAACACATAATATATAAGTGTATATAACTCTTAGTTATGTAAGCTTCTCAACTGAAATTGTAAACTGAATCCTTGAACTGTAAAATTCTTATGCCACTGTAATGTCTGGAGGTAAGAAGGGAAAAGGAGAGTGGAAAAGACTTGATTGGGCTGGTGATATAATTTAGAGAAGGAATAGGGAACTAACATGTATTGTATGCCTACTCTATAATGGACCTATGACAAATGAGTTACACATACAATATGGTCTTAAAATAACTGTGAAGGAATAGTATTGTCTTCATTTTACAGGTGAGAAAACTGAGGCTCAGGGAGGTTAAAAAATTTGTTCAAGGTCACACTGCTGGTAAGTGATCAAGTCAAGTTGTGAATTCAGATCTGTTGATTGTGAAGTATAATGCTACAATGGTCCTTCATATTTTTTTCATTGTTTGTTCTTCTTCTCTATTGGTCTAGTGTCAACTTAAAAGTACAGCTCATTTGAAAGTCACTTATTTTATCCATTTTATGCCACAGTTGCTACAGTCGATTTTTGAGGCTAGTAAAATAATTATAATGATGATTCTAACAATAATAATAATAATAATAATAATGTTAATAGTAACAAAAGTCATTTAGTGATCTGTACTGAAGCCAGACAGCATAACAAATACTTTCCATGGATACTTTCATTTGGTTCTTTACAACAAACATTGTAATCTAGGGACAGTGATGATTCTTATCTGAGTAAACAAGCTCAGAAAGGTTACCTGACCCTTTTTGTTTTTTTAAGACAGAGTCTCGCTCTATTGCCCAGGCTGGAGTGCAGTGGTGGGATCTCTGCTCACTGCAAGCTCCGCCTCCCGGGTTCACGCCATTCTCCTACCTCAGCCTCCTGAGTAGCTGGGACTGTAGGTGCCTGCCACCACACCTGGCTAATTTTTCTGTATTTTTAGTAGAGATGGAGTTTCACCACGTTAGCCAGGATGGTCCCAATCTCCTGACCTCGTGATGCACCTGCCTCAACCTCCCAAAGTGCTGGGATTACAGGCGTGAGCCACTGTGCCTGGCTGGTTACCTGACCTTTTTAGCATGAAATAGCTGATGAGTATCCAAGTCAAGACAGAAATTCAGGTCTGTCTGCTTACAAAGCTCAAGTTCTTTGCTGTTACCTCTTCATGTTCTTCTGAAATATTTTTGAGTTACATTCATCATAGGTAAAAATCTGGGCTTTAAGTATCTTTATGCAGCATCGTCTTCTGTGATGGCCTTTAACCTGTGCACTGCTGGAATGAGAAATGACACCTCAGCCTATAAAGTGGTCCTGTGTTGGAATCCAAAAAGAATCACTATGAGTCTAGTGTGTAGTCCCTTTTCTTTGTTAACCCTTAAGTATGCTTCACTCTTACTTAAAAGTAGTATCCTCAGTGTTAAGTTCAATGCTTACACATCTGGGTCATTTCAGGTCTGTTTTCTGGTTGCACTCTAGAATGTCACTTCTGGGAGTAGAATTGAGATGGGAAGGTGGGGTCACGGTGATTTTCTTTCAATAAATTTTGGTGTGAAAAGTGGAAAAAATTAATAAGGGGGTCTAAAGTGGACAGAGCAGCAAGAGGAATTTGTCACAAGTTTATTAAAATTACTGCCACAGAGAAAAGGCCCTCATGAAAAGCCACAAAGCTTCTTGCTGTCTTGCATAAATAAAGCTTAAAGGTTTCTATTTCATGTGGCAATTCAAAGTGCTTTTCATCAAGAAGGCACAGCAGTGCCTCTCATTGCAAAACATAAAGCCCCTAAAAGTTAGATTGCTCTCTCCAGTTTTTAAAAATGGAGGATGCTGAAATCTCACCACTTTGGAAAGTAAAAACTGATACTTGGAATTCATGCTAAGAAGATCTGAGGTACAAAGGAAGCCAGTGTGAAAGCATCCCACTCATCCATAAAGCCACATGCAAGCTGAGGTTTTGGGAATGCTTTTTAGAAGTTTTGGTCACGAGTTAATCAGTTCCCAAGATGAGAATAATTGGTGCTGTCTTGGTGTTACTTGTGTAAGAATTTCTTGTTCAAAAGACTTGCGCCATGAAAGACATAGGTGACAACATTAAAGGTTGCAAGCCGACATTACAAAACAAGTTTGGTAAGGGACCTGTCAGTAACAGGTACAAGCAAATATGTTATAGCTTGAGTCAGGCTGGAGCCAGGCTGCCTGCATGCTGTTCCCTTCTGCAGATGGGGAACCACTTGGTAAAGCTGAGATGGATTTGGAATTTAAAACTACATGGTGATTTTAGTATTTCATTTTCCTGCAAATCAGTTCGGATGATTCAAAACCAAACCAGATGGCCATGCAGCTACTATGAAATATCAGCTACAGGCCAATCTTTTATTTTTCTTTAGAACATTACCTCTTACAACAACCTTACTTTCCAAAGTGTCTTAAATACAGCAAAATACACTTCACTGGGGGAGAGTCTATGATATGCCTTTTTTTTTTTTTTTAACTGCCATTAGAATTCTTAGGAAGATCTAATGCTTCTCAGAACTCAGAAAGCCAGTATGTACTCAAAGGCTGGAGAATGTGGAGCAACTTGATAATCATCAGGAGTGGGTTCAGGGGATGAGAGGTTGTTGGGATTGCACTTTGTTGTCTGCTTTTCAATTGATTTTGTTTCTGACTAAAACTGCAGAAGGAAGCATGATGAAGACAGTTACAGAGCTGGGAAAAGAAAGTTTAGCAGGCCTAGCAGCCGATATAAGGTTGTTTTGGAAGAACTTTGTCAACTAGAAACATGATAGCCCTGCTAACTGCTGTTCTCTCTTCCCTTTTAACCTTTTTCCTTCCATATTTTAACTTTATATTTTGAAATACTTTTAAGCTTACAGAAGAGTGGGAAAAATAGAGAAAGTTCTTGTGTAACCTTCACCCAGCTTCTCCTCTCATTGACATCTTACATAACCATGGCAGATTTATCAAAACTAAGAAATTAACATTGATACATTATTATTAACCAAACTGCAGACTGTGTTCAGATTTCACCAGTCTCCCCACAAATGTCCTTTTTCTGTTCAGGATACGATTCAGGATTTCATGTTTTATTTTGTCATCATGTCTGCTTAGTTTCCTCCAACCTGTGGCATTTTTTTTTTTTTTTTTACCAGTCTTTCCTTGTTTTTCATGACTTTGACACTTTGAAGAACACTGAACACAATATTTTGGAAAATTTCAGTCAATCTGGGTTTGGCTGATGATTTCTCATGATCAGACTGGAGTTACGGATGTTTGGGAAGAATGCCACAGAAGTAATATGCCCTTTCTTATTCACATCATACCAAGATATAAATGATAAACACTTGAGTTATCATTCATGATGTTAGTTTGGATCAGGTCTCCTTTTTTTTTTTTTTTTTAAATTTCGAAACACTTATTTACCTTCCCACATCACCAGTCATCAATTGTGTCATGATTGTGACTATAGCTTCTCATGGAGAACATCCGTCTTTGGTCAGTACGTTAAAAGCCCCCGGTTTCACAGCCCCACAAGCCCTCTTTGCAATGACCTGGGTCCCCTTATTTTAAATAATCTACCTGTAAAGTGGGTTGCTTGGGTAAGTGGAGAACTTGATAGGACAAAGTAGAAGAGTACCTACATGAATGCTAGACACTCAGCAAATGTTCATTCATTCATTCATCTGGCAGCAATTAATTGAGTTGACCAATACAACAAATGTGTCAAGGCTGTTTATACATTTGTCTATTCAGTAAACAAATTTTTATTAAATGTTTTTTCACTTGTGTAATCACTTGTGGAATCAGTCAAAAAAATTACCTTACCAACTAAGAAAATCCAAATACCACTGCCAAAAACACAACCACCAATCAGTGATATAATAAATGGTAAAATATGGTAGTATCTTTTAAAAATCTTTTTTCTTTTCTTTAAACTTTTAAGTTCGTGTGCAAGTAGTATATTTTATTATTAATATTGTTGTTAATCTTATTATTATTGCCTCGAAAGATGAAATGGGTCCTTACTATAGGCACCTGTAGAGCCTTCCCTCAGGAGTTGTCAGGAACTGATATGTTTGAGATCTCGCCCTACTTGCAAGCTGTTACAATTTCATAAATGCTGTTAAAAAAACACAGATTTCTGAATAAGAGGCAAAGGATTTTATTAGTCACATCAAATAGCAGTAGTCACAGTACAGCATTTCCTTGCACCAGTTTCCTCAGCCCCAATTCCCACAGGGCAATATAAAGAGGGCCAAGTGATATTTGCACACGCAGTGGGTCAGTTACAGGAGATGAATCTTGAGCTTAGGGAACCCAAATAATTTATAATCAGCAGTAATATCTTCTCTTTGTTCCAGAGGGAGCCACTGTCTCAGTCTTTTAAGGCTGTTAACTATGCAAACATCCTTGGAACGCTAGTCTGGAACAAAGCCATTCAGTACCTCTGCTCACTAGATGTGCAGAAACACCAGATACCTATGGAGAATTGTGTCACAACAGGAAGTAGTACACAGCTACACAATGTTATCTGCCCTACCAAGAGTGATGAAAGAGGGGAAAAATTCCAAAAGGCAGGCATTTCCTGATTGAATATCTTTGCCTCTGATTCGCCATTTAGGCCTGCTTGTGCTGTTAAGACCTTACTCAGATTTTTAAGATGATAGTCTGATCTCTCACCCTGGAATGTATTCCAGAACAGGAATGCCTGTGTTCTTGGTATTAATGTAAATCTTACCTGTATTCTGAGACTGAGTTTCTGCCTAGATGCTCTTGCCCAGTCTAGTACCATGGACTCATACCCTGGCTTCCTTACTTGGCTTTCGCAATTGGCCTGCTTTTTCCAGTATGAACCAGTGTCTTGAATTTGAGCTCAGATTTCTTCTCTACGTTGGTTAATGAGTTCCTTTTCAAACGGTTATATTTTGGGGTTGAGGTAAAGGTTTTTAGAGTACTTCCAATCGTGTATGTAAGCAGTCAACTATTTTCCCTATGTGTAGGTCTGGCACCACAGACCTGTAGAAGTCTTCTCTTTAATTGTACCATTATTTTGAATGTAAAAAAAAAACAAATAAACATGTTGTTGTCATTGATCTGGCTGTAGATGCATATCATAAGATAGAGAGATCGCAGGCAAAAATGCTAGAGCTCTCATTTATAAAGGCAATTTCAATTTTCTCACCTCTTTCTATTCTCAGCCAAGTAACCTTTTTGGGTAATTTTTAATTTAAAAAATTTTTAATGGTGGTAAAATATGCTTAACATACTGTCTTAACCATTTTTAATTGTATATTTAAGTGGCATTAAGTACATTCACATTATTGTGCAACCATCACAACCACCCATATCCAGAGCTTTTTTATCTTGCAAGACTGAAACCCTCTACCCATTAAACAACAACTCCACTGTTGACTCATCCCCCCAGCCCCTGGCAACTACCATTTTACTTTTTGTCTTTATGAATTTGACTACTCTAGGTCCCCCATAAAAATGGAATCATACAATACTTGTCTTTTTGTGATTGGCTTATGTCACTCAGCATAATGTCATCAAGGCTCATCCATGTTGTAGCATGTGTCAGAGTTTCCTTCCCTTTTTTTAAACTTTTATTTTAGGTTCGGGGGTTCATGTGAAGGTTTGTTACATAGGTAAACACAAGTCATTGGAGTTTGTTGTACAGATTATTTCATCACCCAGGTATTAATCCCAGTACCTAATAGTTGTCTTTTCTGATCCTCTCCCTCCTCCCACCTTCCACCCCCAAGTAGACCCCAGTGGATGTGTTTTCCTTCTTTCTCTACATAAGTTCTCATCATTTAGCTCCCACTTATAAGTGAGAATATACAGCATTTGTTTTTCTGTTCCTGTGTTAGTTTGCTCAGGATAATAGCCTCCAGCTCCATCCATGTTCTCACCAAAGACATGATCTTGTTCTTTTTTATGGCGCATAGCATTCCATGGAGTATATGTACCACATTGTCTTTATCTAATCTGTCATTGATGGGCATTTAGGTTGATTCCATGTCTTTGATCTTGTGAATAGTGCTGCAATGAACGTCAGCATTTTTGTATCTTTATTGCAGAATAATTTATATTCCTCTGGGTATATACCCAGTAATGGGATTGCTGGGTCGAATGGTAGTTCTGCTTTTAGCTCTTTGAGGAATCTCCAAAATTGCTTTCTGCAACAGTTGAACACTCCTACCAATGTCGTATAAGTGTTCCCTTTTCTCTACAACCTCAGCAGCATCTGTTATTTTTTGACTTTTTAATAAAAGCCATTCTGACTGGTGTGAGATGATATCTCTTTGAGGTTTTGATTTGCATTTCTCTAATGATCAGTGATATTGAGCTTTTTTCCACATGCTTTTTGGCTACATGTATGTCTTCTTTTGAAAAGTGTTTGTTCATGTCCTTTGCCTACTTTTTAATTGGGTTGTTTGTTTTTCTCTTGTAAATTTAAGTTCCTTATAAATGCTGGATGTTAGGCCTTTGTGAGATGCATAGTGTGCAAATATTTCATCCTATTCTGTAGGTTGTCTGTTTACTCTGTTGAGTTTCTTTTTCTGTGCAGAAACTCTTTAGTTTAATTAGATCCAATTTGTCAAGTTTTGCTTTTGTTGCAATTGTTTTTGGTGTCTTTCATAAAATCTTTGTCTGTTCCTATGTCCAGGATGGTATTGCCTAGGTTGTTTTCCAGGGTTTTTATAGTTATGGGTTTTACACTTAAGCGTTTAATCCATCTTGAGTTTATTTTTGTATATGGTTTAAGGAAGGGGTCCAGTTTCAGTCTTCTGCATATTGCTACCCAGTTAACTCCACGCAATTTATTGAATAGGGAGTCTTCTCTCCATTACTTGTTATTGTCAGCTTTGTTGAAGATCAGATGGTTGTAGGTGTGTGGCCTTATTTCTGGGTTCTCTATTCTGTTTCATTGGTCTATATGTCTGTTTTTGTACAGTATCATGCTTTTTTGGTTACTGTAGCCCTGTAATATTGTTTGAAGTCAGGTAACATGATGCCTCCAGCTTTGTTCTTTTTGCTTAGGATTGCCTTGGCTGTTTGGGCTCTTTTTTTTTTTAGTTCCATATAAGTTTTAAAATAGCTTTTTCTAGTTTTGTGGAGAATGTCATTGGTAGTTGGATAGGTATAGCACCGAATATGTAAATTGCTCTAGGCAGTATGACCATTTTAATAATATTGATTCTTCCTATCCATGAGCATGGAACGTTTTTTCCATTTGCTTGTGTTTTTCTGATTTCTTTGAATAGTGTTTTATAATTCTCATTATAGAGATCTTTCACCATCCTGGTTAACTATATTCCTAGGTATTTTATACTTTTTGTGGCAATTGTGAATGGGATTGGATTCCTGATTTGGTTCTTAGCTTGACTATTGTTGGTTTATAGGAGTGCTAGTGATTTTTGTACATTGATTTTGTATCCTGAAACTTTGCTGAAGTTGTTTATCAGCTGAATGAGCCTTTGGGCCAAGATGTTGGGGTTTTCTAGATATAGAATCATGTTGTCTGCAAACAGACCTGATTTGCAAACAGAACAGTTTGACTTCCTTTATTTCTTTCTCCTGCCTAGGTGCTCTGGCTAGGACTTCCAATAATATATTAAATAGGAGTTGTGAGAGAGGGCATCCTTGTCTTGTGGCGGTTTTCAAAGTGAATGCTTCCAGCTTTTGCCCATTTAGTATAATGATAACTGTGAGTAGGTCATAGACGGCTCTTAATATTTTGATGTATGATCTTTCAATACCTAATTTATTAAGAGTTTCTTTTTTGTTGTTGTTGTTTTTTGAGACAGGATTTCACTCTTGTTGGCCAGGCTGGAATGCAATGGCATAATATTGGCTCACTGCAACCTCTGGTTCCCATGCTCAAGTGATTGTCCTGCTTTAGCCTTCCAAGCAGCTGAGAATACAGGCACATGACCCCACATCCAGCTCATTTTTATATTTTTTGTAAAGGTGGGGTTTCCCCATGTTGCCTGTGGCTGGTCTCAAACTCCTGGGCTCAAGTGATCTGCCCACCTTGACCTCCCAAATTGCTAGGGTCACAGGTGTGAGCTACCATGCCCAGCCAATTTATTAAGAGTTTTTAACATGAAGGGTGTTAAATTTTATTGAAAGCCTTTTCTGTATCTATGGAAATAATCATGTAGTTTTTGTCATTAGTTCTGGTTGTGTGATGAATCACATTTATTGCTTTGTGCATGTTGAACCAATCTTGCATCCTGGAGATGAAGCCTACTTGATTGTTGTGGATTAGCTTTTCCATGTGCCGCTGGATTCTCTTTGCAAGTATTTTATCGAGGATTTTTTCATTGATGTTCATCAGAGATATTTAAGTTTTCTTTTTTTGATGTATTTCTGGAAGGTTTTGGTATCAGGATAATGCTGGCCTCATAGAATGAGTTTGGGAGGAGTCCCTCCTCCTAATTTTTTGGAATAGTTTCAGTAGGAGTAATACCAGCTCTTCTTTGTACAACTGGTGGAATTCGGTGGTGAATCCATCAGATCTTGGGCTTTTTTTGGTTGGTAGGCTATTTATTACTGATTCAATTTCAGAGTCTGTTATTGGTCTGTTTAGGGAATCAATTTCTTTCTGGTTCAGTCTTGGGAGGGTGTATGTGTCCAGGAATTTATCCATCTTTTCTAGGTTTTGTAGTTTGTGTGCATAGAGGTGTACTTAGTAGTTTCAAATGTTTATTTTTAGTTCTGTGGAATCGGTGGTAACACTGCCTTTGTCATTTCTAATTGTGTTTATGTGTATCTACTCTTTATTTGTCCTGCTAGTGGCCTATTTTATTCATGTTTTCAAAAAACTACCTCCTGGATGTGTTGATCTTTTGAATGGTTTTTCATGTCTTGATTTTCTTCAATTGAACTCTGATTTTGGTTATTTCTTGTGTTCTGCTAGCTTTGGGGTTGGATTGTTTTTGCTTCTCTAATTCTTTCAGTTGTGATTTTAGGTTGTCAATTTGAGACTTATTCTAACTTTCTGATTTGGGCATTTAGTGCTATGAATTTCCCTCCTAACACTGCCTTAGCTGTTTCCCAGAGATTCTGGTATGTTGTATCTTTGTTCTCATTAGTTTCAAAGAACTTCTTGATTTCTTTCTTCATTTTATTATTTACCCCAAAGTCATTCAGGAGCATGCTGTTTAATTTCCACGTAATTGTCTGTTTTTGAGCAATTTTTTTAGTCTTGACTTTTATTTTTATTGTGCGGTGGACCGAGAGTGTGTTTGGTATAATTTTGGTTCTTTTGCATTTGCTAAGAATTGTTTAATGTCCAATTACATGGGCTCTTTTAGAGTATATGCCATATGGCTATGAAAGAATGTATATTCTGTTGTTTTAGGTGCAGAGTTCTGTAAAGGTCTATCAGATCCATTTGTTCCAATGCTGAGTTCAGGTCTTGAATGTCTTTGTTAATTTTCTGCTTGGATTATCTGTCTAATACTATCAGTGGAGTGTTGAAGTCTCCCAGTATTATTGTGTGGTAGTCTATGTCTTTTGCAGGTCTTTAAGAACTTCTTTTATGAATCTGGGTGCTACTGTGTTGAGTGCATATATATTTAAGATAGTCAGGTCTTGTTAAATTGAACCCGTTGCCATTATGCAATGCCATTTTTTGTCTTTTTTGATCCTCCTTGGTTTGATGTCTGTTTTGTCTAAAATTAGGATTGCAACCCCTACTTTTTTCTGTTTTCCATTTGCTTGGTAGATTTTCCTCCACCCCTTTATTTTGAGCCTATGTGTGTCATTAAGTGTGAGATGCATCTCTTGAAGACAGCATAGCATTGGGTCTTGCTTTTTTATCCAGCTTGCCACTCTGTGCCTTTTAAGTGGGGCATTTAACCCATTTACATTCAAGGTTAGTATTGATATGTATGGATTTGATCTTGTCATTATATTGTTAGCTGGTTATCACGTTGGCTTGTTTGGTTGCTTTGTAGTGACAGTGATCTGTGTGTTTAAGTGTTTTTGTATTAGCTGGTAGCAATCTTTCCTTTCTATATTTTGTGTTCCTTTCAAGATCTCCTGTAAGGAAGTTCTGGTGATAACAAATTCCCTCAACATTTGCTTATCTGAAAGGATCTTATTTCTCCTTCGTTTAGGAAGCTTAATTTGGCTGGATATAAAGCTCTTGGTGGGAGATTTTTTCGTTAAGAATGTTGAATATAGGCCCCCAATCTCTTCTCACTAGTAGGGTTTCAGCTGAGAGGCCCACTGTTAGCCTGATGGGATTCCCTTTGTAGGTCACCTGCCCTTTCTAGCTGCTTTTAACATTCTTTCTTTAATTTCAAACTTGGAAAATCTGATGATTATGTGTTTTGGTTATAATCTTCTTGTGTAGAATATTGTACAAGTTCTCTGTATTTCTTGAATTTGATTGTTGGCCTCTCTAGCAAGGTTGGGAAAATTTTCATGGATGATATCCTGAAATATGTTTTCCAAGTTGTTTGCTGTCTCCCTGTCCTTTTCAGGGATGCAAATGATTTGTAGATTTGGCCTCTTTACATAATCCCATACCTTTTGGAGGTTTTGTTCAGTCCTTTTTATTCCTTTTTCTCAATTTTTTTTCTGACTGTCATATTTCAGAGAACCAGTCTTCAAGTTCTGAGATTATTTCCTTGGCTTGGTTTATTCTGCTGTTAATACTTGTGATTGCATTGTGAAATTCTTGTATTGTGTTATTCAGCTTTGTCAGACTCGTTAGGTTCTTTTTTACAACAGTTATTTCATCCTTCAGCTCCTGTATTGCTTTATTGTGATTCTTAGTTTCCTTAGATTGGGATTTGCCATCCCCCTGAATCTCAATGATCTTCATTCCTATCCATGCTCTGAATTTTATTTCTGTCATTTTAGTCAACTCAGCCTGGTTAAAAAGTCTTGTAGGAGGTCTGTTTTGGTCATTTGGAGGACATGTGACACTTTGGCCATTTGAGTTACCAGAATTGTTGTGTTGGTTCTTTCTCATCTCTGTGTGTGGATGTTCCTTTAACTGCAGTGTAGATTGAGTACAGTCAATAGACTTTTTGTCTGGATGTTTTCACTAGACCAAGGCTTTGTGCAGGGTCTTTATTTGAAGCTGACTTCTTGTCCCTGGTTTCAGAGTGGGGGTATTTTAGCAAGGTATTTTTGGTGTTGAATCTTTGGGGTGTGATCCAGTAGGTGACACTTAGGCTTATTTGTCAGTTGGTAGACTCGTGTGTGGCTCCCCATGTTTCCTCACAGTTATGCTCTGAAAGTGTGGGTTCCTCTCCCCATTGAATGCTGACTGCAGATTTCAGCTTGGTACTCCTGGGCTGCCCACTGCAGCTCTGGGGTGATCTCCATGTTTATTTTCCTTCCCCAACTTGGAGGCAGCAGAGGAAGGGAACTTAGTGATGACTATGGCCAAGGGTCTTTTGCTTATCTCCTGGGGGCTCCACCCAAGAGAGATGCAGGTCAGCAATCACTCAGTGCAATCAGCCCAGGACAGAGTGTCTGTGCTGTGGGCACAAGCCAGGGTGTTCCCTGTCTGTGATGAGCAGTGGGTGGTGTGTGGGACCTATGGGAGATGGACTGGCCTCCTCTCCTTGGGCCAACTGAAGCTTGTTGAAGGTGTGGATAAGGCACTTAGTTTCTTTGCTCCTTCATTAGTCCGAGGCTAGCAAGGGCAATTCCACTGCAGAGGAAGTGGCAGAGAGGCTTTCAGATGTCCCTGGAGACTCTGTTCAGGGAGTTGATACTGGCTCAGTAGCTCTGGTGGGGGGTGCCTGGAGGCCCTACCTGGTAAGGAGATATGAAAATGTGCACCCACGTAACAGTCTGGCCCCTTTTCCATAGGGTTGCTACAGTATGCTGGGGGCCTGCTCCTGTCCCTAGTAGCCTCAAATTTTCTAGTACCCAAAGGTGTCACCAGTGAAGGCTACAAAACAGCAAAGATGGCAGCCTCTTCCTCGCTCTGGGAGGTCTGTCCCAGGGAGGTATGGACCTGTTGCTGGTTTGAAGATATCTGTAGGAGGTGGTTGAAGACCCTAGTTGGGAGGTCCCACCCAGTGAGGAGGAACAGGATTGGGAACCTGCTTTAAAAAGCAGCCTGACCATGTTTTATAGAGCAGCTATCCTGTGGTGGGGGTCCACTTTAGCCCCTCATCACCTTGGACTCTCCAACGTCTGAAGGCTCAAATAGCTAAGTCACCCAAACAGCAAAGGTGGTGGCCCACCCCTCCCTCTTTGAGTTTTGTCCCAGGGAGGTTTAAAATCTCTGTCAACTGGAGAAAACTGGTGGGGGTGGCTGGAGGCCCCTGTTGGGAGGTCCTGCCCAGTGAGGAGGAATGAGATCAGGGACCTGTGTATAAAAGCAATCTGGCCATGTTTTTGTAGAGTAGCTGTGCTGTGCTGTGCTGGGGTACCACTTCCTCCCCCAGTCAGTCTGGACTCTCCAAAGCCTAAAGGCTGGAATGACTAAGTTGCCCAAACCACAAAAATAACCTCCTGCCCCTCCCCTGGGAGCTCCATCTCAGGGAAGTGCAGTTCTGCTACTGGTGGCTGGCTGGAGTTCCAAGTCAGTGAGTCTTATCCTGTGAGGTGCCATGAAAGTCGGGTCTGCGGAATGTCACTGCTCAACCTCCTGGATTCAGCCCCTTTTCTAGGAGTATATACGGGGTCTAACTTCCCACTTTGCTGGAGTTGTAACTACTTTTGCCTGGAAGGCCAGAAAGCCTGGGTATCTAAGACTCCCAAGTCTCCAAGTGTGCCTGAGCAGCTGCTCTGCCGAGACTCCACTATCTCTGTGTGTCAGATTGAAGCTCCTGGTGGAGTGGGTTCACAAGGGGCTCTTCTGACCTGAGAGTTGCAAAGATCTGTGGGGGAAGCATGAGTTCCTGGGATTACCCGTTCACTCACTGCTTCCCTGGGTGGGAGAGGTTCCCTTGGCTTCCTGTCACTCCCAGGTGGGCATCATCCGGCCTTCCTTTTCAACATTCTCTGTGGGTTGAGTTGTTTCCTTGATTAGTCCCAGAGCAAGTACCTGGATGTTTCAGTTGAATGTGCTGTATTTACTTGCCCCTTTCATTCCTCTCTGTGAGAGCCACGCACACTAGCTGCTTCAAGTTGTCCATGTTGGCCACTTCCACCACAAATTTTTATTTTTGACTGAACTTAGTAGCTCTTGGTCTAGGCCCAGGGGCTAAATCTCATAGAAAGTTAGAATTAAATCTATTTACTTGTTTCTGAGTTACATAAAGGGGAAATGAATAACATGTTTTGAGTGCATTTTTTCCCAGTGGGCATATCTTTGAAGACTCACTGTCTGTCTGCAGCATGAAAACAGTGACAAGCCTAAGCAAGTGATACTCAGGATAAAAACGGGGGCAAAAATATTTGGTCCCCTTTTCAGAAATAAGAATAAAGATACTGGAAGTGACATTTTTTTTCTATTTTATTGAAGAAGGACAAAAAGTAGAATGTCTCTGTAGTGGTGGATACAGACACTTTCACTCTATTGCTAATGATATTATAATAAAACTACCATTAGAGATTCTTGGTCCAAGTCCTGACTCATATCACCTTAAAACTAGAAGGGACCCTAGAATGTAATAAGCACAATTTGCTTGTTTTTATGGAAGATAAAGGTCAGAGAACTTATTATCAAAGATCATAAAAAGAAATACTGCCTAAACCAGTATTTATACTTTATTTATTTATTTATTTATTTATTTATTTATTTATTTTTTTGAGGCAGGGCCTTTCTCTGTTGGCCAGGCTGGAGAGAAGTGGAGTGATCATAGCTGACTGTAACCTCGAACTCCTGGGCTCAAGCATTCCTCTCACCTCAGCCTCCCAAGTAGCCGGGACTACTGGAACACGCCACCACACCCAGCTAATTTTTAAATTTTTTGTAGAGACAGGGTCTCGCTATGTTGCCAGGGCTGGTCTTGAATTCCTGGGCTCAAGTCATCTTCCTACCTCAGTCCCCCAAAATGTTGGGATTACAGGCATGAGCCACTTCACCTGGCCTATACTTGTTTTCTTAATGCTATAGTGCAAATTAACTTATAGTAGGTGCTCGATAAATAATTATTGAAAGGATAAATGAATGATTGAAACACTCCACCATGCATTATCTGTTCTGTGTTAATAATTCTTGTTTTAAGTAAGCTTTATATTAAAGTGCCTACTGAAAAGTCCACAACTCACTAGTGTACAGAAGGTGAATTTTTAACAAAACTAACATACCCACAAAATCACTACTGAGATAGAAATAATTCATTACCAGTATCCCAGAGGTTCCCCTGTTGCCCCTTTCTAGTCACTATGTCATCTTCCCAAATCACTATTCTGACTTCTATCCCAGTTGATTAGTTTTGCTTACTTTTTAAAATTTATGTATATGAATCACACATTATATGCTCTTTGCTGTTTTTTAGCTGAATATTAGGCTTGCATATCTAAAACATTTAATTATATTTTTGGTTGTAGCTGTAGTTTATTTTAATTGCTGTTTAGTATTCTGCTATATGATTATGCCACAATTTACTTATCCAGTCTATTATTGGTAGATATTTGTGTTGTTTCCATATTTTTGCTCTCATGAAGATGGCTGCTATGACCATTCTTGTTCATGTTTTTTTGCTTCACATGTGCATTTTTTTGGTTTGCATATGGGTACATATAACAAGGAGTGCACTTGTTAGTATATCAAATGTTGCTGAGGCTCTAGCTTATATGCCTTGGGCCCATCTACAAGGTCACTTACAACTTCAGTGGACCATTCTTGTAAATGCTAACATCTTCCTGTATCAAGCACCTGGGTTTCTCAACTATTCTTTCATTGGAGTGCATAATCTACTACAATTAATGTAATTACTAATATACTTAGGTTTAAATTGTAATCTTGCCATTAGCTTTATATTTATCCAGTATTTTCTATAATCTAGTTCCCTTTCATCTTGCCTTCTTTTGAATCAACCAAATATTTTATTATTCCATTTCACCCTCTAATTGCTTGTTATTTATATACACTTCTACTATTCTTTCAGTGATTACCTATAGATTACATCATACCTCACGTATACCCTGATATAATTTAGTATTTGACTACTTTTTTTTACAATTATAAGACTTTATAATACCTTTACTACTACTACTCATACAACAATCCCAAATTACCTCTACCACATTTACATTATTGTCATCATATATTTTAATTCTACATACATTTAAACTCCACAATTTACTATTATTCTTTTATATATCTAATGTTGATTTACATTTATCCATATAGTCTGTCTTTCAAGTGCTTTTTATTATTTCCTGAATTTTTGTGTGCCCATTTGGGATCATTTCCTTGTGCCTGAAGATCTCTCTTTGGGATTCTTTTTTTTTTGGTGTGAGTCTGCTGGCTGGTACTGAAATATATTTTATTTGTCTAGAGGTGTCTTTTTGATTTGCCTTCGATTATGAAGGCTGTTTTTTTTTCTGGGTAATAGAATTCTAGGTTGGCTGCTATTTTCATTCAGAACATTAAAGATATTATTTCATTGTCTCTGGCTTCCATCATTCTGTCAAGAAGTTGGCCATCAGGCTTATTGTTCATTTGAAACATGAACATTTTCTGTTTTCTTTTTCTTCTTTTTTTGTTTTTGTTATTTTTAATTTTTTGAGATGGAGTCTTGCTCTGTCGCCCGGCTGGAGTGGAATTCAGTGGCATGATCTCAGCTCACTGCAACCTCTGCCTCTTGGGTTCAAGCAATCCTCCTGCCTCAGCCTCCTGAGTAGCTGGGACTACAGGCGTGTGCCACCACACCCAGCTAATTTTTTGTATTTTTAGTAGAGATGGGGTTTCACCATGTTGGCCAGGATGGTCTCGATCTCTTGACCTTGTGATCCACCCACCTCGGCCTCCCAAAGTGCTGGGATTACAGGCATCAGCCACCGCGCCTGGCCCATGTTCTGTTTTCTTCTCTGGTTGCTTTTAAGACTTTTTTCCTTTGATTGCCAATAGTTTTACTATGATGTGCCTAGATGAGAGTTTCTTTCTATTTTATTCACTTAGGGTTTGCAACAATTCTTAACCCTTTGGTTTGATGCTTTAAATCAATTAAAAAAAATTTGCCACCACGCCCTCTTTAAATACTTTTGTCCAATTTTTTTTCTTCTTTATCCCTGGACAACAAGTAGATACATATGAGGAGTTTCGATTACATCCTATATGTTTCTTAAGAATTTCAGTTTTTTCAATTCTTTATTTTTATCATGGTTCAGCTTGGATATTTCTTACTAATTTATCTCCTGCTGTCCTAATCCTCTCTTCAGCCACTTCCAATCCTCCCTTAAATTCATTTTTGATTGAATGCTAGACATTGTGTATAAAAGCAGTAGAGCTTCTGTGTAATGTGATATTCTTTCAAAGAGAAAAATCTTTATCTTTTGACAAGTAGCCAGAGTGGGAGCTAATCACCTTAATCCAATCTGTAGCTATGCTGAATCAAGACTGGATTTCAAACTTTATAAAGCTTGGCCTACTTCTAATTTGCTTTCACTCCAAGTATCTTTCTCTCGGGGGATTGTTGGGTTTCCCTGAGCTCCTCCTCTTTTGAGGACCTTGAACTCCAAATTTGTCTACCCGGATCCATTAGGTAGATGATAACTTCACTGAGCTTTTCAATTGTTTTCTGATCTGCTTAGTTTCTAGCCTTGTACAGCCTAAATATCAGCCAATGCTGCAAGGCATGCAGAATATTGGGCTTACCTCAATGAGTTTACCTTTTCTCTGGGATCTTGGTCCCCACAATTCCTGTCTTGGAAGCTATTTGAAACTTTCAGACAGATTTTCTTTAGTACTTTATCTAGCTTTTCTAGGTGTTTTTATTGTGTAATTAAATCACTACATGCTACTCTGTCATAATTAGAAGAAGTGGTCATAACCTAAGTGACACATTTCAAATATTTAAAATTTGTAAGATATCTGTATCCTGTGAGGAATAGCTATTGAATAAATGTTTAGAGAGTAGTTGGGGTGATCTGGCTTGTTATGAGTTTGTTATTTCTGATGGAATTTTAGTAAATATATGTTATGCCAAAGATAGATGTGTTTTTCTACTATATTCAGCTTACTGTAACCTAAAATTTATAATTAGTTAATTAAAATTTACAAAAAACACAAACCCTCAAAACTTTATAACATTATCTCACTTGATTTACAATAGAAAATCTCTGGTTAAATTGTCATGTGAATAGGGTTCTATTATGCGCTTATTTTGATGCATATGAAATAATTCTTGCTGAACACAGCATTATCTGGATTTAGGGATTTGTAATTATTATTTCATTTTAATTAATATTTTAAATGTTAACATTTCAGTATATTTATGTATGTGCAAACGCTTGGATTAAAAAGTGTAAGCAAGTTGGTAGAAGCAGCTGCCATGATTCCAAATTGTAGTCTAACACAGTGCTATTATTCTTTCTTAAAAACAAGGTTTTATTATTGTAGGGGAGGGAGTTGGGCTTGAAAAAGTTTAGTGAGTAATCTTGTGGTAGTAAGTAATTAAAACTCAACGGAAAACTAACTTAAGCCAAAAGGACTTTATTGACTCATGTCTTAATTAGTTCAGGCTGCTATATCAAATTACCATTGACTGGGCACTTAACACACATTCATTTCTCACAGTTATGGAGGCTGAAAGTCCAATAAGAAGACAACCAACAGATTCAGTGTCTGGTGAGGGCACACTCCTTGGTTTATAGATGGCTATCTTCTCCCTGTGTTCTCACATGGTGGAAGAGGTGAAAGAGCTCTCTGAGGTCTCTTTTATAAGGTCACTAATTCCATTCATGAAGGCTGTACCGTTATGACTTTATCATCTCCCAAAGACTCTACCTCCAAATATCATCACATTGGAGATTAGGATTTCAACTTATATGCTGGGGGAGTGTGAACACTCATTCCATAACAGCTCATATAACTATAAAGTCCAATAGTTGATTCTGGCCTGAGATCTATCTGGATCAAGGGGCTCATTAGATGTTGTCAGGACTTGGCCTTTCTTTCCTTATTTCAAGTTAGTTTCCTTTTGTAATTTTGTTTTTTTTGGGGGTGGGGGCTAGGGTGGGGTCAGGCTTTTTCTATACAATAAGAAAGATTACTCCAAGCCTACTTCCTCATGTTTGGTAGGAAAACAGAAGAGAACCCCTTTACTTACTATTGTTTCTATATTATATATTATGGAAGGGCTCTGGCACAGTATGAGTTGTGCACCCAAACATAAACCAATCTCTTACAAGGATATGGTATTATATTTGGCTGAACTTTGGTCACATAGCCATCTGTATTGTCAGGGAGGGAGATCACTGTGATTGATAGCCCCTACATTATCACATAGGGAAGGGAGGCTGTTTATTACCCTTTTTTTGCCTAGAATTGTCTCAGGAATGATTGTTGAAGAACCTAGAATTCTTCTGTAAATCTACAAGTTACATGTGATCATAAGAAGTCTGGAAGACATATTCAGAAAGCTCTATGTAGTGCCTTCTTTTTCTCTGTACTCAGCTACATGGCTGCATTTTGGTGGTTCTTAATATGTTCAAGTTTTGGGTTCAGTTCCTCTACATTAACTGGTGGCATAATAGCTTTGGCCTGACTATATTTAGAAATAGAAGAAACTTAGTGAGAGGAGCATCTCTCTTGGCTCATCCTGACACACTTGTTCTCAAGATCTTCCTTTGAGAGTAATTGTCTACAATAAGCTTTCACTATCCTTTCCTCTTAGCTCTTGATTTCAACCATGTGCTCCCACTTGGCTCTATTGAAACTCCCCAGATTATTCATGTTTGGGGATTGGCTAATGTTCGAAAGGGCAGTGTATAAAAACTCTTAGGCCAAGGCAACTCATTACTTAAGTTGTCAGTGTTCTTTGTTCTGCTTACTGGCTTCTGTTCTGAATATTTTTCCTTAATCTTTTAGTTTATACAAAATTTCTGGTTGCTGATGATGTTAGAATTATGCTTTTGTTAATCATGGGTGTGATGGAGCGGTCGTGCCCCAGAGTACTGAATCTTAAAGACTACTTGCACTTGGGAGGTGGAAAAGATACTAGCGGATTAACTCCGAGAAGAGAACTAACATTTATTGAGTGCCTAAGATCTACTAGGTGCTTTGCAAATATCGTAAACTGTTACATGATCTTGTTAGAGGGAATAACACCTTAATTTTACAGAATTTATGGCTCAGAGAGGTGAAGTAACTTGCCTAAGGCCATGCCATTATTCAGTGGTGGAACTGGGGTTCAAACTTGCAGGTAATTTTGACTCTAAAGCCTGAGTTCTTTTCAAGGAAGTCAGTAACGGGATGAAATTTAGACAGGGAGGGAGGAGAATATGGTCACAGATGTGTTCATGCCTTCTACCTTTCAGAGAAAATAAACCCTCTGGGAAACTGAGGACTATAGTGCTAATTAAAGACCAAAATCAGTATCAGGATTTCCAGGATTAAATCTGTAGCAGGGACACATACTGAAGATATTAATAGCACAGGTACTAGGAACCCAAGGGAAAGTCAAACAAGACCACTGAGGAAAATGGGTTACAATGCCAGAGATATCAAGTCAATGTGTCAAACTTAGAGACCAAAGGCAGGTCAAGGCAAGGTTCAAAGCTAGATGGAAATAGGGTAAGTGCATAGAGGTTCAGAATGAGTAGGATGGGAGGGAGGGAGAATTTCTAAAATTATTGCCCTCCATATAAGTGGGTATTTGTGACTCACCATTAAGTAACATGGTTTATATTTTAAACTGTTAACAATGAGTTTAAAGGGCCAGAACACACACAGCTAAAAGAGGCAAGAGGTCTCAGTATATTCAGCAAGGAAAAGGTCCAAAAAATAAAAATAAAAAAGAAATAGGTGAATGTCCTGGAAAGCAGTGATTAAGGCCGTGTTGCACTAAGACTTGCAGAGCACTAATTAAAAGCTGCCAAGTATTCTATCCCCAGGTCAAACCCTTTGAATGGGAGATGAGAAAGCAGCTCAGCCAAGGCTTTGAACTGGCTAGAAATCCAAGACAAAGAATGACAAATAAGTCTAGTTCCCAAAATAGCAGTTGCTGCCACTAGTCAATGAACAGTTTTCCAGCTTGCCCAGTGTAAAAGGGATTGTTAATCCCCCCATTGTCTTTCTAGCCACACCCACAGATCAGTACTGCCATCAGTCTCTTTACCCACCAAGCTCTGGCAACTCTTAAAAGAAATTTTCCATGCACTTTAGTTCAGTGCTCTAACTGTCACAGCTTACAAGCCATGCCCTGGTTCCTTCTGCACCTGGAAACTATGGGTGGGGGCTGGTTTTCTGGTAGACCTCAATGACTAATGCACACCTGCACATTCCTTTGTTCCTATTGGCAAGAGAAATATTTCACAGAACAATTTGAAAAGTGTGTTGTCAAGAAATTTGGGAAACAGTTCCTACATGGGCCTTGTTTTTTCAGGACTGAAATTTTTGAGATTTTGTAGAATCTTAAATTATATTTTTTCTCATAACTTGTTTTTCCTTGCATTTAATTTAGTAGTCTTTACTTGGACGAAAAGATTAAGAATTACAGTTTCTTTTAATATGAATGGATCCAGGAAAGTGTATCTCCTTTCTTTAGTTAGCATGCTTGCTAATTTGGGGAACTTGGATATGATTTGTAGATTATTGTGCTGTTTCTGGGAAGTAACTTTGAGGATCACCTTAATTTGTGTCTCCTACTAATCTACTCAAGCTAACATTAACCAATTGTTATGTCTTCACAAGGAAAAACAATCTGCTATAGCAAAGGGGAGATTTTAAGGTCAGGGGAAATTCCAGTTCTTTGGAATGGAGTGAGTGGGAGTGGAAACCTAGGAATTGAAAAAGAGTGAGATCATGATTTGCATTCAGACACCTAACTCACACTATTAAGAGTCAATCTTCATGCACAGTAGATATCCAACAAATGTTCTATCATGTTGCTGCAGTAGATTATGGATGCCCATCAAGAAGCTAGAATGGGAGAAGTTTTGTTTTAAGCAAGGTTTTAGGAAATAAGATCTACTGAAGGACCCAAGAAAGAAAGTCTGAATCAAAGCAGCAAACCAGATTCAGTAAAACCAATGATCAGGATAAAAGTTTAATCAGAAAGTCGGGTGAATGGAAAAGAACAAATGTACAGTTAATGAAGAAACAATGCAGGATGTACAAAGCTCATGTTGTTTCCAAGGCAACTGGTAATGCAAGAAGTCTAGAGGCATATGGTCCAAATATAGTCTTCAGAGAATATGGGGGTAAATAAGCTGAAACTGAAAAGATAAAATAAGATAGAGGGACCAGACTAGAATTACTGGGCCAGTACCTATAAATTCATGATAGTTTGTAGGTATGGACACGTTTTGCTTGGTATGAACAGTTTTGAAAGGCAATGTAAGTTCGCAGATGTCATAGTTGGTTCCAGTACAGGATTCTTAGCACCCATTGAGCTGTATAAAGCCAGCTTCACACATTTGCTATTCTTGCCTGGTTTAGGTTTGATATTTGAGTTTGTGACTCCTGGTGGAGTCCATCTGCTTGAGGCTCTATCTCCACATCATTTCAGTTCCTGTAGCCAGTTAGTCCCAACCATCAGGAATGCCTTTACCTTCATCTCTGGTAGTACTAAGGCTATTTTTAATCAGAAGGAGTTTAGGGAAGTTTGGTATAGTGCTTCCATTCTTCAGCAACATATTGTGGTGCTCATCCAGTGTCTGGTATTGTCTCAGTAACTGGGATATTTCCTTATCCTTGTAAATAAACTAAATCTTGTACTTCAATTTCATTATCCAGGCCCTTGAATTGTTCACTAGTGTTGAATTTCTGTTTTTACATCCTGTCTAGTACCCCATTTCTGTTTATTGATATGTTGCAAGAGCCCTTAGTTATGGAATAAATTTGTGAGTATTTGTCTAGGAATTTTAGTCATTTTAAAGCCTTTGGTTAACCACCTTCCAATCTTAAATGATCTGACCTAAGAGAATATACAGCATGGCAATTTATAAATCAGAGTTATTCATAAAGTTATTACTGAACAACACCAATATTTGTCAAAAGACTATTACCAAATGAACAGCCTAAAAAAGATGAGGAAAAACTGGGAAAATGAAACTGAGAAGAAGGGAGAATGATAAATTACAAGTAGGTATATAAAGCATCCTCTTTCACACACATACATGCAGACATACACATGAAACAGCTTTGGTAAACTGAAATTGAAATGATAAAATGAAAAATTTGGTATGATAGTGTCTTAGTCCTTTTTGTGTTGCTGTTGCTATAAAGAAATACCTGAGGCTGGGTAATCTATAGAGAAAAAAGACGTATTTGGCTCATGATTCTGATGCCTTGAAAGTTCAAGATTGGGCATCTGCATCTAGTGGAGGACTCAAGCTGCTTCCACTCATGGTAGAAGTTGAAGGGGAACTGGCTGTGTAGAGATAACATGGCAAGAGAGGAGGCAAGAGAGAAGGGAGGGGAGCAGATGCCAGACTCTTTTAACAGTCAGCTCTCTTGGGAACTGATGGAGTGAGAACTCACTCACCCTTGAAGAAGGGCATTAATCTTTTCATGAGGGATCTGTCCCCATGACCCAAACACCTCACATTTAGCCCCTTCTTCAACACTGGGGATCAAATTTCAACATGTTTGGAGGAGAGAAAATCCAAACGATAGCAGATAGTCTTTGGTGCTTTTCTGCAAATAGTTGTCATTCCTCTCCCTTTCTGTCCCCATTTTAAGATTGTGCTTCCTGACTCCCCAGTGGCTTGGTGGAACTGCATAGTGTTGGCCAATGGATTGTGAGCAAAGGTCATATACCTCATTGCAGGGCCAGAAAGCAGAGAACATTTAATCGCCCGAGTGAGATGCTTTCTAGATTTCTTTCCCTCTGTCTCCCTCTGGCTGGAGATGTTCCAGATGGTGGCTGCATTCTCAGCCCGAATCCCTGAGAGATCCCTGAGTAACTACAATGAGAAAATCATTCTTCTAGTACCACCTTCACCTCCAGCAACCCATGATAGAAAGGTAGCATCAGCAGAAAATACACATTTATTATTTTAAGCCACAGACATTTTAGTGTTTTTATTTTTGTTATCCCTACTGCAGCATAACCTAGCCTATTTTGACTGATACCTAGCTTAGGTATCAGACTTCTCCTATCAGGTTCCTGAAATAATAAGTCATATCTTTACTAGTGATGAACGGCAACCTGGTTTTGAAAGGAAAAGTGTTTTTGAAAATCAAAGTGGGGATTGCTGATTTAGAAGAATGATTCCCATTAGCTATTTTCTTACTTGTTCCTGGACTAGAAATCCCCTAGCTAAATACTGACCAGGATGACACAGCTCAGCTTGAAATTTGTATGAGAGCAAGGATATCAATACACAGGCTGTTTGCTGACTAAGCCTGTAGATTCCAGCAGGGAATTGACAGTTTGATTTATTCTACAAAAATGGGCTTTAGGATTTAGTTTTGGGTCAAAATGAAAAAATGCCAGGGGACAGCAGAAAAAATTTATGATGATATATTGTTTAACTGTGAATAAGAAATATTTGAGATTAGATAAGAAGCCTAGCCCCAAAAGACGGGGTAGGCAGCCTTAATGTCATCTTACTCCTATCCTTTGCACAAATTCTCATTAATATCTTTGACTCCGTATTTGTTATTTGTTTCACTTCAAGTCAACTAGCAATATTATATAACCCACATCTTGTTAAATATACTGATGCTTTCAGAATTAAGTATTATCATATTGGAAAATTATCAAACTACTGAAAATTGAAATATTTAACAACTGCAATGTATTGGTTGACTGAAAATCTGTGTTCAGAATTCTGTTCAGCCTCTGATTAGGCTATTTCATCTTGCTAACATTTATAGAAATCTACCAGGGAGTCTAGTTAGAAGTGCTTTGCTTTAGCTTTTTTCCTTGTGAGCCAGTTCCTGAACAAAAATTCAGATATCCAATTTTTAAAATAACTTTTTTCTCATTTAAATATAGTAAATGATAATTATTGAAAATACAAACAAAAAAGTAAATAAAAGCACTCAAGTTTATTATCAAGAGGAATTAATGTTAATATTTTATATACTTTTGTAAAAATTGGATCATACTCTTTGGTAACTTACTTGTTTCACTTACTATATCATGGGATTTTTCATCTCTTTAAGTAAACTTTTACAGTACATTTTGTGGCCTTATTCTATCATATGGATATACAATAATTTGTTTAACTGATATCCTTATAAATGCACAAATACATTGTTTCTAACTTTTCTATACCAAATACTGTAATGAATAGTTTTATAGTTAATATTTTCTCATTTTTACACTTCTATAATATTTCCTTATGAAACATTTATAGGCAAGAAATCCCAGGGGCAAAGATTGTATACATTTTGATACATGTTGGAAAATTATAAAATTCCCTCCTTGTAGTTCACATTTTCTTCCAGTTATGAATAAGAGTATCTGTTTCTCTGTACCTTTACAGGCACTGGCTATGAGCATTTAAAAACATTTGCCAATTTGAAAGGCAAAAGCCACAGATTTTACATTTGAAAGGTAAACCTCCTGGAAAAAGAATGACTTCTTGTGCAGTGTGTTCTTAAATAGAGCTATATTTTAGGGTCTAGAAGTGGTTAATTTTTTCCTAACTCTTCCTTTTAAATTTCCCACAGAGCTTTGTTTTATGCAATGTCATCAATCATAACTAGAGATGTGCTCCATACAGTAACTCACCAATCATTCAGGTCCTGGTAAACGTGTAATATTTGCAATTTGTGTCTATTGCACATATTTATCTATTTATTCCACTGTCATCGTCTGTAGGAAAACAGCTATATTTGCCTCTGTGGCATCATTAGAGAGAGAAATAAGTTAGCAGTTTTCACCTGTTTGTATTCCTTTATCTGATATACTGTGGAATATGATTGTTTGATTTGTGAAGTAATGATGCTGAATGAGGAATCAGCATTGTGGCAAGGAAAATATTTTTTAATGGAAAGCCTCTTTTTTATTGTTTCACCAGTTGGAAAGGTAAAGTATTCAGAAGGGAAGAGCATGTCATCATAAAACTGAGTTGGATAATAGGCAATAAGGCATAACGGCATTTCCTAACCTCTTGGATAAAGCTTGCAAAAATCTTCAAGAACCAATTACACAGAACAATATATCACTAAGGTGTGAGTTCTCTTTAATTGCTTTGTGATTTTTCCATAAATGGCAAGCATATTGCTTGGTGGAAATAGTAATAAACAGGAGCTCTCTCTAGTTTGGCATTCTCTGGCTTGCATTGGCACATCTGTGGTTCCTGGATTATTTTTTTCAGACCATTTCACTGAAAGAGGAAAAAAAAAAAGAAAGTCAACTTCTTTTCATGCCCCACCTCTGATAACATCCAGTGGGAAAATACTGGGATATGGGGCTTCCTTCTCTATTTCTGCGGCTAACCACAGTTTCAAGTTTTGGAAAAATTGCTAAAACTAGTAATAATATGTTGGGGTCTTTGTTCTCTTCCTTACTTTCACGTGGGACAGATAGTGTTTTGGATGTTGATTTCACCCACTCATTTATTTAGTATACCCATCCCTACTCCTACTAGTATTTTACTAAATATTTACTAATTATAACACCTACCAAGAGAAACATCTACTTTTTGAGAAGAAAGTAGGTCAAGAAGATAACAATCAACTGTGCCAGCTCATTGTACAAGTTCATTGAAATAAGATCAAGAGTCATATACCTAGTGACAGCTCTAATCACTTTGATTTAGTATTTTATTGACACTCCTGAAATTCTGTAGCATGTGAATTAATAGAATCCTTAACAGTGATTGGAAAAATCACTCTTCTTGGTGATTCTCATTTTCTTCTTCAAGTAATATTTAATGTAGCTTTTATAATAATTGATATAAAATTATTAGATTTTTCCACACCTAGACTTCCAGCTTTGAGTCATAGACTCAAAAAAGACTTTCGACCAAAGTCTTTCATTAGTGTGATAGTTAATTTTATGTGTCAACTTGACCTGGAACAGAGTGCCAAGATAGTTGGTCAAATGTTCTTCTGGGTGTGTTTGTGAGGGTGTTTTTAGATGAGATGAACATTTGCACTGGTAGGCTGAGTAAAGCAGATTGCCCTCCCTAGTATGAGTGGGTATCATCCAATTAGTTGAAGGTCTGAGTAGAGCAAAAAGGCTGAACCTCCCACGAATAAGAAGGCGCTTCTTATGCCTGACTGATTTTGACCTGGAACACTGGTCTTTTTCTGCCTTTAGACTTGAACTTAAATGTTGGCTCTTCCTGGATCTTGAGCCTGGCAGCTTTCAGACTAGAAGTGCACCATAGGCTCTCCTGGGTCTAACTGCAGATCTTGGGTCTTCTCAGCTTCCATAATTTTATGATCCAATCCTTGTAATAAATTTCTTTATGGATATATATACACATATATTAAATATTTTATATATTAGATATTTTATAAATGTTTTAATATTTATTAAATATTTTATATCTATAATATTTTATGGCCTCCATAATTTTATGAGATGATCCTTGTAATAAATTTCTTTAAGGATATATATACATATATTAAATATTTTAAGTATATTTTACATATGCATATATTAAATATTTTATATTAATATATTTGTGTACATATATTAAATATTTTATATCATTATATTCATGGTTATATATACATATATTAAATATGTTATATCTGCATATGTGTGTATATGTGTATATACATATATGTTATATACACATATACGCAGATATAACATATTTAATATATACATATATACACACACATATACACAGATACACATACACACACATACTATTGGTTCTGTTTCTCTGGAGAACCCTGACTAATATAATGACTAAAGAGATCATTTAATTAGAGATGAGTGTATGCTCCATTAGGTTCTTCATTATTTATTCCTCACATGGAATTCAAATCCTTGTGGGTATCTTCAGCATCTATGTGGCAGTGGACTGTTACTATCAACAGCACATAGATGCTGGGATAAGGCTGACTCAGATAGTGATGATTATAGCAAAACTCTTTCTATATTTTGTTTTTGGTAAAGAATAAGAAAACTGTGGGAAATTATACTTGTAGATAAATTTGAATAATGACTAGGTTATTTCTTCCTGTACTTTAATATACCTTGGGCATAGATTGCATGGATATTCCGTGAGTTGTACATAGTAGGTAATAAAGAAATATTTATTAACTGGATATCCTCAGTTATATAATACTTTTACTTCTTAAGTCGTAATGGGTGGTGATTAGGGACTTTGCTAGTTGCACCACACACAACATGGCCTTTTGGGTGCAACTCTTTTTTCACTTGAGCCATCTGCTGGCAGTGAAGGGGTGCTGGTTGTTGTCTGTGATCCTCACAGAATCATTCTGTCAGAGGCTTATGCATCCGTTAAGAAAGTATCACCCACTTAGTACTAGTTTCACAGAAGATCATGCAACCATTTTGTGTTTCTGAAAATTTATTATAAATATAAGAATTGACACAGTTGGCAATATAAAAATTGATTAGTTTGGGGGTGAGATGGGGTGGGGTAGAGATCCAATTATCATTATCTTCCTTTCATCTGAATATCCTGTTTTCCTAACCTTCTCAGATTCTGCAGCAAAATTCTGTAAGGAAAAAAATGAAATCCCTTACAGAATGATAGCAAGGAGGAATGAACTGGGTCAAGGGACTTTAGCTTTAGCCTGATAATTTCAATCTGACCCAAGTCAGTAATGAAACTTGGTAGATGCACTATGGGAAATTTGATGATAGTCTAGGGTCAAACTTAATGGGCAAGTGCATCTATCAGCACAACACATCACCAGTGAGCAATCACATTTATGATCTCAAAAGAATTAAAGAGGCAATGAAGGCAAAATGCTTCTCAAGGAAAATAGGTAGGCTCCTCTCTGTCAAGACTGAGATTAAAATCCTCTGAGCCAAGGTTCTATTTGCCACCTTTAGTGCTAGTGCCACAGAAGTCAAGTCATGGACTTCTAATTTGATTAAAAACTTAAGTGCCCTCAATTTTACTGCTTTAGGTTTGCATTATGCATCATTGAGTCATAAGATGGGAAGCATCTGTTTGAATTTGCAAGAAAGTATCAAACAGAGACTTTTTAACATAGCTCATCAAGACCCAGCAAAGGCAGCACAACCAGCAGCTCAAATGGGTAATATTATGGATATTTCCAGATTCAGCAGGTGCCAGGAATGCCTTGTAACTTGCCTTGTCACCAGGTTGCTAATTATTATAGTCCAGGTTCCAGGGTCATGGGATGGATGCTGAAGCATATACTGAATGAACATCTCTAGTGCAGGTGTGATTGAGGATTGGATGTCTATAAATAAGCTATAATATGGTGTCCAAAAGATAAAGGTGAAAACACCAGAGGACTCTTGTTCTCAATCAATAAGTGAGCATCTATTACAGTGTTTTCATTGTGGGATACAATGCATTTGGCAAGGAGGAATTGATCAGTCTTTGCAAAAAATCTAATAAAGGCAGCCTTTAGTTTCCCATTTTTACTTTGCTCATTGGGAAGAGTATACGAGGTGATGTCTGCTTGCCTAAACTCTCAAAGGCTCTAAGATAGTGGCTCTCAACCTTGACTGCACATTAAAATCACCTAGGGAACTTTAAAAACAAAATCCAGTGCCTGAGTCCTGGATCACTCCCCACCCCAGGAATTTTGACTTGATGGCTCTGGGATGAGATCCAGGTAAATAACAAATTTAAGGGGTACAAGTGCATTTTTGTTACATGAATATATTGGGTAGTGGTGAAGTCTTGGCTTTTAGTGTATCCATCACCCAAATAAGGTACATTGTACCCATTAAGTAATTTCTCATCATCTACCTCCCTTCCACCCTCCCCCTTCCAATTCTCCAATGTTTATCATTGCACATTCTTTTTGAGATCTCACTTATAAGTGAGAACATGAGGTATTTGACTTTATTTTTAAAAGTTCCTGGGTTGTTTTTTAAAGCAAGATGTTTGAGAGTCTAATAATTCAATTAGATTCATGTGTTAGCTCCACCCATAGGTCAAATAGGTGGCACCCAAGTGGTGAGATTTCAAGTGTTCTGAAAATATGTTTGGCCCCTTGGTATTTTTCTGGCATCAGCCCTGCCATACCACCTAATATAGCTATGTTATGATTTGTATATCCTAGCTAAATTGCTGATTTTTTTGGGAGAAGTGATACATTAATACCTTACTTTGAATTTATTTATCAGATTAGCTAGCAAAGAGAGCATGGATTTTAACAGTGGAACCAAAGATCATTAGATGGAGTGATACCTCTGGAGGGAAGTTATGCCTAGGGTGACTAATCTTCCCATTTTGCCTAAGACTGGGGGGTTTCCTGGGATGCAGGACTTTCAGTTTTATCAGTCCTGGGCAAACCAAGATGAGTTGGTATCCATAGGCATGGATGTGGCACCAAGACCTATAAGGGCTTTGGGTGCCTGCCTAGGAGTGAAGGACTCTAAAGGAGAAGAAGAGAAGACATCAGAATGAAGGACCCGTTTCTCCTACTTTGCCATTTGGTCTGGTGATGATATACTATGACAACAGTGGGGCAGGATCATTGAAAATAGTGTGGGTTATTTATTTTTCTTATTTTCTAGAAGAAACAAAAAATAGTTATATATTTTTTGTTGTATTTTCTTTTTTATTTCTAGGAGATAGAACATTCTGTGGCTTTGCCTAGGGGTGGCGTGTAGTTTATCTTGTCAAGTTTATGAATACGATGATTGGCTTTCGGAAAGCCTCAACTCAAGAGACTTTCCAGAGAGCTTAACTGGAAGGAGAAGTCCAGAAGCGAGGCCTTTGAAAGTGGGTTGGAAGAAGCAGCAGGATAGTGAAGGAACAGACTTTGAAACTAGTTAGGGGATTGTGGATTGGGTTATCAAGAAAACTGAAGTGCTTGAGCTGTGTGTGTGTGTGTGTGTGTGTGTGTGTGTGTGTGTGTGTGTCTAGAAGGCTGTGTGGTATACCTAAGGATGCTAAATCTGAGGCCTATTCTTCACAAAAATTCCTATGTCCAGGATTGTACAGAAGCTATTGAGTGGTCCAATTTTAAAAGTCCAATGAGAATTTATAAGTGGTGCCTGGTGTAAACCTATAATCAGCAACCTTCCCCAATGTTCTGCTCTATGGGAGACTGTTGGGATGTACAGTAATGAAGGCCATTTAATTTACTGCAGGTCCAGTAGAATGAGGGCTCAGAGTAAAATTTGGTTAAGGTTAAACAAAAATTGATGTTTCTAATATGCACAAGTGTGTGGAGAAAAATTTATACCCACTAAATTTGCTATCAAGAACCTACTATATGGCAGGCACTTTATTATTATATATTATTAATGTTTATAACCTATGAAGATGTGTATACATGTATGTGTGTATATAAATATAACAAGTATATATACATACACATATAATTATATAATATTTATATGTAATACATACATTTTACAGATGAGGATCAGAGAGCTAATGCTGACTCACCATATAAGTTATAATAAGTGGCCATTGCAGAACTGGAAAGTTTAATCCATGCCTGTCCAATTCCAAATTCTGTGCTGACACCACTCATCATATAAGTTATAATAAGTGGCCATTGCAGAACTGGAAAGTTTAATCCATGCCTGTCCAATTCCAAATCCTGTGCTGACACCACTCATCATGTTACTTCTGTATTGGTTAGATACATTAACAGGAAAATATAATACTGCAATACTTCTCTGGCTATTTGTTTCCTTTCTCCAAAGGAAAAAGCATAGGTACATATTGAAGGAGCAAATGTGATGACATGTTTTGTGGGGTTGACCTTGCTTCCTTGGATCACATTTTCACTGCTTTCAAAACCTCTGGACTGAACTTAGTCTCTGGGATAGGCAGTTCTGTGATAGAATTGTTTGGTGCAGATGTTTTTGGGTGTGTCTGTGTTTCTACCTGGAACAAACTCAACTTTATTTCTAGACACTTTTAAATGTGTTTCATGTGGCTTGTGACCACAATTCATCACCAGTGATTTTTCTCTTGGCCAGTTTCCATCTATCATTCTATTGCAGCAAGAGAAAGGAGAGCAACTCTAGAAAGTGGCATATAGCCTGGTAATTAGGTAATTTGCTTTCCTATCCTAAATGGAGCAATTTTTAGGTAAGTGGTGCCTCTTTTGGCTTCCTAAGGTTACTGCATATAATTTTGACAGGGCCTAAGTAGACAAAAATTCATGGAGACAATCTAGCTTTAAACAAGGTGAAATCATTAAAGGATTGAACATAAGAACAAGGATGGAAGTGGATCTAGTCACTAGTCATGTTCTTAAGGATTCTTGCTATGGTTTGTTTTCAAAGATATAATTAACACATGTTAAGAGTAGATAGACCTGAGTTTGATTCCAGCTCCAAACTTGCTGTGTGACTTTAGGTAAGTCACATAAACTCTACACTGTATTATCTTCTGTCTTTAAAACAGAGATGATACTATATGACTCATGAGGCTTAAATGAAATAATGTATGTAAGAGTGCAGTATCTGGCATGTAGCAAATGCTCAATAAATGTTAGCTGCTATCATCATCATCATCATCATCATCATCACCATCATCATCACCACCATCATCATTTTTCTTTTGTAGTAAACATCACATTCGATTTGTAAAAGAATCATATTATTTCCCTTTAGATTTAAAAAATGCTTAAAAGTTTATTTTTCTTATTTTGTTTGTCTACACATTTGTACAATTCTGTAAAACAATTTAGTGTAATGATTTTTAGGCAATGTGTAAATATACACAGAAAGTAAAAAGCATGTATAAGCCTGATATTATAAATTAAAATATTGCCCTTAATGAGTCAGGAATAGTTTGGAAATAATAGGACAACCTGTCTTCTAGGATCTTAGCTTAGTTTACCTTGTACTGTAGTCAAAACATGTTTTGACCTTTGATTATATATGTATTTTTGCTTCTGTTGAAACTGCATTGCCTCAATCAAAAATAGGTGTTCATCATCTAATATGTTCCAGGGTCTGGTGATATTCAGGACACGGTAATGAATTAGACATAATATTTCACTGAAGAGAGTTCTAAATCTAATAACTGTGCCACTTCAGTAGCAGAAGTTGGTTTTCATGTGGACTTGACCATATTTACCACTTATACAATATATGAATGATCAAGAAAAGCTTTGATGTAGGAGGTTAAAGTCTTTACCAGTTGGCAAGGCAATGTCAGTGCCCTTTACTGACAAGGATTTTCAGACGGGGGAAGGATTAGATTTAGATTTCTCTTTAGTGGCTGTTTGGATCCACATCTATGCAAACTCGTAAAGATGAATAAGTATCAGAGGGCAGAGTTTGGTTCAAATATAAAACTTGAAACAATTTGAAAATTTAATGTGCGCCTCAGTTCTATAGAAGTGTTTAAATAAATGCTAAATGACCAGAGGTCTGGGTGGTGGTAGAGTTCTTTCATGAATTTAATAGGAGATTGACCTCGATGGTCTTTCAGGTTCCTTTTAGCTCTGAGGTTCTATAAAACATGGAGAACTCTCTAGTGGATTAGATTTCCATGTTGTTAGCAATAATTGTTTTTTCAGCATTTCTCTGTTGGCATAATAAAAAACATGTAGTTTGTTGGGCAGTTTAATTCCTTAATTTCACCCTTGGAGAGTATAACTTGGATAATTTCTTATATAAAGGTACACAAGACTCTTGGGATTCTAATGTTTTCTTATTGTCAAAATAAAGTATCTATAATGGTACTTGACTCACAGTAAACAGCAGAATAGTACGTGTCTATTGCTATGTGCAAAGTACTTTCTCTTATCAAAGAGCACACCTTTATCTTAGTTCTTACCAAAGAAACCTCAATTTTTTTCTGCTTCTACCTTCTGGGATTCCCCCAGTGTGGCCTAGTGAATTACCCCCCTGTAGTTTCAGCTTTGTTTCAGTTCCCAAACCAATCCCCCTTTAAAGCTTTTGATTGTTATTCTCCCTGCTGGTCTACTCAGGAAACGATTGCCTAGCACTGATCTCTGGGCTCCTATAGTGTTCTTAAGTCACTTTGTATTTGTCTGTACTATACAGACTAGTGGCCTACAGGACCTGTGACACAGTATTCTAATGCTGACAACTGTTCTTCTGTATTGACTCTTGAGTTCCAGCTTTTCCTTCCTGAGTACCCCAGTTCGCAGATTTAAACTGTTGGTTTGAACTATGCTCAACAGTCATGTTCTGATAATTGGTCTAGTGTATCTTCCTTTTTCATCTGGTATAATAATAGTAATAATAGCTATCATATATTGGTGCTTACTATGTGGCAACTTCACCATACTTTTAAAATAGAGATGCAAAACTGAAAAATTCAGAGAAGAGTAGTAAACAAGATTAGAATGGGTTTTTCTTTTCATATGAGAACATGCTACTGGGATAGGGATTTTACTTTAAAGGCAAGAGGTAATTGGAATCTCATCTTCAATGGTTGTTATGGGGAGAGATATTTAATAGCTTTTTTATTCAGAGATTTAAAAATGGAAAAGTGCTTAAAACAGAAGCAGTAGAAATTTCTATTGAAAATAATGAAAACCTTTATGGTTATCAAGGTGTAGAAAACTCACTATGGGCAACCAAAGACTGTTGATTAGCCTGTTCCTGGTTTAAAAAATTGCTTCAAAGCTGGCTACAGAAGGCTGTACAATTCACAAAATAATCTAAGAGCTGTTTTAGGTACTGTGTAAACATGGAGAGAATGAAAAACATGTGAAAGATTGATATTATTAGAGCTAAAATATTTTGCTGATTGACTTCAAGAGACTTGATAACTGGTCCTGGAATGTTTCCTATCCAGCTGCCTGAAGGCTGGAAGATGGACCCTCTAAAGTTCATCTAACGCTCAGATTCTCGACATTCTCTGACGTTTCAATAGGGAATGCAAGCTGTTTTGGATCAGACAGAAAACTTGGTTACTTCTCTCAGCATCAGAATTCAAAAATGCACATTTTTCATGATCTCTGTGATGAACAGGCAATTTGCATGTTTTGATTTATCACTCTTAATGATCATAATTAAATATGATTCATCATTGTAGTTTTACTAATAAATCAAAGTAGATCACAAGGCAAAATCATTTGTCCTATATAGCCATTTGTGCACTTTTATTCGGAAAGAAAAGATTATACAAGGGAGAAGAAAAAGACTTAATTTAGATTCCAGTGTTAACAACACCTTACTCTGCAAGACTATAGTAGACATTTTCTCAATATCCACAGGAATTCTAAGAAAGAGTTAAGACTGGGACTTCAGTTTTCTCACATGTGAGATGTTGCTAAACATATATAAATACATTTGTGTACATAAATAAATATATAAAACCTATATAGGTGCTATATATATGCTAAATATATTACTTTATGTGATAAGATATTGGAAGGATTGAATGAGATGTATGTACAAAACATCTAATAAACTGCATGGCACTCAGAAAAAGCCCAATAAATGTTAGCTACTTGCTCAGTGTATTATTTTTCAGTACATTCCTGGGGCATCTTTGCAATAGTATTGCAATGCTGATTCATACTTAGCTTATAGTCAGTTATAAATTCCAGGTCTCTCAAGCTATACTAATTTTTAATGGGGGCTCTTCCATCCTGTATCTGTGGTTATCTTTTTTTGATCTTTAAGTCCAAGCTTGTTCCTAATGCTTTATGTTTTCTCCTGTTGGCATTATTCCCCTTTGTAGGACCATTTTACCAGTTTATCAGTGCCAATTTGTATGTTATTTCTGTATCTATAACACTGCCAGTTTTAAGATCATATAAAGGCCGGGCGCGGTGGCTCACTCCTGTAATCCCAGCACTTTGGGAGGCCGAGGCAGGCGGATCACAAGGTCAGGAGTACGAGACCAGCCTGACCAACATGGTGAAACCCCGTCTCTACTAAAAATACAAAAATTAGTCGGGCGTGGTGGCGTGCGCCTGTAATCCCAGCTACTCAGGAGGCTGATGCAGGAGAATTGCTTGAACCCAGGAAGCAGAAGTTGCAGAAGTTGCAGTGAGCAGAGATTGCACCACTGCACTCCAGCCTGGGCGGCAGAGCGAGACTGTCTCAAAAAAAAAAAAAAAAAAAAAAAGATTATATAAAAATTTGATTAACATACTCTTACTTTCTTAGTACTGGAGACTTGGTCAAAAGTCCTAATCCCTTTGCCTTTGCTCAACAGAAATGCTAGCTCTGCTCAGAAGTCCATAGATACCTAATAAGGGGCTATGAAAGAAGGTGGAACATGCTTAATCATTTTGCAACTTGAATTTTTATTCTGACTTCTTATGGGCCCTGGATGTCCAGTTACAGTGTTACTTCTGTGGCTAGAATTAGGTTGTTCATAGATGGTTTCTGTTTCCCAGCCACCCAAGTTTTATTAATGTCAATTTTACTTTCAAACTGTGTGGACAACAGTAGTCCTTGGGATGTGACTATTATTACAACTTAATTAAATCCTTTTATAAGTGTATAATAAAATACAAAATCAAATGGGCTAAGATTTAACTGCTCAGATTTAATTTGCTGGTTGAAGAATTAAAATAAATCAGTTTGAAATGTTTTCTAGTTTCTGTGAGAGGTAAATATTTAAAAATAACTATTGTTCATTGAAGATCACTTGGGTTTAACCTATCTTCTAAAATACAGTTTGTTTTTATGGAGATAATTGAAAGAAATTTAGAATGAATCACTGAGTTTAGGTATAGCATGGGGCTGTCCAAAAGTTCATCAATTCATATTACGTGAAGAAATTGGGAAACTAAGTAGGTATCATTTAGCCTAGTCTTCAGAGTAATTACTCTTCAGTTGATTTAGCATACTAGATAAAAATGAAGGTTAATTCCTATGCTAATTGAAAAAATTTTGTTAGCTTTTTTATTGAGTATTGCAATGCACATAGATTAATTGTAAGCTTTAGTATATTGCATTCAGATCTCTATCATATATAAAACACATAGATCAGAGCATGTCAAAATTTAGCTTATAATATGAATTAATGCAAGACATACTTGATCTTTGTAAGATAAAATATTTCACTGGAAAATAATAAATAATGAGGGAGGTAGCTTCTGAAATATTGTTTAGGGTTATTAGGGGCCACAGGCAAAGAAGAGGTGGTGGCAGTCCTGCTTCTCCCTTGTGTTAATGAGAAAATAATTGTTTGAGAATATCTTTGGTTTCAAGCAAAATCCCAGCAGGGAGGGCTTTGAAGATTTGTTCTTCATACCCTTTGATGAAGAGAGTGCTAAAAAGACCTTAGAAAGATGTTAATCAAAATTGTTAAAGTTCCAGTATTCTAAATCTCCTTCACTGGAGGAAAAAATACATTCAAATAAACTTCCTTCTGCATACAGATTCCAGTACTGTTTGTTGAAGTTGTCATTGTGAATGCATTGTAATGTACTTAATGTACGTCCATCTTGAGTTCCCTAAGCACCTTGATTCCACTTCATAGAGCAGCCATTTGATTTATGCCTCAGCACACCAGGATGGCTCTAGTGTTGTCTTCTAGTATGTTCACCTTTCCCCTCCATAATGTAGATTTGATACCCATTTCAGTATTTCAATAAATAACAAGACCCTGTGATTTTCTTCTCGAGAATAAATAAAAAGCTTCACCTGCTTATTCCAGGATCCTGATAGAGGACTCAAAAAAATGGAAGAGATTTTCACTTGACCCATGGTTCTCAATTCATTTACATTTTGCTTAGTATGGTGACTCTTGGCTTTGTGTCTCCATGTGCTGAAAAGGAGATGAACTTTCACTGAAATATATTTATATATTGCAGTAAAGATTAAATTCATCAAAATCACTAACAGATTTTTTTTTTGACCTTGACTGCAGGAAGAAAGAAACAAGACAATAAACTTTCATCAATGATTTATTCTAACAACTTCCTTGGAGTGTCTTGAAGTCAGTATAAATTTGGTTTGGAATTCTATACGTTTACTTATACCCCTAAATAATAATAATGAATGGCCAGAATGCTGGTTTAAGAGGCCCTGCAGTTTATCAATCAACATATATTTGTTTAGTTTACTACGCCAGTCACTAAGGATTCTTTTATATGCCTTATGTCCTATGTCACAAAAATGAATGAAGGCACATTATAATAATGGACAACAAAAAAACATTGAAACAAAAAATGATTTCAATAACCAGAAGCCCTATTCCCTGAGCATTTTGGCTTATCAAGCTTCCTTAAATACAAGCCTCACTGGTCCAATCCAGGTTAGCTTAGATGAATATTTATTCTTCCTGAAAAAAATTTTATTTTTGTCCAAGACTACCATTTTTGGTGCTTTTATAGGTTATTTTTAATGTTTATTTTAGGTTCACCAGTACATGTTCAGGTTTGTTATATAGGTGAATTGTGTGTCATGGGGGTTTGGTGTACAGATTTCGTCACCCAGGTAATAAGCATAGTACCAGGTAATAAGCATAACAGTTTTTTGATACTCATCCTCCTCCCACCTTCCAGCCTCAAGTACGTGCTGGTGTCTGTTGTTCCCTTCTTCTGAATAAAATCTTAAAATCAACATAATAACTGAAATATAGAAACTGGACCTGGCATCTGAAGACTGAAGTTCAAATTCAAATTTTGATATTAATCAGCTATGTGACCTAGTTAATCAATTTCTCAATGTTTCAGTTTTCTCATCTGTAAAATAGGGATGACAGTACTTAAGGTACAAGGCTGCTATAATGGTTAAATAAAGCTGGGTGCGGTGGCTCACACCTGTAATCCCAGCACTTTGGGAGGCTGAGGCAGGAGGATCACTTGAAGTCAGGAGTTTGAGACTACCCTGACCAACATGGCGAAACCCTCTCTCTACTAAAAATACAAAAATTAGCTGGACGTGGTGGCACGCGCCTGTAATCCCAGCTACTCGGGGGGCTGATACATGAGAATCACTTGGGCATGGGAGGCCAAAGTTGCAGTGAACCAAGATTGTGCCACTGCACTTCAGCCTGGGTGATGGAGTGAGACTGTCTCAAAAATAATAATAATAATAAAGTTTAAATGAGATAATGTGTAAGAAAATGCTTGCAAACTGTAAAACGTGACATATAATTTTTATTATTCAAACAGTTGATGTTTTATAGTCTGGAGAATTGTTGCATTGATCTTATGCTCTCTGGAGTATCTAAATCACCTTGGTGCTTAATTCTTGTTTATTAAAACACTTGAGTGTTCCTCTACTACTCAATCTGCCCTTGAGTGGTGGTAACAATTTCCATATGATTGGTAAAGGTAAGAGATCAAGAAAGATATAAGAATACTTTGCTATATGATATTGATGAACAAAAGTGCAATATATAATGTATTTGTATATGTTAAAGCCTCACATGTCACAAAACTGCTTTCTTAACTAGATGTTTAGATACTTACGTGGTAGTTTAGTCCTCCAAAGTCCAGATTCACTACATAGTTTCTTTTGTTTGCTTTCCCTGTAGTGCCAGGCCAGTCTGCCTGATTCTGATTTATATTTATTGAATATATTGTATGGGTGAATGGTAAATAGGCATTCTGTTTTTTTGTTTATTTGTCTTAGTATCTTCATTTGGGCTTTCCACAGGGAAAGTGTTCAGTTTCCTGAGGAGCACAGAACCTCTCACTGCATCTACCTACCCGCTCCTCTCCCGGAGAGCTAAACATTTCCACTGGAGCATTATAGCTCCAATGTACCCCTTTCATCTCCATAATGTAGATTTGATGCCCATGTCGGTGTTTCAATAAATTACAAGACCCTGTGATTTTCTTCTCTAGAATAAATAAAAAACTTCATCTGCTTATTCCAGGATCCTGATAGAGGACTCAGCTTGAGCCCGGACAGTTTTCCAAAAGAAGTCATGAAGGCTTTTATTGTCCAAATAATTTTAGGCTAAGCAAATCCAGTCTCTGGAGAAGGTCCTGGGGAGAACAGTGGTGCAACATTGTTTTCACACCAAGAAGTAAAATTGATCTTTAAATGAGCTCTTATTTTGCTTCCCGTCTCCTACAATTTTAAAGTTCACTTTTCTACAATTTGTTTTTATTCTTCGCAAGTAACTTATGATATTAAACTGTCAGTTATCTGTGGAAATAAGGCCAACCTGTATAATTGAAATCCATTGATAATCATAAAGACTCGTTTTCAGCTTCTGTCTTCAATCTTCTTCCTCCTAAATCCACTTTAAATAAAGACAGATCTGCTAATAAGCAGCCCACTGTGGTGCTTGTGCTTTCCTCCTTCCCTTCTCATCCTACATTGGAGATCTTAATGAACAAAGACATGCCTAAAAGCCAGGCAGTCAGGAGGAGGAGAAGCGGAGGTCACGGATAATCTGGAAAATGAATAATCAGTGCCTTGAAAATGAGAGGTGACTACACTCATGTTTATGTACGATTCTTCTCAAGTGACATTTGTGTCTTCCATCCCACCTGCTACTCCAGGAATTTGGTTTTCTGTCCTTGGGAACTACAGAGTCACATAAGTTAAGAACTGCCTGCCTTCTTGTCTCAAAACCATTATTTATAGCCATAGAATGACAGAGATAGAAGGGATGTCACAGGTCATAGAGCAACTCATTATATTTTGCAGATGAGCAATTAGGATCCAGAGGGAGAAATGACTCCTTCAAAGTCATGGAGCTTGTTAGCAGCAGAAACGGGACTGAAAGCCAGGTTTTTGGACTCCTAGTCTAAGTTTATTCTGTCACATCTCACCTTTCAATCTTAAACTTTATTACTCTAAAGCAGAGGTCCCCAACCTTTTTGGCATCAAGGACTGGTTTTGTGGAAGACCATTTTTCCACGGACCAGAGGTGGGGGATGGTTTCAAGATGATTCAAGTGCATTACATTTATTGTGCACCTTATTTCTATTATTACATTGCAATATATAATGAAATAATTATACAACTCATCATAGTGTAGAATCAGTGGGAGCCCTGAGCTTGTTTTCCTGCAAGTAGACAGTCCCATCTAGGATTGATGGGAGACAGTGACAGATCTTCAGGCATTAGATTCTCATAAGAAGTGCATAACCTGGATCCCTTGCATGCTCAGTTCACAATAGGGTTTAGGCTTCTATAAGAATCTAATGCCACTGCTGATCTGACAAGAGGCAGAGCTCAGGTGGTAATGCAAATGATGGGGAGTGGCTGTAAATACAAATGAAGCTTCACTCGCTCGCTCACTGCTCACCTCCTGCTGTGTGGCCCGGTTCCTAACAGACCACAGACTGGTACTGGTCCACGGCCTGGGGATTGAGGACCCCTGCTCTAAAGTAGTCACTGTGAAGTCAGTTCTGCTGATTTCATCTCTTCATATTCTCCCTAGGATGGAAGATGCTAGACACTCTTTCTCCTGATGTTCTTTTACTGTGTTCACTTCCGTTTCACTCCATCCTCAATGTCACTGCTTTAGTTCAGGCTCTCATTGCCTCTGAGATTTTGCACATATTATTCCATGTAGTGATCTCTTTTCCTTTGTCTACCTAGAAAATGTTTGTGCTTCAAGATGATGAAGGCTTTAGCTGAACACTTCCTGATCACTTGGACAGAGTTAATTATATGCTTTGTGATATCACTGAATCATTTACATAGCTTCATTATATTACCGTATGATAAATATTTGCATGTATCTCCTGTATTGCACTGTGAACTTCTTGAAAGAAAGAACTTTGTCTAATTTTCACTCCCTTCTTTCTGTACACAGTGCCTGAATGTAGGGCTCAGTAAATAAGCATTCAATGTGCCAATGTCCAATATAATTTGTAGGTCACAGTGATGGCCAGACATTTAAGTTAATAAATACAGATGACCTCTTTTTATTAGTTGGGCTATGTTATTTTGGTTAATATAACCTTCATGTTCATTTTAAAAGTGTCAATCAGTCATACTTTTGAAAATCTTGCATAGGAAGCAGAATTTGAATTAATGAATTTGTTTGGAAAGCACATTTACAAGGTAAGCCCACAACAGAAAACTGTCTGTGTAATGTATTTTTTAAAATAATTTAAATATATAAATACTAGAGCTGCCTTTTCAATCCTTAGTACTGAAGCCTTACATCACTATCAAGAGAAAATATAATTAGGTATATGAAATGTAAAAAATTATAGTACATTAACATGAGAGTATCAATACATTGTTTTTCTTGGCATATATTTGAGAAACATCAAGGGAACACAGTGTTGTTTATTCATATCATGAGCTAGAAACAAACCTAATGCAATGGGATGATTTTCTGTGCTAAGACCTAAACAAGATATTTAAAGAATGAATACTTGGGTATTTTTGCTTGTTTATATTTCTGTCTGAAAGTTTACATACCTGAAAAGTTGGTAAGTATTGCAAATATGGGACTATTGCATCCAGGCAGAATTTTTTGCCTGTTCCACCACTGCTTCTGCTTCTCTGCTTCCTTCTCTATCTCTTCATCTTCTTATAGCATCATTTGCTTTGTTGTTACAATTGCAAAAAGTTGTGACAATTGTAAAAAAGCTGTATGGGCCATGGTCATTTTAACGATAACTTTATGTATACAGTTGAGGTTCAAGTTTAAGCATCATTCACCATGAATCTAAGGTCTTCCCTCCTATGTCACAGAGGTTGCTGCATCTCTGGACAGCTCTTGTGGTGTTGTGCGTGGAAATCAGAAATGAGTCCATGCACTCATTTTGCCAGAGTCATGGTCAAAAGCACATCAATAAAGAATCAGCACCACCAAAGAAGCAAATTTGTCATCCATAGTTTAAAAGGAACAGGTGATCCAACAGTAATTGTTAGTCACTTCATTAACTAATTGATGCATTTTTTAATTTTTGGAGTGGATTCCAACTACCAACATTTGATACCGTCCTAGTGATCATTTCCTGCACATTCACATATCCTCAAGATGTTAAAAATCCCAAGGCTTATTTATCAGAAAAATGTAATTAGGTCTTACCACATTGGAGTGCCATGCCTAATAGATCTGTGGCTCCCATACTAAGGTTTATGATATGTGTATATATAAATGAAAGCTGTCTATCACTTAATTTTCCTCATATTGTTATGAATTTTCTATGCCATAGGATAAATCCAACCATTCAACATTGTGCCCTTGGTGTTTTATCAAATCATAGCTTGGAGCAATTTAAGAACAGGTTAGGGGATAGCTTTAAGGTATAATGCAAACCAGAAGGTCTAATTCCTCTAATCCCACAAGCCTACTTCTACTTGCTTGAGTGTACAGAGGGGGTTTGCTTAGCCTTTTGTTCTAGAAATAGATGACCTTAGAAGTGAAATAATAAATGGATGAATAAATGAGTGAATGAATGATGATGACAAATCTTTCATCCAATTCTAGCATGATAGAATAATATAGAATGTGGGGTCCATTTAGCATTAAAGGAGATGAGTAATACATACTAATTAGATCCTTTTTTGGGAAAAGTGAAGTAGCACCTAACTGTATTCAAGGCCAATCCTGAGCATGATAGAAAATGTAGCACCATTTGACTTGAATTCACCTTTGGCCACTTTTATGCATAATTTTTATATTTTTTCTTTTTTATGTACACCGATCCTTGGGAAAGACTGTGGCTCTGTAAAACCTCTGTGTGCTGATCTTCTTCAGCTTATATCATTTCAATGCTTCAGACCTTTCCAGATCACTTTTCATCACCTACACACCCTGGTATCCACCCTTTTGGGGTCTTGCTCTGTGATGGGGTTACTGGGATGGCCTAACTAATGCATTAATAGCTGAGTGGGTAATTACCCATTAGGTAATATTTGCATCTCAATTAAGACCTTCCAAGTGTTAACCTTTTGAAGCAATTATAATGGCAAATATTTTAACAAATGTGTAGCAAAAAATATATGTCTTGGCACAATTCTGGATATAAAGAGATGAGGAAGATGTAGTCCCTATACTCCAAATGTAATGAAGAAATAGATATTAAAGTAGATGCATAACAGTGTGATATATTAATTGCTACAATAGAGAGATGGACACAGAAGGAGACGACTATGCCTAAGGCATTGGGGTAGACTTCATAGAGGGAGTGAAGTCTGAACTATTATAAATAGTGTTTTCCAGATTCATATTTTAAAAGTTACCCTGGTATCAGAGAAGAAATTGGATGAGGCCAAGGCCAGAAAATTTTTAATCTTCCAGAAAAGAGATGACAATAGTGTGAAGTAAGGGAATAGGAGGAAAATGGAGGAGAGTTGGCAATTTTCATTTTTAATTTTGTAGATAGAATCAACAGGACTTGATTGGTGATTGTTTTGTATATGTAGTATGATGAAGAAGAAGGTGTTGAGGAAAAATCCAAGGATTCTGGTTTTGGAAACTATGTAAATGGTGAAGCTATTAGGTGAGATTCAAATTATAGATGAAGTAGTAGGTTTAGGATGTGGGGAAGGAAGACATTGACTTTTCCCTTCCTGTTCAAAGGATGAGTAATTTGGAATGGCCACGGTTGGTAGGCCCAGGTAAGTCCATTCTCCAGCTCTTCCTGTTAGGAAGTTCTGTCCAAATTGTTCAATCTGGATAGCATTATCCATATTGTCCAGAGCCCTGCACTTGTATTCTCGATTGTCATAATCATGCTATATATTTGAAGCAAGTATACCCAAGACTAATCTTCAATAATGTAGACTTGGGAAAAAAATGAAGCAAACTTTTTTCCCTTATGAAAAAATGTATTGGTACCCTCTTCTGTTACAGTTTATGAAATCTGCCATTTATTGCATCTCTTTGGGATTAAGATACTGTTGTATCTGGTAACAAGTTAGACAAAATTAAGTTTATTTCAGTAAATGAATGCTACTACCCTGAGGGGTTAGATTTTGGGAGTTGGGAAAAGGGAATTTGAGAGCATAGGATGGCCACCTTCTAGGTCCAGGAGGACCTTTGTGGCAGGAAGACATGGGCTATATGGGAGTAGCTTGTAGGTCCTTGGTGCCTGGAAGAGGAAGGGTATATTGAAGAAATTATGTGCCCTTTTCTCAGTTTTGATGAGGGCTGGGCTTCTGTGAATGTTTCTTTTTATTAGAAAGCTACCTACAGGAGTGTTATGAGATTTAATTAATGGTTGCCAAATACTTTGCAAAGATAATGTCATGTGTAAATGATTAATAATTACAGGCAAAAGCAGCTATGTCTCTTGTTTGTGAATGTACCCTGAATTATCATTTTCTGCTATAGATCATGGGAGCACATATGAAATGAATCTAAGTAAGGAGCAGATTACACATCTTACTTTGATCAGAGGGTAAATTCCTCGTCAAGAGAAAGTTGAGGGATAGGTAGTAAAAGAGGGCTTGGTTCTATTTCCTAATCCAACTACATTGATGTTCCAGCAGTTGGCAAGTCTGTTTGTCGTTCTGAATAACCTGAGTCCTCCAACATTGGCCTTATTCAGATTGGCTACAGGATGCCAAGCCAGAACCACTAGTTTTCTTGACTCATTCTCTCAAATAAATTAGAAGCATTTCCTTACCTTCTTTTTTAATGCCTTCATTCTTCACAATCAATTACCATGAGTCTATTTATTCAACCTGCAGAATGTCTCTCTTATCTGTCCCTATTTTCCACTTCCTTTCTATCCTTTCTTAGGACCTCAGAATGTTTTTTTCTGAGGTATTGTGATAGTCTTACTCTTCCTCTATTGAGAACAGAAAGATAAAAATTATCCACCATGCAGATAGCATGGCTTTGGTTGGCTATCTTGGATTTGTCCCTGCAGATTCATCTTCCAGCCTTCTCCACCCTCCTTTGTGCCTTGGACGGTGGGCCTATTTGGACGGTACCAACAGTCTCCACTCTGCTCTCACTTCTCGTTGTTTATAGCCAATGCACTCACAGAAGATCAGAAGGCTGGAGAAAAGAGAGATCAGGTTACAAGTTGACTGTGGGTTCATTTTTTTTCCCAAAGGCTAGAGTCTCAGCTTTATTTGGATACTGGGAACCATTTTTTTCTCATTATCCCTTTAGCTTTAAGGTGATGATGTATCTATACCTTTGCTAGTCTAGAGTATTAATGAGAACTTGGTTTTTCTTACCATATTATTTTATTTTAACCCTGTCAACAATTTTTAAGTATCCCGTCATTAAATTGTCCTCAATTATTCCATTTGAATATACTGCCTCTTTACTGCCAGGATCCTGTCTGATACAGTGGCTTTACTGGACACTGGCTTATTTAATTACTGCCAGAAAGAAGGAATTCACAGAATTCCCCAAAACCAACTTTGTTTGTTTGTTTATTTGGTAGCTATTACCCAACATTTATTTGACATGAATAGCGAGCCTATGGAGTGCATTCCTTCAGTTATTTAGAAGTATGCTTTGCAACCAGTTTATCTGGGTATTCATCAGAGAACTATACTTTATATGGATGCTGTATTAGTTATGATAGTCTAAACTCATGCTACAGTAACAATTCTTCAGTGATTAACGTAACAAAAGTTTATTTTTACTTTTTTTGAAGTCTGCTGGATGTCTGGGTGATTCCCCAGGGATGTCGATCTTTCAGGAAGTTACTTGGCAATCTAAGGATCTTGTTATTCTATGATCCCAACCTGAGGTGTTCTCCAGTATTATCCTAACAAGAGAAGAGGAAGATTGGAGAGTTATCTGGGGACTTTTCATTGCCTCAAGCCATAAATGACCCATATCACTTCCAATCACATTTCATCGATGAATGACAATTAGATTGCCTTGCCCAACATCAAGGGGGCTGGGGAGAGGTTTTTGTTTACCAATGAAAGAGGGCCATATGCCCAGGAAATGAGATTTGTTAAAACACATCTGCTGTATAACAAGGTTGGCTTTATAGTTAGGTGGGTATTTGGTTACACATATGTACTTATATTGTTTTTTACAGATTAAAATTATTGTAGCTTTGATCTTCCATTTGTTTCCCAGGGTAGCCAAATTTTTAAATGAGACAACCTCTGACTTGCCTGTAATACTTTCTTGGCATGCCCCCAGACAGACTTATGGTTTTCTTCTATTAAGGTGGGTGTCCTTGGACAATATATAACATGTACCTCTGCATTTAAATGAGCATGATAGAATAGCTCCATAGCTCTATTCAGCTAATCATCAGAAAGTATAGGCTTGGGCAGGGTGGACAAAAAAAAAAGTACAGGCTTGAAGTCCTTATATAAGGAATATTGTAATGAACTACCCCTTGAAAGTAGTTGTTGTATTTCATGGAAGGTTGCTGTTTAGTGTTCTTTACTACATTTCACAGCATCATAAAGAGGAACCATAGATGAATTCTTCTCTTGATAACAGGAAAAGTGATACTTTCTCTGAATGGCTTAAAATAATCTCAAGGACAATAAAAATTGCATAGACGGACATGTTTCCCTTTTGATATTTGCTGCTATTTCCTTAGAAACTAAATTTGTTTCCTTCTAGCAAGTATAACTTGCTTCAAAATGTGCATTTGGCTTCACTCCTTGTTTCATCTTATTTATCCATTTTGGATATGTTGTATTGAGATACTTCTGCAACTAAGCTAACTTTTCCCTTGCTATCTCACAGATTCCTATATCAGTTTATTTATTTATTTATTTATTGTTATTTTATTTTATTATTATTATTATACTTTAAGTTTTAGGGTACATGTGCACAACGTGCAGGTTAGTTACATATGTATACATGTGCCATGTTGCTGTGCTGCACCCATTAACTCGTCATTTAGCATTAGGTATATCTCCTAATGCTATCCCTCCCCACTCCTCCCACCCCAAAACAGTCCCCGGTGTGTGATGTTCCCCTTCCTGTGTCCATGTGTTCTCATTGTTCAGTTCCCACCTATGAGTGAGAGCATGCAGTGTTTGGTTTTTTGTCCTTGCAATAGTTTGCTGAGAATGATGGTTTCCAGCTTCATCCATGTCCCTACAAAGGACATGAACTCATCATTCTTTATGGCTGCATAGTATTCCATGGTGTATATCTGCCACATTTTCTTAATCCAGTCTATCATTGTTGGACATTTGGGTTGGTTCCAAGTCTCTGCTATTGTGAATAGTGCTGCAATAAACATACGTGTGCATGTGTCTTTATAGCAGCATGATTTATAATCCTTTGGGTATATACCCAGTAATGGGATGGCTGGGTCAAATGGTATTTCTAGTTCTAGATCCCTGAGGAATCGCCACACTGACTTCCACAATGGTTGAACTAGTTTACAGTCCCACCAACAGTGTAAAAGTGTTCCTATTTCTCCACATCCTCTCCAGCACCTGTTGTTTCCTGACTTTTTAATGATCGCCATTCTAACTGGTGTGAGATGGTATCTCATTGTGGTTTTGATTTGCATTTCTCTGATGACCAGTGATGATGAGCATTTTTTCATGTGTCTGTTGGCTGCATAAATGTCTTCTTTTGAGAAGTGTCTGTTCATATCCTTTGCCCACTTTTTGATGGGGTTGTTTGTTTTTTTCTTGTAAATTTGTTTGAGTTCATTGTAGATTCTGGATATTAGCCCTTTGTCAGATGAGTAGGTTGCAAAAATTTTCTCCCATTCTGTAGGTTGCCTTTTCACTCTGATGGTGGTTTCTTTTGCTGTGCAGAAGCTCTTTAGTTTAATTAGATCCCATTTGTCAATTTTGGCTTTTGTTGCCATTGCTTTTGGTGTTTTAGACATGAAGTCCTTGCCCATGCCTATGTCCTGAATGGTAATGCCTAGGTTTTCTTCTAGGGTTTTTATGGTTTTAGGTCTAACATTCAAGTCTTTAATCCATCTTGAATTAATTTTTGTATAAGGTGTAAGGAAGGGATCCAGTTTCAGCTTTCTACATATGGCTAGCCAGTTTTCCCAGTACCATTTGTTAAATAGGGAATCCTTTCCCCATTGCTTGTTTTTGTCAGGTTTGTCAAAGATCAGATAGCTGTAGATATGTGGCATTGTTTCTGAGGGCTCTGTTCTGTTCTATTGATCTATATATCTGTTTTGGTACCAGTACCATGCTATTTTGGTTACTGTAGCCTTGTAGTATAGTTTGAAGGCAGGTAGCATGTTGCCTCCAGCTTTGTTCTTTTGACTTAGGATTGACTTGGCAATGTGGGCTCTTTTTTGGTTCCATATGAACTTTAAAGTAGTTTTTTCCAATTCTGTGAAGAAAGTCATTGGTAGCTTGATGGGGATGGCATTGAATCTATAAATTACCTTGGGCAGTATGGCCATTTTCACGATATTGATTCTTCCTACCCATGAGCATGGAATGTTCTTCCATTTGTTTGTATCCTCTTTTATTTCCTTGAGCAGTGGTTTGTAGTTCTCCTTGAAGAGGTCCTTCACATCCCTTGTAACTTGGATTCCTAGGTATTTTATTCTCTTTGAAGCAATTGTGAATGGGAGTTCACTCATGATTTGGCTCTCTGTTTGTCTATTATTGGTGTGTAAGAATGCTTGTGATTTTTGTACATTGATTTTGTATCCTGAGACTTTGCTGAAGTTGCTTATCAGCTTAAGGAGATTTTGGGCTGAGACAATGGGGTTTTCTAGATATACAATCATGTCATCTGCAAACAAGGACAATTTGACTTCCTGTTTTCCTAATTGAATACCCCTTATTTCCTTCTCCTGCCTGCTTGCCCTGGCCAGAACTTCCAACACTATGTTGAATAGGAGTGGTGAGAGAGGGCATCCCTGTCTTGTGCCAGTTTTCAAAGGGAATGCTTCCAGTTTTTGTCCATTCAGTATGATATTGGCTGTGGGTTTGTCATAGATAGCTCTTATTATTTTGAGATATGTCCCATCAATACCTAATTTATTGAGAGTTTTTAGCATGAAGGGTTGTTGAATTTTGTCAAAGGCCTTTTCTGCATCTATTGAGATAATCATGTAATTTTTGTCTTTGGTTCTGTTTATATGCTGGATTGCATATATTGATTTGCGTATGTTGAACCAGCCTTGCATCCCAGGGATGAAGCCCACTTGATCATGGTGGATAAGCTTTTTGATGTGTTGCTGGATTCAGTTTGCCAGTATTTTACTGAGGATTTTTGCATCAATGTTCATCAAGGATATTGGTCTAAAATTCTCTTTTTTTGTTGTGTCTCTGCCAGGCTTTGGTATCAGGATGATGCTGGCCTCATAAAATGAGTTAGGGAGGATTCCCTCTTTTTCTATTGATTGGAATAGTTTCGGAAGGAATGGTACCAGCTCCTCCTTGTACCTCTGGTAGAATTCGGCTGTGAATCCATCTGGTCCTGGACTTTTTTTGGTTGGTAAGCTATTAATTATTGCCTCAATGTCAGAGCCTGTTATTGGTCTATTCAGAGATTCAACTTCTTCCTGGTTTAGACTTGGGAGAGTGTATGTGTCGAGGAATTTATCCATTTCTTCTAGATTTTCTAGTTTGTTTGTGTAGAGGTATTTATAGTATTATCTGATGGTAGTTTGTATTTCAGTGGGATCGGTGGTGATATCCCCTTTGTCATTTTTTTATTGTGTCTATTTGATTCTTCTCTCGTTTCTTCTTTATTAGTCTTGCTAGCAGTCTATCAATTTTGTTGATCTTTTCAAGAAACCAGCTCCTGGATTCATTAATTTTTTGAAGGGTTTTTTGTGTCTCTATTTCCTTCAGTTCTGCTCTGATCTTAGTTATTTCTTGCCTTCTGCTAGCTTTTGAATGTGTTTGCTCTTGCTTCTCTAGTTCTTTTAATTGTGATGTTAGGGTGTCAATTTTAGAACTCTCCTGCTTTCTCTTGTGGGCATTTAGTGCTATAAATTTCCCTCTACACACTGCTTTGAATGTGTCCCAGAGATTCTGGTATGTTGTGTCTTTGTTCTCGTTGGTTTCAAAGAACATCTTTATTTCTGCCTTCATTTCGTTATGTACCCAGTAGTCATTCAGGAGCAGGTTGTTCAGTTTCCATGTAGTTGAGCAGTTTTCAGTGAGTTTCTTAATCCTGAGTTCTAGTTTGATTGCACTGTGGTCTGAGAGACAGTTTGTTATAATTTCTGTTCTTTTACATTTGCTGAGGTGTGCTTTACTTCCAACTATGTGGTAAATTTTGGAATAGGTGTGATGTGGTGTTGAAAAGAATGTATATTCTGTTGATTTGGGGTGGAGAGTTCTGTAGATGTCTTTTAGATCTGTTTGGTGCAGAGCTGGGTTCAATTTCTGGATATCCTTGTTAACTTTCTGTCTTGTTGATCTGTCTGATGTTGACAGTGGGGTGTTAAAGTCTCCCATTATTATTGTGTGGAAGTCTAAGTCTCTTTGTAGGTCACTAAGGTCTTGCTTTATGAATCTGGGTGCTCCTGTATTGGGTGCATATATATTTAGGATAGTTCTTCTTGTTGAATTGATCCCTTTACCATTATGTAATGGCCTTCTTTGTCTCTTTTGATCTTTGTTGGTTTAAAGTCTGTTTTATCCGAGACTAGGATTGCAACCCCTGCCTTTTTTTGTTTTCCATTTGCTTGGTAGATCTTCCTCCATCCCTTTATTTTGAGCCTATGTGTGTCTCTGCATGTGAGATGGGTTTCCTGAATACAGCACACTGATGGGTCTTGACTCTTTATCCAATTTGCCAGTCTGTGTCTTTTAATTGGAGCATTTAGCCCATTTACATTTAAGGTTAGTATTGTTATGTGTGAATTTGATCCTGTCATTATGATGTTAGCTGGTTATTTTGCTCGTTAGTTGATGCAGTTTCTTCCTAGCCTCGATGGTCTTTACAATTTGGCATGATTTTGCAGTGGCTGGTACCGGTTGTTCCTTTCCATTTTTAGTGCTTCCTTCAGGAGCTCTTTTAGGGCAGGCCTGGTGGTGACAAAATCTCTCAGCATTTACTTGTCTGTAAAGGATTTTATTTCTCCTTCACTTATGAAGCTTAGTTTGGCTGGATATGAAATTCTGGGTTGAAAATTCTTTTCTTTAAGAATGTTGAATATTGGCCCCCACTCTCTTCTGGCTTGTAGGGTTTCTGCCAAGAGATCAGCTGTTACTCTGATGGGTTTCCCTTTGTGGGTAACCCGACCTTTCTCTCTGGCTGCCCTTAACATTTTTTCCTTGATTTCAACTTTGGTGAATCTGACAATTATGTGTGTTGGAGTTGCTCTTCTTGAGGAGTATCTTTGTGGTGTTCTCTGTATTTCCTGAATTTGAATGTTGGCCTGCCTTGCTAGATTGGGGAAGTTCTCCTGGATAATATCCTGCAGAGTATTTTCCAACTTGGTTCAATTCTCCACGTCACTTTCAGGTACACCAATCAGAGGTAGATTTGGTCTTTTCACATAGTCCCATATTTCTTGGAGGCTTTGTTCGTTTCTTTTTATTCTTTTTTCTCTAAACTTCTCTTCACACTTCATTTCATTCATTTCGTGTTCCATTGCTGATACCCTTTCTTCCAGTTGATCGCATCGGTTACTGAGGCTTGTGCGTTCGTCACGTAGTTCTCATGCCGTGGTTTTCAGCTCCATCAGGTCCTTTAAGGACTTCTCTGCATTGGTTATTCTAGTTATCCATTCATCTAATTTTTTTTCAAAGTTTTTAATTTCTTTGCCATTGGTTCGAACTTCCTCCTTTAGCTCGGAGTAGTTTGATCTTCTGAAGCCTTCCTCTTTCACCTCGTCAAAGTCATTCTCCGTCCAGCTTCGTTCTGTTGCTGGTGAGGAGCTGCATTCCTTTGGAGGAGGAGAGGCGCTCTGATTTTTAGTTTCCGGTTTTTCTTCTCTGTTTTTTCCCCATCTTTGTGGTTTTATCTACTTTTGGTCTTTGGTGATTGTGATGTACAGATGGGTTTTTGGTGTGGATGTCCTTTCTGTTTGTTAGTTTTCCTTCTAACAGTCAGGACCCTCAGCTGCAGGTCTGTTGGAGTTTACTGGAGGTCCACTCCAGACCCTGTTTGCCTGGGTATCAGCAGCTGTGGCTGCAGAACAGTGGATACTGGTGAACCGCAAATGCTTCTGCCTGATCGTTCCTCTGGAAGTTTTGTCTCAGAGGAGTGCCCGGCCGTGTGAGGTGTCAGTCCACCCCTACTGGGGAGGGCCTGCCGGTTAGGCTACACGGGGGTCAGGGACCCACTTGAGGAGGCAGTCTGCCCGTTCTCAGATCTCAGGCTGCGTGCTGGGAGAACCACTACTCTCTTCAAAGCTGTCAGACAGGGACATTTAAGTCTGCAGAGGTTATTGCTGTCTTTTGTTTGTCTGTGCCCTGCCCCCAGAGGTGGAGCCTACAGATGCAGGCAGTCCTTCTTGAGCTGTGGTGGACTCCACCCAGTTTGAGCTTCCCGGCCACTTTGTTTACCTACTCAAGCCTGAGCAATGGTGGGCGCCCCTCCCCCAGCCTCGATGCCGCCTTGTAGTTTGATCTCAGACCGCTGTGCTAGCAATGAGCGAGGCTCCGTGGGCATAAGACCCTCTGAGCCAGGTGTGGGATATAATCTCCTGGTGTGCCATTTGTTAAGCCCATTGGAAAAGCACAGTATTAGGGTGGGAGTGACCTGATTTTCCAGGTGCTGTCTGTCACCCATTTCTTTGACTAGGAAAGGGAATTCCCTGACCCCTTGTGCTGCCTGGGTGGGGCGATGCCTCGCCCTGCTTCAGCTCGAGCATGGTGCACTGCACCCACTGTCCTGCATCCACTGTCTGGCACTCCCCAGTGAGATGAACCCAGTACCTCAGCTGGAAATGCAGAAATCACCCATCTTCTGCGTTGCTCAAGCTGGGAGCTGTAGACTGGAGCTGTTCCTATTCGGCCATCTTGACTCCACGTATATCAGTTTATTAATTGGAGCTGTTTATTTACATCTAAGTCCATCCTGGATTTACAACTCACCTAATAAAGTTAATTATTAATAATAACATATGCATATAAAATCAGAGAATAACAGAAACATTAAAACAAGAAGGAACTTTAGCGAAATCAACTAGTCCAGCCTTTTCATTTTACACATAAAAAATCTGAGTCTCAGAAAGGTTAAATTACTTATCTAAGTTCATAGATGTAATGGAGTAAGATCTGAGCAGAGAAATAATATTTTTTCTTTTATTTTAGTGACTTTTAAAATTACACCATCCTACTCTCTATGCATGTATGTATACCAAGAGATATGCAGATACACATACAAATACACTATTTCATACAGAAAATACCAAGGCTAATATTTGTCTGAGTTTAATTTTCAACAATAGCTAGATAACTCTTTTATATTTTTCTTTTTTTTTTTTTCTTTGAGACACAGTCTCACTTTGTCTCCTAAGCTGGAGTGCAGTGGGGTGATCTCGGCTCACTGCAATCTCCGTCTCCCAGGCTCAAGCAATTCTCCTGCCTCAGCCTCCTGAGTAGCTGGGATTATAGGCATGTACCACCATGCCTGGCTAATTTTTATATTTTTAGTGGAGACCAGGTTTTGCCATGTTGGCCAGGCTGGTCTTGAACTCCTGACCTCAAGTGATCTGCCCATCTCGGCCTCCCAAAGTGCTGGGATTATAAGTGTGAGCCACTGTGCCCAGTCAGCTCTCTTACATTTAACAGAAACTGAACCAACAGAAAAACCTCCATGAAGTATTTTTATGGTTGTACTTTTCATAACTGATCCAATAAATTGGACTGATTTTTACATCAAAGGGAAAGAATTATTTTGTGAGTTTCAGATTATATTAAACATTAACCATTTTTTTTGCTAACATTAGCCATTTACCAGTCGTAGAGCATTAGCTGCAATATACTTACATCTTTAAATATATTCATTATACAGATAAGCTTATAAATATTATTGAAAATTTGAGAAGTTCTGATTTACAAATAATTGTCCCTCAATTTAAAATAAACATTTTTAAAGATTTTGTCAAAATAAATAGTTTAACAAAATTCAACCTGTTTTCATATAGAAAAGTGATTCCACATAATTGGAAGGATCTAGTTTGGATTTATTTATTTGCAGATGGGTGTGTGTATTAGTCTATTCTCACACTGCTATACAGACCTAAGACTGGGTAATTTATAAAGAAAAGAGGTTGAATTGGCTTACAGTTTTATGGTCTGTACAGGCTTCTGCTTCTAGGGGGACCTCATGAAACTTACAATTATGGCAGAATGTGAAGGGGACGCAAGGACATCTTTACATTGCCAGCATAAGAGAGCGGGTGAAAAGGGAGGTTCTATAAACTTTTAAACAATCAGATTTCGTGAAAACTGTATCACCAGAAAAGCAAGGGGGAAGTCTGCCCCCATGATTCAATCACCTCCCACCAGGTCCTTCCCCAAACAGTATCCCAAAGTCTTAATTCATTCCAGCATTAACTCAAAAGTTCAAGTCCAAAGTCTCATCTGAGACAAGGCAAGTCTCTTCTGCCTATGAGCCTGCAAAATAAAAAACCAGTTAGTTACTTCCAAGATACAGTGGGGGTACAGGCATTGGGTAAATGCTCCCTTTCCAAAAGGGAGAATTTGGCCAAAACAAAGAGACTACAGGCTTCATGTAAGTTTGAAACCCAGGAGGGCAGACATTAAATCATAAAGCTCCAAAATAATCTCCTTTGACTCCATGTCTCACATCCAGGCCACACTGATGCAATGAGTGGGCTCGCAAGGCCTTGGGCAGCTCTGCCCTTGTGGATCTGCAGGGCTCAGCTGCCCTGACTGCTCTCAAGGGCTGGTGTTGAGTGTCTGCAATGTTTTGGGGTGCATAGGGCAAGCTGTTGATGGATCTACCATTCTGGGGTCTGGAGGACGGTAGCCCTCTTCTCACATCTTCAATAGGCAGTGCCCCAGTGGGGCTCCTACCCCATGTTTCCCCTCTGCACTTCCTTAGTAGAGGTTCTCCATGAGGGCTCTGCTCCCTCAGCACACTTCTGCAGGGACATTCAGGTGTTTCCATACATCCTCTGAAATCTAGGTGGAGGTTCCTAAGCCTCACCTTCTGCCTTCTGTTCACCTGCAGGCTCAACACCATGTGGAAGCCACCAAGGCTTGGGGGTTGCACCTTCTGAAGCAATGGCCAGAGCTATACCTTGGCCCCTTTTAGCCATGGCTGCAGCTGGCATGGCTGGGACACAGGGTGCCATGTCCCATGGCTGCACAGAGCAGTGGAGCCCTGGGTCTGGCCCACGAAATCACTTTTCTCTCATCTGGCCCACGAAACCACTTTTCTCTCCTAAGTCTCCAGGCCTATGATGGGAGGGGCTGCCACAAACGTCTCTGAAATGCCTTGGAGGCACTTTCTCCATTGTTTTGGCTATTAACATTCGGCTCCTCTTTACTTATGCAAATTTCTGCAGCAGGCTTGAATTCCTCTACAGAAAATGAGTTTTTCTTTTCCACCACATAGGCTGCAAATTTCCCAAACTTTTATGCTCTGCTTCCCTTTTAAATATAAGTTCCAGTTTCAGGTCGTTTCTTTGTTTATGCAAATGAGCATAGGCTTTACAAAGCAGCGTTGAACACTTTGCTGCTTAGAAATTTCTTTCATCAGATACCCTAAATCAGGGTACAGTGGCACCAGTCTCTTTGCTAAAGCATACCAACAACTTTACTACAGTTCTCAGTAAGTTCCTCATCTCCATCTGAGACCACCTCAGCGTGCACTTCATTGTCTATATCTGTATCAGCATTTTGGTCACAACCATTTAACAAGTCTCTAGCAAGTTCCAAACTTTCCCTTATCTTCCTATCTTCTTTTGACCCCTCCAAACTGTTCCATTCTCTGTCTATTGCCCAGTTTCAAAGCTCCTTCCACATTTTTAGGTATCTTTATAGCAATGCTCCACTCCCAGTACCAATTTTCAGTATTAGTCAGGTCTCACACTGCTATAGAGACATACCTAAGACTGGTTAATTTATAAAGAAAAGAGGTTTAATCCACTCACAGTTCTGTGGGCTGTATGGGATTCTGCCTCTGGGGATGTCTCAGGAAATTTACAATCATGGCAGAAGGTGAAAGGGAAGCAAACAAATCTTCACATGGCCAGCATGAGAGACAGAGAGTGATGCGAGAAGTGCTACACACTTTTAAACAACCAGATCTTATGAGAACTCTATCATGAGAACAGCAAAGGGGAAGTCTGCCTCCATGACTCAGTCACCTCTCATCAAGCCCCTTCTCCAACACTGAAGTTTACAATTTGACATGAGATTTGGGTGGGGTCATAGAGCCAGCCAAACCATATCAGTGTATGTGTCTGAAAATGAACACATCTGTACATGGGATGTAATATAAATTATTTTATGTGTCAACTTGACTGAGTCATGGAGTGCCCAGATATTGGGTTAAACATTATTTCTGGGTATGTCTGTGAGGGTGATTCTGGATGAGATTAGCATTTGAATCTGTAGACTGAGTAAGGCAGATGGCCCTCCCCAGTGTGGGTGAGCATCATCCAATCCATTGAGGGCCTTAATAGAACATAAAGACAGAGGAAGGTAGAATTTACTCTCTTTACCTGACTGCTTGAGATGGAACATCAGTCTGTTGTCTTTGGAGTAGTACTTACACCACTGGCTCTACTGGTTCTTAGGCATTCAGACCTGGGCTAGTACTTACATAATTGGTTCTCCTGGTTCTCAGCCTTTGGTCTTGGACTGGAACTACACAACTAGCTTTCCTGGGCCTCCAGCTAGCAGGTAGAAGATTGGGGATTTCTCTGCCTCCACGATTGTGTGATCCATTTCTTTAAAATCTATGTATCTATGTATCTATCTATCTATCTATCTATCTATCTATCTACCTACCTACCTACCTATCTACCTACCTACCTATCTATCTACCTATGTGTGTATCCATCCATCCTCCTATTAGTTCTGTGTTTCTGGATAATCCTGGCTAATGAAAGATGTGTGTGTGTGTGTGTGTGTGTGTGTGTGTGTGTGTGTGTGTGTGTATGTTTGTGTGTAATTTTTGTCTTTCAAAATTAGCATTTAGAGAAAGAAACCTTGGATTCATGGTACAAAGAAGTAATTCTCAAACACTTCTGTTATTTGTAAGGGAGAAAATTTTAAAAGGCAATAGAATAAAACTAAGACATTTATGTGGTATTCCTGAAATAACCATTGTCTATGCTGACACTTCATGAGTATAATGTCTTATTTAATTGATAGTTTTTCCATTCTCATTGGGAGGCTTTAGAATATGTGTTTTTGGATGTTAATTCTGGAAATGTGATATGTTCTGTCTACACTTATTTTTTTGTCTCTAAGGTTTAGTTTAAAAAGAACTTTCTTGGGGTACTATATTAAGAACTCTAAATGACACCAAAATAAAAAATAGGTATGAAACTGGACTATTAATACTTGTGGAATTTATAATGTGTAATAAATTACTGAGTATTTATCAGAACATGCATAGTGTAAGCCATTATGTATAGACATTAATTTTATCTTTAAAGCTGCCAAGTGTTTTTCTCTTCAGTTTTAACAGCCTTTACAAGATGTCTACCTCGTTCTCATACTGCCAAATTAAATATAGACAATGTTATTATCTCTTGGGTCTTCTTCCCAGTTTATCTCCCGCTGTGCATACACCCAATTGCAATTGGAATTTTCTTTCACTGTCATTTTTCTTGATTCCTGAAGCTATCATTTCTTTGGGTTCATTCTTCATCTGGTGACAGATGATATACCCTTTCTGAAATTCAGTTGGTTCCTACCTCATTGATTGATTTCTTACTTCAGTTCAGTTTTTTCCCCCACTCCAACATGGCTGTTTTCTACATATTTCACCTTCTTTTACAATTTCAGTTAGTTACCATTAGTACCAATGTCTGAAAATTGATTTTCCCACAGTAGGAAAACACTCTCCATGATTTTAGTCAGTCTTTCAGAAAGGTTTCAGTGAAAGCATGATTATTCTTTTTGTCTCAATTCTTCCAGCTTGGATTAGTTTACAGCATAGCATTTGAAACACACGCCGTGTTTTACGCATCTGTTGTTCATCATGCAGTTTCAAAGAAGAAATGAGAAACTCATCTTTAACCTAACCTTATTTAGTTTAAGAAAAGGGCATAACAGAGACAGTTAAGATTTTTCAAAACTTCCCTTTTTTATCCTTAAAAAGTCTGTAGTTTCCTCTCTAGTTTTGAGCAGGTAGATACCTTGTCAGCTTTATTTATTGGCCTGGAACACAGTTTTTAGGTAAAAATCTCTTTTTGATTGGAGTCTGCTTCATCTACAGGAAGATTGAAGACAAAAGTCTATTTTTTCTAAATAAATAAGACATGTCTTCATGGTTTCTTTAACCAAGAAATAATGATTGAGCCAATCTGGACTGAGCTAAGAAGAGGTCTGACTTCCTTTATGTTTTTACTTTTTATGATTGAGATAAGTAAAAATAAATTTATAGGATTTATTGAGATACTTGACATAAATCAAAATTCATTTTAGCTTTCATACAAGGTATAAATTAGTGAATATTCATTAACACCTAGACAGCAATTGTCTACGTATACTACTTTCAAAGGAGATCTTTTTCCTCCCCCAAAGAGTCTTCCTTTGTTTCAAAGCCAAAGATGTTGAATTGCAAAAGGAAAGCTTGAATTTTCCATAAAGGGATGTGAATTTCACAGTCAAAATAGTCTTTGCATATGAGAGAAACTTTTAAGGAAGGATTCTGATGAATTTTTGGTTCTCTTCTATCAAATACTTGGTGGTTATCTCTTGATAGGCTTGCTCAATAGACACACCTCTTGAAGTAGCTGACCATAACCATTAATATGTGACTCAGTATTGATGGCAGTGACACCTAATTTATGCCTTTTTAAAATTACAAATTACTGGCCATCTGGTCTCTCAAAAATAACCATATTCTTTGGAGGTTAAAAAAAACAGATTTGCCAAAATTGACAAATGGGATCTAATTAAACTGAAGAGCCTCTGCACGGCAAAAGAAACTACCATCAGAGTGAACAGGCAACCTACAGAATGGGAGAAAATTTTTGCAACCTACTCATCTGACAAAGGGCTAATATCCAGAATCTACAATGAACTCAAACAAATTTACAAGAAAAAAACAAACAACCCCATCAAAAAGTGGGCAAAGGATATGAACAGACAGTTCTCAAAAGAAGACATTTATGCAGCCAACAGACACATGAAAAAATGCTCATCATCACTGGTCATCAGAGAAATGCAAATCAAAACCACAATGAGATACCATCTCACACCAGTTAGAATGGCAATCATTAAAAAGTCAGGAAACAACAGGTGCTGGAGAGGATGTGGAGAAATAGGAACACTTTTACACTGTTGGTGGGACTGTAAACTAGTTCAACCATTGTGGAAGTCAGTGTGGCGATTCCTCAGGGATCTAGAACTAGAAATGCCATTTGACCCAGCCATCCCATTACTGGGTATATACACAAAGGATTATAAATCATGCTGCTATAAAGACACATGCACACGTATGTTTATTGCAGCACTATTCGCAATAGCAGAGACTTGGAACCAACCCAAATGTCCATCAATAATAGACTGGATTAAGAAAATGTGGCACATATACACCATGGAATACTATGCAGCCATAAAAAATGATGAGTTCATGTCCTTTGTAGGGACATGGATGAAGCTGGAAACCATCATTCTCAGCAAACTATTGCAAGGACAAAAAAACAAAGACCGCATGTTCTCACTCATAGGTGGGAATTGAACAATGAGAACACATGGACACAGGAAGGGGAACATCACACACCGGGGCCTGTTGTGGGGTGGGGGGAGGGGGGAGGCATAGCATTAGGAGATATACCTAATGTAAATGACGAGTTAATGGGTGCAGCACACCAGCATGGCACATGTATACATATGTAACAAACCTGCACATTGTGCACATGTACCCTAGAACTTAAAGTATAATATAATAATAAAACAGGTTTGACAAGGATATTCTGAAAATATTTCTGCCAATATGTAAAAGTCTAAAAATTTTCTGCTTATCAGTTTTTTTTTTTTTTTTTGAGATGGAGTCTTGCTCTGTCGCCCAGGCTGGAGTGCAGTGGCGCGATCTCAGCTCTCTGCAAGCTCCGCCTCCAGGGTTCACGCCATTCTCCTGCTTCAGCCTCCCAAGTAGCTGGGACTACAGGCACCCGCCACCACACCTGGCTCATTTTTTGTATTTTTAGTAGAGACGGGGTTTCTCCATGTTAGCCAGGATGGTCTTGATTTCCTGACATCGTGATTCGCATGCCTTGGCCTCCCAAAGTGCTGGGATTACAGGTGTGAGCCACTGCGTTCGGCTGCTTATCAGTTTTTACACCTATATTATTTGAATACTTTATCTGACATGAATCAGTGTTAGTTCACTCTTCAGGCTTAACTTGTTTCTGTTTTACTTGTTTTGTGAGAGATGACGTTTCATGAAGCAATCAAAACTCTTCCATAAAGAATGTTTGTTTAATTTACTTCCATTCCTTTTCTTAGGTTATAAACTGTGCTTTAGCACAGAGGCATTTTACCTTTCCACTTTCTTACTTTTTTCAGGGATTTTTGTTACTGCTGTTAGGCAAAAGAATGCTCCACCTGATTATAAGAATGTTAGGCTAAAGCTGGGAGTGGCATACTTTCCAACAAAGTTAATGGAGATGGGGCTAAGGCAGAAGCAACATTAAGTTCTGGGTTTATGCGGAGTTGGACAGTTCTGCGCCAGGAGGTATCTGAAGAAGGAGCAAAGTAATGGTGAACAAGCTTGTTATTTTTGATACTATTCTGTAATCAAAGAAACAGGGCTTCTTGGAGAAATGGTGAATCCTAGGGCTGGGGCACAGGATGTGTAAGATGAGCCTGTCATATCTTATAGAGCCATAAATTAAGGAAGTATTCAAAAACAAAATGATGAGGATGTCAAAGGACATAAGAGCCAATCTGAAAAGGCTCACAATGGCCAAAGCTGAAACAATTTGTTCAATACAATAAATAACAGTATTAAATTATAATCATAGTATTAAGTAAATAGACACAGACCAAAAGGATAAAAATAAATTATTGAATAAATAGATATGTTCATGAACAAATAAATAAAGGAGTACAGATAAGTCTCTAATGAATAGTTTATGTAGATAACTTCTTTTCCAAAAGGTGGAATTAATTCTATCCTCTTGAGTGGGGACTTGAATTAGTGACTTGCAAAATTGGTACCAGAAAAGTGGAGCATTGCTATAAAGATACCTGAAAATGTGGAAGTGACTTTGGAACTGGGTAACAGGCAGAGGCTGGAAAAATTTGGAAGGCTCAGAAGAAGACAAAAAAGATGAAGCAAAGTTTGGAATTTGCTGGATACTTGTTGAATGGTTGTGGCCAAAATGCTGAGAGTGATGTGAACAGTGAAGTCTAGGCTAAGGTGGTCTCAGATAGACATGAGGAACTTATTGAGAACTAGAGTAAAAGTCACTCTTGCTATGCTTTAGCAAAGAGACTGGCAGCATTGTGCCCCTGTTCTTGGGATCTGTTGAGCTTTGAACTTGAGAGAGATGATTTAGTGTATCTCATGGAAGAAATTTCTAAGCAACAAAGTGTTCAAGATGTGGCCTGGTTACTTCTAAAAGCCTATGCTCATTTGCACAAACTAAGAAATGACCTGGTGTATATATAAAAATAAATAAATAAAATAAAATAAAATGCATATCAGGAAAAAAAAAAAAAAAAAAAAAGAAATGACCTGAAACTGGAACTTATATTTAAAAGGGAAGCAGGGCATAAAAGTTTAAAAAATTTGCAGCCTGACTATGAGGTAGAAAAGAGAAAACCATTTTCTGTGGAGGAATTCAAGCCTGCTGCAGAAATTTTCATAAGTAAAGAGGAGCCCAATGTTAATAGTTAAGACAATGGGGAAAGTGCTTCCAAGGCATTTCAGAGACCTTTTTGGCAGCCCGTCCCATCACAGGTCTGGAAACCTAGGGTGGAAAAGTGGTTTTGTGGGCCAGACCAAGAGCCCAACTGGGGCACTGCCTATTGGAGCTGTGAGAAAAAGGCCACCATCCTCCAGACCCCAGAGGTAGGTCCATCAACAGCTTGCACCATGCACCTGGAAAAGCTGCAGGCACTCAGCACCAGCCCTTGAGAGCAACCAGGGCAGCTGAGTCCTGCGGAGCCACAGAGACAGAGCTGCCCAAGGCCTTGCAAGCCCACTCACTGCATCAATGTGGCCTGAATGTGAGACATGGAGTCAAAGGAGATTATTTTGGAGCTTTATGATTTAATGTCTGCCTGCCCTGCTGTATCCCTGTTGTTTTGGCTGAATTCTCCCTTTTGGAATGGCAGCATTTACCCAATGCCTGTACCCCTTATTGTGTCTTGGAAGAAACTAACTTGTTTTTTGATTTTATAGGCTCATAGGCAGAAGGGGCTTGCTTTGTCTTCAATGAGACTTTGGACTTGGACTTTTGAGTTAATGCTGGAATGAGTTAAGACTTTGGGGTACCGTTGGGAAGGCATGATTGTGTTTTGAAATGTGAGAAGGACATGAGATTTAGGAAGAGCTTGGGTGGAATGACATGGTTTGGCTCTATGTCCCCCCCAACCAAATCTCATGTCAAATTGTAATTGTCGGTGTTTGGGGAGAGACCTGGTTGGGGATGATTGGAACATGGGGGTGGATTTCTTACTTGCTCTTTTCATGATAGTGAGTGAGTTATTATGAGATCTGGTTGTTTAAAAGTGTATAGCACTTCCCCTTTTAGTCTCTTTTCCTTCTGCTCCAGCTTTGTAGGACGTGCCTGCTTCTCCTTTGCCTTCTGCCATAATTGTAAGTTTCCTGAGGCTTCCCCGGCCATGCTTTTTGTACAGGTTCTGGAACAATAAGCCAATTAAATCTCTTTTCTTTATAAATTACCCAATCTCAGGCAGATGTTTATAGCAATGTCAGAATGGACTAATACAGTCATTAGCAAAGAATACTTGTGTATGAAAAGAGGCAGGGAAAAGTGACTTCATAGAAGAGAAAGCTGACACACATCAGGTGATTAAGGCTAACAGCATCAATGATAAGACATGTACCTCTTATATGATGGGATGAAAATGGCACTATAGCTCTGTATTCTTTCTCCCCAAAACCCATACCAGACAGTTCTCCTAAAAACCGGGGGGGTTCATCAAGCAAAACAAGCAGACTGATAAACTGTCATAGGTCAATGAAAGCTAAAGAGACATACACGATTACTAAGTAAAATATGGGATCTTCAAACAGATAAAAGACAATAATGAAAAACTAATCAAAATTGAATAAAGTGGTTTTTTTTTTTCCTTGAGACAGAGTTATACTCTGTTTCCCAGAATGAAATGCAGTGGCATTATCCCAGCTCACTGCAGCATTGAGCTCCTGGGCTCAAGAAATCCTCTGGCCTCAACCTCTCAAGTAGTCTGGACTACCATCACGTGCCACCAGGCCCAACTTAATTAAAATTTTTTTTTTTTAGAGATGAGGGTTTGATTATGTTTCCCAAGCTGATCTCAAACTCCTGGCCTCAAATGATCCTCCTGCCTTGGCCTCTCAAAGTGTTAGGATTACAGGTATGAGCCATTGCACCTGGCCTGAATAAAGTCTTGAATTCGGTTAGTAGTAATGTACCAAAGTTGTTTCCTTAGTTGTGACAAATGCATCCTGGTTATGTAGATGCTAATAGTAGGGGAGACTAGGTGAGGAGTAATTGGAACTTTCTGTAATGGCTTTGTAATTTTTCTCTAAATTTAAAATTATTCCATATATAAAAGTTTAAAAACTGAACTGTAGTAAGCTTTTCCAAAATGAATAGACCACAGGACGTAAACTGTGCACATGTTCAAATTGTCACTTTTAGTCACACCTTACTTGTTCTGTTTGTCTATGAGATTTATTAGTCTCATATTACAAGTGTCCTCAGGCCAGTTCCTAGAGAGAATGGTGAAATTCCTAAATAATGGATGTCAGAATTGTTGAGAAGGTGGTGTGTATTTCCAAGTACTTGTAGCATGTGGTGTGAGAAGAGTCTTAAGTAGAATGAGGCTCTGTATAACTAGATGACTATTTGTAGGTTCAAATTCAAGGATAGGATCTGTTGGAGACAAAGAGGAAGGGAAGCAGGGGGAAGATGAGAATAGTGCCCCCACATGAATAATTTTGGCATTGTGATAAATTTGTAATCAAATAGGAGACAGAGGTAGCTAAAGTTGGGGCCAGTTGGTGAAGAGAGGAAATGTGGAGAAAAGGAATAAAAATTTAGAAGGTACGTATGCAGGTGGGGTATAGGAGAAAGCTGATGCCACTTCCATTTCTTTCCAGACTGAATGGAGGAGAAAGGGGAAGAGTGAATGGTATCGGTCCCTAGAAAAAGAAAAATACGATTGGTTAATTAAGCTACAATGGGAAGCCAATCAAGCAAAATTTCTTCGTCTGCTGCATCAGACTTTTAAGCAAGTGATTCCATATTTACCAAATTTGAAATGATTGACATCTTTGGAATGATCTCAAGGTGTATGTTGTCATCTAGTTACTAGGTCTGGAGGAGAATGAGACATAGTTAGATCTGTAGTGATTTAAGAGGGAGAGACAAAATTATTGGAACATTATGTTGAAAATCTCTGAAATAGATCTCTTTGCTTTATTTGGCAGTGGAAGCAGTGACATTAGGAAAACTTGGGATTGAGATGACACTGGAAGAAAAGTACTGAGAGAGCATTTGGATTAGGGAGTAAAAGCATAAGTGAGAATAGAGAGTGCTAAATTTCTTCTCTGGGCATTGGAATTAAGAAAATAATCAACAGTTTACATGTTGTAGCATGATTGACAAGAACAAACATGCTTAACAGCTTTCAGATTTGGGAAACAGCCAAATTTAAGGATAACAATTTGGATTACTTTTGCCAGAAAGAATACACTTAAGTACAAAAATAGTCTAATAACATCAAACAAGCAAACACACAAACAAGCAAACGTAGTGGGAAGTAAAGTAATGTGTGCTGCAACAATGTTTTATCCAAATGTTATCAAAGACGAGAGCAGTGTACCTCAACTTTCGATGCTTCATTGACTAGTACCAGAACCATGATTAAACCCAGAGTAGAGCTAACTCCAATTTCACACATTCAGTGTGATATTTCTCGACAATTATGCAGTAACTGAGAATATGAATTGGTAAGTTCAGTAACTTACTCTGAATTGTCTATGATGTTATAAGGAATACTTTTCAAAACAGTTTATATTTTTTGTGTTACACTATTTCCATAAAGAGTTATATTTTTTCTGTTGTGAAAAAGATAATTGAGTAGCAAAGAACATTATGCCTTCTTTTCTCATTCATGGAGGCCTTGGTTGTTCAGGCCAAATTCCCAGTCAAGGTACTGCAGTTGGAGATAGCATGTCTGAATTGATGACAATTTTCACCAATCATGAGTAGGTGGAATCATAATCATAAATCATAATCATAATCGACAATCATGGTATGTAGAAATAGTTCACAGATTATTGGTCTTGTAAATTGTATAATCAGAGCAAACACAGGCACTTTGCTTAATTAAGTACTAGTGGGGTGCATTGTGTATTCAGAATATGAGTGGAAGAAGGAAGTACTACAATGAGAGACTAATTGGTGGTGATAGTAGAAAGAGCTTCAAGTGGAACTGGGAGAGAAGACGTGAGAAAAAGATGCAAAGAGAGGCTAAAAAAACAGAGCTGCAGGAACTTAAGTTGAAATCTTTCCTTGTCAAAGAAGAATCATGGATGGGAGGAATGAGCTGATGTGTCATTGGTGGCAGGTGTATGAAGATGGAGCCAGGTGAGAAAAGGCCCAGATAAACAAAGCCTGGCCACAATCTCCAAAGAACATTCTGAGCCATTACATGGCTGTTTCTTCTTTTTTAATATTCAAAAAGAGAATTCTAATGCAACTAGTTGGGATTTTGCTTTTTGGTTTGTTTCTTCGCTTTAAAAAATTTCTTTTGATTTATTTTTTTATTTCAATAAGTTTTTCAGGAGCAGGTGGTGTTTGGTTAGAAGAATAAGTTCTTTAGTGATGCTTTCTGATATTTTGGTGCACCCATCACCTGAGCAGTGTACACTGTGCCCAGTGTGTAGTCTTTTATGTTTCTTCTTAAAATTGCAACCATTTTTATTTTAATGGGCCCTCAGGGCCACTCTTGAAGAAATTCCGTCAGATGTACAATTGATAACAAATTACAAAAGCATTTTGAAGGTTTCATCTTATGCTCACCTGGTTGGCACTGGCTGAATTTCACAGTGCCCATCTTTCCTTCCCACTTGTCTTAGATCCCAAATTGCAAGGTTATTTAGTGAATACGAAGCAACAAGGTAAAGAAATTGCAACAGCTTGAGATTTATGCAGAGACTGTGTCATCCAGACTTTTGTTCCCTCTTCCAACTTCACAAAAGTGATGGATTACCAGACAAAGATCCACAGGATTTATAAATCAGCTCAAACATAATAGTGATGTTTGGAACTGGTACCAAGTTTACTGGAGCTAATTCTTTCAATTTTAGAGCTTTATATAACCCTTTCTTGCATGCACTGTGATTGCCTTTATAGATGGATTAATAAATTACTCCTGGTATACAGAATACATGGGAGGCTGACTGTTTGCACAGCGTGGGACCAAGACCTGAGTGTTCAAATATCGGAAGACAGCTGGAACACAATCTGTGCAAAGGCAATGAGAGCCACCAGGTCTATTCAATACTAACTTAGAACATCTAGTGAGAATTGGGAAAATCTCATTGAGTTATACATTTATAAATTTAGTAACCTGACATCCTCCCCTCTTTTTCCCTCTCTTTCATATATTTTGAACTATAAGACTAGCTCACTAGAGCAATTTGTCTTTGATATACTGAGCTCCATTTCCAAAATATGATATATGATAAGAGAAATTTTTCTTTGCAAGAATCGTGTATATATGTCTCTTTTATAAGGAGGAAGAAATCTTGGTTTTGATGTGGGTTTCTCTGCTGCCAACAAAGGATAGCAGAGACTGAAAACAACAGTATTTAAATTAAGCTAACTTTTGTGTCTCTCTTTGTTTAAAATAATCTCTCCAAAACTATAGATGAGACAGTTGTATAGGTTTACATTGCTTGCTTTTATATTTTTAGTGGTTTCTGTTAGTGTATTAATTACTCAATGTGTAGAGGATAAATGATGTTGGAAACAATACTAATGCTTTCGGGTCTTCAGAAGACTATATACACCAAGGAAAAAGCTTCACAGTGCTGCTTTTTATCCATGGGGAAGGCCCCAGAGTTTTAGGTCACCACAGGCCTGCCTTAGCGTTATTCTGGTGAGGGATGGTCAGTGGTTCATTCCCACGGTTCAGTGGCTCTTTGGCTTGGGCTTAACTGGCTACAGAGTGAGCTTCTGGAGGGATCCAGGTTGTTGAGACATCAAATATAAATTTTTAATGAAGTTGTGGAAATTCTTATTAAATGGTAAATCACCCGATTAAGAAGTCAGGGGTAGATGGGAGTGGTTGTTTTTGCCAGATAAAAAGCAAATCTAAAATCCATAAAATTTACTCTTTACCTCTAAACTTCCCATATAATTATGATTACAGACCATCATCATTGAAAATTCTCTTTTGAAATTAGTTATCTAACAGTCATGAGCCAATAAGATACACTTACATGTTTCTGAGGAATACTGTCTTTTGAAGGGAGTTAGTATAAATGCATACTAACAGAGTTTAAAATAATACTATCAATGACAGACTGAATTAAGAAAATTTGGTACATATACACCATAGAATACTGTGCAGCCATAAAAAAGAAATAGATTATGTCCTTTGCAGGGACATGGATGGAGCTGGAGGCCGTTATCCTAAGCAAAGTAATTCAGAGACAGAAAAACAAATACTGCATGTGCTCACTTATAAGTGGGAGCTAAATGATGAGAACACATGGACACATAGACAGAGACAACACACACTGTCCCTACCAGAGGGTAGAGGGTCAGAGAAGGGAGAGGATCAGGAAAAATAACTAACGTGTACTAGGCTTAATACCTGGGTGAAGAAATAATCGGCATAACAAACCCACATGACACATGTTTACCTATGTAGCAAACCTGCATGTGTACCCCTGAACTTAAAATAAAAGGTAAAAAAGAAAAAGACTTAGAACTTTTAAAAACTTTTTTTCATTTTTCACTCACCAGTCTGTCTGATTTCTTTGGCTTCATCAAGATGAGGTGTCAAATAACCAAAGATAAGCAAATGGAAAGTTTCCAAACACAGGATTACAAAGATTTTTTATGTGAGTCTTCAAATAAAAGTGTGAGTGGGAAAATACCCTAAAATTAAAGCTGATTAGCTGTATGGGTGCCCTGGAGCTGATGCTTTTAGTTTGCCAACCTTTCATGAATACCTTAAGATTGATTCATTCAATCATTTTCTCTGATTACACATATTGTTACCTTGCAGTGTGTAAAACTATGAAAAAAGTTAAGGCATCTGTTTTGTTTTTGTGAGTATATATAAATACATATATATACACACCTCTATCATTTCTGTGCTATAATAATAAATTTGCTTTTGTAATTTAACTCAGAACGTTTGCAAGTTTTTATATAATGTAGTTAATATAATGTGACATTTCAACTATATTAAAATATGAATATTAAGGACTATATGCTGTCTAAGTCCACATGGGAAAAACCTCAGTGTATACTGACACAAGTTGTGCATGTCAATCAAGGGTGGAATGAAAAACTATAAATGCTGTATGAGGGAAAGCATCTGGAATTTTGTTTTCTTTTTTTCTTTTCTTTGATGATGGTTTGTACAAGCAGCCATTGAGTTTCTGTTGAACCTCATTGTTCTACAGCAGCCCTATGACCATTTAACACACCTCTTCTGAGGTGTGTTAATCCAATTATCTCACCTTGATGCATGTTACGTGTTTGGCAGAAATAATACCACGTATTATCTTTCATGTTTTCCCCATGACTGAATTGTGGAAACAGCTCACATTTCTTAGGCTTGACCTGTTGAGCTTATGTTCAATACAATTTATTTAATGCTTGGGTACAATACCTCTACATTTCATAGCAATTTATAGTTAAGTGTGACTTTTATCCCCTATCAGGATGCAATAAATATTTGCTTCTACTGATTTCTGCTGGGAAGCAATATCTAGGCATTTCATATAATCAGCACGATGATTTTGTCTGGAGGGCCATGTTTGTTAAAGCTTTTAATGCACTATATACTTTAGTTCACTTTTCATCATTTATACCTATCCAGGGCTGGAAAGGACTTAAAAGGTCATATAGTCCTTATAGCAGCCACACCAGTCCTGTCCCTGACTTTAAGTAGCACCAGAAAGCCTTTAAAATTAGGAGGAATTGATCTGTTTTCTTAAAGATCTTCTTAAAAGAGATTCCTGACACCCATCAGTCACTGATTTATGTAACTAGCAATTCTTACTTTTGGGGCATTCTTCTTTATGTTAAACAAGCTTGTTAAGTTGCTGTTAAGAGCAGCTTCTTTTGATCCACCCTTAGTAGATATGGAAAATTGTTACTTTTCTGTGATAAACAAGAAAAAAGAGAGCAAAAACCCTGAAAACAGTTATGAAACCACCATTCTTAGCCTACTCTTCTCTGGGCTGAAGTTTCAAATTTTCCCTAGACCTTATTTGAATATATTTTAGTCACATTTGTCACTCTTTTCCAGATACTATTCAAGCTTTTTATGCCATTAAAAAATTGTGTATTCTAACTCTGGACACAGTACCCTAAGATTAATATATGGGTACAAAGGAATCACATCTCAAAATCTCAATTCCCCAAAGGACTTTTACTCTTTGATGAACCTCAAACTTTTGAAATCTAATTATACAGAGAAAAGGGCAGTTTCTGCCAATAGTACTTGCTTTGGTCCTCCTCAATTTCTAGTGTGGATATGGGCCATTTTTTTCCATTTCCGTTTTTAATACTCCTTTAGAAAAGAAGATTTCTTCTACATATTTTCTTAATTTATCTCATTTAGCACAATAGTGAAATCACTCTTCATTGTCTGCTAAGTCAGTGAATGAACAATAATTTATTAAACTCCAAACTATGTGTATGGCACTGTGCCCACTGCATCCCTATGATGGCTTAAGCAGTATGGTCACCTCATGGCTTGAGTTTGAATCCAGTCTTGGAAAATTTTGATGCAAGCCTGCTCCTGGGATCCCCTGGCATTCTACAGATGTGAGAGTATGGACTCTGTTTCTCTGAATCTATATATCAGAAGTAAAGGGTCATTCATTCACTGATTTATTCACCATTTATTCAAAAAATATTTTTTTAAACATGTGCTACGTTCTAGGCTCTATGTTCTGTGCTGGTATTCAATGGCAAACAAAAACACACATTAGACCTTCTCTTATGGAGCTTTCAGTCTAATAGGAGAAGAAGACATTAGAGAATCATACAAGTGCATGTATAATCACAAGAATAAAAATGCTATAAAGGAGAGGTGTAAGTGTCATGAGAACATGAGAACTGACCTGTCAGGGAGAGAGGGGAAAACCTTCCTGAGAAAAAAACACCTGAGTTGAGGTGTAAAGGAAGAACAATGGATTCTTACTAACCCACATAATGTCACTGTACTTGCCTCCAAAAGCGATTAGATTTGTGGGGAGAAAGATGGGGGTCAGGTATGGAAGGGTAGAGACAAGATGGTAGTTGTATAGAATAATGCAGGTTCCCTCCAGGAACTGGATGGTCAGAATGCAAGCAGCAGATATTTAGACAAATTGCTGCTTAGCTTAAAAAGAAAAAAACCGAAAAAAGTAAAAGTCAGTTGCCTCAGGTTTTCAAGTTGGAGGGAAAAAGGAAGAAATTAAACCCTGGTACATAGATGTGAAGACCATGACTCAAGTAGTATTGCCTGGCAGAGGATTTTGTGATGACTTCTTTTTCTTTCTTAATTGGTAGTGTTGATAGGTGATGAAGCACTTTGGGGAATGTAGTTTTTTAATTTAAGTTTTATTTTAAGTTCAGGGGTACATGTGCACATGTGTTATATAGGTAAACTTGTGTCATGGGGGTTTGCCATACAGATTATTTCATCACCCAGGTATTAAGCCTAGTACCAATTAGTTATTTTTCCTGATCCTCTCCCTCCTCCCACCGCCCCCTCCACCCTGTGGTAGGCCCCAGTGTCTGTTCTTTCCCTCTGTGTGTTTATGTGTTCTCATCATTTAGCTCTCATTTGTAAATGAGAAAATATGGTATTTGGTTTTCTGTTCCTGCATTAGTTAATGGCCTTCAGCTCCATCTATGTTTCTATAAGAGACATGACTGCATTGTTTTCATGGCTGCATAGTATTCCATGGTATATACATACATTTTCCTTATTCAGTCTACCATTGATGGGCATTTAGGTTGATTTCTTGTCTTTGCTATTGTGAATAGGGCTGCAATGAACATATGTGTGCATGTGTCTCTGTGACAGAATGACTTTTTAAAATAATAAAGTGATCCCATGGTTCCTACTAGATAGACTCCAATAGAATGGTAGATTTAAATGTGGGAGTTCAAAGCAAAATAATTCAGAATGAGTAAAATAATTGTGGAGTGTTCCCTGGAATGTTACAACAGAGGGTTGAAGACAGTGATTAAACAGGACTGACTCAACACATTAAATACCTCATAGAGTTATTTTAAGGCATAAACATGTTAATATATATAAAACCCATAGAAAATGCATAGCCAACAATAGACACAGTATGAGTAGTATCGTTATGTGCCAGACATTACTCTAAGTCCTTTTGTATGTATATTCTCGTTAAATCCTTAAACAATTGCACTCGGTTAGTATAATCCTCGTTTTATAGATTAGGAAGCTGAGTCACAAAGAAGTTAAGTGACTTGTCTAAGATACACAACTGGCAAAGCTTGGTTTTGAACCTAAATAATGTGAATCAAGAACCCATACTCTTATATAGTATATTATACTTTATCCCTTCTAAGTTTCATCCACATGTTTGTGTTCTATATAGTCTTAATTAGGATATATATGTGAAATTTATTTTTTATATTTTTAGTAAACATTGTTTTGTGAATAATTTTTATGATGCTACATTGTGGTCTTAATAGGTATTTTAAATTTATAAAAAATACTCCATTATGTTGATGTGCCCTAATTCATCTCCCTATTACGTTATTATGAAGCTTTTAGGTTGTTTATAGAATTTTGCTTTTATAAATATCACTATTATGGGTAACTTTGTGATACAGCTTTTTCTTCCTTTGAAGATCAGTTCTGAGGAACTAAATTGCTGGGTTATATGGTATAAACATTTTGAAATATATAAGAAACTATGACATATGAAACACATACACGAAATTAACAATCACCTATAATTCATCCTTTATTCTTTTTTATTGTATATGAATTGAAAACATTCTCTTTTCCTCACTTCTAGAACCATATCACACAGGAGACCACTGTTAGCAGTTCAGCATACATCCTTTTCAGGACACATGCATGTTTTCACATCCCAAAAGATATTTCCTCCCAGTTGACATCAATTATCAAAGAGCACGTACATTCATGACTCTATCTTAGAGGTGCTTAACACTGGTGGTGCATCAAAATGACATATGGCATTTTAAAACATACATATACCTGGAGACCCTTTGCTAAATTTACTGAATAATAATCTTTGGATAATGGGACTGAAGTATGTCTCTTAAATCCCATAGGTGATTCTGAGTATCCAATTGGTTGAGAACCAATTATTTAATGAATAATATTATCCAGCTCTCATTTCTCTATCTTGTCCACAAATATATCGTTAGTTCAATAGACATTCATTGAGCCAAATTATATATGTAAAATCCTAGATACTGGGCCAATAAGAATGATACAAACATGTACCCTACTCTTTAGAAGCTCATATTCTGTCAAAGAATACCAAAATTTAATTGGATAAATTAAAATATAATTTGGTAAGAAATAAAAACAAAGTATTTTGGGAATACAGAAACTGGAATAATCACATATGACAAAAATAAATAAGACATAATTGAGGAACTAGCATTTACGCTGGGTCTTGAAAACATGAGTAGGAGTTTGTAAAAAGGATGTCTCAGGCAAGGAGAACAGCATCCAAAAGGTACGGTGTGAAGAACAAGGCTGGGCATATTTAGCAAATGTTGATAATTAAATACGAGAGAAATGTAAAGTGCGTACATTCTAAAAGGTGGACTGAGTGACAAATTGAAGGTGATAATTATGTAAATAAAAGTTGATGGCAGCTTGTGAAAGATCATCCATCGTGTTCCCAAGTAGGACAACCAGATGGGTATGTCCAGAGGACACTTGTATATAAAGATGTAGAACTCATGGGAGAAATTTGAGCTGTGAACATCCACATGTAGATGATAGTTGAAGGTATGATAGTGGATGAAATCACCAGAGAGACTGTGTAGCTAACTAAAGGCAGAATTTAAGGGAACACCAGCCTTTAAGGTGCCAAAAAAGGGGTAAAACAAAAACAGAAGGAATGGTCAAAAGAGGAATCAGGAGAATCCAGAGAGGACAATTTTGCCATGAAGGTCAAGTAAGAAGAGCATTTTAAGAAAGTTTTTTTTAAAAAAATATTTTTGCATTCAGAATAGGGACAAATTGAACATCATTGTAAGCATAGGAAAATAGCCAGCGAGATGGCAGATATTGAAGATTTTCACAAATGTCTTCTGGAAATCCAGGTAAACTGTGTCTAAAGTGCATCTATGAGCTTCCAGCCTAATTACTCTATTTAAAAGGGAAATGAGGTGTAAAAATATGAAATAACAAAAAGACATAAATAGAGTTTTTGTTTTTTTTTAAATCTTTGAATGGGAAAGGACTTTTAAAGTATAAAGGCAATGGAAAAAAATCAATGAGAAGACCAATAGATTTGACCATAGATTTTTAAAACTTCCATATGCCAAAAATATAAAAGCAACATAAAAAGACAAATTGGGGAAACATTTACAAAAAATATGACTGGAAAAGTGTTATTTTCATATATATTATATGAGCTTATGCAAATCATTAAGAAAACATTAAAGCCCAGTAAAAACTGTCAACAAACATGATCACACACATCAAAGAAGAGGGATTAAATGTAATAGTTAAATATAAAAAAGAAGTACAATCTCACTGCTGTTCAGACAGTTGCAAATTTTGAAATTAACATATTATTTGTTTTAACCAATCTGTCTGAGAAATAAATGCTCTGTATTGGCAAGTGTTCAGTGAAATGGACATCCACTTATAGTGATGGGACTAGAAATTGGTAATACCTTTGTAGGAAGCAATTTGGAAATATATATTAAGGGCATTAAAATGCTCATATCCCTTGACTTTGTAATCACATTTCTAAGAAATACATCCCAAGGAAAAATTCAAAACTCAAAAATAGCTTTGTTGCCAGGATATTTAATATAACATTGCTTATAATAGCCAAAAAAATTAAAAAAATCATAATTGGGAGGATAATTAAATAGTGATACACATGCATAATAGGCTATCATTCACATTAAATTTCAAATATTTAAATATTAAATTTGAATATGGATAAATTTTAATAAGTGGGGAAATGGCCTATAATTCAGCATTCTATGCTCAGAGCACAACACAGTGTTTGGCACAGAGTAGAAATTAGATACATATTTATTGGATGAATACTGAGAGAAATAATGTTAAATAAAAAGAAAGACATTAAACTGCAAATTTATAACATATCAAGTATGTAAAAATAATAGGTAATTAAAAAGATCCTAAATATACCAGTTGGAGTTAGAGGCAAATTATGGGTGATTTATGTAGACTTGGCATGACATGGTCTTGGTGAATCCATGTTGGCTCTGAATAAATCACAACTTCCTTTTCTAAGTGCCCACAAACTATTTAATATTCCATTTTAGAATATTGCCAGGAATAAACGTCAAGCTGATTGTTTTTTATATTTGACTTATGTATTCTTGTACATACTGAAAATTAGAATACTTGCCTGATTCTAGACTTCCAGAATGTATCTATCGAGATTTTCATAATTTCTCGAAGTTAACAGTAGTATTTGGTGATTATATGGAAGTTACATGGTCACTCAGGATCCTCAGGTGTAACTTCCTTGGGCCAGGAGTTTTTTTTTTAAAAAAAAAAAAAAAAAAAAAAAAAAAAAAAAAAAAAAAAAAAAAATCCCTTTAGAGCTACAGGTGTTTTTACTTATTAAGGACTTCAAACATTTTCTCTTAAGGAGGTTTATTCTACCAGTTTCTGCTGGGAAATCATTATCTTTGATGGATGAAACAGGAGTGGGGAAGTTCTTTCTAATCTAATCCAGGCAGGGGTCTATTTCAATTCTTCATCTTGTTCCAAATGGGGAAAAATACAAAAGGAACCAAAAATCCATTTTCTTATTCAAAATTCACTCTCATCTTTTACCTTTCTGACTGCTCTTATGAGTCCAGATAACATTTCATTTTTCCTTTTTCCTATTGAAAAAGTATAAAGAAAATCTGGATGGAGACGTTAATTGTGCCATTTGTAAGGAAATTGCTTTCACTCCTAATCTGAGCTTCAGTTTCCTTGGCTGTAAAACGTGGATCATAAAAATTTCCTTACCTGTTTTTCAGGTATATTATGACGATCAAATCAGATAATAGATAAGTAAAAGCTTTGTAAATGTTGTGTTAGCACACATGCAGTATTCTTTTCATGAAATGATTTGCTGACCTGCTTCCTCTTGTCAGTCTCATTGATTCCTAATTATCATTCAAGTAAGTGCCATCTCTCTGAAACTTCCCCAAACATTTGCATGCATTTAATCCTCTAACTTCCTTAAAGGAGCAGTTATATTTTTGCTTTCCTCTGTGCTCCTGTTACTTGACACAGATTTTGACTGCTTTAAAAAAAACTAATAACTGACAACATTAATTCATTGTTTTATAATTGTTTATGTCTATGCCTGTCATCCCTCCCTAAACTCTAAACGTCAGCCTGGGCTTTGACTCCTTGAGACAAATTTGATTCATTTTTGTAACTCCAGTCTAGTGCTTCATACATACCAATGTTTGCTGAGTAGATGAATAAATCAATGAATGAATGAATGACAATACCAACTATAAAATACTATGCACTTGGCTCCATAGTTCAAGGGTTAGAGCACTGGTCTTATAAAATGCTATGCACACATAAGGAATTGTTCTCAGTTGTTTCATCTTCCTTTCTCTTCTTTATGTTATTTAAAACCTAATAAGCTACACAATATTATTCAGGCAATTAATACTTTCCTTTTGTGTCTCCTTCCTTCCTTCCTCTCTTTCTTCTTCCCCTCTCTCTCCTTCTTCCTTCTTTCTTTTTTCTCTTTCTTTTCTCCTTTCTTTTCTTTCTTTCTCACTTTCTTTCTTTCTTCTCTCTCTCTTCCTTTATTCCTTCCTTCCTTTCTTCCTTCCCTCTTTCCTTTCCTTTCTCCTTCCTTCCTTTTTACTTCCTTCCCTTCTCTTCCCTTCCGTTCCTGTTCCCTTCCCCTCCTTTCCCCTCCCTTCCCCTCCCCTCCCCTCCCCTCCCCTCCTCTTCCCTTCCACTCCCTTTTGACAGAGTCTTCCTCTTTTGACCAGGCTGCAATACAGTGATACAAACATAGCTCACTGCAGCCTCCAACTCCTGGCCTCAAGGTATCATCCCACCTCAGCATCCCAAGTAGCTAGTACTGCAGTTGCGCTCCACTATGACTAGCAGACAGATAGATAGATAGAAAGATCTCTCTCTCTCTCTCTCTCTCTCTCTCTATATATATATATATATATATATATGTATGTATGTATATATATATGTTTGTGTGTGTATATGTATATACACACACACACATTTTGTAGATATGGAGTCTTACTATATTGCTCAGACTGGTCTCAAACTCCTGGGCTGAAGCCATTCTCCCCACTCAGCCTCCCAAAGTGTTGGGATTACAGGCATGAAACACCGTCCTTGACCTTGTTATTTCTTGATTGTACTGTTGATTTCACTTCTCACAAACTTTGAGCCAAAGACCCTCTTCGAATTTCCTATCATGGAATTATACACAGTTATTGAAATCTACCCACCCATTACTTCTTTGGCTTTCACAAAACCCTGAAATGATAGGATCACTTACTTCCCCTTCCCAAGATTCATTTCCATTTCACTGATCCTTTCTAGTGGAATTGGATTTGGACTAACAAATCCTCTCTTTGCTTCTTTTACCTTCTGAGTAAAAAGCTTGACAAAAGGTCAAAGAAAACCTTGGCATCACACCCTTACTCCAGCGTGGCTATTCAGATATAATAAATGGCGTTATTCTGAATTCATACTTGGGTACAGACTCTTTACTCCATCTTGAACATGTGCTTCTGATGACTTTCATCCAGTGCACTGTAGTACCTATTTTATATTCTGTGTTCTCTGCATGAGCTCAACTGTCCTTGTGCTGGCTCCTCACTCCTACACTTGGTACTTATGTTTTTGACTCTAAATAATTAAGGTTAAAACCAGGAAGGGTAAATTCTTTTAATTTATAAAAGCTGTATTAAGATATACTTCACATACCATAAAATTCGCTCATTTAAATTGCACAATTAAGTGATTTTTAAAATCATATTCACAGAGTTGTTGTACAACCATCGTCACTACCTAATTTTAAAGTATTTTCATTAGCCCCCTGAAAAACCTCTTACCCATTAGCAATTACTCCCTAATCCCCCTTTCTGCCAAACTCTGACAACCATCAATCTCCTTTCTATCTCTATAGATTTGTTGTCTGGACATTTCAAATAAATGGAATCACAAAGTATGCGGCCTTTGTGTCTGGCATTTTTCACTTAGCCTAATGTTTTTAAGGTTCATCACGTTGTAACAAAAAGAAGTATTTAATTGCTTTTCATAACTGAATAATATTCCATTGTATGACTATACTATATTTTATTTATCCATTTATTAGTTAATAGACATTTGGTTTGCTTCCACATTTTGGCTGCTATAATAAGGCTGCTATGAACATTTGCATACAAGATTTTTTTCTTTTACTTTTTAATTTTTGTGAGTACATAGTAGGTATATATGTTTATGGGGTACATAGGATATTTTGATACAGGAATGCAATAAGTAATAATCACATCATGGAGAATGGGGTATTCATCTGCTCAAGCATTTATTCTTTGTGTTACAAACCATCCAATTATTCTCTTCTATTTTAAAATGTACAATTACATCATTTTGACTACAGCCACCCCGTTGTACTATCAGATACTGAGTATTATACGTTCTTTCAAACTTTTTTTGTACACATTAACCACCTCCACCTCCCACCCACTCTGCACTACCCTTCGCAACCTCTGGTAACCATCCTTCTAATCTCGAATTCCATGTGTTCAATTGTTTTGATTTTTAGATATCACAAATAAATGAGAACATGCAATATTTGTCTCTCTGTGCTTGGCTTATTTCGCTTAACAAAATTATCTCCAATTCCATCCATGTTGTAACAAATTATAGAAACTCATTCTTTTATATGGCTGATTACTACTCTATTGTGTATATGTACCACTTTAAAAAAATCTATTCATCTGTTGATGGACACTTAGGTTACTTCCAACTCTTGGCTAGGGTGAACAGTGCTGCTAGAAACATGGAAGTGCAGATCTCTTTTCAATATATTGATTTCCCTTCTTTTGGGCATACACCCAACAGTGGGCTTGCTGGATAATATGGTAGCACTATTTTTAGTTTTTTGAGGCACCTCCAAATTGTTCTCCATAGTGATTGTACTAATTTATATTCCCACCAACAGTTTATGAGGGTTCCTTTTACTCCACATCTTTACCTGTGTTTGTTATTGCCTGTCTTTTGGATAAAAGCCATTTTAAATAGGGTGAGATGATATCTCATTGTAGTTTTGATTGGCACTCCTCATGATCAATGATGTTGAGTGTCTTCAATATGTCTGTTTGCCATTTGTATGTCTTCTTTTGACAAATGTCTATTCAAATATTTTGCCCATGTTTTCATTGGATTATTATATTTTTTCCTATAGAGTTGTTTGAGCTCCTTATATATTCTGGTGATTAATTCCTTGTCAGAGGGGTAGTTTGTAAATATTTTCTCCCATTTTGTGGATTGCCTCTTCAATTTGTTGATTTTTTTCCTCGGCAAAGGAATAATGTTGAATAACAGTGGTGACAGTTGGGCATCCTTGTTGTGTTCCAGATCTTAGAGGAAAGGCTTTCAGTTTTTTCTTATTTAGTAAGATATTAGCTGTGGGTCTGTTGTATATGCATTTTACCATGTTGAGGTATGTTCCTTCTATGTCCAGTGTTTTGAGTGTTTTTATCATGAAGGGATTTCGAACTTCATCGATTTTTTTGACATCAATTGAAATAATCATATGGATTGTGTCCTTCATTTTGTTGATATGATGTATCCCATTGATTGATTTGCGTATGTCGAATCATGCTTACATCCCTAGGAAAAATCCCACTTTGTCATGACAAATGGTCTTTTTAGTGTGTTATTGAATTTGATTTGCTCTTTTTTATTAATAATTTTTGCATAAATATTCATCTGAGATACTGGCATGTAGTTTCCTTTTTTTGTTGTGTCTGTCTGGTTTTGGTCCCAGGATAATACTGGCCTTGTAGAAAGGTTTTGAAGTATTCCCTCATCCTCTATTTTTTTGGAATAGCTTGAGTAGGATTGGTATTAGTCCTTTTTTAAATGTTTGGTACAATTCAGCAGTGAAGCTGTTGGATCATGGGCTTTTCTTTACTGGGAGACTTTTTATTAAGTCTTCAAGCTCATTACTTGTTATCAGTCTGTTCAGGTTTTGGGTTTCTTCCTGGTTCAATCTTGGCAGATTTTATGTGTCTAGAAATTTGTCCATTTCCTCTAGATTTTTTAATTTGGCATATAGTTTTCCACAGTAGCCACCCACCAATGATCCTTTTAATTTCTGTGATATCCATTGTGATAGCTCATTTTTCATCTCTGATTTTATTTGCATCTTCTCTCTTTTTCCTTTGTTAGTCTGGGTAAAGGTTTGTGAGTATTTTTATCTTTTTTAAATAACAACTTTTTGGCCGGGCGTGGTGGCTCACGCCTGTAATCCTAGCACTTCGGGAGGCTGAGGTGGGCGGATCACGAGGTCAGGAGATCGAGACCATCCTGGCTAACACGGTGAAACCCCGTCTCTACTAATAATACAAAAATTAGCTGGGCGTGGTGGCAGGCGCCTGTAGTCCCAGCTACTCGGGAGGCTGAGGCAGGAGAATGGTGTGAACCCGGGAGGTGGAGCTTGCAGTGAGCCGAGATCGTGCCACTGCACTCCAGACTGGGTGACAGAGAGAGACTCTGTCTCAAAAAATAAACAAACAAACAAACAAAAAAACAACTTTTTGTTTCATTAATCCTTTGTATTGTTTTCTTCATTTCAAATTCATTTATTTCTGCTCGAATTTTTATTATTTATTTTCTTCTACTACTTTTGGGTTTTTTTACTCTTGGTTGTTTAGTTCTTTAAGATACATTATTAGATTATTTATGTGAAGTTTTAATTCTTTTTTGATGTAGGGACTTATAGCTGAAAACATTCCTCTCAGTATTGCTTTTGCTATATCTCATAGGTTTTGATACGCTATGTTTTCAGTATCTTTTGTTTCAAGAAATTTTAAAATTTCCTTCTTAATTTCTTCACTGACCCACCAATCATTCAGGAGAATATGATTTAATTTCCACCTGTTTGTGTAGTTTTCAAAGTTCCTCTTGTTGATTTCTAGTCATATGGCATTGTGGCCAGAGAAGATGCTGATATTATTTTCATGATTAGATTGTTTTAAGACTTGTTTTGTGACATAACATATGGTCTATCCTTGAGAATGATCCATGTGCTGAGGAGAAGAATGTGTATTTTGCAGCTTTTGGATAAAATGTTCTGTACATATATATTAAATTCATTTGTTTTATAGTGCAGAATAAGTTTACTGTTTCTTTGTTGTCTTTCTGTCTGGGAGATCTGTCCAATGCTGAAAGTGGGGGTGTTAACGTCTCTAGCTATTAATGTACGGGGTCTATCTCTCTCTTTGTCTCTAATAATATTTGTTTCATGTATCTGGATGCTCCAGTGTTGGGTGCATATATATTTACAGTCATTTTATCCTGTTGCTGGATTCACCTCTTTATCATTATATGACTTTGTCTCTTCTTACAGTTGCTGTCTTGAAATCTATTTTGTCTGATATAAGTATAGCTACTCCTACTTTTTTTGGTTTCCATTGTTATAGAATATCTTTTTCCATCCCTTTATTTTCAGACTATGTGTATCTTTATAGATGAAGAGTGTTTCTTGTAGGCAACATATCATGGGGTCTTGTTTGTAAATCCTTTCAGCCCCTCTATGTCTTTTGATTGGAGAGTTTAGTCCATTGTGTTATTATTGATAAGTAGGGGCTTACTCCTGCCATTTTATTATTTGTTTTCTGATTGTTTTGTGGGCTCTCCCTTCTTTCTTTCCTTCCTCTCTTCCTTTTAGTGATGGTGATTTTCTCAGGTGGTGTGATTTAATTACTTTTTCTTTTTTGCATATCAATTATATATTTTTCAATTTGAGGTTACCACGAGGCTTGGAAATATTATTTTGCAACTCACTATTTTAAACTGGTGTCAACTTAACACTGATAGCACAAAAAAACTAATAAAAACTCTGAAGTTTAACTTCATCCCCCCACTTTTTACCTTTTTTGTTTCTTTTTATATTTTAATTGTATTGTCTATGTATTGAAATGTTGTAGTTATTATTTTTCATAGATAGTTTATCATAGAGAATGTTACACATACACTTGAGAAGAATGTGTGTTCTTTTGTTATTGGGTAGAGTGTTCTATTGACTTTAAATCTGCTGTTGAATCCTGTAGCGTATTTTTTATTTTAATTATTGCATATTTTTTTCTAAAGTTTCTATTTGGTGTTTCTTTTTAGTTTTTATCTCTGATTAATATCCTTTATTTGGTGAGAGATTGTTTTCTTAGTTTCCTTTAATTCTCTGCACATAGTTTCCTTTAACTTTCAGTATATGAAAGGCAGATGATTTAAAGTCATTATTAAGTATAGCCCATGTCTTGATTTTCTCAGGGATTGTTCCATTGACTGCTTCTATTCTTGTGTATGCATCACACTTTCCTGTTTCTTTGTGATTTTTGTTGGAAACTAAGTATTTAGAAAATATAATGTGGTAACTCTGGAAACTGGATTAACTGAATCCTCACCCCCTGAATTTTTTTGTTGTTTCTGTTTGTTGATACTGCCCTTTGTTAGTTTACTTTTCTGAATTAAATCTGTAAAACAAGTATTCTTTGTCACGTGTGACCACTGATATCTATACTTAGTTATCTTAGTTGTCAGCTAATGATTGGCTAGAGATTACCTTAGGTGTCTTGAAACAATATGTCCCCCTACCTTTGCAAAGGCTCTGTATGTTTTTGGGGGCATGTTACCTGCTTACAGATAGAATCAACATCAATCAGATGGATAAATTAGGGCCTTCTCATGTCTGGCAATGGACACAGCCCTAAATATGCATGTGGCTTTCCAGATTCATAGGCATGCGTTGGAGGTTTTTAAAACTCCCCATGACATATTATTTTCCAGTTTCCCTTTTAAGTTTTTTTTTGTCATCTTGTTACTACCCATAACTGGAATTTCTACTGCAGGCAGCTACAATATTAAACAATTGCTGCTGATTGTTTTGGACAAACACCCTAGGGATAGAGCTGTTTGCACAGAGTGAGCTCTGAGTCAGGTCAAATACAGAGAAGTCTTAAGAATGTAGCTGTTTAGGTGGTTGCCTGACAGATTAAAATGTGACAATTATTTTAGAATAAGGCTTTTAAGGAATTCCAAACCCATTTTGACACCTCCAGTGTCTGCTGGGCTGTTGGTGTGCACAGATACAGCAGTTGTGAGGCTGTTAGTTTTCAGGTTAGTAGAGAACTAGAGAGAGATAGATGGGAATAGAGCAAGTTGAAATGTCATAAAACTCACCGTTCTTACTAACATTAAGTCATTTTTCTTGAATAAACACTTCTAGAATTGTTGCAAACTGTTTGATAATTTCCATTGTTCTTAAAAAGTTGAAAACTTTTGCGGGTGTTCTCATGCTTTTATAGAATTGTGATTTTCAGGGGATTTTACTTTAGAAGAGTTTCTTCAGAAATAGTAAGTTCTGTTCCTAGAAGTCAAATAAATTACTTTATTAAGGTGCCATGGTGAGTAAAAAACTCATAGGTTTTGCAATTAGATGCACAGTAGATCGAATCCCAGCTCACTTGCTTACTAGTTATGTAATCTTGAATAAGTGATTTATCCTCCCAGAATCTCAATTTTCCCATTTATTCAATGGGGATGATAATACATACTTCATAAGATTCTTGTAAAAATTATGTGAAATAATGTATGTAAAAGTTCTAGTAAAGCAGGTGTTCAACGCATGTTAAATTTGCTTCTCACCTTTCTGCTTAACTGCAAACTCAGTGATTTCAATCTTAGTTTGTTCCTAAGCTTCACATTGGAGTTTCCCAATTTATTTGTCACCAAAAATATGTAGTAATGGTGTTAGGATGCTCAGTCAGTGGATACCACCCTATTAGCTGTCACCTTTTAGCTACAGACTTATTTGCAAGGTACCTTTAGGACTTGGTTGTTGCATTGCAACTACATTTTTATTTGTGCCTCCCAGCACTGGGTTGGCTTTACAAACAATGAAACTACATTGTGGACTTATTTTCAGCCTCTATTCATCACCACACCCCATAGATCTTTTTTAGACCCACTCACACATAGCCAGTTATTTCTCTTATTTATTATTTATTTATTGTTAGATTTATATAATGTTTTCCTCCCTAAAAGCTTAAGGCACTGTACAGAGAACTTGAATACATGGCGTATCGAACATTACAAATCTACAATAAAATTGAAAATGGGGAAAGTAGACGAACAAACAGAAATGGAAAATCTGAGGGAAATGGATGATTAGGGGAAAGGGAAGAAGGTCATTTTGGTCAACTCAGTTTTTCTCTTTTAGTATGCCACCCTGAGAACTTTTCCCTTGTGAGCCTTTTATTTTCAGGTCTCTGATCAGTCTCAAGATGTTTGAGGTAATCTATAGTTCAAAAGAGATTAGTATTTTTTACATGTACACATTTGGGTGACAGAAAGTACAAGTAAGTGTTTATTTTTTTCTATCCCCCAAGTTACAGATTTAAATAGTAAATAACATTAGTCTCAGAATGAATTTCTTTCTTGATGGGGGGAATGTGCTAATGAAGTATAAACTGTTAGTGGGAAAACTGTATTTTGCATGGACAAGTTTATTGCATTTTATGCTTAATGGTGATAGTGCTAAAAGGAACAGGCTGCTTCATATGCTTTGAGTCACTAAGAGCATGTAAGGGGGTAGTGAATTGCAAATATAACTAGGGTCAAAGTTATAAGAAGGTATGATAATAGTGCCTTTGCTCATTATTCCTCCAACTCTGGCATCCCAGTATGCAGTTTTAGTTTACAAGTAGAAGTCAAATAAATCTGGTATTCATTGTACAGGCCTGGTATCATGGAGTTTTGAGGGGCATGTATGAGTGGATATTGGTCTACTGCCTCTCACATTGCCTTGCTGAGAAATCACCATTTGAGTCTACTTGGAAGACTTTCTTTGTTTATATAAGTGTTTTACACACACACACACACACACACACACACACACACACTTTTCCTCTAGTGTATTAAAATGTGGTTTATGGGATCAGAGTTTATTATTCGTTTTTGTTATTTTGATTACCTTTAATATTTATCCAGATGAGCTAAAATAAACTCAGATAATTCAATAGCTTGTTAGCAGATTAGTAGGAGAAGCTTTTGAAATTAATTTTTTCCTCAAACTTCCGTTACACAAATGAGGGCAAGTCAACTTTGACTTTTTTGTGTGTGATTCACAGTAGGTTGGGGGCTCTGGGGTTTTGCCAATTATTTCATTAAACGACAAGTTAGGTGAGATTTTCTCTGAATTTCACTTAGAAGAGATGTGTTCTGAGAATCTTTGGAAAATATAAATCAAATTTATTTTTAAAAACTAAACAGATCACAAGGCTTCTACTGTGACAAAAGCCCTGGATAAGGATCTTATCTAGATATTCTTGGATCCAGGCCTATTTCTTTTTTTTCTTTTCCTCTGTTGGCACCTGGTACCCTATTATTGCTCTCTGTAGCATCCCTTCCCTTCAGGAAAAATTATTGCATCCTTTAGAATTTGGTTACTGTCCCGAGGGGCATTCTGCTATAAAATAGTCATGATATCTGTAATTGTGTTTCAAAGTCTTGGCTGTTTTCCTGAGTTTTGTATTTGATTCCTTTTTTGTTATTGTTGTTGTTTAAAAAAGTTGAGTCATGTTTTGTGTAATACTTTAATCTTATTATAAAATTTCTATAACACTTAATACAGTAGTTATATTAATTATTTTGGTTAAGCCAAAAGAGTGTATCCCCTCTCCTCACTCAAACAGCACACGACATAATAAATTCATCTTGAGGGATACAGGGTAGAGGACATGGTAAAAACTGATCGTTTTAATATTTGTGATGTGACTCTTTTGTACTGGTGAATTAATGCTGTGTGTCGTATATCTTTGAAAAGTACACTAATGTGGCCTCAGTACTAAGGGAAAAACAAAATTACTGCGTTTTTGAAGTTTCATTAGTAAACTATATGATGAGCTAATATTATAGATTATTTTAGGAAATCTTTTCCCCTGACAACATTATTTGCCAGTCCAAGGAATTTTTACATCTTCTCTCCCTTCCATCATTTATTTGAAATTAGCAATCTCTTTAGAATGATCTTTTCCTGTTTTTCTGTTTTTTGATAGCATTTTCCTTGCCCTGATTGATTTCATTTTAGTGTGGCCTAATTATATTCAGGTGCAAGATGTTAGACTGCTGTAATTAGTCAGGTTGGAGGGCTGGGAATGGGTTGGCTGTAACATTTTAAGCTAGGGCTACAATAACATGTATTTCTTTTTTTGTCTAATTGTTGTCCCTGTATTAGTCCATTTTCACACTGCTGATAAAGACATACCCAAGACTGGGCAATTTACAAAAGAAAGATGTTTGATGGAATTACAGTTCCACATGGCTGGGGAGGCCTCACAATCCTGGTGGAAGGCAAGAAGGAGCAAGTCACATCTTACATGGATGGCAGCAGGCAAAGAGAGAGAGCTTGTGCAGGGAAACTCCCACTTTTAAAACCATCAGATCTCATGAGACTTATTCACTATTGAGAGAACAGCATGAGAAAGACTTACTCTCATGATTCAGTTACCTCCCACTGGGTACCTTGCATGATACATGGGGATTGTGGGAGTTACAATTCAAGATGAGGTTTGGGTGGGGACACAGCCAAACCATATCATTCCACCCCCAGGCCCTCCAAAATCTTATGTCTTCACATTTCTAAGCCAATCATGCCTTCACAACAGTCCCCCAAAGTCTTAACTCATTCCAGTATTAACTCAAAAGTCCAAGTCCAATGTCTCATGTGAGACAAAGCAAGTCCTTTCTGCCTATAAGCCTGTAAAATCAAGAGTGAGTTAGCTACCTCTTAATTACAATGGGGGTATAGGCATTGGCTAAATACAGCCATTCCAAATGGGAGAAATTGGCCACTTCTTAGATACAGTAGGGATATAGGCATTGGGTAAATACTGCCACTCCAAATGGGAGAAATTGGTGAAAACAAATGGGCTACAGGGCCCATGCAAGTCCGAAATCCAGTGGGGCAGTCAAATCTTAAATTAAGCTCTAAAATGATCTCCTTTGACTCCATATCTCACATACAGGTCATGCTGATGCAAGTGGTGGGTTCCCATTGGGTTCCCACTGTCTTGGGCAGCTCCACCCGTGTGGCTTTGCAGGGTACAGCCTCCCTCCTGGCTGCTTTCACAGGCTAGCACTGAGTGTCTGTGGCTTTTCCAGGTGGACTGTGTAAGCTGTAGGTGCATCTACCATTCTGGGGTCTGGAGGACAGTATCCCTCTTCTCACAGCTAATCTAGGTAGCGTCCCAGTAGGGTGGGGGCTCTGACTCCACATTTCCCTTCTGCACTCCCCTAGCAGAGGTTCTCCATGAGAGCACCACCCCAGCAGCAAACTTCTGCCGGGACATTCAGGCATTTCCACACATATTTCCTCTGAAATATAGGTGGAGATTCCCAAACCTCAATTCTTGACTTCTGTACACCCACAGGCTTAACACCACATGGAAGCTGCCAAGGCTTGAGGCTTACACCCTCTGAAGTCATGGCGCGAGCTGTACCTTGGCCCCTTTTAGTCATGGCTGGAGTGGCTGGGACGCAGGGCACCAAATCCCTAGGCTGCACACAGCATGGGGACCCTGGGCCCAGCTCATGAAACCATTTTTTCTTCCTAGGGCTCTGGGCCTGTCATGAGAGTGGCTGTCGTGGAGGCCTCTGACAAAGGGCTCGAATTTATCCTCAGAAAATGGGATTTTCCTTTTTATTGCTTTGTCAGGCTGCAAGTTTCCCAAACTTTTATGCTCTGCTTCCCTTATAAAACTGAATTCCTTTAACAACATCCAAGTCACATCTTGAATGCTTTGCTGCTTAGAAATTTCTTCTGCCAGATACATTAAATTATCTCCCTCAAGTTCAAAGTTCCACAAATCTGTAGGGCAGGGACAAAATGCTGGCATTCTCTTTGCTAAAGTGTCACCTTTGCTCCAGTTCGCAACAAGTTCCTCATCTCGATCTGAGACCACCTCAGCCTGGATTTCATTATCCATATTATTATCAGGATTTTAGTCAAAGCCACTCAACAAGTCTCTAGGGAGTTCCAAGCTTTCCCACATTCTCCTGTCCTCTTCTGAGCCCTCCGAACTGTTCCAACCTCTGCCTGTTACCCAGTTCCAAAGTCACTTCCACATTCTTGGGTATCTTTTCAGCAATGCCCCATTCTACTGGTACCAATTTACTGTATTAGTCTGTTTTCACACTGCTGATACAGATGTACCCAAGACTGGGCAATTTACAAACAAAAGAGGTTTAATGGGCTTACAGTTCCACATGGCTGCAGAGGCCTCACAATCATGGTAGAAGGCAAGGATGAGCAAATCACATCTTACATGGATGGCAGCAGGCAAAGAGAGAGAGCTTGTGCAGGGAAACTCCCGTTTTTAAAACCATCAGATCTCATGAGATGTATTCACTATCACGAGAACAGCATGAGAAACACCTGCCCCCATGTTTCAATTACCTCCCAGTGGGTCCCTTTCATGACATGTGGGAATTGTGGGAGTTACAATTCAAGATGAGATTTGGGTGGGGGCACAGCCAAACCATATCAGTCCTGTATCTTGGAGTCAGATGATGTGTGCCTAGGTGTTTAGCTAAGTGATCTACAAAGATCAACCTGATTTTGGGATAAACTTTTAAGAGGCCAATCTCCTAGGTAAGACTGACCATGGAGATAGGGGCACTGTCTTTGCCCTTTCTCTCTCCTAAAGGAGATTACCACCCTAAGGCACAGAACTGCTGTTTGAGCGTAACAAGCAGGTGATAATAGGAAATGCCTCCTGGTTTGGTAAAGGGCAATGTAATTGCAGCTGTCACATCCTTGCCCTCCCCGCCCAGCTTAATTTAAACAAGTAATAATATTCCTTTTCTATTAACATATCCACAATTATTCTGTCCTCTGGCTTGCAGAAAAAGAAAGATTCTAATAATTGCTATGGAGACTTTGAGTTTAAAACGGCACCTGGCTAAGCATCACTTAAGATACCTCTCCCAGTTCCTACTAAAACGCTAATAGAAAAACAAACTAATGGGAGCTCACAAAAATTTGGAAAACTAAGACAGACTGAAGAATGACTGCTGGAACTAAAGTGAAATGACATCATGTTATGTATGTTGCTATAAACTACTTTTTCCACTCAATACTATGTTGTGGAGTAGATATATTTCTATGTCAACAAATAAAATCCACATCAACATTATAATTAATAAATAGGGCTGGGTAAACCATAACTGTGTCAGCCATTGACCTTCTGTTGGTTGTCTTCTGTGTATGTATGTATGTATGTATGTATGGATGTATATATTTCTCTTTCTTCTGGGCTAAGCCAGTCTTACAGTGGCTGACATTGGTTTAATTCCTCACCCATGCCACGTGAAGGATACTGGATGGTACTGGTGTAAATTAATGTAGGACCCCATAGAAAAGAAAAATAATTCAACTTTCTTGTCAGTAATGCTACAAGAGCTTTATTTTATTTGTGTTTTCTCTTTTAAAATTTTTTGATTTTTTAATTCATACATAATAGATGCACATATTTTGGACGCACATGTGATGACTACATTCATATAATTTGTAAAGATCAAATCAGTATAATTGGGATAAACATTCCCTTAAATATTTATCTTTTCTTTATTCTAGAAATATTTGAATTATTCTCTTCGAGTTAATTTGATGTATACAGTAGGTTATTGTAATCTATACTCATCCTACTGATCTATCAAACACTAGGTCTTATTTCTTCTATCAAACTGTATATTTGAAGGGCTTTATTTTAACAAATATTAGAGATTATTTTAAGTGGTTAAAATGCCATTAAAGCTTCCAGATAGGAAAGATAATTCCATTAACATTGTGGTGTTTATACTGGCTTGTAAATCATTTTCATTTAAACATTTTAATATATTTCTACTGTATTAGTAAGAAAATAAAACATAAATATGAACAAGTAGTAGTACTAAACCTAAAATTTTACTTCAATTTATGAGTAAAGAAGAAAGATCTTTCCCCCTTGGTTGATTTTGGTAGACGAGTTAAATTGGAGAGTCACAAACACAAACAGAAATCAGAAAGGTAATGCACATGAGTACTGTGGACCTGGTACTGGGGAAATAAGAGAGACTGGTGAAGATTGTGGTGAGCCCCTAAAGCATATATCTATCTAAACAGAGTCACTGTTTCTCAGCTCTAGTGATTGCTAAATGAGAACTTGCACCCATTGTTGCTAGATTTTCAAGAAATCCAGATTATTTTGTATACTCTTTTGAGTTCTGAATATTGACAAACAACTTAAAAATCATATCAGAGTGTGTGTATATGAAGGGGAATGGGTGCCCATGGAACTCTTGCTGTCTAAATGCCTTAAATTTGTGACTTCAGATTTAGTCTTTTCCTCTATAGTGAATGAATGAGTTTCTATTTTTTATATAGCTTTTTTATTTCCACTTGTAAACTTCTGTTTATTATGTAGGATCATTGATTAAATGCCCTAGATGTTATGGGGGGAATATATAGAAAAAAAAGACAAAATGTAAAAACTCTGTGCAATACATATTACTAATACTATTTCATTTAACCAAGAGCCAGTTGTGGGGGTCAGATGGTACTAATTCCATGTATAAGTTAAAAAACTAAAATTTGAAGGTTTTTATTAATTTACCAATGTCACACAGCTAAGAAATGGGAGAACTATGATTCGAACTCAAATGTGTATGAATCCAAAGTCCCTGAGTTTTTTTCTTTTTGTAAAAGCAATACAAGCTTACAGTAGAGAATTGCAAAATGTAAAAGACAAATTGTAGAAATGTCACCCCAAATTACAACATATAGAGACAACTACTGTTAATATGTTAATGTGCATTAAAATGTACACACACAAAAAACAGCATAATCGGTATCACACTGCCATATATAATTGTGTCTTGATTATTGTTCCTTAACATAATATCGAGAACACATTACCATTTTATTAGCTATTTTAAAAAAATACTATGTTAGTGACTAATGCTTCTTCCAATAGCTTCACCATTGTTTGTTTACCTGGATATTTTAGATATCTAATTTTTCACTATTATAAGTAATGCTTTAATGGATATCTTTGGGGTATAAATCTTTGTTTTGTTGAGACTATAATTATTTTATAGGATACGTTTCTGAGAATAAAATTACTCAGGCAAAGCATCTAAACAATTTTAAGGTTTTTTATAACATATGCTCAATTTTCAAAAAGCTTTACCAATTTACACTCATGTCAGTCTATTAATGTCTCTTTTCTTGTCTCCTTGCTAGCGTTAACTATCAGAAAATAGTTGTAAATAATATAGACAATACTCATACCTCATTTTAATTGTATTTCTTTGATTAGTAGAGATACTTGATGTTTTTTTCTTATATGATGAATAGTCATTTGTATTTTGCTTCTGCAAATAATCTGTCCCACTTTATTTACTTTCTAAATTTCTTGTGTCAAATCAACCCATCTTTTTCTGCATTTTTTTTCACTGCTGTTATACAGAGTGCTTTTCTAGTCTTAGGTCAAATAAATATTTGCTTTTATTTTTCTGCAGTATTTTTATCTATTGTTTGATACTTATGTTATTGAAAGGCTATACTCTCTCAGTTATGCTACATTTCATTCCCAAGAAAAGGACAATCGTTCCTATACTTGGGGTATGTGGCACATAAGACAAACACTCATGTAGCAATCCATTCTACTACCTTTATATGACCAACTTCTTAAGCTAAAACGCTGACAGGTTGCTGGAGTGATAAGAGTAACTGATGCCAGGAGGAATTATTCTGGACTTGTGTGGTAGAGGAAATGAGTCTTGAGCAGAGTTTTGACTTAGAAAAGGACATAATCTAGTAAAATAGCATACTCCACACATGGAGAAAATTTGTACACCTAAAAAAGTTTGTATCTATTTCTCTGTAGCTATTGCTTTACATGTATTATGTATGTATGCATTTATGCAAGTAGCATTTCAACTATTTTAGTTCTCATATTTTTCTTTTTTTGTCCCTTTGTAAATGCCATCAGAGAGTATTGGTATAATGAAATAAGACTTACAGAATATCAGAGCTAGTATTTCAGAGATTATTTTATGGAATGTTCATAAATTACTTTCTGGAATGATGAAATTATTTGTCTCAAATCACACAGCTATAATTGGCCCTGGAATCCAGATTCCTGACTCCTAGTTAAGTGCTCTTGCTATTACAACAAACCATTGAAAGGCCCATTTTATTAGATATAGATACTCATGGTGAAATGATTATATTGAATGTAAATGCTGAATATGCTTTTTTTATGTATCTTATCACATGCATTTATGATTGAAGATACAAAGTATAAAATATGTAGAAATAAAACAATTGAGTTTATCTATCATAAAACCATGTCAGCATGCCAGCAAGCTTTCCCCTCTTCTTTCAAGAATATGTCAAATTCTAATTAATCTCATCATCACTTCTGCTTTAAACTGTTTTAAGTGCCATAATGATTGTGATGTATGGTTAGACTACCTGCCAATTTTTAAGCTTTGTGACTTTCCAGCTTGATTATTTTAGTTGTTTTATTTTTATTTGTTTCAGTTGTACAGAGACAACATGGTCTCAGCTTTCAGACATGCTCTAGATTTTAAAACCCCAGTGTCCTGAGCTCTGTTGTGTGTGTGTGAGTGTGCGTGTGTGCGCACGGACCTGACATTTCTGACACAAATCAATAATTTGGCAAGTATTTTACGTACATCTTCTATGTGCCTAATGCGGTGCTTGGAACTCTTGGGAATGCAGTGTTCCTTGCTAATTTTTTATGAGGTTCTTCTTTTTCATTGTAAGGACTGGCTTTGGATTTTGATGTTATATGTAAAGTCACCAAGATTCAATTTAGGATTACATCAGGAAAGCCGGATGAAGAAACTTACAAAATTAAGCATAATCATTACCTTCATCAACACCGACAACTGCAAACATTTACTAGATGCTTAGTATGTATAGGGCATAAATAAGTAGGCCAAATTTGTGCTTATAAGAAGCTTATGGCCAGGTGCACTGGCTCACACCTGTAATCCCAGCACTTCGGGAGGACGAGGCAGGTGAATCACTTCAGCCCAAATGTTCGAGGCCAGCCTGGGAAACATGGTTAAAAACCGTCTCTACAAAAAAATACAAAAATTATTGGGGCATGGTGGCATACACCTGTAGTCCCAGCCAGTGAGGGGCTGAGGTGGGAGGACCACTTGAGCCTGGGAGGCAGAGGTTGCAGTGAGCCCCGATGGTGCCACTGCACTCCAGCCTGGGTGACGGAGTGAGGCCCTGTCTCAAAAAAAGAAAAAAAAAAAAAACAGCTTATAATTCATTCAGAAAAAATAATGGTTTCATAAAAGAATCAGTAATAATCTTAGGTAGCATATACTGGGAAAAAAACTGAGTTGAACATATGTGATCATGTGTGTGCTCGGCTTCAAAGGAATGCCCCGGTACACATGGGGTGAGTCAGTTTTTGGAGTAAGTGTTGAGAGGAGGTGAAGAGGGCATTTCTGACAAGCAAATCAGTATGAATAAAAGGGCAGAGGTGAAAGGTTCATGACTTGTTTTGAAAAATATGAAAAGACTAGTTTAAGTGAAAGGTGCTATGAAGAGAGTACTGATATAAGAATAGGGCAGATATATGTTAAAAATCCTGTATCAGCCAAGCAAGTATAGTATGACCTTGGATAAATCATTTCTTTTATCTGATCCTCAGTGTCTACTTCATCAAAACACTGATAATAGGATTTCCTTTATAGTGTTGGTGTGAGGATTACGTTAAATATGTGTAAAGTGCCTCACACAATGTTTGGTACGTGTAAGCACTGATTAAATGGCAGTTCCATTTTTACTTGTTTTAGTTGGAATAGAGGTAGGTATAGGAGGATAGTGAGAGATATAGTTGTGGTAGGCCTTATTCTTTAGTCCATGGGGAGCCATTAAAGTTTATGAAGGAGGAAATAACATATGCACAGTGCCATTTCATGATAATTAATGTTTTCATCATTTAGAATGTGGTTTGGAGAGGAGGAAAAATGGAGACAGAATAATTGTTACTTTAGGCAGAAGGTGAAAGTGATCTGTTCCAGGGTAGTGTGGTTGGATTGGAAAGGAAGCCATAGGCAAGAAGATATCAAAATGAAAGAATTGCTGCATCTTGGAGAATGGTTATAGAGGGAAGAAAATGAGGGACAGGACTGGGTGAATAGGGAAAATAAAAAGATGAGGGGAGATGATTTTGGAGGAGATACAATTGTTTTGATAGATATTAACTTAGCAGCAATCATATGGTATTCAAATGGAGAAGTGAGAGTATTTGTAGTGCAAGGGTGAGTGTAGAATTGGCTATGCCAAGGGGACGTTTGAACTTTCCATGTACAAAGAGACTGCGCTGATTTGTGACATGTGTTAATATCTGTGTTCATGTTTATGTATCGTATTTGGTTGGTTGGATCCTTAGGTCATAGTAATCCACGTTAATGTTATGAGCGCTCTCTAATTCACAATTAGAAGATCCATTCATACGCCAACCTTAACAAGGAGAAAACATTGACTTTTTCCTACCAGCTGACTTCTCCACAGTAGGAAAAGATCTGTACTGGAAGAGGAATTTAGGCACTTAGGATAATAATAAGCTAAATGTGCAGGCTAGGGTAGGGGGAGTTGCAGTGACAATGTGTCCACTAGAAATAGAAAAACTGTTAACATGAAAAGGGATAAATCTTTGAGAGGCTTTTTGTGCTGATGGGACCATGACAGTCACTTGCTAGATGTGTTTAAACTTTGCACTTCGATGGATTCATCTGGGAATTTTTTTTTTTTCCTACCTAGAAGCTTGGGTGCCATTCCTAGGCATTGGGAGGTGTTGAGTTGTTGAGAAGGTGGCCCCTCTGAATTGCTTTAGACAATAACAGCCATAGTGTGATGTTTTGTGCATTAACAGAAAACAAAATACCCCAAATAAAACTCTATTTGCATAATTTCTCTTTTATAAGAGATCACAAAATTGGACAAAATTAGCTAAACACGAAGTGGTTTCGCTCAGGGAGGTCAGACTTAAATGTCCCTGTATGTGTGTCTACCAATGTGTTTAATGACAGCCTCCTACACCTTCAGCATGTTTAATGGCTTTGTTCAGCTTTGGCCTTAAAAGCTGCAGCTTTTCTGTTAATTGCACAGAGGCTTTCAGATGATTTTTTCCCAGTAATTTATGCCCAAATAAATTTGTCTCCTTTTTACTTCAGCTGGTTGGGGAAAGCAGTGGGGTAACCTTTTTTCTTGTGGAGTGGGGACACTCAGCACCTCCAGGAAGGAAGCAGGCATTCAGGGCCAGTTGGTTTGAAAGGAACATTTTTTTTTTTCTCTAGGTTGTATTCATGGCAGTCGATTTGGGATCCATATTGTATGGGATTGAAAAGAGACTGATTTTAACTTGCTGAGTTATCTTTGTCACCTATTGATTGATCAAAAGGAAATGGGGGTTGGGGCAGGGCTGCATATACTCAAACAGTGTCTTCAACCAGGAATATGACTACATGCCTAGCAAAGGCTGCAGAATACCTTCTGCCTGTTTTGATCTACTTAAAGATATGGCTTTGTGTTGCTAGAGAATAGCTGACCCCATCATCCTAGTCACATTTTATCCTTGAATAACGAGGAGAAAATCTCCCTGCAGTAAATGTTCAGTTTATGCTGTGTTTTTCTCACTTCAAAAAGAAAAAAAAAAAAAGCTTTATGAAATAATGATGCTATCCTCAACTGAACATAAGGGTTTGTTCTTAATATGTTAATCAATAGTTAGTTAGGAAGGGCAGCTCATCTCTAAACTAAAGCTGGAATCAGCTGTTCAGCACAGAAATAAAATCTGGTAAAGAAGGCTGCAGGCTCATCTAGCACCTCCAGGTCTGCATCTCAAATGAATGAGTTTAATAGCCAGTTTTCAGTATTTGTCTTTGACATCTTGACTAAGGGTCTTAAGAACTTGCATAGCCTACCCACAGACTCCTGTAAATCCCCATTGCTGTTTCTATTTCAATTATTCTGCTCAAACCTGTGAGCAAAAGTTTGAAATCTGTCCCTGTAAGACCCCAGATACCAGTTTATGAAAATGACTATGGCATTTATTAATTTACTCATGCAATCAGGTATTTTTTGGCAAATATTTTTTGAGAAATTGTTATATTCCAGGCACTGGGATAGATGCCTGGGATATAAAAAGACTTATAGTCTAGGTTTAAGAAACACCCCATGGGCCAAGTTAATTTCCATGCAAAAATTTCAATTTTTTTTCCAATTTTAAATTGACCTAAGAATGTTAAATTCAGCTGCTTTCTTTATTCTATACATGTTTAGTCCTTTCTTTTCCTTATTTTGAGATGTGGTATTGTCTGAATATGAGTTCAAATGCTGGTTCGGATATTTATCAGCTACGTAATCTTGGGAAAGTCACTTAACCTTATTTATTTTTCTTCTGTATCTTGTCTGCATCTCCTTATCCATAAAACATGGAGAGTAACAGTATCTGCTTTACAGCATTGTTGTGAAGATTAAATCAGGTAGTGTTTGGCATAGCATTACATACAATTCAATAAATATTAGGTAATCTTAGATCTTTTACTTTGAAAGGAAATCATTTTACTTCTCCTCTATTGTTCACAGGAAGTGGGGGAAAAGAAAATTAGCATACTGGAAAATAGTAAATTCTTACTCCTCTCTCTTTAAGAAAGGCAAAGACTTAATGTCCAAGAGCATTGATGCCATTTTAAAATTCCGGTTACTTTAAAATAAGTAAGGCTATGTGATTATGTCCAGCTCAGTGACAGAATTACTCAAGTTTCATTAGAGGTTAAGTACTTATATTCTTACTTTTTGTCTATTGACAACAATTTTCTCATGATTTCTCTTTCAAAATCAGAGAGCTTGACCAATTTACCTAATTTCTACAGCCTCACAACTTATGTCTACCCTGTAAGCTCTGAGAGGCACATATATGAGTGATATGTTTTCTAAAAGCGAGAGCTGCTAGAACTTTGAAAATAATCCCTCTTTCTTTCTCACTCCCTGAAAAACGTTTTTCTTTTAGCAAGGCAGTTTTTTACTCATGATATCTAGTGATGAAAAAGGAGATTACTATTAGCTCCTTCTAAAAGGAGATATAAGATATTTCCTTTTTTTTTTTTTTAATAAAGAAGCAATGACTTTTAGTATACGTCAACATAATTATCAAGGTAGCAACCTTTCTGTTTCTTATAAACTGTAACCTGTATTCCCTCAAGCCACTGTCAAGTACTGGAGAATAATAAGTGTTTCAAATCAAGTTGGTAGTTTTATGTGAATGAATGTCATTTAGAAGATAATTTCCCCTAAAAATCAGCACATCCTCAGAGCTATTGTATGACCTGGTTGTTTTATGGTGTTAATGAGCTTTCTAAGGGTAACATTGGGGTAACAAAAATTGTGGAGTTTTCTTTCTGTGAATTTTAAATTTTATCATAAAGCTCAACAATCTTTCATGTACAATGTTCAACTTAATATTCTTTGGTTCAGTCCAGATAATTATTCTTATATATCTGGCTTTAGGTACATGTTAATACATGTATGTAAAATTTTTTTGTCTGTATTCAAAAACTAGCCTACTTGAACATAGATATGTCTTATCTGCAAATGAAGCAGCAGGCCATATTCTAATGTGTTGAAATATCAAGGACCATTTAAAGCTATCAGCACAGTTGGTTCTAACTTCGGATAAATGGGCCAAACAAGATGGTTTCCCTTACTTTAAGGAAAATCATCTACTGTTTTTGGCTTTTCTAATTAACTTGGGAAAAGTTCTCAAATCTTAGTTTATTCAGGTACCATTGAAAGTGTTTAATTGCTTTGTTCATTATTCCGGATAACTCCAAGTTTTCATCATTAATAGACCACTTTAACAGGTGTTGATATTCAAGTTGTCATTGGGTTAATAATTTCTTTATTTTAGTGAATCTCTAAACATAGACTAGTTTTCATATAGGTAGTGGGTAGTAGCTGTGGGCTTGAATCTCAGTTTTGCAATTGATGGCTGTAAAATACGGGAAAAGAAACATATGTTTGAGACTAGTTACTTTGTAGAGCTGTTGTGGTTAACATTGGGATGCCCATATAAAAAACCTAGAATGGTGCCTGATATTTAATGAGTACTCATTAATTGGTAGCCATTATCTTTATTATACCTTTAAACTGGCCCCAGAGAGAATACTTAGTATTAATTCTATCACATGGAAGATAAAAGCAGGCATTTTTCCTTCCTGGAGAACCGGGAAAGAGTAAGGCACTCAGCGTACAGAGTTGATCAAAATTTGCACAAATGGGCATATCGTAGATGGGGTATTATGGCTCCTCAGTAGGATAGATGCCCATGTCCTGGGCACACAAACATGAAGAAATGAGGCACAGAACTCCACAGACCAACTTCAAATATCTTGAAAAGCATACATCCCCAGAAGCATATTGAGGAGCTCAATTACATGGTTACAATTTATGGTCACCAGTAAGCAACTGGTTAACATAAACTTGGATGTCCTGTGATAAACACAGTTAAAAATTCCAGGAGTAGTGCTGTATAAAATAAATGAGTTTTATAGGACTGCGTGACTATAGGTTGTGCATGCCAACTCAGTCATGTTTCTCACTCCTTATTATTACTTTTAAACTCTTGAAGCATTTTGTGTTTCTGATCTTAAAGTTGTTGCTCAGAAAGAAAAAATAAAGAAAAGAAACATGAAAGCAAAGCACCTAACAATCCATTAAAACACTGCAAAAAGCAGTGATGGCTAGCTGCAACTACTAATCCATCATGGTACACTACTTATCAGCAGTAAAACTGTCATCCCTAAAAGGTTATTATTAGAGCACAAATGTAGTTGAGTGTTCACACTAGTGTGTTAAGGTGCTGTTGGAGCTGGAGTATTTTGGGAGCACGCACAAATGAGACTTCCTGTTCACACTAAGGTGATATGATATTTTCAGCAGGTCTTTGAGTGAGGCCATGGCTGTTGAGAAAAACAAAGGGAATCTGTGTTTGTGCCCACACGTGTGTGCGGGGGTGGGGGAAGAGAGAAAGATTTGTTTTCAATGGAATAAAAAAATAAGATATGAGTACTGATCTTAAATGATCAGTACTTAGAGACCTCTAAGGGCTAGGACAGTGTCCTATTCACTGCTTCATACACCACTGCATTTCCAGAAGCAAGCACAGTGCTTGCCTCATAGTACATAGCTTACGTGCATTGGGTTGAATTTTTTAAAAAGTTTGACTGATACGCTCAGTGTTTCATTTTGTCCAGTATATGAGGCAGTGGGATGGACAGTAGAACTCTTCCTACTGGCATCTTTGGAATACAAATTTCCTTACTAGTCCCTAGCCCCACAGGAGGAATCAACACTGCAAAAGTTTCCCATGTCATGTCCTCTGCCAACTTCTTGGAGGTCTTAAAATTCACAACTCTTAACTATCTGGAAAAGAAAAAGAAGCTAAAAGCTCAGATATGAGCTCTTCCACATTTTAGAGATGAAATATTTAGTGTTTTAAATTAAACATGCCTAAAAATCTTATTCCAGGGAGGCTTTTGCAACCATCCTGCTTACAGAGCTCTAACCTTGGAACAGAATCTGCATATGAATCAAGGTCAGCCTGTTGGAGTTTCTGTAACCAAAGTCTAAATTCAAAATCTCAACCTTAGGAAAATAGCAGGGGCTGAGTAGAGGGTCAGAATGGAGAAAAACAGGGGTATAACATTTAGGGAATGATTGCAAAATCTGTGTGACATTTGAGTTTGATATATTTTGGCTGCTTCTATCCTGTTTGGTATTTTTTAATTCAAAGCAAGACATTGGAAATGAAAGAAAAAATAATTTTTAGAGGCTGCTGAACAAAGCAAATCAAAACTTAGCTTGTGTTGATAAAAATATAGTGTGTAGTTTAAAGAAATCCATGGTCCCACTCTACTCTGCAATTGGTCAGCTTATATTTTTAGTGTAATAGTCTGTTCTGGGTATCACATTTTATGTAGAATATAGGTACACCAAGAAGTATTCAGAGGAGGGAGGACCATAATGAGGATGGGTTTGAAAGTTACACATGAGAGGAACTGTTGGGCCATAACAAGAATCATTCATCTTGTTTAAACTCTTGGTTTCTTATTTCCTTTAGATAGAGACTAAACTCTCACTATAGCCTAAGGTGCTTTAAAGTGAGGAAGATAGGAAATTGTATTTCTGGCAAGGCATTCTGCTCCACAATCCTACCTGTTTTTATTTGGCCATTCACTGCTACACCCTCCATCCATTCTCTGCACAGCTTACTTATAATAAAATAAAAATAAAATGCAATACAAACCCATATTTGCATGATCTAGTCCTTGCCTACATTTACAGCTTCATGGCTTCTCTCTTTCCCCATCACTCTCTCTTATTCTTCAGTCACAGTAGTGTTATTTCTTTTTTTCTTTAGAAATATGTTCGTTCAGTAGTTAATGAAGAGCAAAGTAATTAAATATTGGCATCTAAGCATATATTGGATGTTTTAATACTGTATAATAAGCTGATTTTGAAGACAAGAAGCCTCGGCTGAAGAACATGTGTTCTATGTGGTTTTCCTTTTTTGTTTCTTTATTTCCCAGCCTTGACATATAATTAACAAATAAAAATTGCATATATTTATGGTATACAATGTGATGTTTTGATATATGCTTATACTACTTTGTGAAATGATAACCATAATCAAGCTACTTAATATATGTATCATCTCACATAGTTATTTTTTTTCTTTTTCTTTTTTTGTGGTAAGAACACTTGAGGTGAAACCCTCTTAGGAATTTCAAGTATACAATATAATATTGTTAACTACAGTCAACTATAGTCACCATGTTGTACAGTAGGTCTCCAGAACTTATCCGTCTTGAATAACGGAAACTTTGTATCCTTTGACCATTATCTCGCCATTTCCCCCACTAGAGACCCAGCCCAGCACCTAAAGACCACCCTTCCACTGTCTGCTTCTGTGAATTTGACAATTTTAGATTTCACACACAGGTGAGATCTCATGTAGTGTTTGTCTTTCTGTGTCTGGCTTATTTCACTTGACATATGTTCTCTAGGTTCATCCATGTTGTTACAAATGACAGGATTTCCTACTTTTTATGGCTGAATAGTATTCCATTGTATTTATACCAAGCATACCTTAGAGATATTGTGAGTTCCATTCCAGAACATCACAATAAAGTGAGTATCACAATAAAGTGAGTCACATGAATTTTTGGCTTCCCAGTATATATAAAAGTTACGTTTACACTGTTTTCTGTACTCTATTACATGTCCTATAGCAGTATGTGTAAATGCACTACACACTTCAGAAAATACTTTATTGTGAAAAAATGGTCACAATCATCTGAACCTTCAGTGAGGCATTATTTTTTTGCTGGTTTTGGGGGATCTTGCTTCAATGTTAATGGCTGCTGATGATCAGGGTGGTGGTTGCTGAAGGTTGGGGTGGCTATGGAAATTTCTTAAAATAAGGCAACGGTGAAGTTTGACACATCAGCTGACTCTTCCTTTCATAAAAGATTTCTACGTAGCATGCAGTGCTGTTTGATAGCGTTTTATCCACAGTAAAGCTCTTTCAAAATTGGAGTCAATTCTCTCAAATCCTGCTGCTGCTTTATCAAGTAAATTTATGTCATATTATAAATCCTTTCTTGTTATTTAAAGCAATGTTCACAGGATCTTTCAATAAATCGCTTTCTTTGCTCTTCTATAAGGAGCAACTCCTCATACATTCAAGTTTTATCATGAGATTATAGCAATTCAGTTCCATCTTCAGGCTCCACTTATAATTGTAGTTCTTTTGCTATTTCCACCACATCTGCTGTGCTTCCTCCACTGAAGTTTGAAACTCTAAGTCATCCATGAGAGTCAGAATCAAATTCTTCCAAACTTCTGCTAATGTTAATATTTCGACTTCCTCCCAAGAAGCACAATTTTTTTTTTTTTTAGATGGAGTTTCACTCTTGTTGCCCAGGCCTCGGCTCTCTGCAACCTCCGCTTCCCAGGTTCAAGCAATTCTCCTGCCTCAGCCTCCCAAGTAGCTGGGATTACAGGTGCCCACCACCATGCCCGGCTAATTTTTGTATTTTTAGTAGAGATGGAGTTTCGCCATGTTGGCTAGGCTGGTCCTGAACTCCTGATATCAGGTGATCCACCCGCCTTGGCCTCCCAAAGTGCTGGGATTACAGGCGTGAGCCACCGCACCCAGCCAAATGTTCTTAATAGCATCTAGAATGGTGAATCCTTTCCAGAGGGCTTTCAATTTACTTTGCCCAGGTTCATCAGATAAATTGCCTTATAAGGCAGCAAAGTAGCTTTATGAAATGTATTTCTTGAATAATAAGACTTGAAAGTTGAAATTACTCCTTGATTCATGGATGGCAGAATAGTTGTTGGGTTAGTAGGCATGAAAACAACATTAAATCCTTGTGCTTCTTCATCACAGCTCTTGGGTGTCCAGGTGCATTGTTAATGTGCAGCAATATTTTGAAAGAAATCTGTTTCTTTCTGAGTAGTAGGTCTCAACAGTGGGCTTAAAAGTATTCGGTAAACCATGCTGATGACTTGCTGTCATCCAGGCTTTGTTTTTCCATTTATGGAGCACAGGCAGAATAGATTTAGCATAACTCTTAAGGGCCCTGGGATTTTCAGAAATAGTCAATGATTATTGGCTTTAACTAAAAATTACCAGCTGCATTAGCCACTAACAAGAGAGTCAGCCTGTCCTTTAAAGCTTTGATGTCAGGCATTGATTCCTCCTCTCTAGCTGGGAAAGTCCTAGATGGCATCATCTTCCATAAGAAGGCTGTTTCATCTGCACTGAAAATCTACTGTTTCGTGTAGCCACCTTCCTTAGTTATCTTAGCTAGATCTTCTGCATAACTTGCTGCAGCTTCTACATCATCACTTGCTGCTTCACCTTGCACTTTTGCATTATGGAGATGGTTTATTTCCTTAAATCTCCTGAATCAACCTCTGTTAGCTTCCAACTATTCTTCTGCAGCTTCCTCGACTCTCTCAGCCTTCAGAAAACTGAAAAAAAAGAGCCTTGCTCTGAACCAGGCTTTGGCTTAGGAGAATGTTGTTTCTGCTTTGATCTTCTATCGAGACCACTAAAACGTTCTCCATATCACCACTAAGACTATTTCACTTTGTTATTATTCATGTGTTCACTGGAGTAGCACTTTAATTTCCTTTAAAAACTTAGTTTGCATTCACAATCTGGCTTTTTGGCACAAGATGCCTAATTTTCAGCCTGTCTTGGCTTTCAGCATGCCTTCTTCACCAAGCTTAATCATTTCTAGCTTTTGATTTAAACTGAGGGACATTCGACTCTTTCTTTCACTTGAACAATTACAGGTCATTGTAAAGTTGTTAATTGGCCCAATTTCAATATAATTGTGTCTCAGGGAATAGGGAAGCCTGAGAAGAGGGAAAAGCTGGTCAGTGGAGCAGTAGGAACACACACAACATTTATCTATTAAGTTTACTGTCTTAAAAAGGCATGGTTTGTGGTACTCCAAAACAATTACAATAGTAACATCAAAGATCTCCAATCACAGATCATCATAGCAGGTATAATAATGAAGAAGTTTGAAATTTTATGAGAATTGCCAAAATGTGATACAGAGACATGAAATGAGTACATGCTATTGGAAAAATTGTGATGATAGACTTGCTCAACCCATAATTAGCACAAACCTTCAATTTATAAGAAGCACAATAAAGTGAAGTGCAATAAAATGAGGTAGCTAGAATAACGGAATAGCATGTGGGTCACTTTAAGTTTACAGACAAATGTCTGAATGATTCTTTTAAAGGAAGTGGTGGGAAAGTAGGGAGCCCAGTCTGCTCGATAGGCGGGATGTCTCTAAGTTCTTATCTCTCGCCACTGGCTTGAGCCATTTGGGTGAGGTGTGGAACTGGAAACTGTGTCAAGGATGACTGAGTCCTGCTTCTGGTATGAGAAAGTTAAATTAGTATTTCAAAATGGATGTTGAGGCAACATAAAAGAATTTACTACAAGAATACCTATAGTCCTGGACAAAACTCTCTTGCTTGAACTGTACTGCGATCTTCCTACCCAGTCCTCTTTACTGTCCTCTCTTCTTCACAGGTGTCTGATCTACACCAAAATCTGATGGCTCTCTCAGACTTATCCAACTTTTCCCCCTTGATCCTTCAAAAGCATTTCCCTCAATAAATCTATTGCAAATCTAACCTCATCTTGGTTTCTTCTCAGAGGACCCTAACATGAATGGTGCTAATGGTAGCCAGTACAAAGTAGGCAGTAATATGGGGTTTGAAGACTGGCTTACTCACCACTTAGTGGACAGAGTATACTATCCTGATACAAAGTGGCAACCCAAATGATAATTTCACTGGTAGTGACCTGAGGAAATGTGTCCCAGAAACCAAAACGGGAAAGCCTTTGCAGAAACAATAGCTCAGACATTTGACAGGTATGGGAAGAGTATTCTTACAAGAACGAAGGAGTAGACTGTTTATTGCTAAGTTGTATGGATGACCTAGAAAGAGCTAATGAAAAATTGAAGGCTGTTAACAAACAGTTAAAAGCTAAGGGGTACAACCACATAAACTCTTTACTGGTAGATTAATAGAGGTCCTTATCTTCTGCAGTGAAAGACCAAACAGCTGAGAACAGACACAGGATCTTATAGTAAGAATCACAGAGTTTCAGAGACATTTAAAGGTTCAGCCAAGGCAAACTTATTATGGTAAAGTTAGGGTCCTAAGTAAGAAAACCTAGGATCTTGAAATGTAGTGGGGGACATATGGATGGATTCCCTTGAGAACATTTACTTTGCAGACTCCCAAGCCCTTAGACCTTGCAGAGCTGTCCCATCTTTTTCTGTAAGAGCTAGTACTACCACTGTGCTGGGAGATGCTGCAAAGGCCTCTCTCCTGCAAGATTATAGCATTTATCTTTTCACTCCCCATACCCCAAGAGCTGCTCCAGTCCACTCTCCTGGCTAAAGATATATAACCAGGGTTAAATTCCAAGATAACCTATCTGGGAACATGTTGGGCCTAATAAGGAATAAAAGAAATTATGTAATGAAGGAATTGCAAGAATTAGCTAGCATGTACTTACAGGAATCAGAAAAGTCCACCTGGATCAGGCTTTGAAGGTGTTTGATCAAGGTTATCAGAATATAAGACTGGATAAACAAGAATTTATTGATTTAGTGGAACTTGTGGGGACATAGAATTTTACCCTCTAGCAATAACCCCAGAGGACAGGGCAAATTCACTGCTAGTGTGGTTCTCAGAAGCCTGGAGAAGGTAATGGCTCTTGCTAAGTGAAGGGAGTAGAAGGTGCCCTGCATCCATTAGAGGAAGAAATACAAAGTCTCAGGGAAGTGGGCAGGCCAGAATGACTATATTATGGGAGGCCAGAAAACCCAACCAAGGATAGTGCTTCACAGGAGGGCACAGAGAACCAACTGTTTACCAGGGTCATCAGGAATTCACTCCTGAGAGGGGCAACAGCACCACTAGGAAGTTCAGTGGTGGGTGTCCTGTAAAGAACAGGAATGATAGTAGGAGAGGTAGTCACAGACATGGGCTCATTAATAGCCATGGGGATGACAGGGCCCTGCAGTAACAGAAGACAAGGGGTAAGACTTAACTGCCAGAAGCCAGGAGGCCACAATTATGATAAGAACCAATAACATCAGAGAGTCAGCCAAGAGGGCTTTACCCACAGGGAGTTATGAAAATGGTTGGAACATGGTGTCTTTATGAGCAACATAAATGGACAGACAACAAAGGCATTTATCAACATTTACAAGCTGAAAGAAACAAGAGTATGGGACCAAGAGGCTGAGGTTTCCGCAATAAGAAGTCATGATTTTTCGCCCAGTTTTCAGACTGTTTTTAGGAACTTTGCTTCAATGTAAGGCTCTTCCTATTTAATCTTCTTTCCTTTTCTTTCTCCTTCATAGGTGTCAGGTCTGCAATATGGTAACACATGCAATGTCTTCTTTATGACTTCTCTGGATCCTTCACCTTTATTTTCAGGCGTTTCCTTCGTTAAATCCTTGCACATATTAACCTGCCTTGGTATAAGTTTCTGAAGGGCCTAGACTAACGTACTTCTCAAAAACCGCACAGAACTAGCTTGTGTCTAACCTGTTGCCAGAAAATGATAAAAATGAGCATGATTCTTTGCAACTTCTTCCGTCAAGAGATGGAGGCCCCTTCTGCGCTGCTTGAATCTGGCCTAGCTTTGTGACTTACAAGAGATTTTAGGATCAGTGATATTTTGATAATTCTGAGCCTGGGTTTCAAGAGACTTTGCAAATTTCTTCTTAGATAACTCTTAGTTACCTAGCCACTGGCACCATATGAATAAGCCTGAGACCACCAATATCTTTTCTGTGTATCTTCTTGAGGGAGATGCTCTAAGGAAGTACCCTGTGGAAAGTGCAAAGCCCATCCAGATAACATTGTTGGAAACTGGAGGCATAGTGAATTTTTCTAATGGAATTCTCCAACAGGGGAGATTTCAAGTACAATAGTGATATCATTACACAGAGAAAATATGTAAAGGCAGTAAAACTTTGGGAATCCTTCAATCTGGTGGCATGAAGGTGGCTACCTACTCAAAATGCACATAGACTCATACGTTATTCTAGCAATAATTAATTTCAAACTTCTACTTAAAATAATAATATAATTCTGTTTCCAGCTATGAATTCTACGAGTAACATCTTACCAACCAACATATATGCCAAGAAAAACTATAAAAACAAAATAAAATACCTAAACAAAAATTATTTGAGGGCACAAGTTGCTTCCCAGTCAGCCAGGAACTAACAAGTCAAGATCCCAGAGAGAATAAAAGCTCACCGACATGAGGCCAACTCTCTGTACACTGCTTTCCCTGCGAGGGCATTTGCCAATTTTTCTTAAAGGGCAAGAAAGTGTGAGAAGCTGAAGGCAATAGCTAAGAGTCAGAGATGCCAACAGATAATTTTGGTGAGCTCACAGACTGGGGAGACAAAAATCGATTCTGGATTTGCCAGTGCAAATCTACAACATGTATGTAACTGGAGGCTCAGAAAGGGAAGATAGGAAGAGTCAGATAGAAAGCAATATTTGGCTGAAAATTGTCTAAAGCTGATAAAAGCCTGACAGATCCGAGAAGCTAATTGAAAGAAGTATAAATACAAAGAAAATTATAGATAGGCATATATTAGTAATACCTGTTGAAAAAAATGAAAACAAATGGATTAAGTAAAAGCAGCCAGAGAAAAGACAAGACATATTACTTCCACAGGAGCGAATATTACTCTTGACATCTGAGTTCTCAACAAACATCCTAGATGCCAGGATGCAAAACTTGTCCCTGAGGCAAGAAGAACCTTGGTACATGCAAAGTACAGAAATAAGGCTGGTCTACAACAGGTATATAAAAAGGTGCTCAACATCAGTAATAATCAGGAAAATGCAAATTAAAACCACAGTGAAAGATTGTAACTGGGCCCCTTGAGATTTCAGCACCCCAGAATTTTTAGTGACAAATGATGAAAATTCTAATGAGGCCCTTGCTTGCTTGGACATGTTAACCACTCACTTTTTGCCCAATAAACTGCCAATGCACTTTTTTCCCAATAAACTGCCGGTGTACTGTTTCTTTGTCAAGCAGGAGGAGATATTTTCAGGATCAGAAACCTGCAGAAGGAATGAATGCTTTGAAAGACATTGTGATCAGCTGCTGACACCCAGTAGTCTGGTTGTTATCTGAGACTGAAGGAACATAGACTTTTCCCCTGGATTCCCTGAAAATCCCCCTCCCTTACTCTATAGCTGCATAAAAACTCCCTGCTTCTTTTTGCTAAGGCAGGATTGAGATATCTTTCCCTCCTGCATTCTTGCTTTGGCCAAATCAAATAAACCTTCTTTAATCTTCAAGCACTGGTGTTTCAGTGGCATCAGCTACACATTGGGTACATGAGCCTGAATTTGGGCTTCTGCATGATAAGTTCACTCAACTAGAACAGCTATTATCAAAGAGTCATAAGATAATAAGTGTTGGCAAGGAAGTGGAGAAAAGGGAACTCTTTGTACAAGTTTGTTGGGAATGTAAAATGGTGCAATCACCACGAAGAACAGTATGAAAGTTCCTCAAAAAATTAAAAGTAGAACTACCATATGACCCAGCAATCCCACTGCTGGGTATATACCCAAAGAAAATGAAATCAGTATGTCAAAAAGATAGCTGTACTCCCATGTTAATGCAGCATTATTCAAAACAGACAAGATAAGAAATCAACCTAAGAGTTCATCAGTGGATGAATGGATAAAGAAAATGTGGTTAGTTACCACACCCTCTCTGCCTGACTTTTCATTCCTGCCTCACATGACCCGCGGACAAAGGACTGTCCTGACAACTCATTACACCTTCCTTGCCCAGGATCTGTAAGAAAAAAACCTTTGAGCTTTTTTTCTTATTTTGGTAGTGTATTGAATTTGTGCCTTCCATCTGAAGAATTAGGAACCTCCCCAAGTAGGGTTTTCCCCAAGATGCTGGGGAGAACACAAGGTCAGGTTCCTAGGGCCAGAGAGAAGGTCAGACAGGCATAAACTGGACAGGGGTAAGACAAAAGCCACAAGACTGTCAGCCATATAGCAAGTTATTGTGTGAAAGGCCCCCCATCCGTGGGTCAAACAAGTAGGCATTAGACCATACGGCAGGTAAAAGGTGTATTCCTTTAAATACCCATGTGGACCTCCCCTTCATTTTCAGTTAGAGCAGTCTTGGTAGCTGCTCTGGTACTGGAACTCCAATGTAGCTTGGGGCTCTCAAAACAGTTATTGAGCTAAACTTACCCACTGGAGGAGTCCCACAACTTACAGTAACGGGTCCTTTTGCCATGCTAAGTCAGTGGCTGGGACCAGCCCATTAGAAGAGTTATCACCTTGCAAACATGATGATGAATACACAGGGGCAGCAGCTAGGGCCGTCAGTCAATTTTGCTCGGTGAAACAGGAGATCTGTGATAGAGACAAATGCCTAGGCTTGTGGGTTAACATAAACTATGCAAGTTTTTAACTGTTTTAGATATTACGGTCACACAAAGCAATTTCTCTTTGGTATTATGTTTTTAACCAATCATCCACAAACTTACCGATTTTCTTCCTAATTACATTTGAATTGACATCTGTTTTTTTCAGTGCTAGGTCATAAATACAGAATTACCCTCATTTGCATGTTTTACTTTGCATTTGTTCAAGGCAAGATTTAGACAATAAAATGTTTGGAGGACCCAATTACTTTCTGCTCTTAACCTGGCCCGTCTCCTTTTAAAAGAGATAGATTCCTTGGTAACTAAATAGCCTGAATGAGAGAGTAGAGATAACTCAATTTGTCTCCTCTCTTCAACTAAAAGAACCCCACAGAGTTCATGTCCAATTGCTGTTGGGTCAGTTTTATTATTTTCATATCACATTGGTATCCACCTACACTTGTATGGATGAATAGCTAAGGGCTGATGATGCAATTCTGATGGTGTTTTATTTTATGAAAGCCAAGAAATACCAGCATATGGTTCCCATGGGAACCTCACCTCTGTCCCTTTGTACTACTCTAGTGATTGGAAAATAGCAGGTAAAGCAGCAATAATTGCTACTTTAGCTGGATAACACTGAAGGCTACAGCACAATGGGTGACACAAATAGGTTAGGATCCACATATGGAAGTTGTTTTTAAAAGTCTTGATTCTGATGCATTTATGAGCAGGACTCTGAGGGTGTGTATACACCATAGGATAATTTCTACTCTTTGGGATTTGATGCCTTATGTGCTGTTATACTACAATAAAGCACACGCTGTGTTCCTTGACTGCTGAAATAATTCTCAGTGATTCCATCAGTACCTCCCCAGCTCTAGGCATAATGGCATTATCCTCATATCTTTAAGTGGCTTTTCTTACAACCTGGCTAAATACAGCATAGGCCAGATGATATTGGGTGGAATTTTCAAGAGAAGATGTTTTTAGTCAAGTAGGCTCTCTTTCCAATTCTAGATCTTGGTTTTTGATGCTGGGTAGTCAGTCTCAATTTTTATTTGAATAGGCTGATATCCATCGTCCATATGAGTGGTCCCTGCTAAGGTGAACAAACTCAACTCAGGACCAGGTCTAAATATGACTGTGCAGTGCCTGATCACCAAATGATGTCATACGAAAGGTACTAAAGTAAGAGTTTTCTGGGGTTAAACAACTGCTTACCTTTGTACTGTGACCCGGAATGTATCCACGTAAGAGTTACTTCTCTGGCTTCAAAAATGATATAGTGTTGAAGGACATGGTGAAAATACATGTTATTTGGCTTTTAAACTTCCATCAGAACTGGGTTAAAATTCTTGTGAGAATTAATATCTGAAAACTCACCCACCTTAAAGTCATATAATAGTATCATGTATGATGTGCTCATTTTTAAAAATGGAGATGGGGAGAGGTCTTGAAGCCTTAGCTCTTTTAATCCTCATCTCTGATTCAGAAGAATAGTGATTGTTGAATCAATGACAAGGGAGGGAGAATGTATCTTACAGCCCTGAGGAGAAGTTTAAAGGTATTATTTAGTGCATTGTCATGAACATATATTAAATGAGCACTAATGGTTACCAGGTTCTATTACTATTGTCACAGTATACCAAACTGAATTTCTTTTCAGCCCCAAACAGCTAATGTATCTCCAAGTTATTACTAGGAAAGAATGATCCATCAGATAAAATGTAATTTACTGTATATTATAATAAATTTAGGGTGAACCTGTGTTTATGAATGTGTGTGTATACGTTTGTTTGTGTATGTGTCTTTACATATGTTCCATATGTATTTCACCTTCTGTCTTGCTTACCCCGTGTGACTCTGCTGGACACAGCTGAACCTCTCAGACACTACAGCCAACATCCTTCATGATAATAATCTGGTACCCTTTGTTCTGCATAGCATATTAGAGTTTTCAAAGTGCATTCATATTGGTTATCTCATTTAATGCTGTCCACAAATATATAAGGTATTCAAGTCTATTAGCTATGTAGAATCAAAAGCACTAGGGCTCAGGAAAGTTAAATAATTAGTCTAAGGTCACACAGTTTGTAAGACACAGAGATGGCTTTATAAACCTTCTCTTCTGATCCCTCTGATATTATTCTGGGTAGAAGTGAAATGATTGAGGAGATCCTATAGAGGAAAATGCCTCTGGATGCATGTGTGTTTCTAGGCACACCAGGAGTTGTGAGATTAGGCTGAGGTAGAAGGAAACACTTCTCACCTTAGACCAAAACCTGATGAAAATCACACTTATTGTATGTCATTGTTCATTGTTCAATACTAAGGTCTTATGAGGTCCTCTTTTTTTCCAAGTATTTTTAATACTCAACAATTCTTTCCATCATCACTTAAGGTGGGTCAAAATAATATAGTAATGATTATATTTAGCTGTGAGATTCTTTACTTCTTTATTTTTTATCATCAACCCTGCTTGCTTATGATTAAACAGTCAGCTTCAAAATCCCATGGAGAAACTATTCTGGGTGGGAGCGGGGAGCCAAAAATTTGATCTGAATATATACCTCATTTTTAAAGGCTTTTTGAGATTTTACCAGTATTGAGTAAAGCAAACTTAGTGACAAAGCTAAGACAGATTTTTTATAAAAAATCATTTAAGCAGAAATATAGCTCTCCTCACTGTCTTTCACTTAATGTCCATTGGTTCTCTTAGAACTCAAAATGCCTGACAGTCATTAGATAGTCAATTTTCTTTTCATTTCTTGGCTACAGGTAATAAGATAATTGCAAGATAATGAAAGAAGAGAATCAGGTGGCAGTCCAGTATTTCATCTACCGTTACCTGTAATCTAAACCTCTAACCCTCCTCCTCAACTCCACCACCAAATATTTGCTCTATGCAACTCCTTTTAATTTCGTACTCTTCGGGGAAGTAATGACTTATATGATCATGCTTTGGGCATAGCACTGCAATGAGGTCAAAACATTTCCAAGTATATTTCCTTTGCAATTCTTATTAGTAGCCTCACTCTTCTGTGAGCCCTCCCACAAATCTACCCCTCCCTAGTGCTCTCTATATTGGACTGTATTATTTCTCTTTTCATTTTGTGACAATTACTGGTGTAATACAATTTATCTTATTTAACTGCAAGTTCTTTAAAAATAGGCACTGCATTTTTCTCGCTCTTGTGTCCTATCACCTAAAATTATAATGGATTCATAGTAGTCAGGACTTAATACGTATTTGTTAAAGGAATAAATTGAAGGCGGGAAGGTTGGTATTAGGTATGTGTGCATTTAATTAAAAGAACTTAGTGTTTCTTTGTTTAAGTTCTTCATAACTATCAACTTTCACGAGAACAGATATCCTTTTAGAACAGATTCTTATGGAATTTTGTTTTTTATGTGTGTTTAATCTAAGTGTTGATATCTATGGGTCTTGTTTATATGCTTTGTTTCAATTACAGTTTTAACAAAACATTAATATATTTTATAGTATAGTACAACCACTTATTTTTTTAAATCTCTGAGTTCTTGAAATTCCATTTGTAGTGAAACATATATAAAGGTTAATCTGGGCATGCCTGAATAAAAACTTGGCCTTGTTTATCTTCCCCAAAGTTAAAAAAACTGTTTACATTCATAATCTATTTGTCTAATATTTTTAAGCAGAATGTTTTATAAAAAGTACATTTTCTGAGAGCCCTGTTCTTTTTATCTTTCTCTCTATCCTTTTAAAAATGTATTTATTTCATATTCTCTTTGTGTTCAATATAGCTCAACAATGGTTTTGTCTACATTGATTAACATTTGTTGAATCAAGAAACAATTTCATTTGGGGGGAATAAGTGAAGCATTTTGTATTATGAATCTACTCACAAACTTGTCACTTGCCTCAATTTTTCATTGCTGAACACATAACTTGCACTCATAATAATACATTTGATATCACAGGTATAATCTGTACTGATGTTGCCCTTCAGCCACTGGGTTCTAAGAAAAAGTTTTGCTTTTTCTGTGAAATTTTTGCTTTATTGACGTATCTTCAGAACACCAGCATATCCAGAGCATTTAAAAATTCATTTGCTAGATGTTTCTTTTACAAAATCCCAAGCATATTGATGTTCCACTTATCCAAATGTTTGGTGCAATGGAGAGAGTGCCAGTGAAGTAGCCAACAAAGAGGAACCTCACTGCTTCTAGACAAAACGTTTAAATAGAAATCTTTTGGCAACCTTTCCTCACTTTTTTCTTTACTACCTTCCCCCCCACCATTATTCCTTCTTCTCTTAATCTTTCGTAAAGCTCAGCTTGTCCATTTATGAAATATCTACCACATAGAATCAAGAATTAAATGAGATGATGGAAAGTTTATTCTGTACTATTATACTCTACACAGATACATAGGATTATTTTATTAATATTAATAAAGCCCCTGCTTTTTATTATATTACTTAAAGCTAGTTTTCATAGAGAATAGCAATCAGATAAATGAAGGTACATTAAAGCACATTAATAATAGTTGAATTTACCATATCAGGTGCATAATACATTACAAAGCCAAAGAAATGAACCTCTATTGATGGGTATTTATTTGGGTACTTAAATAGTGGGTATGGGAGTGGGTGATATCTAAAGAATGAAATATTTTGTGCAGAGAGTCTTTCTGGAGCTTCTGAAAGCACATCTCAGTGGTGACCATCTAGTTTTTCTATGAATTAGGTTTCTTTTGGGGGAAACCTCAACATTTGGAGGGATCTGTAGGTACTTCTATATTGTTCAAACACAGATGGCAGGTGAAGAGGTGAGAAGATACATGGCTGAAAAGGCAGGTAGGTTCTTTTGTCATGGATGACCATATTTGATGGTAAGGAGTTTTAATTTTTATCCTCAATGAAATGGTGAGCTCCCCCCAAAATTTGAAGATGAGTGTGACATAATTGAATTTCTGTTTTGTGGAGAATACTTTAAGAGAGGTAACAGTAAACCAGTTAGAATGGGCATGACTGTGACTGTAAACTAGAGAATGAATTGGAGTGGGAAAAAGTAGAGGTAAGGATCAAGTGGGAGGCCATTGAACAAATCCAGGACAGAGATGGTGTGAGTTTAAACTAGAGTATTTACTGGACAGAAGCAGGTGTATCTGAAAGGTCAGGATAAGAAAGACTATAGTAATTTGTGGAGCTGAAAGAAGTCCAGTAGAGCTGGAGATTTGAGTGCCAAGTGTGTTGTGTTGAGAGGTAGAGCAGGGATATATATATAGGAACAATGTCATGTAAGACCATGTATATCATATCGAGGAGTTTGGATTTAACTTATGGCCACATGAAGCCATGGAAAGGTTTTAAGCAGAGGAGTAAAATACCAGAGTAGAATTTGGAGTGAGTTTGGTAAATGGATGGCAGGAAAAAAAAATCAAACCAGCTAGAAACAGAGATGCCAAAAAATTATTGCTTAAAAAATTATTTTTTTTTGTGGCCCCTAAACATTGTAACCAAGACGTTTTGTTCTTTTCCACTTGACATGTCTAAATTCGTGAGGTCCAACATCCCAAGCACATTCAGATTCTCACAAGAGACGAAGGTAAGTATGTATTTGTTAGTTTTTATTCAGGGCAGAGAAAACAAGGGATATTAGGTATGTTTGTCTACATTTTTTGCTTTGTCTCTAATGACAATAGACAGTAGAATGACCTGGGTTGCATTATTAGTATACAGGAGAAATCATGCATATAGAATAATGTATGGTGCAAATCTCCATTTTCTTTTCTTTTCTGTTTTCTTTTCTTTTCTTTTCTTTCCTTTCCTTTCCTTTCCTTTCCTTTCCTTTCCTTTCCTTCTTTTTCTCTTTCTCTCTTTCTTTTCCTTTCTTTTTTTTTTTTTTGGACAGAGTTTCACTCTTTCACCCAGGCTGGAGTGAAGTGGCATGATCTTGGCTCACTGCAACCTCTGTCCCCCGTGTTCAAGTGATTCTCCTGCCTCACCCTCCCGAGTAGCTGGGATTATAGGTGCCCGCCACCATGCCTGGCTAATTTTTGTATTTTTAGTAGAGACGGGGTTTCACCATGTTGGCCAGGCTGGTCTTTAACTCCTGACCTCAGGTGATGCACCCGCCTTGGCCTCCCAAAGTTCTAGGATTACAAGGCGTGAGCCATTGCACCTGGCCTCCATTTTCTTTTTAACCTTCATGCATTTTCATTCATTACTTTTTACTTTTTGCTTCCAAGGGAACTAGAAGTGATACAAACCAAGGAAGGTAACATGCCTATTCAATCTATTCATTTTTTCAAATAATGAAAAAGGCTTTTAGACAGATATCCCTCATGCCAATGGAACTGTTATAGCCAGACTTTCTCCAAGCTGGAGAACTCCTTTCCCTTTTGTGTTGTTTTATAGATCGTGGCCATGCTACAGAAGTAATTTTAGATATAGTAAGAAATTCATGAAGAGAAAGAAATTCCTCCTGCATTCTGTAACCAGTTGTTTGTTGCCTGAGGACTCTCATACACCATATCTAGAGATCAGTGCCACCTCACTTGGCTCATTTCTACCATTAATATAATTTTTCTTTGACAAAATGGCCCAAGAAGGCTAAAAAAAAGGCTCATTTAGTTAATCTTTGGCCAAATATATTTTGTTTGATTTTCATCTTACTCTCAGAACTTCCCATACCACCCCAGTGTCACTTTTTTTTCCCAGATTTGTAGTCAGATTGGAATGCACTTACAGTTACATAGTCAGGGCCACCAGAGCCCTTTTTAGTCTCTCAGACATGGAGACAATGTGATACAGGGATTGATAGTAAGGGCTTTGGAGTCAGACAGGTCTGAGTTAGCATCTTGGCTCTGCAGCTCGCTAACCTAGTAATCTTGACCAGTTATTTAACCTTTCTGAATCTCTATTTCTCCATCTGTTACCTAAATATACTAACAGTGCCTACCTTGTGAAAGTTATCATAATAACTAAATGAAATTATACATGTCAAATTTTTCAGTGCTTGGGATTTTGTAGTCACCCAGTAAGTGTTACTTATTGTCATTATCACCCCTCACTGTATAACATAATTGTGGTATATACATTACTTTTACTTTTAACATTCCCATTGTAAACCAGGCACCTCTCTTTCTTTCTCTCTGTCTTTTTTGTTTACCCAAGGGAAATAGGATAAAAAGGTGACACTTCAGCATGGCTGGAAAGAGGTAGTCTAGACTTCTGCCTCACTGTCTTCTACTCTTTCCCTGAGCCTGAGTCTTTGAGGGGAAAGTAGGGCTGGCTTAGTCATCATTATAAATAGATAAATTCAGTCTCTTCCTTTTCATTTGTCCTAAGCCTACCACCTTCAGTCTTGGCTGCTCTGCACTAACCCACATAGGTATCCACATTCCTGACACTATCTTCAGATATCTTATGGTGGAGACTTGTCAATTGCAAAAATTGATCCATTGCCATAACCCATTCCTCTTCAAGGTCATTCTCTTTATCTTCCCCTACCCAAGGAAAAGTTGCCACTGACAATCACATCTGAGCATTTAAAACCTTATCACCTCAGAGAAGCTATCTTCTATAGTTCTTGTCTCCAGAGATTTTCTCTGAGAGTGAAATACAAAGCAATTTATTTGTAACTTCTGAATGCTTACACTCCTTCTTGGTTCTGGTGGAGTACATTACTCCCAGGTTGCATTTTCAAGGCTGTTTTTTTTTTTTCTTTTTTTTCTTTTTTAATGAACTAGTCCCAAGACCGGTCTTTCTTCAATGTATTGGACAGAGGATTTTTTTTTTCTTCTGAATACTGTATGGATGGAATTCCTTTCCATCCCTTTTCTGCTCTTCATACCACTGGGAGTGCTGTGAGGGTTAGTTAAAATTTTGCAAAACTCTCTGAGCTCCTTGGATGAAAGACATCACAGAGAATGAAAATATATGGAAAATAAATAAGTCATGCTAATTGGTTGCAACGGATCTCTAAAAGTGCCCCAAGACTCTATTGCTCCAATCCAGCATAGTGCAGTGTTTATCATATATACAAATTCGGGAAATCTCCTTGGAGAGAAGCAAACCAAATTTTGAGTTCTAAAAAGCAATATACGAAGTCAGAGGGAAATGTCAAGGGAGGCAACCAATAGCCAAGCAGTCAGACATCCTGAGACACAAATAAACAAACTGGATTATAGTGCAGGATGAGGCAAATGAGATTTTTCAAAGGGCATATTTTGAACACACAGGGAAACACCAATTTGTATTATTTCTAAGCATAATGTGCCAAGCACTGGCTAAATGCTATAGCTTCAGGGATCTCTGTTTAAATAATTGCGTAGTTAGTGGTTGACATGGAAGACATGGAGTAGATATGAGAGAAAATAAAGAGGTTCAAGTGACTTGAGTCACACTGAAAAACAATTTGAAAGTTTTATTTATGAGCTGACATTTGAGCTCCTAAAGGGCAGGACACATGTCTTCCTCAGTGCCCAAGATTCATGCATTTACAATAATGGTTCATTTCAGCTGTGATGTTTATACTGTAAGAGAGTTACAGATATGTGAGCAATATTTGCGTTCAACACCCTTCTGTGTTTGATTACCCCATTCCCTGTCCCAGGTACTCATTGCGCTCATTCAGCCCTTAACCTCATTGATCATCGTGGGTAGCCTTCCAAACTCCAAAACATTCTTGTCTACCCTAACCTCCTCCACTCATCAAAACTTAGCAATCCACTGTCATATTTGCTTGAGGCCATTATCTTTATTAAGCAAGCTAATTCATTTCCCTTCCTAGAGCATACATTTACATTTTGTCTGTGTCCTTCAGTTACTAAAACCGATGGAGAAACAGTTGAAATTTTAGGAATTAAACTGGGGTCAGTAGAAGAGAAATTTATTTTTTATTTTTGGAAGGAGGTAGAGAGTATTTTCAGCACCTATCATCTAATGTCTTCGAGTTATCTAGTGGCTTTACATACTATTTACAGCTAGAGCAGATCTGACTATAAAAAATATGTGTACACACAATACTGAGCTAGCCTGGTATAACAGCAGAAGTCTTGGCTTGGTCCTTCAGAGGACAATGGCTATGGTCATAGCTCTACAGTGCTACCATGCCATTCCAACCCTAGAAGAAGAAAGGTTTTTAAAAAATCCTGTCTTCAGAATTTGAGAAATACAGATAGGCTTAGTATCAGATTGAACAGATGCAGGGAAGAAGGAGAAATGCCTGTTAGTGAGGGGATATAGTAAAACAAATATTTTGTTAACATTAATAGTCAATATTTTTTCAGTTGTGGTAGTTAATAGAAAATAACTTGAGCTAGGTTAGCAGGCCTTTCTTGTATAGAATTGGGGCAAATGAGTGTGGTTGCTGATGGGTGGAAATAAGAAGATCCAAGCCCGGCTTTATAATTTTTATTGGAAAATACAAAAAGTTAATTATGGAATAAGGAAATAATAGATCAGGAACGAGAGAAGGGAGGGTTAGATATGACTTAGAGTAAAGATCGGGATTAGCTACTATGTTATGATGACTAGGGTTTTGAAGAGATGAGTGGATGAGGACAATTTTAAAGAACTTTTGTAATGTGTCAACTTTGGAACCTCTTCGCAGCATTTTCCAAGATATTTCAGTAAATATGTTAATAGTTTTCAATTCTTTTTTTCTATTTTGTTTTTGCATATCTTTGTATGCAGCACTGAGTTGAGACTGAATTACATGGTGGCTTAGCTTTATACAGGTTACGTAACAGTACAGACTTGTCTTAAGGAACCCAAGGACAGTGTTATGGGCTGAATTGTGTTCCCCCTAAAATTCATATATTGAAGTCCTAACCTCCAGTACTTAAGAATGTGACAGTATTTGGAAGTCATTAAAGGGGTAATTAAGATTAAATGAGCTCATTAGGGCAGGCCCTAATCCAATATGATGGGTGTTCTTGTAAGAAAAGGAAATACGACAGGGACACACAGAGAGGGGAGACCACATGAAGGCACAGGGAAAAGATGGTCATATACAAGCCTCGGACAGAGTTCTCAGAAGAAACCAACCTTTATGACACCTTGATCTCAAACTTCTATTCTCTAGAAATGCGAAAAAATAAGTTCCTGTTGTTTAGGCCACCCAGTCGTAGTAGATTGTTGTGGCAGCCCCAGCCAACTAATACAGGCTACAGAAAAGCATCTGGGTCTAAAAATCGACTAAAATAAGAAAATAGAAAGCTGCTATAAACCCAGGGAATACTGTTGATTGCTTGTTTTTCTTTCTCTGCTTCACTTTTGTCCTATACTGAAGACAGTTTTCTTTGTTTCCATGCCCATGTGGCAAAATATGGTTGCCCTACTACTCTCGAATTTAGAACCACATTATAAAGATTGACTTGCCATTCCTAAATCATGTATATAAATCTCCAGAGGAGAAAATTTGATCATCTCAGTTTGGCTCATGTGTCTGTTGCTTGCCAAACAGCTGTAAACCAGTGGTGGGAGTGTGGTGGTACATACGTGATTGTCAGAGGCTCATTTCTGCAAGCCTCAGTTATTACATTTCCTTGTCATTTCTAGCTCCGTCGATGCTCTTATTTTACCAATGCAGCCATGCTTTAAAATAGATATCTAAAGATATTTTATCTAGCATTTTGAGATATTCTGTATGAAGAGGTGTTATGGGCAGAAACATATATTATAAAGTATATGTAACATACTAGGCTAGATCAGTTCCTAGATATATAATATATACAGTAGGTGTGCATAGATCCTTAGGTTTGTGGTTGATGGACTGAAGGAGACAATAGAAGGAGGACAAAAATTAAGAATACTATCAATAAGGAAATGGAGCACAAGATACTTCCATTGTAAAGGTATATTAATATCATTTGTACAGTCTTAAGAGAAAGACAGCTGAACCATTTAGCCATTCAGCAGGTGTTAAATAGCTCTCTGGTTATGTGAGGAGGCATTGCATTTTTTTCTCTTAATGGAAAGCAAAATAAACATTTATTTTTAAGAATTTCAATTTCAAGTGAGACATTTGCATAGCACCACTAGCATCTAAATCTTTTGAAAGGCTTTTTGTAAGTCATTTCAAGGACTCTAAAATAATGCTCCTTTTTATAGTTTGACTGCTTGGCATTAAAGACAGAGCTGAATGTTGCCCTTCATGATGCAGTATGAAAAAAAAAAACATAGATTTTCTTTCTTTCTCTGCTCTAAACAGCTTTGTGACTCTTAAAGGAGAAACTCTTTGAAACTCAGACTGTGTAGTTCTGTTTGGTCATTCTCCTGTTTGACAAACACTTTCCCCCTCTTCATTACTTTAATTTCAAAGTACATCAGACCTTCATGTCTCTGTGTGAAGAACTAAACTGCATATTTAACCACACCTTTTTTCTAAGGGAGGCTAGTCAAGAGTTTTAAGCAAATAAACAAGCCCCACCAAAAGATCAAAAAACACATTAAGTATATTTGTTGTTTAGTTAATATTACCTTTCCTTCTATTACTTTCCAGGTAAAAGAATGGCCTTAACCATATACTTACAGGATTTATATGGTTATGTATAACATGTAAATATACACATGCATATATATATCAAATATGTGTGTATACATACAAATTACTTGTATTATATCTGAGGGCAGCATACACTATAATATATGGCAGCCCAATTAAAAACACTTTGAAACTTTATTTTTTGTTTAATGGAGAAAATATTGAGCAATAATGGTTATATTATAATCAGCCCCATGAGGGTCAAATGACATTTGTGACCTTCTCTTCAACCACATTGATCAAGTGTGTATTTTTCAAATCCTTCTTTTCTGGATTCATCAAAACAAGTTAAAGGTCCTATGAAAATTCTTCAGATTTACATTCTACCTCAGTTTTCAGGTGTCAGGTCATCAAAACAGAGTCAGGAAATGTTTAATAGGTGTGGCTTATTGGTAGGTTGTATGACACTCTGGGGGACAAAAAAGAAGCAAATGCAAATACACTTTGAAATGGAGTTTGAGGGCTAGCTAAAATTTGGCACTAATTTTCACTGGAAATTCACTGGCTTCACCTACATTTATTACTGATGGGATCTTTTGACCTCATGCACAGAAAAATCTGACGATAATGGATATTAAAGTACTTTTAGGCCTTGAGCACATTGTTAAGGATTCAGTGAAGGCTGAAAGCCTGAATTACCCTCTGGGTTGGAATAGGTGGTTGCTGATAACTAGTAATGCATTTGTTCAGTGCTTCTAGTTTCATTTGCAAATGTCGCTTCATTAATTCATTTGTTTTTTTCATTTATTCATGTCATTTATTGCTACAATAAGTGCTGACTGAGGGCCCATTGTATGCTGGCATTGTGTTAGACACCAAGAATCTAGTGGTCAGCAAATGCCCTCATTCTCCTTTCTTCCTGACACAATTGCTTCAGGGTTTAAACCTTAATTACAGTCAATATCTTTTTGGGGTAGAAGCTAAATCTCTTGTAAAAGGAAAATGTGGAAGTTTTAAACTTAAAATCTCTTATCTCTTGGTCTTACTCTGGCTCCTTAACAACATAGTCCATGTGTCTGTTACTTTTCCCATGACAGGAGCTAATTAGTGGTCATTCCTAGTTGTGTACCTCATCTCTGAAAATATCAGTTCTCAGGGCTAATTCATCAACCCTAAAAGTTCTTACTAGAAAGTGATCATTATTTAACAAGAACAAGAGAGAAGAAGGCTGTGGGAGATGTACTGGCTACAGGAAAATGGTTTTAGGGTCATTGACAGAGGCTAATTTCTTTCCATTAGAAGGTATAGCCACAAACTCTTAGTAAATAAATAAGGTATTTAATCAGAGATACGAAGTTAGTATGTTTTCCATCTACACCTTTTTGGAAGTATTACTGTAACTATAACATATACAGTGTTATACCAATATATACCTAGTTTTTTTTTTTTTACTGGTACTAGCTTTATGAGTTTTATTTATTCACATCACATGCATGCCTGGAACTAAGTAAGCTACATATTGAAATTTCAAAAATGAATAATTGCATCTTGTCTATCACCACATGCTATTTGCCTGTTAAAAACAACCGTGTGATCGAGGGATTATTACTTTTCTATTACAGGTGAGAATATTGAAGCATAGAGAGATTATATTCCTTGAAAAGTCAAGGATCACATAGCAAAAATACATACTAGCTAAGACTAACCTAGGCCACCTGACTCAAGAACTCATTATGTGCCAAACGTAATGTTAGATGCTGGGGATGCAGTAGTGAGAAACTAAAACAAGTTACCTATTCTCTTCAAGCTCACTGACTAGTGTGGAAGACGTATATTTATCAAATAACTTAACAAATAGTTGTGAAATTACTGATGTGGCAGTGCTATAAAGGAGAGGCAAATGGTCAATGAGATTTTATAATATGGAAATCTGACTAATTCTAGGTGATTAAGGAAGGCTTCCCTTAGCTAGTGATGCTCAAGTTGAATGCATAGGTTGAGTTGGCATTAAAAGTGGGGGTAGAGGACACCTTCATAGAGAGAAGGTGGTCTTAGAATAAGCTGGAGAGGTAGTTCTAGGCTGAACCATAAAGAGCTTAGACTGGTTACATTAATGAGTCTGTATCCTATTTACAATGGAAATCCAATGGAGAGTATAAGCATAGATGGAGTGAGGTAACATGATTACATTTGCTTTTCACAAAGATTCCCCTGGCTGTAGTATTGAGAAAATATGGGATATTGGTAGATTCATGTACATTACTGAGGAAGCAGTTGTATTTGTCTGGACAAAAATGATGATAGTTAAGAGCAGGCTAGAGGAGAGAAGTGCACATATTTGAAAGAAATTTAGGAAGTAAAACTGTTATGTCTTAGGGATGAATTGGATATGAGGAGTAAGAGAGAGGGATGTATTCAGGATCAGGGAACATGATCAGATATATGTTTTAAAAAGGTGATTTCTGAGCCAGTGATCTCTCTTTTTCATTGTGGTCACTTTATTGTACTTTCAAAAGCTTTAAAACTGGAGAGAGACCTCAGAGAGTCGTAATGGTTGCTTCTATCTTGCTCCTTATGTAAAGACAGAGAAATTATGGTTGCTAAAGTAACACAACTAACAAGTGGCAGAACCAGGATTGGGTCCAGGTTTCCAGACCTCCACCTACAATTGTGGCTCACTCCAGAATGGAAAGTCCTTATATTCATAGGTTACACCAGTTAGTGTGAGAGGTCTGGGATTGTGAAAAGAGGTTTGCCTTGGAGGTAGTAGACAGGATGGTGATCAGAAAATTTGAGCAGAAGAGACAAAGGGCAAAATTTTTTACAAAATTATAGATGGTAGGCTTGGGTAAAGATGATTATGTTTGAAATATATCCTATTCTTGAACTGGCCGATGATTGCACAGTATCCATCCCTCACATTTGACTATTTCTATTTAATTGAATAAAGAGCAAATTCTTGTCAAACCTGATATATAGATATGCATCATTCTGCAGTAGACTGCCACCAATGGATTTGAAGTCTGTGAGAATGAAACTTATTTCTTATCAAAACCATTTAAACATCTTTGAAGTACAGAAAAGAATACATTCTGATATTTGTATAGTGCCTATTTTTTAATTTTGTCTTTATTTTATTTTATTTTATTTTATTATTGAGACAAAGTCTCGCTCTGTCATTGGGCTGGAGTGCAGTGGTGCAATCTCGGCTCACTGCAACCTCCGACTCCCTAGTTCAAGTGATTCTCCTGCCTCAGCCTCCTTAGTAGCTGGGATTACAGGCATGCACTACCACCCCCAGCTAATTTTTGTATTTTTTTTTTTTTTAGACGGAGTCTCGCTCTGTCACCCAGGCTGGAGTGCAGTGGCGCGATCTCGGCTCATTGCAAACTCCGACTCCCTGGTTCAGGTGATTCTCCTGCCTCAGCCTCCCGAGTAGCTGGGATTACAGGCACGCACCACCACCCCCAGCTAATTTTTGTATTTTTAGTAGAGATGGGGTTTCATCATTTTGGCCAGGATGGTCTCGATCTCCTGACCTCATGATCCGCCCACCTTGGCCTCCCAAAGTGCTGGGATTACAGGCGTGAGCCACCATGCCCGGCCTATGCCTATTTTTATAACTTTATCTCTTTAACATTTTCCATTCTCCAAGGAGGGACTTGGAGACAAGCAATCACCCATTCACCATGTTGCAGCTGTGAGCAGGTTTTTGGAGATGTGTTCCTGTGTGGCACTGCGATAGGGTATAGTGATTAGAGGATTGAAAAAGTGAAGGAGCTTTCAGATAGGACTGTCCTTCCACCTAGAAAATATCTTCCCATGACAAAGCATTATTGGTGTAATGTGCAGGAAAGCGGTGATGGAAGCATATGTGCTTATGATAGTTCAAAACAAATTGTATCATTCTGTTCTGATTCTTTAAAATAAAAAATCATAACTTTCCTTTTTATTTTCCCTTCCCTTCCTCTACCCATCCCTTGCATTTCTTCCATTTCATGTTCTTTCCTTCCTTTCTTCCTGAAAAATTCACTCTTGAGTCCACTAAGTAGGGCACAGAAATATAAATGTCTGAGCCTGATTGGATAGGGAGCTGTGGTGGTACAGAGGTGTGAGAGCCTAGAGGGGTAAAGAGGGCATCTGCATGGCAGGACTGTATGGGATGTTACAGCATGAACAGGGTGAAGAGGGCATCTCTGTGGAGGAGCTTAAGTAGGATGAGGAATGCATTCACCCAAAGGAAACCCTCATAGGGTGGCATAGTTTGGTTGGGGTAAGATGAAATAAAAGCCTACACTTTTATTAGATTAAACAGACCCAAAATTACATTTTAATAAATATAATGAGAACAAACATCATAGGAAAAAAATTATTTACTTGCCAAAACCCTAAATTAGTCATTGAAAGTGTAAGTATAGGCAATTAACGATCACGTGAGTGAAATGGTGATTCCTCATACTAGATGCCTATATGAACATTCTAAAAGACACTGTGTATATCACGATTTAAAGTTTTCAATGTGACAAATGAGCCTGCTTCTAGCTAATGAATTTACATAATCTAGGCTGGATTGATGACAATGCTACTCCCAAGAAGTAATGTACATATAACTCTCCTATGTTTTGTTTTAGTAACATTTAGAGGAGAGAAATGCACTTCATAAATATGTTGACAGGAATAGAAGACATTTCCAAGCATTTCGGCAAGCCGAAGTTATTATTTTTAACTTTTATTCAAAATAAAATAAATGATTCTATAGTTTCAAAATTCATCTTCAAGTGTTCACTGATAATCATTTCTAAAAATTTCCCTGTAAAGTTATAGTAAAATGATCTTTTATTGAAGGAAATGGATTTTAGAGCTTTAGATTTTATTTAAACATTTGGGTTTAGTTCATGAACTAATCTTAAAATATTTAATGTAATGTGGTTCTACCACACATATGTCTATGACACAGCTTTCATCAAATGTGAACCATCACGTCAGTTCAACAACATCTGAGTTCAATGACAAAGGCAGTTTCTTAGACACTGTGATTATGTGGCTATAGAAGTTTCTAAACTCAGTGGTTATACTTATTTCCTTGTGGACTGGTAACAGCTTGGGCAACAGAGTAAGAACCTGTCTCAAAATAAAATAAAATAAAATAAAAAATAAAAGACAGTAACACGAGGTTTAAATAGTTTACTCAGGTTATTGACTACCTTGTCTCTTAATTTCTAGGAAATATACTGAACTTCAGCTAAGTCAGGAAGTTCCTGACAGGCACCCTTACATTTCCTGCCCTTACTGGGGAAATATGAATTGGGGAGCTGATATTTTGAAGTTGCCTAATGGCTTCATGGAGATCCCATGAGATTACAAAAGTGCCTGAGGTGAACTTTCCAGACAGCAGTCTGGGCAAATATACTTGATTCTGGGTCACTTGTCAGAATTTTGAGGGCTTCTGGCAACTGCTTCTCTCTTTATTCTTTAACATTTTTGGGCCTTCGATAAGTGGTCTTTATAAGTAAGATCACTTTATTGGTAATAGAACAAATGCCATGTTGTCTTCCCTTATTATTCTACCTTGAGTATTAAGCCGCCAAATTTAGCCTTATAATCATCAAAAGTATGAGCTAGATATAAGAGTAATGAAAGACAGCACAGCAGACATATATTAGTACCAATACACCAATAGAGAATTCCTTGGCTAAGAAATTCCCAAAGGGAATTGACCTCTTCCTCCTATATTACAAAATGACCTCAAATTGCATTTATGGGCCTAAGGTAGCTGGAGTGTATCTATTCTTCTTTTATCTGGCATGTTTATTATTTTTTGTTAGTGGTGGTGTTTATGGGATTGCTCCGCTCCTGTTTAGCATGTACATGCACATTTTCTGTGTATAGTTGCACTTTTTTGTGGTTCAGTTGTTTTAATTATGTGTTTTAAGGACATTGTTTTATCATGGGTATTATTAATTGTTCAATTATCATTCTGTTCCTGCTTTTATGTGTATGACGTAGCAGCCTTGAAATATTAGAGAAGGACAAACCTAGCCTCCCATCCCAAGAAGGGACAGCTTCACAGTCAGCCCATCTTTTTTTTTAAAATATCTCTGAAAAACAACCAGAATGGGTAAAGAATAAAAAGTGGCAGCAGCCATCCTAATCTCTGTCTTCTAGTTAACTTGAACTAGCCACTAAGCCCTGATTCCAATAAGATATTTCTCTTTATTTTTCCAATTTTTATTTTAGATACGGGGGTACATGGGAATATTTTGTGATGCTGGGTTTGGAGTATGGATCCTGTAACCCTGGTAGTAAGCATAGAACACAATAGGTAGTTTTTTTTAGCCTACCCCTCCCCCCACCTTCTAGTAGTCCACAGTGTCTATTGTTTCCATATTTATGTATATCCATACATGCTCAAAGCTTAGCTCCCACCATAATTGAGAACATGAGGTATTTGTTTTTCTGTTCCTGCGTTAATTTGCTTAGGATAATGGTCTCCAGCTCCATCTATGTTGCTGCAAAGGACATGATTTCATTCGTTTTATTGTTATGTACTATTCCATGGTATATAAATACAAAGTTTTGTTTATCCAGTCTACCATTGATGGACGCCTGAGTTGATTCCATGTCGAATAAAACATTTCTAATAATAAATGCCACCACTACATTTCATTGTAAAAGAAAAAAAAGATGACTCTGAGCTATCCATAGCCCAATTTTGACTTCTAAAAAACAAACTAGAAAATGACTGTCTTCAGATTTGGGGATTTTTTTAGGAGTAGAAATAATTACAGTCTTTCCCAATTTCTTTTGGTAAAAAATTATAGAGACAAAATAACCTTTTAACATTTAAAAAATCAACTCAAATTTGTTTGGATTTGATAAGCAACATCTTTCTGTTTTCTTATATTTGAATAACATCTCCTGGGTAATACTTAAAGAAAAATGAATTAATTTGGACATTGTTGAAATTAATTGAAAATCACAGTTTCTGAATGAGTATCACAAAAAGCCTACCACGCTCTAATTGTATTATTGTTTTTCCTAAATGTATAGTATCTTGATGTTTCTAAGATATGGCTTAATTACTCTTACTGCAGGTTTAACTATTGTCTATTTAGAAGAGAAAAACCATATATGTGTACATATATATGTACTGCATATGTATTTCATATACATATTCTTATTAAATATTATTTTATGTATCACATCTTGATAAAAGTAATTTTTTTTGTTTTCTGTTAAGCATAGTTTCCAATGTTTAAGACTTCAAGCTTCTGAACAAAATATCATTCTTCCTCATGACATATGTATATGGACAACTCACATATATGTTTCTTAACAGTAGGATGTGCTTAAATCATTGTTAGAGAGTTCTTTACTGATCAATATAAAGTAGGTCCCATTCCTTTCTGCCATTCTTTATATTTTATCCTTGTTTGCTTATTTCAAGGTACTTATCACAATTTTAAATAACTTTATTAACTTTCTATGTACTTTATTTGTCCTCCCTCTCACTTCCACCAGAATGTAAGCTTTATGAGGCAGGGCTTATGCCAGACATGTTCACTATTGTATTCTTGTACTCAAAACATTGCTTGGTACATAGTTGGAGCCTAATAAATTTCAATAAAATTAACAAAAGTTCTTTTAATTCTTAATGTACTATGTCACTGTTCCAATGAGTCTGTGAGACATATGTATCCCATTTTTTCTATTTGTTTTATTAACATGTAATAGTCAGAGAAGCCAAGTATCATACATGACCAGTAAATCAGTGCCTCCAACACAAATGATGCAAAGATGATACCTAATACTGGATAGGAACAAGAAAGGGTGAAGTAAAAAAAAGAGAGAGAGAGAGAAAAAAAATGTAGTCATTAAGCAGTCTGTATAGTAGAAAGAAAAACAGCAGGTAACAAGCTGGTAATGTTCGAGGTCTCTGTGTTAGTGTTAGAGTGAGAAGGACCCTGGTTGGGAAATCAGGAGATCTTGGTTTGAATCTGAACTCTGTTAACTTACTGGTTGTATGACCCCAAACAAATGACTGAAATTTCTTAGATCTTGATTCCACAACCCTAAAAAGAGGGTAGTAAGAGCCTCATATTCTACAGTGAATATTAAATGAGATAACATATATGTGAGTTCATGGACAGACAACTACATTTTATATTAACCATGAAATTTAAATTCAGCCACTTTTAAAATTCTTTTAAATTATTGTTTTTTTGGCTTTACCACTTACTTCAGTAAGTTATTTAACGTGTCTAGGCCTCGGTTTCCTCATCTGAAAAGTAGGCATAATTGTGCCTACCTATTTGGGTCACTGAAAATTATCTGCGACATTACCTTGAATGGTGCCTAATACATAGAAATGGGTGCAGTTGTTATGGGTAATAATAAACTTTGATCCTTTCAAAGCCTGTTGGGGGTTGAGAGGGAGGTAAGAACAAGAACTTGCATTACAGGAGCCAACATCAGAGAGGCACATAGGAAGTAAAGAGGGGGCACTGGTACTAATATTCTACAAAGATTGATTTAGAGATTCTGTGATCCACTATAAGCTCCCAGATTAGCGCCTGAGTTAAAGAAAACATCTGAACTTTCTGGAGTTTGGTGTTTTGTAACAGTATAATGCCACTTCCTTACTCCTCAATTCCTATAACTGTTCTAAAAATAATCAAAATAGTGGTTTGGTGACACTTTGAAAGTATAAACATGTTATAGAACTGCTTAATGAGAAAGTACAAAAGAATATACTTCATCTTGTTCAACAGTAAGTGTTGGACAGATAATACTATAAGGTCAATAGTAATGATAATAAATGATATATATTTCCACCCTTAGAGTCAAAGAAAATAGACCAGGTAAATTTGCAGAAAAACAGGATCATTTTCTTAGATAGAACATGTGGTGATAGAGATTTGAGGGAGGAGAGTTTGAAAATAGTTTAATGAGATTCGATAAAAGCAAACTTAAGTACCCTTTGCTGAGCTAAGACAGCTTGCCATAAACCTTTTGGGAGTGAAGGCTGAGACTGGGAAAAGCCTTCTCCTGAATCACCACTCTTCTCACCATTTCTATTTATCTGTCTCATTCAATGGGTTTGCTCTACAACTATTTGCTATGTGAAGAAGCTTTGCATTGAATGAGCTCATCTGGACTATGGCCAATGATGTGCTGATAAATGTTTAAAAACTGCCTCCCTGACAACAAACTCTGATTTGTAACATTTGCCAGTTTCCATGGTAGAAACATTCCCACCATGGCTTATTTTCAGCTACCAGTGGTTTAACTGTTAGCTTGAAAAATACTTGAAAATATAACAATCAGCTCTTGTGGCCTAGTCGTAGGCAGCTCCAACATACCACTTACTCTGGCTACAATGCACATGGCTTCTGGAATAGGTTATGTGGGATGACTGAGGCAGAGAAGGACGGCTTCATAGGAAGCTCAGCTGAGATATACTCAACATCTGATTCCACCATGATAGCAGTACTTTATATTGAATCCCATTATATTCTCTTTAGTAAATACAATCTATATTTTAAGTTTCTGCAAATGCTTAATTATTAATTCCCTAGGGTTTGGCTTCTTTCAGTGTTGCCTTCCATTATTTTATATTGGTTCAGATATTCTGAAGTATCCCAATCTATTGTTTTAGAAATGGAATTTTAAGCCTGTGTCTTTGTTTGCACTGAATGTGGCCATTTAGTTAAACTGGCCAGTCATTTCAGTCTAAACATTCAGGAAAATTGATTCAATTCTCAAAAGCAGTTGATGTCCAGCAAGTACCTATTCTCTGCCTGGCTATGTGCTAACCACTTGCCAATATGAGTGCAGAAAATGCAACTCCTGCCTTCACAGAAATCATCATCTTGCACACAAGTCAGTTACTGTTATGGGCTGAATTGTGTCCTCTCAAAATTCACATGGTGAAATCCTAACATTCAGTACCTCAGAATGTGAACATATTTGGAGATTGGGCTTTCAAGAGGTGATTAAATTAAAATGAAGCTGTTAAAGTGGGCCCTAATCCAATCTGACTGGCATCCTTAGAAGTAGAAAACATTTGGGCACACAAAGAGACACCAGGGATGCATAGGCATAGAGAAAAGACCATGTGAGGATACACTGAGAAGATGACCAAGGCCAAGGAGAGAGGCTTAGGAAGAAAACAAACCTGCTGACTCCTTGATCTTGAACTTCCAGCCTCTATAACTGTGAGAAAACAAATTTCTGTTTAAGACAACTGGTCTGTAGTGTTTTGCTTATGGCAGCCCTAGCAAACTAATACAGTTGCCATAACCAGATATTTATAATATCTATCAGTTAGCATTAGGTTCAGTTGTGAGGAACATAAAACCTGAAATGGCAGTGGCTTTATGGAAATAGAAGTTTATTTATCTTTCGTATAAATGTTTCAATTATAAGCAGTGCAGAATTGGCCACCTCTGGTCCATGATATGCATTTGAGACCCAAGTTCCTTCTAATCTATCATTATGTCATATCGACTACGTCTTCCTTGATTTTATGTTGCAAGATTGTGGCATCTGTATTCTAAGCAGAAGGACGGAGGAAGATTTGAAATAGAGAAGGGAAAGTTGTTAATTGAGGAAGACTCCTGGAAGCTGCTATAGGATATTTCTGCTTATGTTGCATTGCATATAACTGTGACCCATAGCTACGTCTAGCTTTAAGGACAGTTCAGAATGTAATATTTAACACAGCTGAAAAGTTTGTTATTATGAAAAAAGTAGGTACTAGATCAGAAAACAAGTTGTAACTTCTGAGACACTCTACCTTATTGACTACCCAAATAACAGTGCTCATTCTTCTTTCTATGCATAGAACACATTTCACTTCTTCCCGAGAGAGGACCCAGAGTCCTATCTAGGTTACTGTGTTCATCTCAAAGTTCAAGATATCTGATGCTACACCCTTTTATCACATTCAGATATAATTCATTGTCTTGTGGTCACCTATAAACTAACAGACAAGTTATCTGCCCTCTCATTCACCCACCCGGTATACAACTGTAGAGAAGAAACAGGATATTTGCCACAAAAACCCCCATTTAGAAAGGGAGAATTGGAACCACCCAGCAGTTATTGGTCCTTAGCAATGATCCAAATCATTTGGGCACAATTCATAAAAACCATGAACAAAGGGATGAAGATATGAAATTCAATTTTATGAATTGAACAGTTGTTTCATATAACTTATTAGTTATTTCAGTTAACTGACCAGTTTATTTAAGTGTTCATAGATAACAACTGAATTTTCTCTTGATAAGGCTATTTCAAATAATTTAAAGATAATAAAACTTCTCATCTAACATAAAAGAAGGGGAAGAGAATGAAAATGACATTTATTGGTTGCCTATTATATTTATTGATTCAACAAATAATTTTTAAAAATAATGATTGTCCACTCTGCTAGGCACTGAGAGGATAGAGAAGTGAAGAAAACCACCATAGTGCATGCTGTCGTGGAGTTTACGTTCTAATAAGGAGAAGCAGATAATGAATAAAAATACAATTAAATATATGCTACACCAGGTCTTAAGTGCTATAGAGAAAAATAAAGCTTGGTAAGAGTGTTAGGAAGAACCAGTGGTGGTGATATTTTACACAGTTATCAAGGCAGATTTGAGCAGAGACCCAATGAGACCTTTGTGAAACGTTGCTTTTAAGTCTCATGAATCTTAGAGAAGAATCCTTGATGGCAAGATGGCCAAATAGAGCCTCCACCAATCATCTTCTCTGCAGGAGCACCAAACTGTACAACTATCCACACAAAAATGTACCGTCATAAGAACCAAAAATCCAGGTTTTAAATTCACACCACTGAAAGAGGCACTGAAGAGTGTAGGAAAGACAATCTTAAATCACTGATGCCATCCCTCCCCCATCCCCACAGCAGTGGCAATGCAGCATGGAGAGAGATTCTGTGTTCTTGGGGGAGGGAGAGCACAATTATTGTGGGGATTTGCATTGGAACTCTGTGCTGTCATGTCACAGCAGAAAGTAACACAGGCAGAAGTCAGCCAGTGCCCATGAAGGAAACATCTACACCAGCCCTAGCCAGAGGGGAATCCCCTATTCCCAGTGGTCAGAATCTGAGTTCTCTCAAGCCTTGCCTCTGTGAGCTAAAGTACTTTGAGGTCCTATATAAACTTGAAAGACAGTCTAGGACACAAGGACTGCAACTCCTGGTAAGTCCTAGGGCTGTGCTGGGCTCAGAACCAATGGACTAGTGGGGCATGCAACATAGTGAGATGCCAGCTGGGGCCACCAAAGGAGTGCTGGTGCTACCCCTCCCCTGACCCTAGGCAGTGCAGCTCTAGGAAAGACTCCTTTCTTTTGCTTGAGGAGAGGATAGGGAAAAGTAAAGAGGACTTTGTCTTGGAACCTGGATATCAACTCAGCCACAGTAGAATAGGGCATCAGAGTACTGAGGCTGCCATTCCAGGACCTAGCTTCTGGACAGTTCTAGACACATCCTGGGCCAGAAGAGAACCCGTTGTTTTGAAGGGAAAGACCCAGTCCTGGAAGGATTCATCACCTGCAGACTAAAGAGCCCTTGGGCCCTGTATAATCAGCATGGTACCCATGAAGTACTCACCATGGGTCTTGGGTGACACTTCAGGAATGACCCAGCACATTCCCAGCTATGGTAGCTATGGGGAGGTACTCCTTTTGCTTAACAAAAGGAGAAGGGAAGAATAAGGAGGTTTTGTCCTGCAGCTTAGGTACCAGCTTGGCCACAGTAAGGCAGAGCACCAAACAGTTTCTTGGTGTCCCTGATTACGGGCTTTGGCTCTTGGGCAACATTTCTGGACTTGCCCTTGGCCAGAGGAGAGCCCATTACCCTGAAGGGGAGTCTCAGATCTGGCAGCATTCACCACAATCTGACTGAGGAGCCCTTGGGACTTCAATAAACATCAGTGGTAGCCAGGCAGTACTTACCATGGGCTTGAGTTGGTGAAGGCCACGGGGAGAAACTCCTCCACTTGTGGAAAGGAGAGGTAAGAGTGGGAAGGACTTTGTCTTGTTGCTTGGGTGCCAACTCAGCCACAGTAGAATAGAGCACTAGATAGATTCCTAAAGTTTCTGACTCTAGGCTGTGGCTCTCTGACAGCATCCCTGGACCCGCCTGGGACAAGGGAAAACTCGCTGTCCTAAATGGAAGGACACAAGTCTGTCTGGTTTCATCACTTACTGATTATAGAGCCTTAGGGCCTTGAGTGAACATAGGTAGCCAGGCAGCGGTTATCGTGGGCCTTGAGCACAACCCACTACTATGCTGGCTTCAAGACTGACCCAGCACAGTCCCAAGATTGGTGGCCACAGGGACACGTGTGTCACCCCTGCCACAGTTCCAGGCAGCCCAGCACACACACTCACACACACACACACACACACACACACACACACACACACACACAGAGAGACTCTGTTTGTTTAGGAGGAATTTAGGGAAGAGAACAAGAGTGTCTGCCTTGTAATTCAGAGAGTTCTTCTGGATCTTATTCAAGACCACCAAGAGCCACAGCATTCCTGAGTTTGGGGTGCCCACATTTAATGCAGATACAACTGCAATGACCAAAAACTTAGATCACAACACCCAAGTCCATTCAACTACCTGGAAACTTTTCCCAAAATGGATGGACACAAGCAAGTCCAGAATGCAAAGACCACAATAAATACCCAACTCTTCAATATCCAGACACCAATGAACATCCACAAGCATCAAGACCATACAATAAAGCATAACCTCACCAAATGAACGAAATAAGGCAACATGGACTAATTAATCCTGGAGAAGCACAGATTTATAACCTTTCAGAGAGTATTCAAATTAGCTGTTTTGAGGAAACTAAAAAAAATTCAAGATAACACAGAGAAGGAATTAAGAATCCTATCATATAAATTTGACCAAAAGATTGAAATAATTAAAAAGAATCAAGCAGAAATTCTGGAGTTGAATAATGCAATTGACATGCTGAGAAATGCAGCAGAGTCTCTTAAGAGCAGAATTGATCAAGCAGAAGAAATAATTAGTAAGCATGAAGACAAGCCATTTAAAAATACAGTCAGAGGATACAAAAGAAAAAAGAACAAAAAAGAATGAAGAACACTTAGAAGATCTAGAAAGTAACCTCAAATGGGCAACTTTAAGAGTTACTAACCTTAAAGAGGAAGTAGAGAGAGAGATAGGGGTAGAAAGCTTATTCAATAGATAATAACAGAGAATTTCCTGAACTGAGAGAAAGATATCAATATCCAAGTACAAGAAAATTATAGAACACCAAGTAGATTTAACCCAACTAACACTATCTCAAAACATTTAATCATCAAACTTCCAAATGTCCAGAATGAAGAAAGTATCCGAAAAGCAGCAGGAGAAAATAAACAAATAACATACAATCTAGCTCCAATATGTCTGGCAGCAGACTTCTCAGTGGAAATCTTAAAGGCCAGGAGAGAGAGAGGCATGACATATTTAAAGTACCGAAGGTAAAAAAAAAAAAAAAAATCATTTTACCCTAGAATAGTATACGTGGTGAAAATATCCTTCAAACATGAAGAAGAAATAAAAACTTTCCCAGAAAACAAAAGTTGAGGGATTTTATCAACACCGGACCTGTTACAAGAAATGCTAAAGGAAATACTTTAATCATAATGAAAAGGACATTAATGAGTAATAAGTAATCATCTGAATGGACAAAACTCACTGGTAAATAATAAGTACACAGAAAAACACAGATTATAACACTGTAACTGTGGTGTGCAAACTACTCTTATTATAGGAAGAAAATCTAAATGATGAGCCAAGCAAAAATAACAACTACATCAATTTTTCAAGAAATAGACAGTACAATGAGATATACATAGGAACAACAAAATGTAAAAAGTGGGGGAATAAAGTTAAGGCATAGAGTTTTTATCATTTTTCTTTTTCATCAACACCAGACCTGCCCTACAAGAAATGTTACAGTTTAATTATTAAATACCTAGAGGTAGCCTTCTTTGCTTGTTTGTTCATGCAAACAGTGTTATGTTATTCCCTAATAATAATGGGTTATAAGATAGTATTTGCAAGTCTCGTGGTAACCTCAAACAAAAAATCATACAACGTATACACAGAAAATAAAAATCAAGAAACTACATCATATGACCAGAGAAAATCACCTTTACTAAAGGAAGGCAGGAAGGAAAGAAAGAAGGAAGAGAAGACCACAAAATGACCAGATAACAAATAACAAAATGGCAGGAGTAAATCCTTAGTTATCAATAATAACATTGAATGTAAGTGGACTAAACTCTCCAATCAAAAGACAAGGAGTGGCTGAATAGAGGAATAAACAAGACCCATTGATTTGCTTCCTACAAAAAACATACTTCACCTATAAAGGCACACATAGACTAAAAACAAAGGGATGAAAAAAGATACTTTATGCCAAAGGAAACGCACAAAAAAGAGCAGGAGTAGCTATACATATATCAGGCAAAATAGATTTCAAGACAAAAACAATAAGACAAGAAAAAGAAGGTCACTATATAATGATAAAGAGTTCAATTCAGCAAGAGAATATAACAATTTTAAATATATATGCACCCAACACTGGAACACTCAGATATATAAAGCAAATATTATTAGAGCTAAAGAGAGAGATAGATTCCAATACAATGATAGCTGGAGACTTCAACACCTCAGTTTCAGCATTAGATGGGTCTTCCAGTCAGAAAATCAACAAAGAAACATCAGTCTTCATATGTACTATAGACCAAATGGATCTAAAAAATATTTAAAGAATATTTCTTCCAATGGTTGCAGAATACACATTGTTTTGCTCAGCACATAGATCATTCTCAAGGATAGATCATATGATAGGTCATAAAAGAAGCCTTAAGAAATTCAAAATAATTGAAGTTACGTCAATTATCTTCTCTGACTGCAATGGAATCAAATTAGAAATCAATAACGAGGAATTTCGGAAACTATAGAAACACCTGTTAATTAAACAACAGTCTTCTGAATGACCAGTGGATCAATGAAGAAATTAAGAAGGAATTTAAAAAATTTTTTGAAACAAATGATAATATAAACATAATGTACTAAAACCGACTGGATACAGCAAATGCAGTACTAAGAGGAAAGTTTATAGTGCCTACATCAAAAAAGTAGAAAAATTTCAAATAAACAACTTAATGATGCATTTTATAGAACCAGAAAATCAAGAGCAAACCAAACCCAAAATTAGTAGAAGAAAAGAAATAGTAAAATCAGAGGAGAAATAAATGAAATTGAAACACAGAAAACAACATAAACGATCAATGAAACAAAAAGTTGGTTTTCTGAAAATATAAATAGTATTGACAAACCTTTAGCCAGAATAACTAACGAAAAACGAGAGAAGACCCAAATGAATAAAATTAGGGATTAAAATGGAGACATTATAACCAATACTGCAGAAATTCATAGGATTGTTAGAGGCTACTATGAACAATTACATGCCAATAAATTGGAAAACAGGGAAGAAATAAATTCCTAGACCCATAGAACCTGCTGATATTTAAACATGAATAAATCCAAAACCTGAACAAATAACAAGTAATGACATTGAAGCCATAATAAAAAGTCTCCAAGTAAAGAATTGCCCATGACTCAATGGCTTCACTGCTGAATTCTACCAAATATTTTAAGAAAAATTCATACCAATCTTACTCAAACTATTCCAAAAAATAGAGGAGGAGGGACTACTTCCAAACTCATTCTACAAGGCCAGTATTACCCTGATACCAAAACCAGACAATGACACATCACAAAAACAGAAAACTACAGGCCAACATTCACCCCATAAATATATACAACTATTATATACCCACAAAAATTATACATACGTTTCTTCACCCTCATGACATTGGTATTTTATTAGTTAACATTATCATCTTACAGAAAACTAAAAGAAAAGTGAGGATGGGAAAACTACACTTCTCAAAGAAATCAGGTGTGATACATCAAGGCAATTCAGAGTGGATTATACTCAGATCTTATCAACGGGCTCTGTTCCTCAGATACTGTTCAGATGCATTTTTGTAATTTTTCACTTTATATAATTACTTATAAAATATACAAACAGGTTTTTATTCGTTTAAGACACATGCGCCTGGGTGCGGTGGCTCATGCTTATAATCCCGGCACTTTGGGAGGCCGAGGAGGGCAAATCGTCTGAGGTCGGGAGTTCGAGACCAGCCTGACCAACATGGAGAAACCCTGTCTCTACTAAAAAATACAAAATTAGCTGTGCTTGGTGGCGCATGCCTGTAATCCCAGCTACTCGTGAGGCTGAGGCAGGAGAATTGCCTGAACCCGGGAGGTGGAGGTTGTGGAACAGGGAGCTGAGATAGCACCATTGCACTCCAGCCTGGGCAACAAGAGTGAAACTCTGTCTCAAAAAAAAAAAAAAAAAAAAAAAAAAAAAGACACATGCTATTTTTCTGTATCTTATTCTGGGTGAACAAAGAAATATGGGCTGCACTGAGCAGGGGTATGTACTGAAGAAACCAGGCTTCAAAATCAGATTGACTTGAAGGTGAATCTTAGATCTGTTCCCTTCCAATCTTAAAGACTTGGGTATTGTTTCTTGACCTTTTGGCTAAGATCAAGAGTTGTAAAGACTTGGGAAAATTAATTTGAGTCTTAGTTTCCTAGACTGTAAAAGTGGGTTAATACCTACTTATCTTATAAGTTTGAGAAAATTAAATGTAAATATAAAGGGTTTAGCATCCTACCTGGAAGATGCTCAGTGTTGATTGCCTTTTTCCATGATGCATCTGTAAACCACTTTATATAATTTGAAAAGGTAATATAAACTACAAAATTATCATTCATAAGAATAAGAATATAAACTTAACTAAATTTTGATGCAAAAATATACTTGATTGTCAATGTAATAAGGTGGTGAAAAGGGCGAATTTTGGAGTCAGGCAGACCTAGAGTTCCCTCCCTGTTCCATTACTTAATAATATATGTCTTGTATGTTTTCAGGTACCTTAAATGCCGTTTTTCTTGATTCTCACAACAGTCCCGCGAATTAAGTATTATTATCTCTATGGATGTATAATAAACTCAGGTTGAGTGTTATTTCCATGATAACAAAGCTAGTAAGCAGAAAAATAGACATAGAAACACATGCCTATTTATTTATTTATTTTTAATTTTTTTATTATACTCTAAGTTTTAGGGTACATGTGCACAACGTGCAGGTTTGTTACATATGTATACATGTGCCATGTTGGTGTGCTGCACCCATTAACTCATCATTTACATTAGGTATATCTCCTAATGCTATCCCTCCCACCTCCCCCTACCCTACAACAGGCCCTGGTGTGTGATGTTCCCCTTCCTGTGTCCATGTGTTCTCATTCTTCAATTCTCACCTGTGAGTGAGAACATGCGGTGTTTGTTTTTTTGTCCTTGCAATAGTTTGCTGAGAATGATGGCTTCCAGCTGCACCCATGTCCCTACAAAGGACATGAACTCATCATTTTTTATGGCCGCATAGTATTCCATGGTGCATATGTGCCACATTTTCTTAATCTAGTCTATCACTGTTGGACATTTGGGTTGGTTCCAAGTCTTTGCTATTGGAAACATGTGCCTATTTAATTTCAAACCCGTGCCTTTTAAAATTATATTGCACTCCCATTATGGCTATCAGTTTGTAGATCCAATAAGCATTGTCATGTGGCCCACTTTATCTCTCTAAAGGCGTAAGATGTTTACTAGTGCAGTGATAGGTTAGATGAAAGCAATTTCTGACTAGTTTTCATTTCTGGTTCTTTCATACCACTAAATGTTCTCCACCTTTTGAATCACTTTCTTTTATTGTTGACGGCAGAAGATGTATCAGTCTGTTCCATTTCAGGGGAAATTTTCCCAATTCCTCTTTGACATTCTGAATTTTTTACGATGGTTTCCAGTTTGTTAATTGTGTTACAAAGGTTTCTCAAAGCTGGATCAGGATGACAGTGGAATGGGACCATACAGACGTAGGTGGCTACTCTGCAATAAAATGCAAATGTTTTGAAATCACCTTCTGAGGATTTTAACTCTGTTCCCATTATAATATTCTGGACATTTATTTTGACTTTTTAAAGCAAATATCTCACTGATTATATTTTCAGCAACCACTTTTTCATTTACGGATGTGATACAATAAAGAAACTTTGTTGAGGAACACTAATATCCTTAGTATGTATACTTCAATTTATTTAAGAAAAAGTGAATGCTTGGGGCTTCTTATAGCTTTATTGATTCCACATGTAATATTGTGCCTACTTTTTTAAACCATTCTTTGAGTCTACATAGCTAGATTCCTTCAAAGCAAAGAAAGGAATCTAAACATGTTCAAAATGAGCGGTAGTCTCAATAGAAAATCAACTTGTTTTTCCAGTGAAGGTGATTGTGTAGGAGTTCTCCATAGCAGACATACCAATTATTGACAGGTTTTGGAGTTTGAAAAAGGCAATCAGGAATTTTAACAGCACCAATATCAAAATAATTCCCATTGCATCTGCAGAATTAAAAACTTATGAAAATTATCACATACACACATTAGATGAGATGAGATTTTATTGTTTATTCCTAAAAACAAAACAGGAAAAAAATCCCACTGCTCTTTTACTCTGTGTTTTATGCCTTCTAAAACAATTGAAAATAATCCTACGTATTTCCAGAGAAATCATATTTGACCTAAGAACATCTGCAAGACTCTGAAACACATTTTTCCCAGCACTTCACATTGTTTCTCATCAATATCAAACTTTCTCTTAGTTTTTTTATGATATATCTTAGTTTTATTAAACCAATATCAGTGATTTTGGAGTCTTGCCAGTGTCTTTAACATCATCAGTAACAACCATTGTAAATAACCTACTGATACTGTCCATAGCAGTTCACTGTTGTGCTATAAATGTAAATTCAAAGAGCACTTCTTCCATCTATAGTTTACTCTTTGAGTTATACAAAATACTTTAACAAACTGAGAATAAATTAGAGATATTTCCTGTATTAGTATCATGCTTCTGACTCAAGAAAAAGAGGAACATAGCTTAGCAAAAATTATAATACTGGTTATTTATTGGATGCCTACTCTATGACAACTACTTTCCTAACATTACATAATTTAATCCTCACAACAAACTGTATGAAAAGTATTATTATATTCATTTTACAGATAAAGAAATTGAGCCTTCTAGAGGTCTTGTAACTTATCCAAGTTTATGTGGCTAATTTGTAGTAGAATCAGAATTTAAACCCAGATATGTCTGGCTGCAAAACCTGGCCATTTTTATTAAATAAAATTTCTTCCTTAGATTACATCAAATAAGAAAAGTCCTGGAGAATTCAAGACACATGTTCTTCATAAGTCTGGGTTGTTTTCTTTGAGTAAACAAGCTGCTTTGGCCCTTGAAAACCGAACTTTCATTTGTTATCAAAGCTAAAAATGTTATTTTTTATAAATATAATTTTTTGTTCTGGGCCTATTCTGTTTTTG